>NC_000012.12:36050001-36673355 GCF_000001405.40 Homo sapiens | reverse complement strand
TCTTTCTAGCGTTCTATGAAGAAATCCCGTTTCCAACGAAGACCCCAATGCGGTCCAAATATCTGCTTGCAGACTTTACAGACAGAGTGTTTCCAAAGTACTCTATGAAAAGAAAGCTTAAACTCCTTGAGTTGAACGCACACATCACAAAGTAGTTTCTGAGAATGATTCTGTCTAGTTTTTATACGAAGATGTTTCCTTTTCTACATTTGGTCTCAAAGCGATTGAAATCTCCAACAGGAAACTGCACAAATAGGGTGTTTCAAATCTGCTCTGTCTAAAGGAAGGTTCAACTCTGTGAGTTGAATACACACACCACAAATAAGTTACTGAGAATTCTTCTGTCGACCATTACTTGAAGAAATCCCGTTTCCAACGAAGGCCTCAAAGAGGTCCAAATATCCACTTGCAGACATTACAAACAGAGTGTTTCCAAACTGCTCCAACAAAAGAAAGGTTAAACTCTGTGAGCTGAACACACACATCGAAAAGAAGTTTCTGTGAATGATTCTGTCTAGATTTTATAAGAAGATGTTTCCTTTTCTACCGTAGACCTCAAAGCGCTTGAAATCTCCAGCTGCAAATTCCACAAAAAGGGTGTTTAACATCTGGTCTTCTAAAGGAAATTTCAACTCTATGAGTTGAATACACACAGCACAAAGAAGTTACTGAGATTTCTCCTATCAAACATTATATGAAGAAATCCCGTTTCCAACGAAGGCCTCAAAGAGGTCCAAATATCTGCTTGCAGACTTTACAGACAGAGTGTTTCCAAACTGCTCCATCAAAAGAAAGGTTAACCTCCTTGAGTTGAACACACACATCACAAAGTAGTTTCTGTGAATGATTCTGTCTAGTTTTTATACGAAGATGTTTCCTTTTCTACCTTTGGTCTCAAAGCGATTGAAATCTCCACATGGAAACTCCACAAAAAGAGTGTTTCAAATCTGCTCTTTCTGAAGGAAGGTTCATCTCTGTGAGTTGAATACACACACCACAAATAAGTTACTGAGAATTCTTCTGGGTAACATTATATGAGGAAATCCCGTTTCCAACGAAGGCCTCAAAGAGGTCCAAATATCCACTTGCAGACTTTACAAAGACAGTGTCTCCAAACTCCTCCATCAAAAGAAAGGTTATACTCTGTGAATTGAACGCACACATCACAAAGTAGTTTCTGAGAATGATTCTGTCTAGTTTTTATACGAAGATATTTCCTTTTCTACATTTGGCCTAAAAGCGCTTGAAATCTCCACCTGCAAATATCACAAAAAGAGGGTTTCACATCTGCTCTGTCTAAAGGACAGTTCACCTGCTGTGAGTTGAATAGAGGCAACACAAAGAACTTACTCAGTATTCTTCTTTCTTGCGTTCTATGAAGAAATCCCGTTTCCAACGAAGGCCCCAAAGAGGTCCAAATATCTGCTTGCACACTTTACAGACAGAGTGTTTCCAAACTACTCTATGAAAAGAAAGCTTAAACTCCTTGAGTTGAACGCACACATCACAAAGTAGTTTCTGAGAATGATTCTGTCCAGTTTTTATATGAAGATGTTTCCTTTTCTACATTTGGTCTCAAAGCGATTGAAATCTCCAACTGGAAACTGCACAAATACGGTGTTTCAAATCTGCTCTGTCTAAAGGAAGGTTCAACTCTGTGAGTTGAATACACACACCACAAATAAGTTACTCAGAATTCTTCTGTCGAACATTACTTGAAGAAATCCCGTTTCCAACGAAGGCCTCAAAGAGGTCCAAATATTCACTTGCAGATATTACAAACAGAGTGTTTCCAAACTGCTCCATCAAAAGAAAGGTTAAACTCTGTGAGCTGAACACACACATCAAAAACAAGTTTCTGTAAATGATTCTGTCTAGATTTTATAAGAAGATGTTTCCTTTTCTACCGTAGGCCTCAAAGCGCTTGAAATCTCCAGCTGCAAATTCCACAAAAAGGGTGTTTAACATCTGCTCTTCTAAAGGAAAGTTCAACTCTATGAGTTGAATACACACAGCAGAAAGAAGTTACTGAGACTTCTCCTATCAAACATTATATGAAGAAATCCCGTTTCCAACGAAGGCCTCAAAGAGGTCCAAATATCTGCTTGCAGACTTTACAGACAGAGTTTTTCCAAACTGCTCCATCAAAAGAAAGTTTAAACTCCTTGAGTTGAACACACACATCACAAACTAGTTTCTGTGAATGATTCTGTCTAGTTTTTATACGAAGATGTTTCCTTTTCTACCTTTGGTCTCAAAGCGATTGAAATCTCCACATGGAAACTCCACAAAAAGAGTGTTTCAAATCTGCTCTTTCTGAAGGAAGGTTCATCTCTGTGAGTTGAATACACACACCACAAATAAGTTACTGAGAATTCTTCTGTGTAACATTATATGAGGAAATCCCGTTTCCAACGAAGGCCTCAAAGAGGTCCAAATATCCACTTGCAGACTTTACAAAGACAGTGTCTCCAAACTCCTCCATCAAAAGAAAGGTTATACTCTGTGAATTGAACGCACACATCACAAAGTAGTTTCTGAGAATGATTCTGTCTAGTTTTTATACGAAGATATTTCCTTTTCTACATTTGGCCTAAAAGCGCTTGAAATCTCCACGTGCAAATATCACAAAAAGAGGGTTTCACATCTGCTCTGTCTAAAGGACAGTTCACCTCTGTGAGTTGAATAGAGGCAACACAAAGAACTTACTCAGTATTCTTCTTTCTAGCGTTCTATGAAGAAATCCCGTTTCCAACAAAGGCCCCAAAGAGGTCCAAATATCTGCTTGCAGACTTTACAGACAGAGTGTTTCCAAACTTCTCTATGAAAAGAAAGCTTAAACTCCTTGAGTTGAACGCACACATCACAAAGTAGTTTCGGAGAATGATTCTGTCTAGTTTTTATACGAAGATGTTTCCTTTTCTACATTTGGTCTCAAAGCGATTGAAATCTCCAACTGGAAACTGCACAAATAGGCTGTTTCAAATCTGCTCTGTCTAAAGGAAGGTTCAACTCTGTGAGTTGAATACACACACCACAAAGAAGTTACTGAGAATTCTTCTGTCGAACATTACTTGAAGAAATCCCGTTTCCAACGAAGGCCTCAAAGAGGTCCAAATATCCACTTGCAGACGTTACAAACAGAGTGTTTCCAAACTGCTCCATCAAAAGAAAGGTTAAACTCTGTGAGCTGAACACACACATCAAAAAGAAGTTTCTGTGAATGATTCTGTCTAGATTTTATAAGAAGATGTTTCCTTTTCTACCGTAGGCCTCAAAGTGCTTGAAATCTCCAGCTGCAAATTCCACAAAAAGGGTGTTTAACATCTGCTCTTCTAAAGGAAAGTTCAACTCAACGAGTTGAATACACACAGCCCAAAGAAGTTACTGAGACTTCTTCTGTCTAACATTATATGAAGAAATCCCGTTTCCAACGAAGGCCTCAAAGAGGTCCAAATATCTGCCTGCAGACTTTACAGACAGAGTGTTTCCAAACTGCTCCATCAAAAGAAAGGTTAAACTCCTTGAGTTGAACACACACATCACAAAGTAGTTTCTGTGAATGATTCTGTCTAGTTGTTATAAGAAGATGTTTCCTTTTCTACCTTTGGTCTCAAAGCGATTGAAATCTCCACATGGAAACTCCACAAAAAGAGTGTTTCAAATCTGCTCTTTCTGAAGGAAGGTTCATCTCTGTGAGTTGAATACACACACCACAAATAAGTTACTGAGAATTCTTTCTGTGTAACATTATATGAAAAAATCCCGTTTCCAACGAAGGCCTCAAAGAGGTCCAAATATCCACAGGTAGACTTTACAAAGACAGTGTCTCCAAACTCCTCCATCAAAAGAAAGGTTATACTCTGTGAATTGAACGCACACATCACAAAGTAGTTTCTGAGAATGATTGTGTCTAGTTTTTATACGAAGATATTTCCTTTTCTACATTTGGCCTCAAAGCGCTTGAAATCTCCACCTGCAAATATCACAAAAAGAGGGTTTCACATCTGCTCTGTCTAAAGGACAGTTCACCTCTGTGAGTTGAATAGAGGCAACACAAAGAACTTACTCAGTATTCTTCTTTCTAGCGTTCTATGAAGAAATCCCGTTTCCAACGAAGGCCCCAAAGAGGTCCAAATATCTGCTTGCAGACTTTACAGACAGAGTGTTTCCAAACTACTCTATGAAAAGAAAGCTTAAACTCCTTGAGTTGAACGCACACATCACAAAGTAGTTTCTGAGAATGATTCTGTCCAGTTTTTATACGAAGATGTTTCCTTTTCTACATTTGGTCTCAAAGCGATTGAAATCTCCAACTGGAAACTGCACAAATAGGGTGTTTCAAATCTGCTCTGTCTAAAGGAAGGTTCAACTCTGTGAGTTGAATACACACACCACAAATAAGTTACTGAGAATTCTTGTGTCGAACATTACTTGAAGAAATCCCGTTTCCAACGAAGGCCTCAAAGAGGTCCAAATATTCACTTGCAGATATTACAAACAGAGTGTTTCCAAACTGCTCCATCAAAAGAAAGGTTAAACTCTGTGAGCTGAACACACACATCAAAAAGAAGTTTCTGTGAATGATTCTGTCAAGATTTTATAAGATGTTTCCATTTCTACCGTAGGACTCAAAGCGCTTGAAATCTCCCGCTGCAAATTCCACAAAAAGGGTGTTTAACATCTGCTCTTCTAAAGGAAAGTTCAACTCTATGAGTTGAATACACACAGCACAAAGAAGTTACTGAGACTTCTCCTATCAAACATTATATGAAGAAATCCCGTTTCCAACGAAGGCCTCAAAGAGGTCCAAATATCTGCTTGCAGACTTTACAGACAGAGTGTTTCCAAACTGCTCCATCAAAAGAAAGGTTAAACTCCTTGAGTTGAACACACACATCACAAAGTAGTTTCTGTGAATGATTCTGTCTAGTTGTTATACGAAGATGTTTCCTTTTCTACCTTTGGTCTCAAAGCGATTGAAATCTCCACATGGAAACTCCACAAAAAGAGTGTTTCAAATCTGCTGTTTCTGAAGGAAGGTTCATCTCTGTGAGTTGAATACACACACCACAAATAAGTTACTGAGAATTCTTCTGGGTAACATTATATGAGGAAATCCCGTTTCCAACGAAGGCCTCAAAGAGGTCCAAATATCCACTTGCAGACTTTACAAAGACAGTGTCTCCAAACTCCTCCATCAAAAGAAAGGTTATACTCTGTGAATTGAACGCACACATCACAAAGTAGTTTCTGAGAATGATTCTGTCTAGTTTTTATACGAAGATGTTTCCTTTTCTACATTTGGCCTAAAAGTGCTTGAAATCTCCACCTGCAAATATCACAAAAAGAGGGTTTCACATCTGCTCTGTCTAAAGGACAGTTCACCTCTGTGAGTTGAATAGAGGCAACACAAAGAACTTACTCAGTATTCTTCTTTCTAGCGTTATATGTAGAAATCCCGTTTCCAACGAAGGCCTCAAAGAGGTCCAAATATCTGCTTGCAGACTTTACAGACAGAGTGTTTCCAAACTACTCTATGAAAAGAAAGCTTGTAACTCCTTGAGTTGAACGCACACATCACAAAGTAGTTTCTGAGAATGATTCTGTCTAGTTTTTATACGAAGGTGTTTCCTTTTCTACATTTGGTCTCAAAGCGATTGAAATCTCCAACTGGAAACTGCACAAATAGGGTGTTTCAAATCTGCTCTGTCTAAAGGAAGGTTCAACTCTGTGAGTTGAATACACACACCACAAATAAGTTACTGAGAATTCTTCTCTCGAACATTACATGAAGAAATCCCGTTTCCAACGAAGGCCTGAAAGAGGTCCAAATATCCAGTTGCCGACAATGCAAACACAGTGTTT
Organism: Homo sapiens; assembly: GCF_000001405.40. NCBI lineage: Eukaryota > Metazoa > Chordata > Mammalia > Primates > Hominidae > Homo > Homo sapiens. Next base: position 36,667,487 of record NC_000012.12, on the reverse strand, counting down.
GCAAACAGCTCCATCAAAAGAAAGGTTAAACTCTGTGAGATGAACACACACATCAGAAAGAAGTTTCTGTGAATGATTCTGTCTAGATTTTATAAGAAGATGTTTCCTTTTCTACCGTAGGACTCAAAGCGCTTGAAATCTCCAGCTGCAAATTCCACAAAAAGGGTGTTTAACATCTGCTCTTCTAAAGGAAAGTTCAACTCTATGAGTTGAATACACACAGCACAAAGAAGTTACTGAGACTTCTCCTATCAAACATTATATGAAGAAATCCCGTTTCCAACGAAGGCCTCAAAGAGGTCCAAATATCTGCTTGCAGACTTTACAGACAGAGTGTTTCCAAACTGCTCCATCAAAAGAAAGGTTAAACTCCTTGAGTTGAACACACACATCACAAAGTAGTTTCTGTGAATGATTCTGTCTAGTTTTTATACGAAGATGTTTCCTTTTCTACCTTTGGTCTCAAAGCGATTGAAATCTCCACATGGAAACTCCACAAAAAGAGTGTTTCAAATCTGCTCTTTCTGAAGGAAGGTTCAACTCTTGTGAGTTGAATACACACACCACAAATAAGTTACTGAGAATTCTTCTGTGTAACATTATATGAGGAAATCCCATTTCCAACGAAGGCCTCAAAGAGGTCCAAATATCCACTTGCAGACTTTACAAAGACAGTGTCTCGAAACTCCTCCATCAAAAGAAAGGTTATACTCTGTGAATTGAACGCACACATCACAAAGTAGTTTCTGAGAATGATTCTGTCTAGTTTTTATACGAAGATATTTCCTTTTCTACATTTGGCCTAAAAGCGCTTGAAATCTCCACCTGCAAATATCACAAAAAGAGGGTTTCACATCTGCTCTGCCTAAAGGACATTTCACCTCTGTGAGTTGAATAGAGGCAACACAAAGAACTTACTCAGTATTCTTCTTTCAAGCGTTCTATGAAGAAATCCCGTTTCTAACGAAGTCCCCAAAGAGGTCCAAATATCTGCTTGCAGACTTTACAGACAGAGTGTTTCCAAACTAGTCTATGAAAAGAAAGCTTAAACTCCTTGAGTTGAACGCACACATCAGAAAGTAGTTTCTGAGAATGATTCTGTCTAGTTTTTATACGAAGATGTTTCCTTTTCTACATTTGGTCTCAAAGCGATTGAAATCTCCAACTGGAAACTGCACAAATAGGCTGTTTCAAATCTGCTCTGTCTAAAGGAAGGTTCAGCTCTGTGTGTTGAATACACACACCACAAATAAGTTACTGAGAATTCTTCTGTCGAACATTACAGGAAGAAATCCCGTTTCCAACGAAGGCCTCAAAGAGGTCCAAATATCCACTTGCAGACATTACAAACAGTGTGTTTCCCAACTGCTCCATCAAAAGAAAGGTTAAACTCTGTGAGCTGAACACACACATCAAAAAGAAGTTTCTGTGAATGATTCTGTCTAGATTTTATAAGAAGATGTTTCCTTTTCTACCGTAGGCCTCAAAGCGCTTGAAATCTCCAGCTGCAAATTCCACAAAAAGGGTGTTTAACATCTGCTCTTCTAAAGGAAAGTTCAACTCTGTGAGTTGAATACACACAGCACAAAGAAGTTACTGAGACTTCTCCTATCAAACATTATATGAAGAAATCCCGTTTCCAACGAAGGCCTCAAAGAGGTCCAAATATCTGCTTGCAGACTTTACAGACAGAGTTTTTCCAAACTGCTCCATCAAAAGAAAGGTTAAACTCCTTGAGTTGAACACACACATCACAAAGTAGTTTCTGTGAATGATTCTGTCTAGTTTTTATACGAAGATGTTTCCTTTTCTACCTTTGGTCTCAATGCGATTGAAATCTCCACATGGAAACTCCACAAAAATAGTGTTTCAAATCTGCTCTTTCTGAAGGAAGGTTCAACTCTGTGAGTTGAATACACACACCACAAATAAGTTACTGAGAATTCTTCTGTGTAACATTATATGAGGAAATCCCGTTTCCAACGAAGGCCTCAAAGAAGTCCAAATATCCACTTGCAGACTTTACAAAGACAGTGTCTCCAAACACCTCCATCAAAAGAAAGGTTATACTCTGTGAATTGAACGCACACATCACAAAATAGTTTCTGAGAGTGATTCTGTCCAGTTTTTATACGAAGATATTTCCTTTTCTATATTTGGCCTAAAAGCGCTTGAAATCTCCACCAGCAAATATCACAAAAAGAGGGTTTCACATCTGCTCTGTCTAAAGGACAGTTCACCTCTGTGAGTTGAATAGAGGCAACACAAAGAACTTACTCAGTATTCTTCTTTCTAGCGTTCTAGGAAGAAATCCCGTTTCCAACGAAGGCCTCAAAGAGGTCCAAATATCTGCTTGCAGACTTTACAGACAGAGTGTTTCCAAGCTACTCTATGAAAAGAAAGCTTAAACTCCTTGAGTTGAACGCACACATCACAAACTAGTTTCTGAGAATGATTCTGTCTAGTTTTTATACGAAGATGTTTCCTTTTCTACATTTGGTCTCAAAGCGATTGAAATCTCCAACTGGAAACTGCACAAATAGGGTGTTTCAAATCTGCTCTGTCTAAAGGAAGGTTCAACTCTGTGAGTTGAATACACACACCACAAATAAGTTACTGAGAATTCTTCTGTCGAACATTACAGGAAGAAATCCCGTTTCCAACGAAGGCCTCAAAGAGGTCCAAATATCCACTTGCAGACATTACAAACAGAGTGTTTCCAAACTGCTCCATCAAAAGAAAGGTTAAACTCTGTGAGCTGAACACACACATCAAAAAGAAGTTTCTGTGAATGATTCTGTCTAGATTTTATAAGAAGATGTTTCCTTTTCTACCGTAGGCCTCAAAGCGCTTGAAATCTCCAGCTGCAAATTCCACAAAAAGGGTGTTTAACATCTGCTCTTCTAAAGGAAAGTTCAACTCTATGAGTTGAATACACACAGCACAAAGAAGTTACTGAGACTTCTCCTATCAAACATTATATGAAGAAATCCCGTTTCCAACGAAGGCCTCAAAGAGGTCCAAATATCTGCTTGCAGACTTTACAGACAGAGTGTTTCCAAACTGCTCCATCAAAAGAAAGGTTAAACTCCTTGAGTTGAACACACACATCACAAAGTAGTTTCTGTGAATGATTCTGTCTAGTTTTTATACGAAGATGTTTCCTTTTCTACCTTTGGTCTCAAAGCGATTGAAATCTCCACATGGAAACTCCACAAAAAGAGTGTTTCAAATCTGCTCTTTCTGAAGGAAGGTTCAACTCTGTGAGTTGAATACACACACCACAAATAAGTTACTGAGAATTCTTCTGTGTAACATTATATGAGGAAATCCCGTTTCCAACGAAGGCCTCAAAGAGGTCCAAATATCCACTTGCAGACTTTACAAAGACAGTGTCTCCAAACTCCTCCATCAAAAGAAAGGTTATACTCTGTGAATTGAACGCACACATCACAAAGTAGTTTCTGAGAACGATTCTGTCTAGTTTTTATACGAAGATATTTCCTTTTCTACATTTGGCCTAAAAGCGCTTGAAATCTCCACCTGCAAATATCACAAAAAGAGGGTTTCACATCTGCTCTGTCTAAAGGACAGGTTCACCTCTGTGAGTTGAATAGAGGCAACACAAAGAACTTACTCAGTATTCTTCTTTCTAGCGTTCTATGAAGAAATCCCGTTTCCAACGAAGGCCTCGAAGAGGTCCAAATATCTGCTTGCAGACTTTACAGACAGAGTGTTTCCAAACTACTCTATGAAAAGAAAGCTTAAACTCCTTGAGTTGAACGCACACATCACAAAGTAGTTTCTGAGAATGATTCTGTCTAGTTTTTATACGAAGATGTTTCCTTTTCTACATTTGGTCTCAAAGCGATTGAAATCTCCAACTGGAAACTGCACAAATAGGGTGTTTCAAATCTGCTCTGTCTAAAGGAAGGTTCAACTCTGTGAGTTGAATACACACACCACAAATAAGTTACTGAGAATTCTTCTGTCGACCATTACTTGAAGAAATCCCGTTTCCAACGAAGGCCTCAAAGAGGTCCAAATATCCACTTGCAGACATTACAAACAGAGTGTTTCCAAACGGCTCCATCAAAAGAAAGGTTAAACTCTGTGAGCTGAACACACACATCAAAAAGAAGTTTCTGTGAATGATTCTGTCTAGATTTTATAAGAAGATGTTTCCTTTTCTACCGTAGGCCTCAAAGCGCTTGAAATCTCCAGCTGCAAATTCCACAAAAAGGGTGTTTAACATCTGCTCTTCTAAAGGAAAGTTCAACTCTATGAGTTGAATACACACAGCACAAAGAAGTTACTGAGACTTCTGCTATCAAACATTATATGAAGAAATCCCGTTTCCAACGAAGGCCTCAAAGAGGTCCAAATATCTGCTTGCAGACTTTACAGACAGAGTGTTTCCAAACTGCTCCATCAAAAGAAAGGTTAAACTCCTTGAGTTGAACACACACATCACAAAGTAGTTTCTGTGAATGATTCTGTCTAGTTTTTATACGAAGATGTTTCCTTTTCTACCTTTGGTCTCAAAGCGATTGAAATCTCCACATGGAAACTCCACAAAAAGAGTGTTTCAAATCTGCTCTTTCTGAAGGAAGGTTCAACTCTGTGAGTTGAATACACACACCACAAATAAGTTACTGAGAATTCTTCTGTGTAACATTATATGAGGAAATCCCGTTTCCAACGAAGGCCTCAAAGAGGTCCAAATATCCACTTGCAGACTTTACAAAGACAGTGTCTCCAAACTCCTCCATCAAAAGAAAGGTTATACTCTGTGAATTGAACGCACACATCACAAAGTAGTTTCTGAGAATGATTCTGTCTATTTTTTATACGAAGATATTTTCTTTTCTACATTTGGCCTAAAAGCGCTTGAAATCTCCACCTGCAAATATCACAAAAAGAGGGTTTCACATCTGCTCTGTCTAAAGGACAGTTCACTTTTGTGAGTTGAATAGAGGCAACACAAAGAACTTACTCAGTATTCTTCTTTCTAGCGTTCTATGAAGAAATCCGGTTTCCAACGAAGGCCCCAAAGAGGTCCAAATATCTGCTTGCACACTTTACAGACAGAGTGTTTCCAAACTACTCTATGAAAAGAAAGCTTAAACTCCTTGAGTTGAACGCACACATCACAAAGTAGTTTCTGAGAATGATTCTGTCTAGTTTTTATACGAAGATGTTTCCTTTTCTACATTTGGTCTCAAAGCGATTGAAATCTCCAACTGGAAACTGCACAAATAGGCTGTTTCAAATCTGCTCTGTCTAAAGGAAGGTTCAACTCTGTGAGTTGAATACACACACCACAAATAAGTTACTGAGAATTCTTCTGTCGAACATTACTTGAAGAAATCCCGTTTCCAACGAAGGCCTCAAAGAGGTCCAAATATCCACTTGCAGACATTACAAACAGAGTGTTTCCAAACTGCTCCATCAAAAGAAAGGTTAAACTCTGTGAGCTGAACACACACATCAAAAAGAAGTTTCTGTGAATGATTCTGTCTAGATTTTATAAGAAGATGTTTCCTTTTCTACCGTAGGCCTCAAAGCGCTTGAAATCTCCAGCTGCAAATTCCACAAAAATGGTGTTTAACATCTGCCCTTCTAAAGGAAAGTTCAACTCTACGAGTTGAATACACACAGCACAAAGAAGTTACTGAGACTTCTCCTATCAAACATTATATGAAGAAATCCCGTTTCCAACGAAGGCCTCAAAGAGGTCCAAATATCTGCTTGCAGACTTTACAGACAGAGTGTTTCCAAACTGCTCCATCAAAAGAAAGGTTAAACTCCTTGAGTTGAACACACACATCACAAAGTAGTTTCTGTGAATGATTCTGTCTAGTTTTTATACGAAGATGTTTCCTTTTCTACCTTTGGTCTCAAAGCGATTGAAATCTCCACATGGAAACTCCACAAAAAGAGTGTTTCAAATCTGCTCTTTCTGAAGGAAGGTTCAACTCTGTGAGTTGAATACACACACCACAAATAAGTTACTGAGAATTCTTCTGTGTAACATTATATGAGGAAATCCCGTTTCCAACGAAGGCCTCAAAGAGGTCCAAATATCCACTTGCAGACTTTACAAAGACAGTGTCTCCAAACTCCTCCATCAAAAGAAAGGTTATACTCTCGTGAATTGAACGCACACATCACAAAGTAGTTTCTGAGAATGATTCTGTCTAGTTTTTATACGAAGATATTTCCTTTTCTACATTTGGCCTAAAAGCGCTTGAAATCTCCACCTGCAAATATCACAAAAAGAGGGTTTCACATCTGCTCTGTCTAAAGGACAGTTCACCTCTGTGAGTTGAATAGAGGCAACACAAAGAACTTACTCAGTATTCTTCTTTCTAGCGTTCTATGTAGAAATCCCGTTTCCAACGAAGGCCTCAAAGAGGTCAAATATCTGCTTGCAGACTTTACAGACAGAGTGTTTCCAAACTACTCTATGAAAAGAAAGCTTAAACTCCTTGAGTTGAACGCACACATCACAAAGTAGTTTCTGAGAATGATTCTGTCTAGCTTTTATACGAAGATGTTTCCCTTTCTACAATTGGTCTCAAAGCGATTGAAATCTCCAACTGGAAACTGCACAAATAGGCTGTTTCAAATCTGCTCTGTCTAAAAGAGGGTTGAACTCTGTGAGTTGAATACACACACCACAAATAAGTTACTGAGAATTCTTCTGTCGAACATTACATGAAGAAATCCCGTTTCCAACGAAGGCCTCAAAGAGGTCCAAATATCCACTTGCAGACATTACAAACAGAGTGTTTCCAAACTGCTCCATCAAAAGAAAGGTTAAACTCTGTGAGCTGAACACACACATCAAAAAGAAGTTTCTGTGAATGATTCTGTCTAGATTTTATAAGAAGATGTTTCCTTTTCTACTGTAGGCCTCAAAGCGCTTGAAATCTCCAGCTGCAAATTCCACAAAAAGGGTGTTTTACATCTGCTCTTCTAAAGGAAAGTTCAACTCTATGAGTTGAATACACACAGCACAAAGATGTTACTGAGACTTCTCCTATCAAACATTATATGAAGAAATCCCGTTTCCAACGAAGGCCTCAAAGAGGTCCAAATATCCACTTGCAGACGTGACAAACAGAGTGTTTCCAAACTGCTCCATCAAAAGAAAGGTTAAACTCTGTGAGTTGAAAACACACATCTCAAAGTAGTTTCTGTGAATGATTCTGTCTAGTTTTTATACGAAGATGTTTCCTTTTCTACCTTTGGTCTCAATGCGATTGAAATCTCCACATGGAAACTCCACAAAAAGAGTGTTTCAAATCTGCTCTTTCTGAAGGAAGGTTCAACTCTGTGAGTTGAATACACACACCACAAATAAGTTACTGAGAATTCTTCTGTGTAACATTATATGAGGAAATCCCGTTTCCAACGAAGGCCTCAAAGAGGTCCAAATATCCACTTGCAGACTTTACAAAGACAGTGTCTCCAAACTCCTCCATCAAAAGAAAGGTTATACTCTGTGAATTGAACGCACACATCACAAAGTAGTTTCTGAGAATGATTCTGTCTAGTTTTTATATGAAGATATATCCTTTTCTACATTTGGCCTAAAAGCGCTTGAAATCTCCACCTGCAAATATCACAAAAAGAGGGTTTCACATCTGCTCTGTCTAAAGGACAGTTCACCTCTGTGAGTTGAATAGAGGCAACACAAAGAACTTACTCAGTATTCTTCTTTCTAACGTTCTATGAAGAAATCCCGTTTCCAACGAAGGCCCCAAAGAGGTCCAAATATCTGCTTGCAGACTTTACAGACAGAGTGTTTCCAAACTACTCTATGAAAAGAAAGCTTAAACTCCTTGAGTTGAACGCACACATCACAAAGTAGTTTCTGAGAATGATTCTGTCTAGTTTTTATACGAAGATGTTTCCTTTTCTACATTTGGTCTCAAAGCGATTGAAATCTCCAACTGGAAACTGCACAAATAGGGTGTTTCAAATCTGCTCTGTCTAAAGGAAGGTTCAACTCTGTGAGTTGAATACACACACCACAAATAAGTTACTGAGAATTCTTCTGTCGAACATTACTTGAAGAAATCCCGTTTCCAACGAAGGCCTCAAAGAGGTCCAAATATCCACTTGCAGACATTACAAACAGAGTGTTTCCAAACTGCTCCATCAAAAGAAAGGTTAAACTCTGTGAGCTGAACACACACATCGAAAAGAAGTTTCTGTGAATGATTCTGTCTAGATTTTATAAGAAGATGTTTCCTTTTCTACCGTAGGCCTCAAAGCGCTTGAAATCTCCAGCTGCAAATTCCACAAAAAGGGTGTTTAACATCTGCTCTTCTAAAGGAAAGTTCAACTCTATGAGTTGAATACACACAGCACAAAGAAGTTACTGAGACTTCTCCTATCAAACATTATATGAAGAAATCCCGTTTCCAACGAAGGCCTCAAAGAGGTCCAAATATCTGCTTGCAGACTTTACAGACAGAGTTTTTCCAAACTGCTCCATCAAAAGAAAGGTTAAACTCCTTGAGTTGAACACACACATCACAAAGTAGTTTCTGTGAATGATTCTGTCTAGTTTTTATACGAAGATGTTTCCTTTTCTACCTTTGGTCTCAAAGCGATTGAAATCTCCACATGGAAACTCCACAAAAAGAGTGTTTCAAATCTGCTCTTTCTGAAGGAAGGTTCAACTCTGTGAGTTGAATACACACACCACAAATAAGTTACAGAGAATTCTTCTGGGTAACATTATATGAGGAAATCCCGTTTCCAACGAAGGCCTCAAAGAGGTCCAAATATCCACTTGCAGACTTTACAAAGACAGTGTCTCCAAACTCCTCCATCAAAAGAAAGGTTATACTCTGTGAATTGAACGCACACATCACAAAGTAGTTTCTGAGAATGATTCTGTCTAGTTTTTATACGAAGATATTTCCTTTTCTACATTTGGCCTAAAAGCGCTTGAAATCTCCACCTGCAAATATCACAAAAAGAGGGTTTCACATCTGCTCTGTCTAAAGGACAGTTCACCTCTGTGAGTTGAATAGAGGCAACACAAAGAACTTATTCAGTATTCTTCTTTCTAGCGTTCTATGAAGAAATCCCGTTTCCAACGAAGGCCCCAAAGAGGTCCAAATATCTGCTTGCAGACTTTACAGACAGAGTGTTTCCAAACTACTCTATGAAAAGAAAGCTTAAACTCCTTGAGTTGAACGCACACATCACAAAGTAGTTTCTGAGAATGATTCTGTCTAGTTTTTATACGAAGATGTTTCCTTTTCTACGTTTGGTCTCAAAGCGATTGAAATCTCCAACTGGAAACTGCACAAATAGGCTGTTTCAAATCTGCTCTGTCTAAAGGAAGGTTCAACTCTGTGAGTTGAATACACACACCACAAATAAGTTACTGAGAATTCTTCTGTCGAACATTACTTGAAGAAATCCCGTTTCCAACGAAGGCCTCAAAGAGGTCCAAATATCCACTTGCAGACATTACAAACAGAGTGTTTCCAAACTGCTCCATCAAAAGAAAGGTTAAACTCTGTGAGCTGAACACACACATCAAAAAGAAGTTTCTGTGAATGATTCTGTCTAGAATTTTATAAGAAGATGTTTCCTTTTCTACCGTAGGCCTCAAAGCGCTTGAAATCTCCAGCTGCAAATTCCACAAAAAGGGTGTTTAACATCTGCTCTTCTAAAGGAAAGTTCAACTCTATGAGTTGAATACACACAGCACAAAGAAGTTACTGAGACTTCTCCTGTCAAACATTATATGAAGAAATCCCGTTTCCAACGAAGGCCTCAAAGAGGTCCAAATATCTGCTTGCAGACTTTACAGACAGAGTGTTTCTAAACTGCTCCATCAAAAGAAAGGTTAAACTCCTTGAGTTGAACACACACATCACAAAGTAGTTTCTGTGAATGATTCTGTCTAGTTTTTATACGAAGATGTTTCCTTTTCTACCTTTGCTCTCAAAGCGATTGAAATCTCCACATGGAAACTCCACAAAAAGAGTGTTTCAAATCTGCTCTTTCTGAAGGAAGGTTCATCTCTGTGAGTTGAATACACACACCACAAATAAGTTACTGAGAATTCTTCTGTGTAACATTATATGAGGAAATCCCGTTTCCAACGAAGGCCTCAAAGAGGTCCAAATATCCACTTGCAGACTTTACAAAGACAGTGTCTCCAAACTCCTCCATCAAAAGAAAGGTTATACTCTGTGAATTGAACACACACATCACAAAGTAGTTTCTGAGAATGATTCTGTCTAGTTTTTATACGAAGATATTTCCTTTTCTACATTTGGCCTAAAAGCGCTTGAAATCTCCACCTGCAAATATCACAAAAAGAGGGTTTCACATCTGCTCTGTCTAAAGGACAGTTCACCTCTGTGAGTTGAATAGAGGCAACACAAAGAACTTACTCAGTATTCTTCTTTCTAGCGTTCTATGAAGAAATCCCGTTTCCAACGAAGGCCCCAAAGAGGTCCAAATATCTGCTTGCAGACTTTACAGACAGAGTGTTTCCAAACTACTCTATGAAAAGAAAGCTTAAACTCCTTGAGTTGAACGCACACATCACAAAGTAGTTTCTGAGAATGATGCTGTCTAGTTTTTGTACGAAGATGTTTCCTTTTCTACATTTGGTCTCAAAGCGATTGAAATCTCCAACTGGAAACTGCACAGATAGGGTGTTTCAAATCTGCTCTGTCTAAAGGAAGGTTCAACTCTGTGAGTTGAATACACACACCATAAATAAGTTACTGAGAATTCTTCTGTCGAACATTACAGGAAGAAATCCCGTTTCCAACGAAGGCCTCAAAGAGGTCCAAATATCCACTTGCAGACATTACAAACAGAGTGTTTCCAAACTGCTCCATCAAAAGAAAGGTTAAACTCTGTGAGCTGAACACACACATCAAAAAGAAGTTTCTGTGAGTGATTCTGTCTAGATTTTATAAGAAGATGTTTCCTTTTCTACCGTAGGCCTCAAAGCGCTTGTAATCTCCAGCTGCAAATTCCACAAAAAGGGTGTTTAACATCTGCTCTTCTAAAGGAAAGTTCAACTCTATGAGTTGAATACACACAGCACAAAGAAGTTACTGAGACTTCTCCTATCAAACATTATATGAAGAAATCCCGTTTCCAACGAAGGCCTCAAAGAGGTCCAAATATCTGCTTGCAGACTTTACAGACAGAGTTTTTCCAAACTGCTCCATCAAAAGAAAGGTTAAACTCCTTGAGTTGAACACACACATCACAAAGTAGTTTCTGTGAATGATTCTGTCTAGTTTTTATACGAAGATGTTTCCTTTTCTACCTTTGGTCTCAAAGCGATTGAAATCTCCACATGGAAACTCCACAAAAAGAGTGTTTCAAATCTGCTCTTTCTGAAGGAAGGTTCATCTCTGTGAGTTGAATACACACACCACAAATAAGTTACTGAGAATTCTTCTGTGTAACATTATATGAGGAAATCCCATTTCCAACGAAGGCCTCAAAGAGGTCCAAATATCCACTTGCAGACTTTACAAAGACAGTGTCTCCAAACTCCTCCATCAAAAGAAAGGTTATACTCTGTGAATTGAACGCACACATCACAAAGTAGTTTCTGAGAATGATTCTGTCTAGTTTTTATACGAAGATATTTCCTTTTCTACATTTGGCCTAAAAGCGCTTGAAATCTCCACCTGCAAATATCACAAAAAGAGGGTTTCACATCTGCTCTGTCTAAAGGACAGTTCACCTCTGTGAGTTGAATAGAGGCAACACAAAGAACTTACTCAGGATTCTTCTTTCTAGCGTTCTATGAAGAAATCCCGTTTCCAACGAAGGCCCTAAAGAGGTCCAAATATCTGCTTGCAGACTTTACAGACAGAGTGTTTCCAAACTACTCTATGAAAAGAAAGCTTAAACTCCTTGAGTTGAACGCACACATCACAAAGTAGTTTCTGAGAATGATTCTGTCTAGTTTTTATACGAAGATGTTTCCTTTTCTACATTTGGTCTCAAAGCGATTGAAATCTCCAACTGGAAACTGCACAAATAGGGTGTTTCAAATCTGCTCTGTCTAAAGGAAGGTTCAACTCTGTGAGTTGAATACACACACCACAAATAAGTTACTGAGAATTCTTCTGTCGAACATTACAGGAAGAAATCCCGTGTCCAACGAAGGTCTCAAAGAGGTCCAAATATCCACTTGCAGACATTACAAACAGTGTGTTTCCAAACTGCACCATCAAAAGAAAGGTTAAACTCTGTGAGCTGAACACACACATCAAAAAGAAGTTTCTGTGAATGATTCTGTCTAGATTTTATAAGAAGATGTTTCCTTTTCTACCGTAGGCCTCAAAGCGCTTGAAATCTCCAGCTGCAAATTCCACAAAAAGGGTGTTTAACATCTGCTCTTCTAAAGGAAAGTTCAACTCTATGAGTTGAATACACACAGCACAAAGAAGTTACTGAGACTTCTCCTATCAAACATTATATGAAGAAATCCCGTTTCCAACGAAGGCCTCAAAGAGGTCCAAATATCTGCTTGCAGACTTTACAGACAGAGTGTTTCCAAACTGCTCCATCAAAAGAAAGGTTAAACTCCTTGAGTTGAACACACACATCACAAAGTAGTTTCTGTGAATGATTCTGTCTAGTTGTTATACGAAGATGTTTCCTTTTCTACCTTTGGTCTCAAAGCGATTGAAATCTCCACATGGAAACTCCACAAAAAGAGTGTTTCAAATCTGCTCTTTCTGAAGGAAGGTTCATCTCTGTGAGTTGAATACACACACCACAAATAAGTTACTGAGAATTCTTCTGTCGAACATTACTTGAAGAAATCCCGTTTCCAACGAAGGCCTCAAAGAGGTCCAAATATCCACTTGCAGAGTTTACAAAGACAGTGTCTCCAAACTCCTCCATCAAAAGAAAGGTTATACTCTGTGAATTGAACGCACACATCACAAAGTAGTTTCTGAGAATGATTCTGTCTAGTTTTTATACGAAGATATTTCCTTTTCTACATTTGGCCTAAAAGCGCTTGAAATCTCCACCTGCAAATATCACAAAAAGAGGGTTTCACATCTGCTCTGTCTAAAGGACAGTTCACCTCTGTGAGTTGAATAGAGGCAACACAAAGAACTTACTCAGTATTCTTCTTTCTAGCGTTCTATGAAGAAATCCCGTTTCCAACGAAGGCCTCAAAGAGGTCCAAATATCTGCTTGCAGACTTTACAGACAGAGTGTTTCCAAACTACTCTATGAAAAGAAAGCTTAAACTCCTTGAGTTGAACGCACACATCACAAAGTAGTTTCTGAGAATGATTCTGTCTAGTTTTTATACGAAGATGTTTCCTTTTCTACATTTGGTCTCAAAGCGATTGAAATCTCCAACTGGAAACTGCACAAATAGGGTGTTTCAAATCTGCTCTGTCTAAAGGAAGGTTCAACTCTGTGAGTTGAATACACACACAACAAATAAGTTACTGAGAATTCTTCTGTCGAACATTACTTGAAGAAATCCCGTTTCCAACGAAGGCCTCAAAGAGGTCCAAATATCCACTTGCAGACATTACAAACAGAGTGTTTCCTAACTGCTCCATCAAAAGAAAGGTTAAACTCTGTGAGCTGAACACACACATCGAAAAGAAGTTTCTGTGAATGATTCTGTCTAGATTTTATAAGAAGATGTTTCCTTTTCTACCGTAGGCCTCAAAGCGCTTGAAATCTCCAGCTGCAAATTCCACAAAAAGGGTGTTTAACATCTGCTCTTCTAAAGGAAAGTTCAACTCTATGAGTTGAATACACACAGCACAAAGAAGTTGCTGAGACTTCTCCTATCAAACATTATATGAAGAAATCCCGTTTCCAACGAAGGCCTCAAAGAGGTCCAAATATCTGCTTGCAGACTTTACAGACAGAGTGTTTCCAAACTGCTCCATCAAAAGAAAGGTTAAACTCCTTGAGTTGAACACACACATCACAAAGTAGTTTCTGTGAATGATTCTGTCTAGTTTTTATACGAAGATGTTTCCTTTTCTACCTTTGGTCTCAATGCGATTGAAATCTCCACATGGAAACTCCACAAAAAGAGTGTTTCAAATCTGCTCTTTCTGAAGGAAGGTTCAACTCTGTGAGTTGAATACACACACCACAAATAAGTTACTGAGAATTCTTTCTTTCTAGCATTCTATGAAGAAATCCCGTTTCCAACGAAGGCCCCAAAGAGGTCCAAATATCTGCTTGCAGACTTTACAAAGACAGTGTCTCCAAACTCCTCCGTCAAAAGAAAGGTTATACTCTGTGAATTGAACGCACACATCACAAAGTAGTTTCTGAGAATGATTCTGTCTAGTTTTTATACGAAGATATTTCCTTTTCTACATTTGGCCTAAAAGCGCTTGAAATCTCCAAGTGCAAATATCACAAAAAGAGGGTTTCACATCTGCTCTGTCTAAAGGACAGTTCACCTCTGTGAGTTGAATAGAGGCAACACAAAGAACTTACTCAGTATTCTTCTTTCTAGCGTTCTATGAAGAAATCCCGTTTCCAACGAAGATCTCAAAGAGGTCCAAATATCTGCTTGCAGACTTTACAGACAGAGTGTTTCCAAACTACTCTATGAAAAGAAAGCTTAAACTCCTTGAGTTGAACGCACACATCACAAAGTAGTTTCTGAGAATGATTCTGTCTAGTTTTTATACGAAGATCTTTCCTTTTCTACATTTGGTCCCAAAGCAATTGAAATCTCCAACTGGAAACTGCACAAATAGGGAGTTTCAAATCTGATCTGTCTAAAGGAAGGGTCAACTCTGTGAGTTGAATACACACACCACAAATAAGTTACTGAGAATTCTTCTGTCGAACATTACATGAAGAAATCCCGTTTCCAACGAAGGCCTCAAAGAGGTCCAAATATCCACTTGCAGACATTACAAACAGAGTGTTTCCAAGCTGCTCCATGAAAAGAAAGGTTAAACTCTGTGAGCTGAACACACACATCAAAAAGAAGTTTCTGTGAATGATTCTGTCTAGATTTTATAAGAAGATGTTTCCTTTTCTACTGTAGGCCTCAAAGCGCTTGAAATCTCCACCTGCAAATATCACAAAAAGGGTGTTTAACATCTGCTCTTCTAAAGGAAAGTTCAATTGTATGAGTTGAATACACAAAGCACAAAGAAGTTACTGAGAATTCTCCTATCAAACATTATATGAAGAAATCCCGTTTCCAACGAAGGCCTCAAAGAGGTCCAAATATCTGCTTGCAGACTTTACAGACAGAGTGTTTCCAAACTGCTCCATCAAAAGAAAGGTTAAACTCCTTGAGTTGAACACACACATCACAAAGTAGTTTCTGTGAATGATTCTGTCTAGTTTTTATACGAAGATGTTTCCTTTTCTACCTTTGGTCTCAAAGCGATTGAAATCTCCACATGGAAACTCCACAAAAAGAGTGTTTCAAATGTGCTCTTTCTGAAGGAAGGTTCAACTCTGTGAGTTGAATACACACATCACAAATAAGTTAATGAGAATTCTTCTGTGTAACATTATATGAGGAAATCCCGTTTCCAACGAAGGCCTCAAAGAGGTCCAAATATCCACTTGCAGACTTTACAAAGACAGTGTCTCCAAACTCCTCCATCAAAAGAAAGGTTATACTCTGTGAATTGAACGCACACATCACAAAGTAGTTTCTGAGAATGATTCTGTCTAGTTTTTATACGAAGATATTTCCTTTTCTACATTTGGCCTAAAAGCGCTTGAAATCTCCACCTGCAAATATCACAAAAAGAGGGTTTCACATCTGCTCTGTCTAAAGGACAGTTCACCTCTGTGAGTTGAATAGAGGCAACACAAAGAACTTACTCAGTATTCTTCTTTCTTGCGTTCTATGAAGAAATCCCGTTTCCAACGAAGGCCCCAAAGAGGTCCAAATATCTGCTTGCACACTTTACAGACAGAGTGTTTCCAAACTACTCTATGAAAAGAAAGCTTAAACTCCTTGAGTTGAACGCACACATCACAAAATAGTTTCTGAGAATGATTCTGTCTAGTTTTTATACGAAGATGTTTCCTTTTCTACATTTGGTCTCAAAGCGATTGAAATCTCCAACTGGAAACTGCACAAATAGGGTGTTTCAAATCTGCTCTGTCTAAAGGAAGGTTCAACTCTGTGTGTTGAATACACACACCACAAATAAGTTACTGAGAATTCTTCTGTCGAACATTACATGAAGAAATCCCGTTTCCCACGAAGGCCTCAAAGAGGTCCAAATATCCACTTGCAGACATTACAAACAGAGTGTTTCCAAACTGCTCCATCAAAAGAAAGGTTAAACTGCTGTGAGCTGAACACACACATCAAAAAGAAGTTTCTGTGAATGATTCTGTCTAGATTTTATAAGAAGATGTTTCCTTTTCTAACGTAGACCCCAAAGCGCTTGAAATCTCCAGCTGCAAATTCCACAAAAAGGGTGTTTAACATCTGCTCTTCTAAAGGAAAGTTCACCTCTGTGAGTTGAATAGAGGCAACACAAAGAACTTACTCAGTATTCTCCTATCAAACATTATATGAAGAAATCCCGTTTCCAACGAAGGCCTCAAAGAGGTCCAAATATCTGCTTGCAGACTTTACAGACAGAGTGTTTCCAAACTGCTCCATCAAAAGAAAGGTTAAACTCCTTGAGTTGAACACACACATCACAAAGTAGTTTCTGTGAATGATTCTGTCTAGTTTTTATACGAAGATGTTTCCTTTTCTACCTTTGGTCTCAAAGCGATTGAAATCTCCACATGGAAACTCCACCAAAAGAGTGTTTCAAATCTGCTCTTTCTGAAGGAAGGTTCAACTCTGTGAGTTGAATACACACACCACAAATAAGTTACTGAGAATTCTTCTGTGTAACATTATATGAGGAAATCCCGTTTCCAACGAAGGCCTCAAAGAGGTCCAAATATCCACTTGCAGACTTTACAAAGACAGTGTCTCCAAACTCCTCCCTCAAAAGAAAGGTTATACTCTGTGAATTGAACGCACACATCACAAAGTAGTTTCTGAGAATGCTTCTGTCTAGTTTTTATACGAAGTTATTTCCTTTTCTACATTTGGCCTAAAAGCGCTTGAAATCTCCACCTGCAAATATCACAAAAAGAGGGTTTCACATCTACTCTGTCTAAAGGACAGTTCACCTCTGTGAGTTGAATAGAGGCAACACAAAGAACTTACTCAGTATTCTTCTTTCTAGCGTTCTATGAAGAAATCCCGTTTCCAACGAAGGCCTCAAAGAGGTCCAAATATCTGCTTGCAGACTTTACAGACAAAGTGTTTCCAAACTACTCTATGAAAAGAAAGCTTAAACTCCTTGAGTTGAACGCACACATCACAAAGCAGTTTCTGAGAATGATTGTGTCTAGTTTTTATACGAAGATGTTTCCTTTTCTACATTTGGTCTCAAAGCGATTGAAATCTCCAACTGGAAACTGCACAAATAGGCTGTTTCAAATCTGCTCTGTCTAAAGGAAGGTTCAACTCTGTGAGTTGAATACACACACCACAAATAAGTTAATGAGAATTCTTCTGTCGAACATTACATGAAGAAATCCCGTTTCCAACGAAGGCCTCAAAGAGGTCCAAATATCCACTTGCAGACATTACAAACAGAGTGTTTCCAAACTGCTCCATCAAAAGAAAGGTTAAACTCTGTGAGCTGAACACACACATCAAAAAGAAGTTTCTGTGAATGATTCTGTCTAGATTTTATAAGAAGATGTTTCCTTTTCTACCGTAGGCCTCAAAGCGCTTGAAATCTCCAGCTGCAAATTCCACAAAAAGGGTGTTTAACATCTGCTCTTCTAAAGGAAAGTTCAACTCTATGAGTTGAATACACACAGCACAAAGAAGTTACTGAGACTTCTCCTATCAAACATTATATGAAGAAATCCCGTTTCCAACGAAGGCCTCAAAGAGGTCCAAATATCTGCTTGCAGACTTTACAGACAGAGTATTTCCAAACTGCTCCATCAAAAGAAAGGTTAAACTCCTTGAGTTGAACACACACATCACAAAGTAGTTTCTGTGAATGATTCTGTCTAGTTTTTATACGAAGATGTTTCCTTTTATACCTTTGGTCTCAAAGCGATTGAAATCTCCACATGGAAACTCCACAAAAAGAGTGTTTCAAATCTGCTCTTTCTGAAGGAAGGTTCAACTCTGTGAGTTGAATACACACACCACAAATAAGTTACTGAGAATTCTTCTGTGTAAAATTATATGAGGAAATCCCGTTTCCAACGAAGGCCTCAAAGAGGTCCAAATATCCACTTGCAGACTTTACAAAGACAGTGTCTCCAAACTCCTCCATCAAAAGAAAGGTTATACTCTGTGAATTGAACGCACACTTCACAAAGTAGTTTCTGAGAATGATTCTGTCTAGTTTTTATACGAAGATATTTCCTTTTCTACATTTGGCCTAAAAGCGCTTGAAATCTCCACCTGCAAATATCACAAAAAGAGGGTTTCACATCTGCTCTGTCTAAAGGACAGTTCACCTCTGTGAGTTGAATAGAGGCAACACAAAGAACTTACTCAGTATTCTTCTTTCTAGCGTTCTATGAAGAAATCCCGTTTCCAACGAAGGCCTCAAAGAGGTCCAAATATCTGCTTGCAGACTTTACAGACAGAGTGTTTCCAAACTACTCTATGAAAAGAAAGCTTAAACTCCTTGAGTTGAACGCACACATCACAAAGTAGTTTCTGAGAATGATTCTGTCTAGTTTTTATAGGAAGATTTTTCCTTTTCTACATTTGGTCTCAAAGCGATTGAAATCTCCAACTGGAAACTGCACAAATAGGGTGTTTCAAATCTGCTCTGTCTAAAGGAAGGTTCAACTCTGTGAGTTGAATACACACACCACAAATAAGTTACTGAGAATTCTTCTGTCGAACATTACAGGAAGAAATCCCGTTTCCAACGAAGGCCTCAAAGAGGTCCAAATATCCACTTGCAGACATTACAAACAGTGTGTTTCCCAACTGCTCCATCAAAAGAAAGGTTAAACTCTGTGAGCTGAACACACACATCAAAAAGAAGTTTCTGTGAATGATTCTGTCTAGATTTTATAAGAAGATGTTTCTTTTTCTACCGTAGGCCTCAAAGCGCTTGAAATCTCCAGCTGCAAATTCCACAAAAAGGGTGTTTAACATCTGCTCTTCTAAAGGAAAGTTCAACTCTATGAGTTGAATACACACAGCACAAAGAAGTTACTGAGACTTCTTCTTTCTAGCATTCTATGAAGAAATCCCGTTTCCAACGAAGGCCTCAAAGAGGTCCAAATATCTGCTTGCAGACTTTACAGACAGAGTTTTTCCAAACTGCTCCATCAAAAGAAAGGTTAAACTCCTTGAGTTGAACACACACATCACAAAGTAGTTTCTGAGAATGATTCTGTCTAGTTTTTATACGAAGATGTTTCCTTTTCTACCTTTGGTCTCAAAGCGATTGAAATCTCCACATGGAAACTCCACAAAAAGAGTGTTTCAAATCTGCTCTTTCTGAAGGAAGGTTCAACTCTGTGAGTTGAATACACACACCACAAATAAGTTACTGAGAATTCTTCTGTGTAACATTATATGAGGAAATCCCGTTTCCAACGAAGGCGTCAAAGAGGTCCAAATATCCACTTGCAGACTTTACAAAGACAGTGTCTCCAAACTCCTCCATCAAAAGAAAGGTTATACTCTGTGAATTGAACGCACACATCACAAAGTAGTTTCTGAGAATGATTCTGTCTAGTTTTTATACGAAGATATTTCCTTTTCTACATTTGGCCTAAAAGCGCTTGAAATCTCCACCTGCAAATATCACAAAAAGAGGGTTTCACATCTGCTCTGTCTAAAGGACAGTTCACCTCTGTGAGTTGAATAGAGGCAACACAAAGAACTTACTCAGTATTCTTCTTTCTAGCGTTCTATGAAGAAATCCCGTTTCCAACGAAGGCCCCAAAGAGGTCCAAATATCTGCTTGCAGACTTTACAGACAGAGTGTTTCCAAACTACTCTATGAAAAGAAAGCTTAAACTCCTTGAGTTGAACGCACACATCACAAATTAGTTTCTGAGAATGATTCTGTCTAGTTTTTATACGAAGATGTTTCCTTTTCTACATTTGGTCTCAAAGCGATTGAAATCTCCAACTGGAAACTGCACAAATACGGTGTTTCAAATCTGCTCTGTCTAAAGGAAGGTTCAACTCTGTGAGTTGAATACACACACCACAAATAAGTTACTGAGAATTCTTCTGTCGAACATTACTTGAAGAAATCCCGTTTCCAACGAAGGCCTCAAAGAGGTCCAAATATCCACTTGCAGACATTACAAACAGAGTGTTTCCAAACTGCTCCATCAAAAGAAAGGTTAAACTCTGTGAGCTGAACACACACATCAAAAAGAAGTTTCTGTGAATGATTCTGTCTAGATTTTATAAGAAGATGTTTCCTTTTCTACCGTAGGCCTCAAAGCGCTTGAAATCTCCAGCTGCAAATTCCACAAAAAGGGTGTTTAACATCTGCTCTTCTAAAGGAAAGTTCAACTCTATGAGTTGAATACACACAGCACAAAGAAGTTACTGAGACTTCTCCTATCAAACATTATATGAAGAAATCCCGTTTCCAACGAAGGCCTCAAAGAGGTCCAAATATCCACTTGCAGACGTGACAAACAGAGTGTTTCCAAACTGCTCCATCAAAAGAAAGGTTAAACTCTGTGAGTTGAACACACACATCACAAAGTAGTTTCTGTGAATGATTCTGTCTAGTTTTCATACGAAGATGTTTCCTTTTCTACGTTTGGTCTCAAAGCCATTGAAATCTCCACATGGAAACTCCACAAAAAGAGGGTTTCAAATCTGTTCTTTCTGAAGGAAGGTTCAACTCTGTGAGTTGAATACACACACCACAAATAAGTTACTGAGAATTCTTCTGTGTAACATTATATGAGGAAATCCCGTTTCCAACGAAGGCCTCAAAGAGGTCCAAATATCCACTTGCAGACTTTACAAAGACAGTGTCTCCAAACTCCTCCATCAAAAGAAAGGTTATACTCTGTGAATTGAACGCACACATCACAAAGTAGTTTCTGAGAATGATTCTGTCTAGTTTTTATACGAAGATATTTCCTTTTCTACATTTGGCCTAAAAGTGCTTGAAATCTCCACCTGCAAATATCACAAAAAGAGGGTTTCACATCTGCTCTGTCTAAAGGACAGTTCACCTCTGTGAGTTGAATAGAGGCAACACAAAGAACTTACTCAGTATTCTTCTTTCTAGCGTTCTATGAAGAAATCCCGTTTCCAACGAAGGCCCCAAAGAGGTCCAAATATCTGCTTGCAGACTTTACAGACAGAGTGTTTCCAAACTACTCTATGAAAAGAAAGCTTAAACTCCTTGAGTTGAACGCACACATCACAAAGTAGCTTCTGAGAATGATTCTGTCTTGTTTTTATACAAAGGTATTTCCGTTTCTATGGCTTCAAAGCGATTGAAATCTCCAACTGGAAACTGCACAAATAGGGTGTTTCATATCTGCTCTGTCTAAGGGAAGGTTCAACTCTGTGAGTTGAATACACACACCACAAATAAGTTACTGAGAATTCTTCTGTCGAACATTACATGAAGAAATCCCGTTTCCAACGAAGGCCCCAAAGAGGTCCAAATATCCATTTGCAGACATAACAAACAGAGTGTTTCCAAACTGCTCCATCAAAAGAAAGGTTAAACTCTGTGAGCTGAACACACACATCAAAAAGAAGTTTCTGTGAAGGATTCTGTCTTGATTTTATAAGAAGATGTTTCCTTTTCTACCGTAGGCCTCAAAGCGCTTGAAATCTCCAGCTGCAAATTCCACAAAAACGGTGTTTAACATCTGCTCTTCTAAAGGAAACTTCAACTCTATGAGTTGAATACACACAGCACAAAGAAGTTACTGAGACTTCTCCTATAAAACATTATATGAAGAAATCCCGTTTCCAACGAAGGCCTCAAAGAGGTCCAAATATCTGCTTGCAGACTTTACAGACAGAGTTTTTCCAAACTGCTCCATCAAAAGAAAGGTTAAACTCCTTGAGTTGAACACACACATCACAAATTAGTTTCTGTGAATGATTCTGTCTAGTTTTTATACGAAGTATGTTTCCTTTTCTACATTTGGTCTCAAAGCGATTGAAATCTCCAACTGGAAACTGCACAAATAGGGTGTTTCAAATCTGCTCTGTCTAAAGGAAGGTTCAACTCTGTGAGTTGAATACACACAACACAAATAAGTTACTGAGAATTCTTCTGTCGAAAATTACTTGAAGAAATCCCGTTTCCAACTAAGGCCTCAAAGAGGTCCAAATATCCTCTTGCAGACATTACAAACAGAGTGTTTCCAAACTGCTCCATCAAAAGAAAGGTTAAACTCTGTGAGCTGAACACACACATCAAAAAGAAGTTTACTGTGAATGATTCTATCTAGATTTTATAAGAAGATGTTTCCTTTTCTACCGTAGGCCTCAAAGCGTTTGAAATCTCCAGCTGCAAATTCCACAAAAAGGGTGCTTAACATCTGCTCTTCTAAAGGAAAGTTCAACTCTATGAGTTGAATACACACAGCACAAAGAAGTTACTGAGACTTCTCCTATCAAACATTATATGAAGAAATCCCGTTTCCAACGAAGGCCTCAAAGAGGTCCAAATATCTGCTTGCAGACTTTACAGACAGAGTGTTTCCAAACTGCTCCATCAAAAGAAAGGTTAAACTCCTTGAGTTGAACACACACATCACAAAGTAGTTTCTGTGAATGATTCTGTCTAGTTTTTATACGAAGATGTTTCCTTTTCTACATTTGGTCTCAAAGCGATTGAAATCTCCACATGGAAACTCCACAAAAAGAGTGTTTCAAATCTGCTCTTTCTGAAGGAAGGTTCATCTCTGTGAGTTGAATACACACACCACAGATAAGTTACTGAGAATTCTTCAGTGTAACATTATATGAGGAAATCCCGTTTCCAACGAAGGCCTCAAAGAGGTCCAAATATCCACTTGCAGACTTTACAAAGACAGTGTCTCCAAACTTCTCCATCAAAAGAAAGGTTATACTCTGTGAATTGAACGCACACATCACAAAGTAGTTTCTGAGAATGATTCTGTCTAGTTTTTATACGAAGATATTTCCTTTTCTACATTTGGCCTAAAAGCGCTTGAAATCTCCACCTGCAAATATCACAAAAAGAGGGTTTCACATCTGCTCTGTCTAAAGGACAGTTCACCTCTGTGAGATGAATAGAGGCAACACCAAGAACTTACTCAGTATTCTTCTTTCTAGCGTTCTATGAAGAAACCCCGTTTCCAACGAAGGCCTCAAAGAGGTCCAAATATCTGCTTGCAGACTTTACAGACAGAGTGTTTCCAAACTACTCTATGAAAAGAAAGCTTAAACTCCTTGAGATGAACGCACACATCACAAAGTAGTTTCTGAGAATGATTCTGTCCAGTTTTTATATGAAGATGTTTCCTTTTCTACATTTGGTCTCAAAGCGATTGAAATCTCCAACTGGAAACTGCACAAATACGGTGTTTCAAATCTGCTCTGTCTAAAGGAAGGTTCAACTCTGTGAGTTGAATACACACACCACAAATAAGTTACTCAGAATTCTTCTCTCGAACATTACATGAAGAAATCCCGTTTCCAACGAAGGCCTCAAAGAGTTCCAAATATCTACTTGCCGACATGGCAAACACAGTGTTTGCAAACTGCTCCGTCAGAAGAAAGGTTAAACTCTGTGAGATGAACACACACATCAAAAAGAAGTTTCTGTGAATGATTGTGTCTAGATTTTATAAGAAGATGTTTCCTTTTCTACTGTATGCCTCAAAGCGCTTGAAATCTCCAGCTGCAAATTCCACAAAAAGGGTGTTTAACATCTGCTCTTCTAAAGGAAAGTTCAACTCTATGAGTTGAATACACACAGCACAAAGAAGTTACTGAGACTTCTCCTATCAAACATTATATGAAGCAATCCCGTTTCCAACGAAGGCCTCAAAGAGGTCCAAATATCTGCTTGCAGACTTTACAGACAGAGTGTTTCCCAACTGCTCCATCAAAAGAAAGGTTAACCTCCTTGAGTTGAACACACACATCACAAAGTAGTTTCTGTGAATGATTCTGTCTAGTTTTTATACGAAGATGTTTCCTTTTCTACCTTTGGTCTCAAAGCGATGGATATCTCCACATGGAAACTCCACAAAATGAGTGTTTCAAATCTGCTCTTTCTGAAGGAAGGTTCAACTCTGTGAGTTGAATACACACACCACAAATAAGTTGCTGAGAATTCTTCTGTGTAACATTATATGAGGAAATCCCGTTTCCAACGGAGGCCTCAAAGAGGTCCAAATATCCACTTGCAGACTTTACAAAGACAGTGTCTCCAAACTCCTCCACCAAAAGAAAGGTTATACTCTGTGAATTGAACGCACACATCACAAAGTAGTTTCTGAGAATGATTCTGTCTAGTTTTTATACGAAGATATTTCCTTTTCTACATTTGGCCTCAAAGCGCTTGAAATCTCCACCTGCAAATATCACAAAAAGAGGGTTTCACATCTGCTCTGTCTAAAGGACAGTTCACCTCTGTGAGTTGAATAGAGGCAACACAAAGAACTTACTCAGTATTCTTCTTTCTAGCGTTCTATGAAGAAATCCCCTTTCCAACGAAGACCCCAAAGACGTCCAAATATCTGCTTGCAGACTTTACAGACAGAGTTTTTCCAAACTGCTCCATCAAAAGAAAGGTTAAACTCCTTGAGTTGAACACACACGTCACAAAGTAGTTTCTGTGAATGATTCTGTCTAGTTTTTGTACGAAGATGTTTCCTTTTCTACATTTGGTCTCAAAGCGATTGAAATCTCCAACTGGAAACTGCACAAATAGGCTGTTTCAAATCTGGTCTGTCTAAAGGAAGGTTCAACTCTGTGAGTTGAATACACACACCACAAAGAAGTTACTGAGAATTCTTCTGTCGACCATTACTTGATGAAATCCCGTTTCCAACGAAGGCCTCAAAGAGGTCCAAATATCCACTTGCAGACATTACAAACAGAGTGTTTCCAAACTGCTCCATCAAAAGAAAGGTTAAACTCTGTGAGCTGAACACACACATCGAAAAGAAGTTTCTGTGAATGATTCTGTCTAGATTTTATAAGAAGATGTTTCCTTTTCTACCGTAGGCCTCAAAGCGCTTGAAATCTCCAGCTGCAAATTCCACAAAAAGGGTGTTTAACATCTGCTCTTCTAAAGGAAAGTTCAACTCTATGAGTTGAATACACACAGCACAAAGAAGTTACTGAGACTTCTCCTATCAAACATTATATGAAGAAATCCCGTTTCCAACGAAGGCCTCAAAGAGGTCCAAATATCTGCTTGCAGACTTTACAGACAGAGTGTTTCCAAACTGCTCCATCAAAAGAAAGGTTAAACTCCTTGAGTTGAACACACACATCACAAAGTAGTTTCTGTGAATGTTTCTGTCTAGTTTTTATACGAAGATGTTTCCTTTTCTACCTTTGGTCTCAATGCGATTGAAATCTCCACATGGAAACTCCACAAAAAGAGTGTTTCAAATCTGCTCTTTCTGAAGGAAGGTTCAACTCTGTGAGTTGAATACACACACCACAAATAAGTTACTGAGAATTCTTCTGTGTAACATTATATGAGGAAATCCCGTTTCCAACGAAGGCCTCAAAGAGGTCCAAATATCCACTTGCAGACTTTACAAAGACAGTGTCTCGAAACTCCTCCATCAAAAGAAAGGTTATACTCTGTGAATTGAACGCACACATCACAAAGTAGTTTCTGAGAATGATTCTGTCTAGTTTTTATACGAAGATATTTCCTTTTCTACATTTGGCCTAAAAGCGCTTGAAATCTCCACCTGCAAATATCACAAAAAGAGGGTTTCACATCTGCTCTGTCTAAAGGACAGTTCACCTCTGTGAGTTGAATAGAGGCAACACAAAGAACTTACTCAGTATTCTTCTTTCTAGCGTTCTATGAAGAAATCCCGTTTCCAACGATGGCCCCAAAGAGGTCCAAATATCTGCTTGCAGACTTTACAGACAGAGTGTTTCCAAACTACTCTATGAAAAGAAAGCTTAAACTCCTTGAGTTGAACGCACACATCACAAAGTAGTTTCTGAGAATGATTCTGTCTAGTTTTTATACGAAGATGTTTCCTTTTCTACATTTGGTCTCAAAGCGATTGAAATCTCCAACTGGAAACTGCACAAATAGGGTGTTTCAAATCTGCTCTGTCTAAAGGAAGGTTCAACTCTGTGAGTTGAATACACACACCACAAATAAGTTACTGAGAATTCTCCCTATCAAACATTATATGAAGAAATCCCGTTTCCAACGAAGGCCTCAAAGAGGTCCAAATATCCACTTGCAGACATTACAAACAGAGTGTTTCCAAACTGCTCCATCAAAAGAAAGGTTAAACTCTGTGAGCTGAACACACACATCAAAAAGAAGTTTCTGTGAATGATTCTGTCTAGATTTTATAAGAAGATGTTTCCTTTTCTACCGTAGGCCTCAAAGCGCTTGAAATCTCCAGCTGCAAATTCCACAAAAAGGGTGTTTAACATCTGCTCTTCTAAAGGAAAGTTCAACTCTATGAGTTGAATACACACAGCACAAAGAAGTTACTGAGACTTCTCCTATCAAACATTATATGAAGAAATCCCGTTTCCAACGAAGGCCTCAAAGAGGTCCAAATATCTGCTTGCAGACTTTACAGACAGAGTGTTTCCAAACTGCTCCATCAAAAGAAAGGTTAAACTCCTTGAGTTGAACACACACATCACAAAGTAGTTTCTGTGAATGATTCTGTCTAGTTTTTATACGAAGATGTTTCCTTTTCTACCTTTGGTCTCAAAGTGATTGAAATCTCCACATGGAAACTCCACAAAAAGAGTGTTTCAAATCTGCTCTTTCTGAAGGAAGGTTCAAATCTGTGAGTTGAATACACACACCACAAATAAGTTACTGAGAATTCTTCTGTGTAACATTATATGAGGAAATCCCGTTTCCAACGAAGGCCTCAAAGAGGTCCAAATATCCACTTGCAGACTTTACAAAGACAGTGTCTCCAAACTCCTCCATCAAAAGAAAGGTTATACTCTGTGAATTGAACGCACACATCACAAAGTAGTTTCTGAGAATGATTCTGTCTAGTTTTTATACGAGGATATTTATTTTTCTACATTTGGCCTAAAAGTGCTTGAAATCTCCACCTGCAAATATCACAAAAAGAGGGTTTCACATCTGCTCTGTCTAAAGGACAGTTCACCTCTGTGAGTTGAATAGAGGCAACACAAAGAACTTACTCAGTATTCTTCTTTCTAGCGTTCTATGAAGAAATCCCGTTTCCAACGAATGCCTCAAAGAGGTCCAAATATCTGCTTGCAGACTTTACAGACAAAGTGTTTCCAAACTGCTCCATCAAAAGAAAGCTTAAACTCCTTGAGTTGAACGCACACATCACAAAGCAGTTTACTGAGAATGATTCTGTCTTGTTTTTATACGAAGATATTTCCGTTTCTACGATTGGCCTCAAAGCGATTGAAATCTCCCACTGGAAACTGCACAAATAGGGTGTTTCAAATCTGCTCTGTCTAAAGGAAGGTTCAACTCTGTGAGTTGAATACACACACCACAAATAAGTTACTGAGAGTTCTTCTCCCGAACATTACATGAAGAAATCCCGTTTCCAACGAAGGCCTCAAAGAGGTCCAAATATCCAATTGCAGACATGGCAAACACAGTGTTTGCAAACTGCTCCGTCAAAAGAAAGGTTAAACTCTGTGAGATGAACACACAC
This sequence comes from Homo sapiens, assembly GCF_000001405.40. Taxonomy (NCBI): domain Eukaryota; kingdom Metazoa; phylum Chordata; class Mammalia; order Primates; family Hominidae; genus Homo; species Homo sapiens. The sequence goes on along the minus strand of NC_000012.12, from coordinate 36,639,572 downwards.
TTCAAAAATAAGTTTCTGTGAATGATTCTGTCTAGATTTTATAAGAAGATGTTTCCTTTTCTACCATAGGCCTCAAAGCGCTAGAAATCTCCAGCTGCAAATACCACAAAAAGTGTGTTTAACATCCGCTCTGTCTAAAGTAAAGTTCAGCTCTGTGAGTTGAATACACACAGCACAAAGAAGTTACTGAGACTTCTTCTGTCTATCATTATATGAAGAAATCCCGTTTCCAACGAAGGCCTCAAAGAGGTCCAAATATCCACTTGCAGACTTGTCAAACGGAGTGTTTCCAAACTGCACCATCAAAAGAAAGGTTAAACTCTGTCAGCTGAACACACACATCACAAAGTAGTTTCTGTGAATGATTCTGTCTAGTTTTTATACGAAGATGTTTCCTTTTCTACATTTGGCCTAAAAGCGCTTGAAATCTCCACCTGCAAATATCACAAAAAGAGGGTTTCACATCTGCTCTGTCTAAAGGACAGTTCACCTCTGTGAGTTGAATAGAGGCAACACAAAGAAGTTACTGAGTATTCTCCTATCAAACATTATATGAAGAAATCCCGTTTCCAACGAAGGCCTCAAAGAGGTCCAAATATCTGCTTGCAGACTTTACAGACAGAGTGTTTTCAAACTGCTCCATCAAAAGAAAGGTTAAACTCCTTGAGTTGAACACACACATCACAAAGTAGTTTCTGTGAATGATTCTGTCTAGTTTTTATACGAAGATGTTTCCTTTTCTACCTTTGGTCTCAAAGCGATTGAAATCTCCACATGGAAACTCCACAAAAAGAGTGTTTCAAATCTGCTCTTTCTGAAGGAAGGTTCAACTCTGTGAGTTGAATACACACACCACAAATAAGTTACTGAGAATTCTTCTGTGTAACATTATATGAGGAAATCCCGTTTCCAACGAAGGCCTCAAAGAGGTCCAAATATCCACTTGCAGACTTTACAAAGACAGTGTCTCCAAACACCTCCATCAAAAGAAAGGTTATACTCTGTGAATTGAACGCACACATCACAAAGTAGTTTCTCAGAATGATTCTGTCTAGTTTTTATACGAAGATGTTTCCTTTTCTACATTTGGTCTCCAAGCGATTGAAATCTCCAACTGGAAACTGCACAAATAGGGTGTTTCAAATCTGCTCTGTCTAAAGGAAGGTTCAACTCTGTGAGTTGAATACACACACCACAAAGAAGTTACTGAGAATTCTTCTTTCTAGCGTTCTACGAAGAAATCCCGTTTCCAACGAAGGCCCCAAAGAGGTCCAAATATCTGCTTGCAGACTTTACAGACAGAGTGTTTCCAAACTACTCTATGAAAAGAAAGCTTAAACTCCTTGAGTTGAACGCACACATCACAAAGTAGTTTCTGAGAATGATTCTGTCTAGTTTTTATACGAAGATGTTTCCTTTTCTACATTTGTCTCAAAGCGATTGAAATCTCCAACTGGAAACTGCACAAATAGGGTGTTTCAAATCTGCTCTGTCTAAAGGAAGGTTCAACTCTGTGAGTTGAATACACACACCACAAATAAGTTACTGAGAATTCTTCTGTCGAACATTACAGGAAGAAATCCCGTTTACAACGAAGGCCTCAAAGAGGTCCAAATATCCACTTGCAGACATTACAAACAGTGTGATTCCCAACTGCTCCATCAAAAGAAAGGTTAAACTCTGTGAGCTGAACACACACATCAAAAAGAAGTTTCTGTGAATGATTCTGTCTAGATTTTATAAGAAGATGTTTCCTTTTCTACCGTAGGCCTCAAAGCACTTGAAATCTCCAGCTGCAAATTACACAAAAAGGGTGTTTAACATCTGCTCTTCTAAAGGAAAGTTCAACTCTGTGAGTTGAATACACACAGCACAAAGAAGTTACTGAGACTTCTCCTATCAAACATTATATGAAGAAATCCCGTTTCCAACGAAGGCCTCAAAGAGGTCCAAATATCTGCTTGCAGACTTTACAGACAGAGTGTTTCCAAACTGCTCCATCAAAAGAAAGGTTAAACTCCTTGAGTTGAACACACACATCACAAAGTAGTTTCTGTGAATGATTCTGTCTAGTTTTTATACGAAGATGTTTCCTTTTCTACCTTTGGTCTCAAAGCGATTGAAATCTCCACATGGAAACTCCACAAAAAGAGTGTTTCAAATCTGCTCTTCCTGAAGGAAGGTTCAACTCTGTGAGTTGAATACACACACCACAAATAAGTTACTGAGAATTCTTCTGTGTAACATTATATGAGGAAATCCCGTTTCCAACGAAGGCCTCAAAGAGGTCCAAATATCCACTTGCAGACTTTACAAAGACAGTGTCTCCAAACTCCTCCATCGAAAGAATGGTTATACTCTGTGAATTGAACGCACACATCACAAAGTAGTTTCTGAGAATGATTCTGTCTAGTTTTTATACGAAGATATATCCTTTTCTACATTTGGCCAAAAAGCGCTTGAAATTTCCACCTGCAAATATCACAAAAAGAGGGTTTCACATCTGCTCTGTCTAAAGGACAGTTCACCTCTGTGAGTTGAATAGAGGCAACACCAAGAACTTACTCAGTATTCTTCTTTCCAGCGTTATATGAAGAAATCCCGTTTCCAACGAAGGCCTCAAAGAGGTCCAAATATCTGCTTGCAGACTTTACAGACAGAGTGTTTCCAAACTACTCTATGAAAAGAAAACTTAAACTCCTTGAGTTGAACGCACACATCACAAAGTAGTTTCTGAGAATGATTCTGTCTTGTTTTTATATGAAGATATTTCCCTTTCTATGATTGGCCTCAAAGCCATTGAAATCTCCAACTGGAAACTGCACAAATAGGGTGTTTCAAATCTGCTCTGTCTAAAGGAAGGTTCAACTCTGTGAGTTGAATACACACACCACAAATAAGTTACTGAGAATTCTTCTGTCGAACATTACATGAAGAAATCCGGTTTCCAACGAAGGCCTCAAAGAGGTCCAAATATCCACTTGCAGACATTACAAACAGAGTGTTTCCAAACTGCTCCATCAATAGAAAGGTTAAACTCTGTGAGCTGAACACCCACATCAAAAAGAAGTTTCTGTGAATTATTCTGTCTAGATTTTAGAAGAAGATGTTTCCTTTTTTACTGTAGGCCTCAAAGCTCTTGAATTCTCCAGCTGCAAATTCCACAAAAAGGGTGTTTAGCATCTGCTCTTCTAAAGGAAAGTTCAACTCCATGAGTTGAATACACACAGCACAAAGAAGTTACTGAGACTTCTCCTTTCAAACATTATATGAAGAAATCCCGTTTCCAACGAAGGCCTCAAAGAGGTCCAAATATCCACTTGCAGACGTGACAAACAGAGTGTTTCCAAACTGCTCCATCCAAAGAAAGGTTAAACTCTGTGAGTTGAACACACACATCACAAAATAGTTTCTGTGAATGATTCTGTCTAGTTGTTATACGAAGATGTTTCCTTTTCTACCTTTGGTCTCAAAGCGATTGAAATCTCCACATGGAAACTCCACAAAAAGAGTGTTTCAAATCTGCTCTTTCTGAAGGAAGGTTCATCTCTGTGAGTTGAATACACACACCACAAATAAGTTACTGAGAATTCTTCTGTGTAACATTATATGAGGAAATCCCGTTTCCAACGAAGGTCTCAAAGAGGTCCAAATATCCACTTGCAGACTTTACAAAGACAGTGTCTCCAAACTCCTCCATCAAAAGAAAGGATATACTCTGTGAATTGAACGCACACATCACAAACTAGTTTCTGAGAATGATTCTGTCTGGTTTTTATACGAAGATATTTCCTTTTCTACAATTGGCCTGAAAGTGCTTGAAATCTCCACCTTCAAATATCACAAAAAGAGGGTTTCACATCTGCTCTGTCTAAAGGACAGTTCACCTCTGTGAGTTGAATAGAGGCAACACAAAGAACTTACTCAGTATTCTTCTTTCTAGCGTTACATGAAGAAATCCCGTTTCCAACGAAGGCCTCAAAGAGGTCCAAATATCTGCTTGCAGACTTTACAGACAGAGTGTTTCCAAACTACTCTATGAAAAGAAAGCTTAAACTCCTTGAGTTGAACGCACACATCACAAAATACTTTCTGAGAATGATTCTGTCTTGTTTTTTTACGAAGATATTTCCGTTTCTATGATTGGCCTCAAAGCGATTGAAATCTCCAACTGGAAAATGCACAAATAGGGTGTTTCAAATCTGCTCTGTCTAACGGAAGGTTCAACTCTGTGAGTTGAATACACACACCACAAATAAGTTACTGAGAATTCTTCTGTCGAACATTACTTGAAGAAATCCCGTTTCCAACGAAGGCCTCAAAGAGGTCCAAATATCCACTTGCAGACATTACAAACAGAGTGTTTCCAAACTGCTCCATCAAAAGAAACGTTAAACTCTCTGAGCTGAACACACACATCAAAAAGAAGTTTCTCTGAATGATTCTGTCTAGATTTTATAAGAAGATGTTTCCTTTTCTACCGTAGGCCTCAAAGCGCTTGAAATCTCCAGCTGCAAATTCCACAAAAAGGGTGTTTAACATCTGCTCTTCTAAAGGAAAGTTCAACTCTATGAGTTGAATACACACAGCACAAAGAAGTTACTGAGACTTCTCCTATCAAACATTATATGAAGAAATCCCGTTTCCAACGAAGGCCTCAAAGAGGTCCAAATATCTGCTTGCAGACTTTACAGACAGAGTGTTTCCAAACTGCTTCATCAAAAGAAAGGTTAAACTCCTTGAGTTGAACACACACATCACAAAGTAGTTTCTGTGAATGATTCTGTCTAGTTTTTATACGAAGATGTTTCCTTTTCTACCTTTGGTCTCAAAGCGATTGAAATCTCCACATGGAAACTCCACAAAAAGAGTGTTTCAAATCTGCTCTTTCTGAAGGAAGGTTCAACTCTGTGAGTTGAATACACACACCACAAATAAGTTACTGAGAATTCTTCTGTGTAACATTATATGAGGAAATCCCGTTTCCAACGAAGGCCTCAAAGAGGTCCAAATATCCACTTGCAGACTTTACAAAGACAGTGTCTCCAAACTCCTCCATCAAAAGAAAGGTTATACTCTGTGAATTGAACGCACACATCACAAAGTAGTTTCTGAGAATGATTCTGTCTAGTTTTTATACGAAGATATTTCCTTTTCTACATTTGGCCTAAAAGCGCTTGAAATCTCCACGTGCAAATATCACAAAAAGAGGGTTTCACATCTGCTCTGTCTAAAGGACAGTTCACCTCTGTGAGTTGAATAGAGGCAACACAAAGAACTTACTCAGTATTCTTCTTTCTAGCGTTATATGAAGAAATCCCGTTTCCAACGAATGCCTCAAAGAGGTCCAAATATCTGCTTGCAGACTTTACAGACAGAGTGTTTCCAAGCTACTCTATGAAAAGAAAGCTTAAACTCCGTGAGTTGAACGCACACATCACAAAGTAGTTTCTGAGAATGATTCTGTCTAGTTTTTATACGAAGATGTTTCCTTTTCTACATTTGGTCTCAAAGCTCTTGAAATCTCCAACTGGAAACTGCACAAATAGGCTGTTTCAAATCTGCTCTGTCTAAAGGAAGGTTCAACTCTGTGAGTTGAATACACACACCACAAATAAGTTACTGAGAATTCTTCTGTCGAACATTACTTGAAGAAATCCCGTTTCCAACGAAGGCCTCAAAGAGGTCCAAATATCCACTTGCAGACATTACAAACAGAGTGTTTCCAAACTGCTCCATCAAAAGAAAGGTTAAACTCTGTGAGCTGAACACACACATCGAAAAGAAGTTTCTGTGAATGATTCTGTCTAGATTTTATAAGAAGATGTTTCCTTTTCTACAGTAGGCCTCAAAGCGCTTGAAACCTCCAGCTGCAAATTCCCCAAAAAGGGTGTTTAACATCTGCTCTTCTAAAGGAAAGTTCAACTCTATGAGTTGAATACACACAGCACAAAGAAGTTACTGAGACTTCTCCTATCAAACATTATATGAAGAAATCCCGTTTCCAACGAAGGCCTCAAAGAGGTCCAAATATCTGCTTGCAGACTTTACAGACAGAGTGTTTCCAAACTGCTCCATCAAAAGAAAGGTTAAACTCCTTGAGTTGAACACACACATCACAAAGTAGTTTCTGTGAATGATTCTGTCTAGTTTTTATACGAAGATGTTTCCTTTTCTACCTTTGGTCTCAAAGCGATTGAAATCTCCACATGGAAACTCCACAAAAAGAGTGTTTCAAATCTGCTCTTTCTGAAGGAAGGTTCAACTCTGTGAGTTGAATACACACACCACAAATAAGTTACTGAGAATTCTTCTGTGTAACATTATATGAGGAAATCCCGTTTCCAACGAAGACCTCAAAGAGGTCCAAATATCCACTTGCAGAATTTACAAAGACAGTGTCTCCAAACTCCTCCATCAAAGAAAGGTTATACTCTGTGAATTGAACGCACACATCACAAAGTAGTTTCTGAGAATGATTCTGTCTAGTTTTTATACGAAGATATTTCCTTTTCTACATTTGGCCTAAAAGCGCTTGAAATCTCCACCTGCAAATATCACAAAAAGAGGGTTTCACATCTGCTCTGTCTAAAGGACAGTTCACCTCTGTGAGTTGAATAGAGGCAACACAAAGAACTTACTCAGTATTCTTCTTTCTAGCGTTCTATGAAGAAATCCCGTTTCCAACGAAGGCCCCAAAGAGGTCCAAATATCTGCTTGCAGACTTTACAGACAGAGTGTTTCCAAACTACTCTATGAAAAGAAAGCTTAAACTCCTTGAGTTGAACGCACACATCACAAAGTAGTTTCTGAGAATGATTCTGTCTTGTTTTTATACGAAGATATTTCCGTTTCTATGATTGGCCTCCAAGCGATTGAAATCTCCAACTGGAAACTGCACAAATAGGGTGTTTCAAATCTGCTCTGTCTAAAGGAAGGTTCAACTCTGTGAGTTGAATACACACACCACAAATAAGTTACTGAGAATTCTTCTGTCGAACATTACATGAAGAAATCCCGTTTCCAACGAAGGCCTCAAAGAGGTACAAATATCCACTTGCAGACATTGCAAACAGAGTGTTTCCAAACTGCTCCATCAAAAGAAAGGTTAAACTCTGTGAGCTGAACACACACATCAAAATGAAGTTTCTGTGAATGATTCTGTCTAGATTTTATAAGAAGATGTTTCCTTTTCTACCGTAGGCCTCAAAGCGCTTGAAATCTCCAGCTGCAAATTCCACAAAAAGGGTGTTTAACATCTGCTCTTCTAAAGGAAAGTTCAACTCTATGAGTTGAATACACACAGCACAAAGAAGTTACTGAGACTTCTCCTATCAAACATTATATGAAGAAATCCCGTTTCCAACGAAGGCCTCAAAGAGGTCCAAATATCTGCTTGCAGACTTTACAGACAGAGTGTTTCCAAACTGCTCCATCAAAAGAAAGGTTAAACTCCTTGAGTTGAACACACACATCACAAAGTAGTTTCTGTGAATGATTCTGTCTAGTTTTTATACGAAGATGTTTCCTTTTCTACCTTTGGTCTCAATGCGATTGAAATCTCCACATGGAAACTCCACAAAAAGAGTGTTTCAAATCTGCTCTTTCTGAAGGAAGGTTCATCTCTGTGAGTTGAATACACACACCACAAATAAGTTACTGAGAATTCTTCTGTGTAACATTATATGAGGAAATCCCGTTTCCAACGAAGGCCTCAAAGAGGTCCAAATATCCACTTGCAGACTGTACAAAGACAGTGTCTCCAAACTCCTCCATCAAAAGAAAGGTTATACTCTGTGAATTGAACGCACACATCACAAAGTAGTTTCTGAGAATGATTCTGTCTAGTTTTTATACGAAGATATTTCCTTTTCTACATTTGGCCTAAAAGCGCTTGAAATCTCCACCTGCAAATATCACAAAAAGAGGGTTTCACATCTGCTCTGTCTAAAGGACAGTTCACCTCTGTGAGTTGAATAGAGGCAACACAAAGAACGTACTCAGTATTCTTCTTTCTAGCGTTCTATGAAGAAATCCCGTTTCCAACGAAGGCCCCAAAGAGGTCCAAATATCTGCTTGCAGACTTTACAGACAGAGTGTTTCCAAACTACTCTATGAAAAGAAAGCTTAAACTCCTTGAGTTGAACGCACACATCACAAAGTAGTTTCTGAGAATGATTCTGTCTAGTTTTTATACGAAGATGTTTCCTTTTCTACATTTGGTCTCAAAGCGATTGAAATCTCCAACTGGAAACTGCACAAATAGGGTGTTTCAAATCTGCTCTGTCTAAAGGGAAGGTTCAACTCTGTGAGTTGAATACACACACCACAAATAAGTTACTGAGAATTCTTCTGTCGAACATTACTTGAAGAAATCCCGTTTCCAAAGAAGGCCTCAAAGAGGTCCAAATATCCACTTGCAGACATTACAAACAGAGTGTTTCCAAACTGCTCCATCAAAAGAAAGGTTAAACTCTGTGAGCTGAACACACACATCAAAAAGAAGTTTCTGTGAATGATTCTGTCTAGATTTTATAAGAAGATGTTTCCTTTTCTACCGTAGGCCTCAAAGCGCTTGAAATCTCCAGCTGCAAATTCCACAAAAAGGGTGTTTAACATCTGCTCTTCTAAAGGAAAGTTCAACTCTATGAGTTGAATACACACAGCACAAAGAAGTTACTGAGACTTCTCCTATCAAACATTATATGAAGAAATCCCGTTTCCAACGAAGGCCTCAAAGAGGTCCAAATATCTGCTTGCAGACTTTACAGACAGAGTGTTTCCAAACTGCTCCATCAAAAGAAAGGTTAACCTCCTTGAGTTGAACACACACATCACAAAGTAGTTTCTGTGAATGATTCTGTCTAGTTTCTATACTGAAGATGTTTCCTTTTCTACCTTTGGTCTCAAAGCGATTGAAATCTCCACATGGAAACTCCACAAAAAGAGTGTTTCAAATCTGCTCTTTCTGAAGGAAGGTTCAACTCTGTGAGTTGAATACACACACCACAAATAAGTTACTGAGAATTCTTCTGGGTAACATTATATGAGGAAATCCCGTTTCCAACGAAGGCCTCAAAGAGGTCCAAATATCCACTTGCAGACTTTACAAAGACAGTGTCTCCAAACTCCTCCATCAAAAGAAAGGTTATACTCTGTGAATTGAACGCACACATCACAAAGTAGTTTCTGAGAATGATTCTGTCTAGTTTTTATACGAAGATACTTCCTTTTCTACATTTGGCCTAAAAGCGCTTGAAATCTCCACCAGCAAATATCACAAAAAGAGGGTTTCACATCTGCTCTGTCTAAAGGACAGTTCACCTCTGTGAGTTGAATAGAGGCAACACAAAGAACTTACTCAGTATTCTTCTTTCTAGCGTTCTATGAAGAAATCCCGTTTCCAACGAAGGCCCCAAAGAGGTCCAAATATCTGCTTGCAGACTTTACAGACAGAGTGTTTCCAAACTACTCTATGAAAAGAAAGCTTAAACTCCTTGAGTTGAACGCACACATCACAAAGTAGTTTCTGAGAATGATTCTGTCTAGTTTTTATACCAAGATGTTTCCTTTTCTACATTTGGTCTCAAAGCGATTGAAATCTCCAACTGGAAACTGCACAAATAGGGTGTTTCAAATCTGCTCTGTCTAAAGGAAGGTTCAACTCTGTGAGTTGAATACACACACCACAAATAAGTTACTGAGAATTCTTCTGTCGAACATTACTTGAAGAAATCCCGTTTCCAACGAAGGCCTCAAAGAGGTCCAATTATCCACTTGCAGACATTACAAACAGAGTGTTTCCAAACTGCTCCATCAAAAGAAAGGTTAAACTCTGTGAGCTGAACACACACATCGAAAAGAAGTTTCTGTGAATGATTTCTGTCTAGATTTTATAAGAAGATGTTTCCTTTTCTACCGTAGGCCTCAAAGCGCTTGAAATCTCCACCTGCAAATTCCACAAAAAGGGTGTTTAACATCTGCTCTTCTAAAGGAAAGTTCAACTCTATGAGTTGAATACACACAGCACAAAGAAGTTACTGAGACTTCTTCTGTCTAACATTATATGAAGAAATCCCGTTTCCAACGAAGGCCTCAAAGAGGTCCAAATATCTGCCTGCAGACTTTACAGACAGAGTGTTTCCAAACTGCTCCATCAAAAGAAAGGTTAAACTCCTTGAGTTGAACACACACATCACAAAGTAGTTTCTGTGAATGATTCTGTCTAGTTTTTATACGAAGATGTTTCCTTTTCTACCTTTGCTCTCAATGCGATTGAAATCTCCACATGGAAACTCCACAAAAAGAGTGTTTCAAATCTGCTCTTTCTGAAGGAAGGTTCATCTCTGTGAGTTGAATACACACACCACAAATAAGTTACTGAGAATTCTTCTGTGTAACATTATATGAGGAAATCCCGTTTCCAACGAAGGCCTCAAAGAGGTCCAAATATCCACTTGCAGACTTTACAAAGACAGTGTCTCCAAACTCCTCCATCAAAAGAAAGGTTATACTCTGTGAATTGAACGCACACATCACAAAGTAGTTTCTGAGAATGATTCTGTCTAGTTTTTATACGAAGATATTTCCTTTTCTACATTTGGCCTAAAAGCGCTTGAAATCTCCACCTGCAAATATCACAAAAAGAGGGTTTCACATCTGCTCTGTCTAAAGGACAGTTCACCTCTGTGAGTTGAATAGAGGCAACACAAAGAACTTACTCAGTATTCTTCTTTCTACCGTTCTATGAAGAAATCCCGTTTCCAACGAAGGCCTCAAAGAGGTCCAAATATCTGCTTGCAGACTTTACAGACAGAGTGTTTCCAAACTACTCTATGAAAAGAAAGCTTAAACTCCTTGAGTTGAACGCACACATCACAAAGTAGTTTCTGAGAATGATTCTGTCTTGTTTTTATACGAAGATATTTCCGTTTCAATGATTGGCCTCAAAGCCATTGAAATCTCCAACTGGAAACTGCACAAATAGGGTGTTTCAAATCTGCTCTTTCTAAAGGAAGGTTCAACTCTGTGAGTTGAATACACACACCACAAATAAGTTACTGAGAATTCTTCTGTCGAACATTACAGGAAGAAATCCCGTTTCCAGCGAAGGCCTCAAAGAGGTCCAAATATCCACTTGCAGACATTACAAACAGAGTGTTTCCAAACTGCTCCATCAAAAGAAAGGTTAAACTCTGTGAGCTGAACACACACATCAAAAAGAAGTTTCTGTGAATGATTCTGTCTAGATTTTATAAGATGTTTCCTTTTCTACCGTAGGCCTCAAAGCGCTGGAAATCTCCAGCTGCAAATTCCACAAAAAGGGTGTTTAACATCTGCTCTTCTAAAGGAAAGTTCAACTCTATGAGTTGAATACACACAGCACAAAGAAGTTACTGAGACTTCTCCTATCAAACATTATATGAAGAAATCCCGTTTCCAACGAAGGCCTCAAAGAGGTCCAAATATCCACTTGCAGACGTGAAAAACAGAGTGTTTCCAAACTGCTCCATCAAAAGAAAGGTTAAACTCTGTGAGTTGAACACACACATCACAAAGTAGTTTCTGTGAATGATTCTGTCTAGTTTTTATAAGAAGATGTTTCCTTTTCTACCTTTGGTCTCAAAGCGATTGAAATCTCCACATGGAAACTCCTCAAAAAGAGTGTTTCAAATCTGCTCTTTCTGAAGGAAGGTTCAACTCTGTGAGTTGAATACACACACCACAAATAAGTTACTGAGAATTCTTCTGTGTAACATTATATGAGGAAATCCCGTTTCCATCGAAGGCCTCAAAGAGGTCCAAATATCCACTTGCAGACTTTACAAAGACAGTGTCTCCAAACTCCTCCATCAAAAGAAAGGTTATACTCTGTGAATTGAACGCACACATCACAAAGTAGTTTCTGAGAATGATTCTGTCTAGTTTTTATACGAAGATATTTCCTTTTCTACATTTGGCCTAAAAGCGCTTGAAATCTCCACCTGCAAATATCACAAAAAGAGGGTTTCACATCTGCTCTGTCTAAAGGACAGTTCACCTCTGTGAGTTGAATAGAGGCAACACAAAGAACTTACTCAGTATTCTTCTTTCTAGCGTTCTATGAAGAAATCCCGTTTCCAACGAAGGCCCCAAAGAGGTCCAAATATCTGCTTGCAGACTTTACAGACAGAGTGTTTCCAAACTACTCTATGAAAAGAAAGCTTAAACTCCTTGAGTTGAACGCACACATCACAAAGTAGTTTCTGAGAATGATTCTGTCTAGTTTTTATACGAAGATGTTTCCTTTTCTACATTTGGTCTCAAAGCGATTGAAATCTCCAACTGGAAACTGCACAAATAGGGTGTTTCAAATCTGCTCTGTCTAAAGGAAGGCTCAACTCTGTGAGTTGAATACACACACCACAAATAAGTTACTGAGAATTCTTCTGTCGAACATTACTTGAAGAAATCCCGTTTCCAACGAAGGCCTCAAAGAGGTCCAAATATCCACTTGCAGACATTACAAACAGAGTGTTTCCAAACTGCTCCATCAAAAGAAAGGTTAAACACTGTGAGCTGAACACACACATCGAAAAGAAGTTTCTGTGAATGATTCTGTCTAGATTTTATAAGAAGATGTTTCCTTTTCTACCGTAGGCCTCAAAGCGCTTGAAATCTCCAGCTGCAAATTCCACAAAAAGGGTGTTTAACATCTGCTCTTCTAAAGGAAAGTTCAACTCTATGAGTTGAATACACACAGCACAAAGAAGTTACTGAGACTTCTCCTATCAAACATTATATGAAGAAATCCCGTTTCCAACGAAGGCCTCAAAGAGGTCCAAATATCTGCTTGCAGACTTTACAGACAGAGTGTTTCCAAACTGCTCCATCAAAAGAAAGGTTAAACTCCTTGAGTTGAACACACACATCACAAAGTAGTTTCTGTGAATGATTCTGTCTAGTTTTTATACGAAGATGTTTCCTTTTCTACCTTTGGTGTCAAAGCGATTGAAATCTCCACATGGAAACTCCACAAAAAGAGTGTTTCAAATCTGCTCTTTCTGAAGGAAGGTTCAACTCTGTGAGTTGAATACACACACCACAAATAAGTTACTGAGAATTCTTCTGTGTAACATTATATGAGGAAATCCCGTTTCCAACGAAGGCCTCAAAGAGTTCCAAATATCCACTTGCAGACTTTGCAAAGACAGTGTCTCCAAACTCCACCATCAAAAGAAAGGTTATACTCTGTGAATTGAACACACACATCACAAAGTAGTTTCTGAGAATGATTCTGTCTAGTTTTTATACGAAGATATTTCCTTTTCTACATTTGGCCTAAAAGCGCTTGAAATCTCCACCTGCAAATATCACAAAAAGAGGGTTTCACATCTGCTCTGTCTAAAGGACAGTTCACCTCTGTGAGTTGAACAGAGGCAACACAAAGAACTTACTCAGTATTCTTCTTTCTAGCGTTCTATGAAGAAATCCCGTTTCCAACGAAGGCCTCAAAGAGGTCAAATATCTGCTTGCAGACTTTACAGACAGAGTGTTTCCAAACTACTCTATGAAAAGAAAGCTTAAACTCCTTGAGTTGAACGCACACATCACAAAGTAGTTTCTGAGAATGATTCTGTCTAGTTTTTATACGAAGATGTTTCCTTTTCTACATTTGGTCTCAAAGCGATTGAAATCTCCAACTGGAAACTGCACAAATAGGGTGTTTCAAATCTGCTCTGTCTAAAGGAAGGTTCAACTCTTTGAGTTGAATACACACACCACAAATAAGTTACTGAGAATTCTTCTGTCGAACATTACTTGAAGAAATCCCGTTTCCAACGAAGGCCTCAAAGAGGTCCAAATATCTACTTGCAGACATTACAAACAGAGTGTTTCCAGACTGCTCCATCAAAAGAAAGGTTAAACTCTGTGAGCTGAACACACACATCAAAAAGAAGTTTCCTGTGAATGATTCCTGTCTAGATTTTATAAGAAGATGTTTCCTTTTCTACCGTAGGCCTCAAAGCGCTTGAAATCTCCAGCTGCAAATTCCACAAAAAGGGTGTTTAACATCTGCTCTTCTAAAGGAAAGTTCAACTCTATGAGTTGAATACACACAGCACAAAGAAGTTACTGAGACTTCTCCTATCTAACATTATATGAAGAAATCCCGTTTCCAACGAAGGCCTCAAAGAGGTCCAAATATCTGCTTGCAGACTTTACAGACAGAGTGTTTCCAAACTGCTCCATCAAAAGAAAGGTTAAACTCCTTGAGTTGAACACACACATCACAAAGTAGTTTCTGTGAATGATTCTGTCTAGTTGTTATACGAAGATGTTTCCTTTTCTACCTTTGGTCTCAAAGTGATTGAAATCTCCACATGGAAACTCCACAAAAAGAGTGTTTCAAATCTGCTCTTTCTGAAGGAAGGTTCATCTCTGTGAGTTGAATACACACACCACAAATAAGTTACTGAGAATTCTTCTGTGTAATATTATATGAGGAAATCCAGTTTCCAACGAAGGCCTCAAAGAGGTGCAAATATCCACTTGCAGACATTACAAAGACAGTGTCTCCAAACTCCTCAATCAAAAGAAAGGTTATACTCTGTGAATGGAACGCAGACATCACAAAGTAGTTTCTGGGAATGATACAGCCTAGATTCATACGAAGATATTTCCTTTCCTACATTTGGCCTAAAAGCGTTTGAAATCTCCACTTGCCAATATCACAAAAAGAGTGTTTCACATCTGCTGTTTCTAAAGGACAGTTCACCTCTGTGTGTTGAATAGAGGCAACACAAAAAAGTTACTCAGTATTCTTCTGTCGAACATTACTTGAAGAAATCCCGTTTCCAACGAAGGCCTCAAAGAGGTCCAAATATCTGCTTGCAGACTTTACAGACAGAGTGTTTCCAAACTACTCTATGAAAAGAAAGCTTAAACTCCTTGAGTTGAACGCACACATCACAAAGTAGTTTCTGATAATGATTCTGTCTTGTATTTATACGAAGATATTTCCGTTTCTACGATTGACCTCAAAGCGATTGAAATCTCCAACTGGAAACAGCACAAATAGGGTGTTTCAAATCTGCTCTGTCTAAAGGAAGGTTCAACTCTGTGAGTTGAATACACACACCACAAATAAGTTACTGAGAATTCTTCTCTCGAACATTACATGAAGAAACCCCGTTTCCAACGAAGGCCTCAAAGAGGTCCAAATATCCAGTTGCCGACAATGCAAACACAGATTTTCCAAACTGCTCCGTCAAAAGAAAGGTTAAACTCTGTGAGATGAACACACACATCAAAAAGAAGTTTTTGTGAATGATTCTGTCTAGATTTTATAAGAAGATGTTTCCTTTTCTACCGTAGGCCTCAAAGTGCTTGAAATCTCCAGCTGCAAATTCCACAAAAAGGGTGTTTAACATCTGCTCTTCTAAAGGAAAGTTCAACTCTCTGAGTTGAATACACACAGCACAAACAAGTTACTGAGACTTCTCCTATGAAACATTATATGAAGAAATCCCGTTTCCAACGAAGGCCTCAAAGAGGTCCAAATATCTCCTTGCAGACTTTACAGACAGAGTGTTTCCAAACTGCTCCATCAAAAGAAAGGTTAACCTCCTTGAGTTGAACACACACATCACAATGTAGTTTCTGTGAATGATTCTGTCTAGTTTTTATACGAAGATGTTTCCTTTTCTACCTTTGGTCTCAAAGCGATTGAAATCTCCACATGGAAACTCCACAAAAAGAGTGTTTCAAATCTGCTCTGTCTAAAGGAAGCTTCAACTCTGTGAGTTGAATACACACACCACAAATAAGTTACTGAGAATTCTTCTGTGTAACATTATCTGAGGAAATCCCGTTTCCAACGAAGGCCTCAAAGAGGTCCAAATATCCACTTGCAGACTTTACAAAGACAGTGTCTCCAAACTCCTCCATCAAAAGAAAGGTTATACTCTGTGAATTGAACGCACACATCACAAATTAGTTTCTGAGAATGATTCTGTCTAGTTTTTATACGAAGATATTTCCTTTTCTACATTTGGCCTAAAAGCGCTTTAAATCTCCACCTGCAAATATCACAAAAAGAGGGTTTCACATCTGCTCTGTCTAAAGGACAGTTCACCTCTGTGAGTTGAATAGAGGCAACACAAAGAACTTACTCAGTATTCTTCTTTCTAGCGTTCTATGAAGAATTCCCGTTTCCAACGAAGGCCTCAATGAGGTCCAAATATCTGCTTGCAGACATTACAGACACAGTGTTTCCAAACTACTCTATGAAAACAAAGCTTAAACTCCTTGAGTTGAACGCACACATCACAAAGTAGTTTCTGAGAATGATTCTGTCTTGTTTTTATACGAAGATATTTCCGTTTCTATGATTGGCCTCCAAGCGATTGAAATCTCCAACTGGAAACTGCACAGATAGGGTGTTTCAAATCTGCTCTGTCTAAAGGAAGGTTCAACTCTGTGAGTTGAATACACACACCACAAATAACTTACTGAAAATTCTTCTGTCGAACATTACATGAAGAGATCCCTTTTCCAACGAAGGCCTCAAAGAGGTCCAAATATCCACTTGCAGACATTACAAACAGAGTGTTTCCAAACTGCTCCATCAAAAGAAAGGTTAAACTCTGTGAGCTGAACACACACATCAAAAAGAAGTTTCTGTGAATGATTCTGTCTAGATTTTAGAAGAAGATGTTTCCTTTTCTACCGTAGGCCTCAAAGCGCTTGAAATCTCCAGCTGCAAATTCCACAAAAAGGGTGTTTAACATCTGCTCTTCTAAAGGAAAGTTCAACTCTATGAGTTGAATACACACAGCACAAAGAAGTTACTGAGACTTCTCCTATCAAACATTATATGAAGAAATCCCGTTTCCAACGAAGGCCTCAAAGAGGTCCAAATATCTGCTTGCAGACTTTACAGACAGAGTTTTTCCAAACTGCTCCATCAAAAGAAAGGTTAAACTCCTTGAGTTGAACACACACATCACAAAGTAGTTTCTGTGAATGATTCTGTCTAGTTTTTATACGAAGATGTTTCCTTTTCTACCTTTGGTCTCAAAGCGATTGAAATCTCCACATGGAAACTCCACAAAAAGAGTGTTTCAAATCTGCTCTTTCTGAAGGAAGGTTCATCTCTGTGAGTTGAATACACACACCACAAATAAGTTACTGAGAATTCTTCTGTGTAACATTATATGAGGAAATCCCGTTTCCAACGAAGGCCTCAAAGAGGTCCAAATATCCACTTGCAGACTTTACAAAGACAGTGTCTCCAAACTCCTCCATCAAAAGAAAGGTTATACTCTGTGAATTGAACGCACACATCACAAAGTAGTTTCTGAGAATGATTCTGTCTAGTTTTTATACGAAGATATTTCCTTTTCTACATTTGGCCTAAAAGCGCTTGAAATCTCCACCTGCAAATATCACAAAAAGAGGGTTTCACATCTGCTCTGTCTAAAGGACAGTTCACCTCTGTGAGTTGAATAGAGGCAACACAAAGAACTTACTCAGTATTCTTCTTTCTGGCGTTCTATGAAGAAATCCCGTTTCCAACGAAGGCCCCAAAGAGGTCCAAATATCTGCCTGCAGACTTTACAGACAGAATGTTTCCAAACTACTCTATGAAAAGAAAGCTTAAACTCCTTGAGTTGAACGCACACATCACAAAGTAGTTTCTGAGAATGATTCTGTCTAGTTTTTATACGAAGATGTTTCCTTTTCTACATTTGGTCTCAAAGCGATTGAAATCTCCAACTGGAAACTGCACAAATAGGGTGTTTCAAATCTGCTCTGTCTAAAGGAAGGTTCAACTCTTTGAGTTGAATACACACACCACAAATAAGTTACTGAGAATTCTTCTGTCGAACATTACTTGAAGAAATCCCGTTTCCAACGAAGGCCTCAAAGAGGTCCAAATATCCACTTGCAGACATTACAAACAGAGTGTTTCCAGACTGCTCCATCAAAAGAAAGGTTAAACTCTGTGAGCTGAACACACACATCAAAAAGAAGTTTCTCGTGAATGATTCTGTCTAGATTTTATAAGAAGATGTTTCCTTTTCTACCGTAGGCCTCAAAGCGCTTGAAATCTCCAGCTGCAAATTCCACAAAAAGGGTGTTTAACATCTGCTCTTCTAAAGGAAAGTTCAACTCTATGAGTTGAATACACACAGCACAAAGAAGTTACTGAGACTTCTCCTATCAAACATTATATGAAGAAATCCCGTTTCCAACGAAGGCCTCAAAGAGGTCCAAATATCTGCTTGCAGACTTTACAGACAGAGTGTTTCCAAACTGCTCCATCAAAAGAAAGGTTAAACTCCTTGAGTTGAACACACACATCACAAAGTAGTTTCTGTGAATGATTCTGTCTACTTTCTATACGAAGATGTTTCCTTTTCCACCTATGGTCTCAAAGCCATTGAAATCTCCACATGGAAACTCCACAAAAAGAGTGTTTCAAATCTGCTCTTTCTGAAGGAAGGTTCAACTCTGTGAGTTGAATACACACACCACAAATAAGTTACTGAGAATTCTTCTGTGTAACATTATATGAGGAAATCCCGTTTCCAACGAAGGCCTCAAAGAGGTCCAAATATCCACTTGCAGACTTTACAAAGACAGTGTCTCCAAACTCCTCCATCAAAAGAAAGGTTATACTCTGTGAATTGAACGCACACATCACAAAGTAGTTTCTGAGAATGATTCTGTCTAGTTTTTATACGAAGATATTTCCTTTTCTACATTTGACCAAAAAGCGCTTGAAATCTCCACCTGCAAATATCCCAAAAAGAGGGTTTCACATCTGCTCTGTCTAAAGGACAGTTCACCTCTGTGAGTTGAATAGAGGCAACACAAAGAACTTACTCAGTATTCTTCTTTCTACCGTTCTATGAAGAAATCCCGTTTCCAACGAAGGCCTCAAAGAGGTCCAAATATCTGCTTGCAGACTTTACAGACAGAGTGTTTCCAAACTACTCTATGAAAAGAAAGCTTAAACTCCTTGAGTTGAACGCACACATCACAAAGTAGTTTCTGAGAATGATTCTGTCTAGTTTTTATACGAAGATGTTTCCTTTTCTACATTTGGTCTCAAAGCGATTGAAATCTCCAACTGGAAACTGCACAAATAGGGTGTTTCAAATCTGCTCTGTCTAAAGGAAGGTTCAACTCTTTGAGTTGAATACACACACCACAAATAAGTTACTGAGAATTCTTCTGTCGAACATTACTTGAAGAAATCCCGTTTCCAACGAAGGCCTCAAAGAGGTCCAAATATCCACTTGCAGACATTACAAACAGAGTGTTTCCAAACTGCTCCATCAAAAGAAAGGTTAAACTCTGTGAGCTGAACACACACATCGAAAAGAAGTTTCTGTGAATGATTCTGTCTAGATTTTATAAGAACATGTTTCCTTTTCTACCGTAGGCCTCAAAGCGCTTGAAATCTCCAGCTGCAAATTCCACAAAAAGGGTGTTTAACATCTGCTCTTCTAAAGGAAAGTTCAACTCTATGAGTTGAATACACACAGCACAAAGAAGTTACTGAGACTTCTCCTATCAAACATTATATGAAGAAATCCCGTTTCCAACGAAGGCCTCAAAGAGGTCCAAATATCCACTTGCAGACGTGACAAACAGAGTGTTTCCACACTGCTCCATCCAAAGAAAGGTTAAACTCTGTGAGTTGAACACACACATCACAAAGTAGTGTCTCTGAATGATTCTGTCTAGTTTTTATACGAAGATGTTTCCTTTTCTACCTTTGGTCTCAAAGCGATTGAAATCTCCACATGGAAACTCCACAAAAAGAGTGTTTCAAATCTGCTCTTTCTGAAGGAAGGTTCAACTCTTGTGAGTTGAATACACACACCACAAATAAGTTACTGAGAATTCTTCTGTGTAACATTATATGAGGAAATCCCGTTTCCAACGAAGGCCTCAAAGAGGTCCAAATATCCACTTGCAGACTTTACAAAGACAGTGTCTCCAAACTCCTCCATCAAAAGAAAGGTTATACTCTGTGAATTGAACGCACACATCACAAAGTAAGTTTCTGAGAATGATTCTGTCTAGTTTTTATACGAAGATATTTCCTTTTCTACATTTGGCCTAAAAGTGCTTGAAATCTCCACCTGCAAATATCACAAAAAGAGGGTTTCACATCTGCTCTGTCTAAAGGACAGTTCACCTCTGTGAGTTGAATAGAGGCAACACAAAGAACTTACTCAGTATTCTTCTTTCTAGCGTTCTATGAAGAAATCCCGTTTCCAACGAAGGCCCCAAAGAGGTCCAAATATCTGCTTGCAGACTTTACAGACAGAGTGTTTCCAAACTACTCTATGAAAAGAAAGCTTAAACTCCTTGAGTTGAACGCACACATCACAAAGTAGTTTCTGAGAATGATTCTGTCTAGTTTTTATACGAAGATGTTTCCTTTTCTACATTTGGTCTCAAAGCGATTGAAATCTCCAACTGGAAACTGCACAAATAGGGTGTTTCAAATCTGCTCTGTCTAAAGGAAGGTTCAACTCTGTGAGTTGAATACACAAACCACAAACAAGTTACTGAGAATTCTTCTGTCGAACATTACAGGAAGAAATCCCGTTTCCAGCGAAGGCCTCAAAGAGGTCCAAATATCCACTTGCAGACATTACAAACAGAGTGTTTCCAAACTGCTCCATCAAAAGAAAGGTTAAACTCTGTGAGCTGAACACACACATCAAAAAGAAGTTTCTGTGAATGATTCTGTCCAGATTTTATAAGAAGATGTTTCCTTTTCTACTGTAGTCCTCAAAGCGCTTGAAATCTCCAACTACAAATTCCACAAAAAGGGTGTTTAACATCTGCTCTTCTAAAGGAAAGTTCAACTCTATGAGTTGAATACACACAGCACAAAGAAGTTACTGAGACTTCTCCTATCAAACATTATATGAAGAAATCCCGTTTCCAACGAAGGCCTCAAAGAGGTCCAAATATCTGCTTGCAGACTTTAAAGACAGAGTTTTTCCAACCTGCTCCATCAAAAGAAAGGTTAAACTCCTTGAGTTGAACACACACATCACAAAGTAGTTTCTGTGAATGATTCTGTCTAGTTTTTATACGAAGATGTTTCCTTTTCTACCTTTGGTCTCAAAGCGATTGAAATCTCCACATGGAAACTCCACAAAAAGAGTGTTTCAAATCTGCTCTTTCTGAAGGAAGGTTCAACTCTGTGAGTTGAATACACACACCACAAATAAGTTACTGAGAATTCTTCTGTGTAACATTATATGAGGAAATCCCGTTTCCAACGAAGGCCTCAAAGAGGTCCAAATATCCACTTGCAGACTTACAAAGACAGTGTCTCCAAACTCCTCCATCAAAAGAAAGGTTATACTCTGTGAATTGAACGCACACATCACAAAGTAGTTTCTGAGAATGATTCTGTCTAGTTTTTATACGAAGATATTTCCTTTTCTACATTTGGCCTAAAAGCGCTTGAAATCTCCACCTGCAAATATCACAAAAAGAGGGTTTCACATCTGCTCTGTCTAAAGGACAGTTCACCTCTGTGAGTTGAATAGAGGCAACACAAAGAACTTACTCAGTATTCTTCTTTCTAGCGTTCTATGAAGAAATCCCGTTTCCAACGAAGGCCCCAAAGAGGTCCAAATATCTGCTTGCAGACTTTACAGACAGAGTGTTTCCAAACTACTCTATGAAAAGAAAGCTTAAACTCCTTGAGTTGAACGCACACATCACAAAGTAGTTTCGGAGAATGATTCTGTCTAGTTTTTATACGAAGATGTTTCCTTTTCTACATTTGGTCTCAAAGCGATTGAAATCTCCAACTGGAAACTTCACAAATAGGGTGTTTCAAATCTGCTCTGTCTAAAGGAAGGTTCAACTCTGTGAGTTGAATACACACACCACAAATAAGTTACTGAGAATTCTTCTGTCGAACATTACATGAAGAAATCCCGTTTCCAAAGAAGGCCTCAAGGGGTCCAAATATCCACTTGCAGACATTACAAACAGAGTGTTTCCAAAGTGCTCCATCAAAAGAAAGGTTAAACTCTGTGAGCTGAACACACACATCAAAGAGAAGTTTCTGTGAATGAGTCTGTCTAGATTTTATAAGAAGATGTTTCCTTTTCTACAGTAGTCCTCAAAGCGCTTGAAATCTCCAACTGCAAATTCCACAAAAAGGGTGTTTAAGATCTGCTCTTCTAAAGGAAATTTCAACTCTATGAGTTGAATACACACAGCACAAAGAAGTTACTGAGACTTCTCCTATGAAACATTATATGAAGAAATCCCGTTTCCAACGAAGGCCTCAAAGAGGACCAAATATCTGCTTGCAGACTTTACAGACAGAGTTTTTCCAAACTGCTCCATCAAAAGAAAGGTTAAACTCCTTGAGTTGAACACACACATCACAAAGTAGTTTCCGTGAATGATTCTGTCTAGTTTTTATACGAAGATGTTTCCTTTTCTACCTTTGGTCTCAAAGCGATTGAAATCTCCACATGGAAACTCCACAAAAAGAGTGTTTCAAATCTGCTCTTTCTGAAGGAAGGTTCAACTCTGTGAGTTGAATACACACACCACAAATAAGTTACTGAGAATTCTTCTGTGTAACATTATATGAGGAAATCCCGTTTCCAACGAAGGCCTCAAAGAGGTCCAAATATCCACTTGCAGACTTTACAAAGACAGTGTCTCCAAACTCGTCCATCAAAAGAAAGGTTATACTCTGTGAATTGAACGCACACATCACAAAGTAGTTTCTGAGAATGATTCTGTCTAGTTTTTATACGAAGATATTTCCTTTTCTACATTTGGCCTAAAAGCGCTTGAAATCTCCACCTGCAAATATCACAAAAAGAGGGTTTCACATCTGCTCTGTCTAAAGGACAGTTCACCTCTGTGAGTTGAATAGAGGCAACACAAAGAACGTACTCAGTATTCTTCTGTCTAGCGTTATATGAAGAAATCCCTTTTCCAACGAAGGCCTCAAAGAGGTCCAAATATCTGCTTGCAGACTTTACAGACAGAGTGTTTCCAAACTACTCTATGAAAAGAAAGCTTAAACTCCGTGAGTTGAACGCACACATCACAAAGTAGTTTCTGAGAATGATTCTGTCTAGTTTTTATACGAAGATGTTTCCTTTTCTACATTTGGTCTCAAAGCGATTGAAATCTCCAACTGGAAACTGCACAAATAGGGTGTTTCAAATCTGCTCTGTCTAAAGGAAGGTTCAACTCTGTGAGTTGAATACACACACCACAAATAAGTTACTGAGAATTCTTCTGTGTAACATTATATGAGGAAATCCCGTTTCCAACGAAGGCCTCAAAGAGGTCCAAATATCCACTTGCGGACATTACAAACAGTGTGTTTCCCAACTGCTCCATCAAAAGAAAGGTTAAACTCTGTGAGCTGAACACACACATCAAAAAGAAGTTTCTGTGAATGATTCTGTCTAGATTTTATAAGAAGATGTTTCCTTTTCTACCGTAGGCCTCAAAGCGCTTGAAATCTCCAGCTGCAAATTCCACAAAAAGGGTGTTTAACATCTGCTCTTCTAAAGGAAAGTTCAACTCTATGAGTTGAATACACACAGCACAAAGAAGTTACTGAGACTTCTCCTATCAAACATTATATGAAGAAATCCCGTTTCCAACGAAGGCCTCAAAGAGGTCCAAATATCTGCTTGCAGACTTTACAGACAGAGTGTTTCCAAACTGCTCCATCAAAAGAAAGGTTAAACTCCTTGAGTTGAACACACACATCACAAAGTAGTTTCTGTGAATGATTCTGTCTAGTTTTTATACGAAGATGTTTCCTTTTCTACCTTTGGTCTCAAAGCGATTGAAATCTCCACATGGAAACTCCACAAAAAGAGTGTTTCAAATCTGCTCTTTCTGAAGGAAGGTTCAACTCTGTGAGTTGAATACACACACCACAAATAAGTTACTGAGAATTCTTCTGTGTAACATTATATGAGGAAATCCCGTTTCCAACGAAGGCCTCAACGAGGTCCAAATATCCACATGCAGACTTTACAAAGACAGTGTCTCCAAACTCCTCCATCAAAAGAAAGGTTATACTCTGTGAATTGAACGCACACATCACAAAGTAGTTTCTGAGAATGATTCTGTCTAGTTTTTATACGAAGATATTTCCTTTTCTACATTTGGCCTAAAATCGCTTGAAATCTCCACCTGCAAATATCACAAAAAGAGGGTTTCACATCTGCTCTGTCTAAAGGACAGTTCACCTCTGTGAGTTGAATAGAGGCAACACAAAGAACTTACTCAGTATTCTTCTTTCTAGCGTTCTATGAAGAAATCCCGTTTCCAACGAAGGCCCCAAAGAGGTCCAAATATCTGCTTGCAGACTTTACAGACAGAGTGTTTCCAAACTACTCTATGAAAAGAAAGCTTAAACTCCTTGAGTTGAACGCACACATCACAAAGTAGTTTCTGAGAATGATTCTGTCTAGTTTTTATACGAAGATGTTTCCTTTTCTACATTTGGTCTCAAAGCGATTGAAATCTCCAACTGGAAACTGCACAAATAGGGTGTTTCAAATCTGCTCTGTCTAAAGGAAGGTTCAACTCTGTGAGTTGAATACACACACCACAAATAAGTTACTGAGAATTCTTCTGTCGACCATTACTTGATGAAATCCCGTTTCCAACGAAGGCCTCAAAGAGGTCCAAATATCCACTTGCAGACATTACAAACAGAGTGTTTCCAAGCTGCTCCATCAAAAGAAAGGTTAAACTCGGTGAGCTGAACACACACATCGAAAAGAAGTTTCTGTGAATGATTCTGTCTAGATTTTATAAGAAGATGTTTCCTTTTCTACCGTAGGCCTCAAAGCGCTTGAAATCTCCAGCTGCAAATTCCACAAAAAGGGTGTTTAACATCTGCTCTTCTAAAGGAAAGTTCAACTCTATGAGTTGAATACACACAGCACAAAGAAGTTACTGAGACTTCTTCTGTCTAACATTATATGAAGAAATCCCGTTTCCAACGAAGGCCTCAAAGAGGTCCAAATATCTGCCTGCAGACTTTACAGACAGAGTGTTTCCAAACTGCTCCATCAAAAGAAAGGTTAAACTCCTTGAGTTGAACACACACATCACAAAGTAGTTTCTGTGAATGATTCTGTCTAGTTTTTATACGAAGATGTTTCCTTTTCTACCTTTGGTCTCAAAGCGATTGAAATCTCCACATGGAAACTCCACAAAAAGAGTGTTTCAAATCTGCTCTTTCTGAAGGAAGGTTCATCTCTGTGAGTTGAATACACACACCACAAATAAGTTACTGAGAATTCTTCTGTGTAACATTATATGAGGAAATCCCGTTTCCAACGAAGGCCTCAAAGAGGTCCAAATATCCACTTGCAGACTTTACAAAGACAGTGTCTCCAAACTCCTCCATCAAAAGAAAGGTTATACTCTGTGAATTGAACGCACACATCACAAAGTAGTTTCTGAGAATGATTCTGTCTAGTTTTTATACGAAGATATTTCCTTTTCTACATTTGGCCTAAAAGCGCTTGAAATCTCCACCTGCAAATATCACAAAAAGAGGGTTTCACATCTGCTCTGTCTAAAGGACAGTTCACCTCTGTGAGTTGAATAGAGGCAACACAAAGAACTTACTCAGTATTCTTCTTTCTAGCGTTCTATGAAGAAATCCCGTTTCCAACGAAGGCCCCAAAGAGGTCCAAATATCTGCTTGCAGACTTTACAGACAGAGTGTTTCCAAACTACTCTATGAAAAGAAAGCTTAAACTCCTTGAGTTGAACGCACACATCACAAAGTAGTTTCTGAGAATGATTCTGTCTTGTTTTTATACGAAGATATTTCCGTTTCTACGATTGGCCTCAAAGCGATTGAAATCTCGCAACTGGAAACTGCACAAACTAGGGTGTTTCAAATCTGCTCTGTCTAAAGGAAGGTTCAAATCTGTGAGTTGAATACACACACCACAAATAAGTTACTGAGAATTCTTCTGTCGAACATTACATGAAGAAATCCCGTTTCCAACGAAGGCCTCAAAGAGGTCCAAATATCCACTTGCAGACATTACAAACAGAGTGTTTCCAAACTGCTCCATAAAAAGAAAGGTTAAACTCTGTGAGCTGAACACACACATCAAAAAGAAGTTTCTGTGAATGATTCTGTCTAGATTTTATAAGAAGATGTTTCCTTTTCTACCGTAGGCCTCAAAGCGCTTGAAATCTCCAGCTGCAAATTCCACAAAAAGGGTGTTTAACATCTGCTCTTCTAAAGGAAAGTTCAACTCTATGAGTTGAATACACACAGCACAAAGAAGTTACTGAGACTTCTCCTATCAAACATTATATGAAGAAATCCCGTTTCCAACGAAGGCCTCAAAGAGGTGAAAATATCTGCTTGCAGACTTTACAGACAGAGTGTTTCCAAACTGCTCCATCAAAAGAAAGGTTAAACTCCTTGAGTTGAACACACACATCACAAAGTAGTTTCTGTGAATGATTCTGTCTAGTTTTTATACGAAGATGTTTCCTTTTCTACCTTTGGTCTCAAAGCGATTGAAATCTCCACATGGAAACTCCACAAAAAGAGTGTTTCAAATCTGCTCTTTCTGAAGGAAGGTTCAACTCTGTGAGTTGAATACACACACCACAAATAAGTTACTGAGAATTCTTCTGTGTAACATTATATGAGGAAATCCCGTTTCCAACGAAGGCCTCAAAGAGGTCCAAATATCCACTTGCAGACTTTACAAAGACAGTGTCTCCAAACTCCTCCATGAAAAGAAAGGTTATACTCTGTGAATTCAACGCACACATCACAAAGTAGTTTCTGAGAATGATTCTGTCTAGTTGTTCTACGAAGATATTTCCTTTTCTACATTTGGCTTAAAAGCGCTTGAAATCTCCACCTGCAAATATCACAAAAAGAGGGTTTCACATCTGCTCTGTCTAAATGACAGTTCACCTCTGTGAGTTGAGTAGAGGCAGCACAAAGAAGTTACTGAGTATTCTTCTTTCTAGCGTTACATGAAGAAATCCCGTTTCCAACGAAGGCCTCAAAGAGGTCCAAATATCTGCTTGCAGACTTTACAGACAGAGTGTTTCCAAACTACTCTATGAAAAGAAAGCTTAAACTCCTTGAGTTGAACGCACACATCACAATGTAGTTTCTGAGAATGATTCTGTCTAGTTTTTCTACGAAGATGTTTCCTTTTCTACCTTCGGTCTCCAAGCGATTGAAATCTCCACATGGAAACTCCACAAAAAGAGTGTTTCAAATCTGCTCTTTCTGAAGGAAGGTTCAACTCTGTGAGTTGAATACACACACCACAAATAAGTTACTGAGAATTCTTCTGTGTAACATTATATGAGGAAATCCCGTTTCCAACGAAGGCCTCAAAGAGGTCCAAATATCCACTTGCAGACATTACAAACAGAGTGTTTCCAAACTGCTCCATCAAAAGAAAGGTTAAACTCTGTGAGCTGAACACACACATCAAAAAGAAGTTTCTGTGAATGATTCTGTCTAGATTTTATAAGAAGATGTTTCCTGTTCTTCCGTAGGCCTCAAAGCGCTTGAAATCTCCAGCTGCAAATTCCACAAAAAGGGTGTTTAACATCTGCTCTTCTAAAGGAAAGTTCAACTCAATGAGTTGAATACACACAGCACAAAGAAGTTTTTGAGACTTCTTCTTTCTAGCATTCTATGAAGAAATCCCGTTTCCAACGAAGGCCTCAAAGAGGTCCAAATATCTGCTTGCAGACTTTACAGACAGAGTTTTTCCAAACTGCTCCATCAAAAGAAAGGTTAAACTCCTTGAGTTGAACACACACATCACAAAGTAGTTTCTGTGAATGATTCTGTCTAGTTTTTATACGAAGATGTTTCCTTTTCTACCTTTGGTCTCAAAGCGATTGAAATCTCCACATGGAAACTCCACAAAAAGAGTGTTTCAAATCTGCTCTTTCTGAAGGAAGGTTCAACTCTGTGAGTTGAATACACACACCACAAATAAGTTACTGAGAATTCTTCTGGGTAACATTATATGAGGAAATCCCGTTTCCAACGAAGGCCTCAAAGAGGTCCAAATATCCACTTGCAGACTTTACAAAGACAGTGTCTCCAAACTCCTCCATCAAAAGAAAGGTTATACTCTGTGAATTGAACGCACACATCACAAAGTAGTTTCTGAGAATGATTCTGTCTAGTTTTTATACGAAGATATTTCCTTTTCTACATTTGGCCTAAAAGCGCTTGAAATCTCCACCTGCAAATATCACAAAAAGAGGGTTTCACATCTGCTCTGTCTAAAGGACAGTTCACCTCTGTGAGTTGAATAGAGGCAACACAAAGAACTTACTCAGTATTCTTCTTTCTAGCGTTCTATGAAGAAATCCCGTTTCCAACGAAGGCCCCAAAGAGGTCCAAATATCTGCTTGCAGACTTTACAGACAGAGTGTTTCCAAACTACTCTATGAAAAGAAAGCTTAAACTCCTTGAGTTGAACGCACACATCACAAAGTAGTTTCTGAGAATGATTCTGTCTAGTTTTTATACGAAGATGTTTCCTTTTCTACATTTGGTCTCAAAGCGATTGAAATCTCCAACTGGAAACTGCACAAATAGGCTGTTTCAAATCTGCTCTGTCTAAAGGAAGGTTCAGCTCTGTGAGTTGAATACACACACCACAAATAAGTTACTGAGAATTCTTCTGTCGAACATTACAGGAAGAAATCCCGTTTCCAACGAAGGCCTCAAAGAAGTCCAAATATCCACTTGCAGACATTACAAACAGTGTGTTTCCCAACTGCTCCATCAAAAGAAAGGTTAAACTCTATGAGCTGAACACACACATCAAAAAGAAGTTTCTGTGAATGATTCTGTCTAGATTTTATAAGAAGATGTTTCCTTTTCTACCGTAGGCCTCAAAGCGCTTGAAATCTCCAGCTGCAAATTCCACAAAAAGGGTGTTTAACATCTGCTCTTCTAAAGGAAAGTTCAACTCTATGAGTTGAATACACACAGCACAAAGAAGTTACTGAGACTTCTCCTATCAAACATTATATGAAGAAATCCCGTTTCCAACGAAGGCCTCAAAGAGGTCCAAATATCTGCTTGCAGACTTTACAGACAGAGTGTTTCCAAACTGCTCCATCAAAAGAAAGGTTAAACTCCTTGAGTTGAACACACACATCACAAAGTAGTTTCTGTGAATGATTCTGTCTAGTTTTTATACGAAGATGTTTCCTTTTCTACCTTTGGTCTCAAAGCGATTGAAATCTCCACATGGAAACTCCACAAAAAGAGTGTTTCAAATCTGCTCTTTCTGAAGGAAGGTTCATCTCTGTGAGTTGAATACACACACCACAAATAAGTTACTGAGAATTCTTCTGTGTAACATTATATGAGGAAATCCCGTTTCCAACGAAGGCCTCAAAGAGGTCCATATATCCACTTGCAGACTTTACAAAGACAGGGTCTCCAAACTCCTCCATCAAAAGAAAGGTTATACTCTGTGAATTGAACGCACACATCACAAAGTAGTTTCTGAGAATGATTCTGTCTAGTTTTTATACGAAGATATTTCCTTTTCTACATTTGGCCTATAAGCGCTTGAAATCTCCACCTGCAAATATCACAAAAAGAGGGTTTCACATCTGCTCTGTCTGAAGGACAGTTCACCTCTGTGAGTTGAATAGAGGCAACACAAAGAACTTACTCAGTATTCTTCTTTCTAGCGTTATATGAAGAAATGCCGTTTCCAACGAAGGCCTCAAAGAGGTCCAAATATCTGCTTGCAGACTTTACAGACAGAGTATTTCCAATCTACTCTATGAAAAGAAAGCTTAAACTCCTTGAGTTGAACGCACACATCACAAAGTAGTTTCTGAGAATGATTCTGTCTTGTTTTTATACAAATGTATTTCCGTTTCTATGGCCTCAAAGCAATTGAAATCTCCAACTGGAAACTGCCCAAATAGGGTGTTTCAAATCTGCTCTGTCTAAAGGAAGGTTCAACTCTGTGAGTTGAATACACACACCACAAATAAGTTACTGAGAATTCTTCTGTCGAACATTACTTGAAGAAATCCCGTTTCCAACGAAGGCCTCAAAGAGGTCCAAATATCCACTTGCAGACGTTACAAACAGAGTGTTTCCAAACTGCTCCATCAAAAGAAAGGTTAAACTCTGTGAGCTGAACACACACATCAAAAAGAAGTTTCTGTGAATGATTCTGTCTAGAATTTTATAAGAAGATGTTTCCTTTTCTACCGTAGGCCTCAAAGCGCTTGAAATCTCCAGCTGCAAATTCCACAAAAAGGGTGTTTAACATCTGCTCTTCTAAAGGAAAGTTCAACTCTATGAGTTGAATACACACAGCACAAAGAAGTTACTGAGACTTCTCCTATCAAACATTATATGAAGAAATCCCTTTTCCAACGAAGGCCTCAAAGAGGTGCAAATATCTGCTTGCAGACTTTACAGACAGAGTGTTTCCAAACTGCTCCATCAAAAGAAAGGTTAAACTCCTTGAGTTGAACACACACATCACAAAGTAGTTTCTGTGAATGATTCTGTCTAGTTTTTATACGAAGATGTTTCCTTTTCTACCTTTGGTCTCAAAGCGATTGAAATCTCCACATGGAAACTCCACAAAAAGAGTGTTTCAAATCTGCTCTTTCTGAAGGAAGGTTCAACTCTGTGAGTTGAATACACACACCACAAATAAGTTACTGAGAATTCTTCTGTGTAACATTATATGAGGAAATCCCGTTTCCAACGAAGGCCTCAAAGAGGTCCAAATATCCACTTGCAGACTTTACAAAGACAGTGTCTCCAAACTCCTCCATCAAAAGAAAGGTTATACTCTGTGAATTGAACGCACACATCACAAAGTAGTTTCTGAGAATGATTCTGTCTAGTTTTTATACGAAGATATTTCCTTTTCTACATTTGGCCTAAAAGCGCTTGAAATCTCCACCTGCAAATATCACAAAAAGAGGGTTTCACATCTGCTCTGTCTAAAGGACAGTTCACCTCTGTGAGTTGAATAGAGGCAACACAAAGAACTTACTCAGTATTCTTCTTTCTAGCGTTACATGAAGAAATCCCGTTTCCAACGAAGGCCTCAAAGAGGTCCAAATATCTGCTTGCAGACTTTACAGACAGAGTGTTTCCAAACTACTCTATGAAAAGAAAGCTTAAACTCCTTGAGTTGAACGCACACATCACAAAGTAGTTTCTGAGAATGATTCTGTCTAGTTTTTATACGAAGATGTTTCCTTTTCTACATTTGGTCTCAAAGCGATTGAAATCTCCAACTGGAAACTGCACAAATAGGGTGTTTCAAATCTGCTCTGTCTAAAGGAAGGTTCAACTCTTTGAGTTGAATACACACACCACAAATAAGTTACTGAGAATTCTTCTTTCGAACACTACTTGAAGAAATCCCGTTTCCAACGAAGGCCTCAAAGAGGTCCAAATATCCACTTGCAGACATTACAAACAGAGTGTTTCCAAACTGCTCCATCAAAAGAAAGGTTATACTCTGTGAATTGAACGCACACATCACAAAGTAGTTTCTGAGAATGATTCTGTCTAGATTTTATAAAAAGATGTTTCCTTTTCTACCGTAGGCCACAAAGCGCTTGAAATCTCCAGCTGCAAATTCCACAAAAAGGGTGTTTAACATCTGCTCTTCTAAAGGAAAGTTCAACTCTATGCGTTGAATACACACAGCACAAAGAAGTTACTGAGACTTCTCCTATCAAACATTATATGAAGAAATCCCGTTTCCAACGAAGGCCCCAAAGAGGTCCAAATATCTGCTTGCAGACTTTACAGACAGAGTTTTTCCAAACAGCTCCATCAAAAGAAAGGTTAAACTCCTTGAGTTGAACACACACATCACAAAGTAGTTTCTGTGAATGATTCTGTCTAGTTTTTATACGAAGATGTTTCCTTTTCTACATTTGGTCTCAAAGCGATTGAAATCTCCATATGGAAACTCCACAAAAAGAGTGTTTCAAATCTGCTCTTTCTGAAGGAAGGTTCAACTCTGTGAGTTGAATACACACACCACAAATAAGTTACTGAGAATTCTCCCTGTGTAACATTATATGAGGAAATCCCGTTTCCAACAAAGGCCTCAAAGAGGTCCAAATATCCACTTGCAGACTTTACAAAGACAGTGTCTCCAAACTCCTCCATCAAAAGAAAGGTTATACTCTGTGAATTGAACGCACACATCACAAAGTAGTTTCTGAGAATGATTCTGTCTAGTTTTTATACGAAGATATTTCCTTTTCTACATTTGGCCTAAAAGCGCTTGAAATCTCCACCTGCAAATATCACAAAAAGAGGGTTTCACATCTGCTCTGTCTAAAGGACAGTTCACCTCTGTGAGTTGAATAGAGGCAACACAAAGAACTTACTCAGTATTCTTCTTTCTAGCGTTCTATGAAGAAATCCCGTTTCCAACGAAGGCCCCAAAGAGGTCCAAATATCTGCTTGCAGACTTTACAGACAGAGTGTTTCCAAACTACTCTATGAAAAGAAAGCTTAAACTCCTTGAGTTGAACGCACACATCACAAAGTAGTTTCTGAGAATGATTTCTGTCTGGTTTTTATACGAAGATATTTCCGTTTCTATGATTGGCCTCCAAGCGATTGAAATCTCCAACTGGAAACTGCACAAATAGGGTGTTTCAAATCTGCTCTGTCTAAAGGAAGGTTCAACTCTGTGAGTTGAATACACACACCACAAACAAGTTACTGAGAATTCTTCGGTCGAACATTACATGAAGAGATCCCGTTTCCAACGACGGCCTCAAAGAGGTCCAAATATCCACTTGCAGACATTACAAAGAGAGTGTTTCCAAACTGCTCCATCAAAAGAAAGCCTAAACTCTGTGAGCTGAACGCACACATCAAAAGGAAGTTTCTGTGAATAATTCTGTCTAGACTTTAGAAGAAGATGTTTCCTTTTCTACTGTAGGCCTCAAAGCGCTTGAAATCTCCAGCTGCAAATTCCACAAAAAGGGTGTTTAACATCTGCTCTTCTAAAGGAAAGTTCAACTCCATGAGTTGAATACACACAGCACGAAGAAGTTACTGAGACTTCTCCTATCAAACATTATATGAAGAAATCCCGTTTCCAACGAAGGCCTCAAAGAGGTCCAAATATCTGCTTGCAGACTTTACAGACAGAGTGTTTCCAAACTGCTCCATCAAAAGAAAGGTTAAACTCCTTGAGTTGAACACACACATCACAAAGTAGTTTCTGTGAATGATTCTGTCTAGTTTTTATACGAAGATGTTTCCTTTTCTACCTTTGGTCTCAAAGCGATTGAAATCTCCACATGGAAACTCCACCAAAAGAGTGTTTCAAATCTGCTCTCTCTGAAGGAAGGTTCAACTGTGTGAGTTGAATACAGACACCACAAATAAGTTACTGAGAATTCTTCTGTGTAACATTATATGAGGAAATCCCATTTCCAACGAAGGCCTCAAAGAGGTCCAAATATCCACTTGCAGACTTTACAAAGACAGTGTCTCCAAACTCCTCCATCAAAAGAAAGGTTATACTCTGTGAATTGAACGCACACATCACAAAGTAGTTTCTGAGAATGATTCTGTCTAGTTTTTATACGAAGATATTTCCTTTTCTACATTTGGCCTAAAAGCGCTTGAAATCTCCACCTGCAAATATCACAAAAAGAGGGTTTCACATCTGCTCTGTCTAAAGGACACTTCACCTCTGTGAGTTGAATAGAGGCAACACAAAGAACTTACTCAGTATTCTTCTTTCTAGCGTTCTATGAAGAAATCCCTTTTCCAACGAAGGCCTCAAAGAGGTCCAAATATCTGCTTGCAGACTTTACAGACAGAGTGTTTCCAAACTACTCTATGAAAAGAAAGCTTAAACTCCTTGAGTTGAACGCACACATCACAAAGTAGTTTCTGAGAATGATTCTGTCTAGTTTTTATACGAAGATGTTTCCTTTTCTACATTTGGTCTCAAAGCGATTGAAATCTCCAACTGGAATCTGCACAAATAGGGAGTTTCAAATCTGATCTGTCTAAAGGAAGGGTCAACTCTGTGAGTTGAATACACACACCACAAATAAGTTACTGAGAATTCTTCTGTTGAACATTACATGAAGCAATCCCGTTTCCAACGAAGGCCTCAAAGAGGTCCTAATGTCCACTTGCAGACATTACAGAGTGTTTCCAAACTGCTCCATCAAAAGAAAGGTTAAACTCTGTGAGCTGAACACACACATCAAAAAGAAGTTTCTGTGAATGATTCTGTCTAGATTTTATAAGAAGATGTTTCCTTTTCTACCGTAGGCCTCAAAGCGCTTGAAATCTCCAGCTGCAAATTCCACAAAAAGGGTGTTTAACATCTGCTCTTCTAAAGGAAAGTTCAACTCTATGAGTTGAATACACACAGCACAAAGAAGTTACTGAGACTTCTCCTATCAAACATTATATGAAGAAATCCCGTTTCCAACGATGGCCTCAAAGAGGTCCAAATATCTGCTTGCAGAATTACAAAGACAGTGTCTCCAAACTCCTCCATGAAAAGAAATGTTATACTCTGTGAATTGAACGCACACATCACAAAGTAGTTTCTGAGAATGATTCTGTCTAGTTTTTATACGAAGATGTTTCCTTTTCTACATTTGGTCTCAAAGCGATTGAAATCTCCAACTGGAAACTGCACAAATAGGGTGTCTCAAATCTGCTCTGTCTAAAAGAAGGTTCAACTCTGTGAGTTGAATACACACACCACAAATAAGTTACTGAGAATTCTTCTGTCGAACATTACATGAAGAAATCCCGTTTCCAACAAAGGCCCAAAAGAGGTCCAAATATCCACTTGCAGACATTACAAACAGTGTGTTTCCAAACTGCTCCATCAAAAGAAAGGTTAAACTCTGTGAGCTGAACACACACATCAAAAGGAAGTTTCTGTGAATGATTCTGTCTAGATTTTATAAGAAGATGTTTCCTTTTCTACTGTAGGCCTCAAAGCGCTTGAAATCTCCAGCTGCAAATTCCACAAAAAGGGTGTTTAACATCTGCTCTTCTAAAGGAAAGTTCAACTCTATGAGTTGAATACACACAGCACAAAGAAGTTACTGAGACTACTCCTATCAAACATTATATGAAGAAATCCCGTTTCCAACGAAGGCCTCAAAGAGGTCCAAATATCTGCTTGCAGACTTTACAGACAGAGTGTTTCCAAACTCCTCCATCAAAAGAAAGGTTAAACTCCTTGAGTTGAACACACACATCACAAAGTAGTTTCTGTGAATGATTCTGTCTAGTTTTTATACGAAGATGTTTCCTTTTCTACCTTTGGTCTCAAAGCGATTGAAATCTCCAAATGGAAACTCCACAAAAAGAGTGTTTCAAATCTGCTCTTTCTGAAGGAAGGTTCAACTCTGTGAGTTGAATACACACACCACAAATAAGTTACTGAGAATTCTTCTGTGTAACATTATATGAGGAAATCCCGTTTCCAACGAAGGCCTCAAAGAGGTCCAAATATCCACTTGCAGACTTTACAAAGACAGTGTCTCCAAACTCCTCCATCAAAAGAAAGGTTATACTCTGTGAATTGAACGCACACATCACAAAGTAGTTTCTGAGAATGATTCTGTCTAGTTTTTATACGAAGATGTTTCCTTTTCTACATTTGGCCTAAAAGCGCTTGAAATCTCCACCTGCAAATATCACAAAAAGAGGGTTTCACATCTGCCCTGTCTAAAGGACAGTTCACCTCTGTGAGTTGAATAGAGGCAACACCAAGAACTTACTCAGTATTCTTCTTTCTAGCGTTCTATGAAGAAATCCCGTTTCCAACGAAGGCCCCAAAGAGGTCCAAATATCTGCTTGCAGACTTTACAGACAGAGTGTTTCCAAACTACTCTATGAAAAGAAAGCTTAAACTCCTTGAGTTGAACGCACACATCACAAAGTAGTTTCTGAGAATGATTCTGTCTTGTTTTTATACGAAGATATTTCCGTTTCTATGATTGGCCTCAAACCATTGAAATCTCCAACTGGAAACTGCACAAATAGGGTGTTTCAAATCTGCTCTGTCTAAAGGAAGGTTCAACTCTGTGAGTTGAATACACACACCACAAATAAGTTACTGAGAATTCTTCTGTCGAACATTACTTGAAGAAATCCCGTTTCCAACGAAGGCCTCAAAGAGGTCCAAATATCCACTTGCAGACATTACAAACAGAGTGTTTCCAAACTGCTCCATCAAAAGAAAGGTTAAACTCTGTGAGCTGAACACACACATCAAAAAGAAGTTTCTGTGAATGATTCTGTCTAGATTTTATAAGAAGATGTTTCCTTTTCTACCGTAGGCCTCAAAGCGCTTGAAATCTCCAGCTGCAAATTCCACAAAAAGTGTGTTTAACATCTGCTCTTCTAAAGGAAAGTTCAACTCTATGAGTTGAATACACACAGCACAAAGATGTTACTGAGACTTCTCCTATCAAACATTATATGAAGAAATCCCGTTTCCAACGAAGGCCTCAAAGAGGTCCAAATATCTGCTTGCAGACTTTACAGACAGAGTGTTTCCAAACTGCTCCATCAAAAGAAAGGTTAAACTCCTTGAGTTGAACACACACATCACAAAGTAGTTTCTGTGAATGATTCTGTCTAGTTTTTATACGAAGATATTTCCTTTTCTACATTTGGTCTCAAAGCGATTGAAATCTCCACATGGAAACTCCACAAAAAGAGTGTTTCAAATCTGCTCTCTCTGAAGGAAGGTTCAACTCTGTGAGTTGAAAACACACACCACAAATAAGTTACTGAGAATTCTCCTATCAAACATTATATGAAGAAATCCCGTTTCCAACGATGGCCTCAAAGAGGTCCAAATATCTGCTTGCAGATTTACAAAGACAGTGTCTCCAAACTCCTCCATCAAAAGAAATGTTATACTCTGTGAATTGAACGCACACATCACAAAGTAGTTTCTGATAATGATTCTGTCTAGTTTTTATACGAAGATGTTTCCTTTTCTACATTTGGTCTCAAAGCGATTGAAATCTCCAACTGGAAACTGCACAAATAGGGTGTCTCAAATCTGCTCTGTCTAAAAGAAGGTTCAACTCTGTGACTTGAATACACACACCACAAATAAGTTACTGAGAATTCTTCTTTCTAGCGTTCTGTGAAGAAATCCCGTTTCCAACGAAGGCCCCAAAGAGGTCCAAATATCTGCTTGCAGACTTTACAGACAGAGTGTTTCCAAACTACTCTATGAAAAGAAAGCTTAAACTCCTTGAGTTGAACGCACACATCACAAAGTAGTTTCTGAGAATGATTCTGTCTAGTTTTTATACGAAGATGTTTCCTTTTCTACATTTGGTCTCAAAGCGATTGAAATCTCCAACTGGAAACTGCACAAATAGGGTGTTTCAAATCTGCTCTGTCTAAAGGAAGGTTCAACTCTGTGAGTTGAATACACACACCACAAATAAGTTACTGAGAATTCTTCTGTCGAACATTACAGGAAGAAATCCCGTTTCCAATGAAGGCCTCAAAGAGGTCCAAATATCCACTTGCGGACATTACAAACAGTGTGTTTCCCAACTGCTCCATCAAAAGAAAGGTTAAACTCTGTGAGCTGAACACACACATCAAAAAGAAGTTTCTGTGAATGATTCTGTCTAGATTTTATAAGAAGATGTTTCCTTTTCTACCGTAGGCCTCAAAGCGCTTGAAATCTCCAGCTGCAAATTACACAAAAAGGGTGTTTAACATCTGCTCTTCTAAAGGAAAGTTCAACTCTATGAGTTCAATACACACAGCACAAAGAAGTTACTGAGACTTCTCCTATCAAACATTATATGAAGAAATCCCGCTTCCAACGAAGGCCTCAAAGAAGTCCAAATATCTGCTTGCAGACTTTACAGACAGAGTGTTTCCAAACTGCTCCATCAAAAGAAAGGTTAACCTCCTTGAGTTGAACACACACATCACAAAGTAGTTTCTGTGAATGATTCTGTCTAGTTTTTATACGAAGATGTTTCCTTTTCTACCTTTGGTCTCAAAGCGATTGAAATCTCCACATGGAAACTCCACAAAAAGAGTGTTTCAAATCTGCTCTTTCTGAAGGAAGGTTCAACTCTGTGAGTTGAATACACACACCACAAATAAGTTACTGAGAATTCTACTATCAAACATTATATGAAGAAATCCCGTTTCCAACGAAGGCCTCAAAGAGGTCCAAATATCTGCTTGCAGACTTTACAAAGACAGTGTCTCCAAACTCCTCCATCAAAAGAAAGGTTATACTCTGTGAATTGAACGCACACATCACAAAGTAGTTTCTGAGAATGATTCTGTCTAGTTTTTATACGAAGATATTTCCTTTTCTACATTTGGCCTAAAAGCGCTTGAAATCTCCACCTGCAAATATCACAAAAAGAGGGTTTCACATCTGCTCTGTCTAAAGGACAGTTCACCTCTGTGAGTTGAATAGAGGCAACACAAAGAACTTACTCAGTATTCTTCTTTCTAGCGTTCTATGAAGAAATCCCGTTTCCAACCGAAGGCCCTAAAGAGGTCCAAATATCTGCTTGCAGACTTTACAGACAGAGTGTTTCCAAACTACTCTATGAAAAGAAAGCTTAAACTCCTTGAGTTGAACGCACACATCACAAAGTAGTTTCTGAGAATGATTCTGTCTAGTTTTTATACGAAGATGTTTCCTTTTCTACATTTGGTCTCAAAGCGATTGAAATCTCCAACTGGAAACTGCACAAATAGGGTGTTTCAAATCTGCTCTGTCTAAAGGAAGGTTCAACTCTGTGAGTTGAATACACACACCACAAATAAGTTACTGAGAATTCTTCTGTCGAACATTACTTGAAGAAATCCCGTTTCCAACGAAGGCCTCAAAGAGGTCCAAATATCGACTTGCAGACATTACAAACAGAGTGTTTCCAAACTGCTCCATCAAAAGAAAGGTTAAACTCTGTGAGCTGAACACACACATCAAAAAGAAGTTTCTGTGAATGATTCTGTCTAGATTTTATAAGAAGATGTTTCCTTTTCTACCGTAGGCCTCAAAGCGCTTGAAATCTCCAGCTGCAAATTCCACAAAAAGGGTGTTTAACATCTGCTCTTCTAAAGGAAAGTTCAACTCTATGAGTTGAATACACACAGCACAAAGAAGTTACTGAGACTTCTCCTATCAAACATTATATGAAGAAATCCCGTTTCCAACGAAGGCCTCAAAGAGGTCCAAATATCTGCTTGCAGACTTTACAGACAGAGTTTTTCCAAACTGCTCCATCAAAAGAAAGGTTAAACTCCTTGAGTTGAACACACACATCACAAAGTAGTTTCTGTGAATGATTCTGTCTAGTTTTTATACGAAGATGTTTCCTTTTCTACCTTTGGTCTCAAAGTGATTGAAATCTCCACATGGAAACTCCACAAAAAGAGTGTTTCAAATCTGCTCTTTCTGAAGGAAGGTTCAAATCTGTGAGTTGAATACACACACCACAAATAAGTTACTGAGAATTCTTCTGTGTAACATTATATGAGGAAATCCCGTTTCCAACGAAGGCCTCAAAGAGGTCCAAATATCCACTTGCAGACTTTACAAAGACAGTGTCTCCAAACTCCTCCATCAAAAGAAAGGTTATACTATGTGAATTGAACGCACACATCACAAAGTAGTTTCTGAGAATGATTCTGTCTAGTTTTTATACGAAGATATTTCCTTTTCTACATTTGGCCTAAAAGCGCTTGAAATCTGCACCTGCAAATATCACAAAAAGAGGGTTTCACATCTGCTCTGTCTAAAGGACAGTTCACCTCTGTGAGTTGAATAGAGGCAACACAAAGAACTTACTCAGTATTCTTCTTTCTAGCATTCTATGAAGAAATCCCGTTTCCAACGAAGGCCCCAAAGAGGTCCAAATATCTGCTTGCAGACTTTACAGACAGAGTTTTTCCAAACTGCTCCATCAAAAGAAAGGTTAAACTCCTTGAGTTGAACACACACATCACAAAGTAGTTTCTGAGAATGATTCTGTCTTGTTTTTATACGAAGATATTTCCGTTTCCACGATTGGCCTCAAAGCGATTGAAATCTCCAACTGGAAACTGCACAAATAAGGTGTTTCAAATCTGCTCTGCCTAAAGGAAGGTTCAACTCTTTGAGTTGAATACACACACCACAAATAAGTTACTGAGAATTATTCTCTCGAACATTACATGAAGAAATCCCGTTTCCAACGAAGGCCTCAAAGAGGTCCAAATATCCACTTGCCGACATGGCAAACACAGTGTTTGCAAACTGCTTCGTCAAAAGAAAGGTTAAACTCTGTGAGATGAACACACACATCAAAAAGAAGTTTCTGTGAATGATTCTGTCTAGATTTTATACGAAGATGTTTCCTTTTCTACCATAGGCCTCAAAGCGCTAGAAATCTCCAGCTGCAAATTCCACAAAAAGTGTGTTTAACATCCGCTCTGTCTAAAGTAAAGTTCAGCTCTGTGAGTTGAATACACACAGCACAAAGAAGTTACTGAGACTTCTTCTGTCTAACATTATATGAAGAAATCCCGTTTCCAACGAAGGCCTCAAAGAGGTCCAAATATCCACTTGCAGACTTGTCAAACAGAGTGTTTCCAAACTGCACCATCAAAAGAAAGATTAAACTCTGTGAGTTGAACACACACATCACAAAGTAGTTTCTGTGAATGATTCTGTCTAGTTTTTATACGAAGATGTTTCCTTTTCTACCTTTGGTCTCAAAGCGATTGAAATCTCCACATGGAAACTCCACAAAAAGAGTGTTTCAAACCTGCTCTTTCTGAAGGAAGGTTCAAATCCGTAAGTTGAATACACACACCACAAATAAGTTACTGAGAATTCTTCTGTGTAACATTATATGAGGAAATCCCGTTTCCAACGAAGGCCTCAAAGAGGTCCAAATATCCACTTGCAGACTTTACAAAGACAGTGTCTCCAAACTGCTCCATCAAAAGAAAGGTTATACTCTGTGAATAGAACGCACACATCACAAAGTAGTTTCTGAGAATGATTCTGTCTAGTTTTTATACAAAGATATTTCCTTTTCTACATTTGGCCTAAAAGCGCTTGAAATCTCCACCTGCAAATATCACAAAAAGAGGGTTTCACATCTGCTCTGTCTAAAGGACAGTTCACCTCTGTGAGTTGAATAGAGGCAACACAAAGAACTTACTCAGTATTCTTCTTTCTAGCGTTCTATGAAGAAATCCCGTTTCCAACGAAGGCCCCAAAGAGGTCCAAATATCTGCTTGCAGACTTTACAGACAGAGTGTTTCCAAACTACTCTATGAAAAGAAAGCTTAAACTCCTTGAGTTGAACGCACACATCACAAAGTAGTTTCTGAGAATGATTCTGTCTAGTTTTTATACGAAGATGTTTCCTTTTCTACATTTGGTCTCAAAGCGATTGAAATCTCCAACTGGAAACTGCACAAATAGGGTGTTTCAAATCTGCTCTGTCTAAAGGAAGGTTCAACTCTGTGAGTTGAATACACACACCACAAATAAGTTACTGAGAATTCTTCTGTCGAACATTACATGAAGAAATCCCGTTTCCAACGAAGGCCTCAAAGAGGTCCAAATATCCACTTGCAGACATTACAAACGGAGTGTTTCCAAACTGCTCCATCAAAAGAAAGGTTCAACTCGGTGAGCTGAACACACACATCAAAAAGAAGTTTCTGTGAATGATTCTGTCTAGATTTTATAAGAAGATGTTTCCTTTTCTACCGTAGGCCTCAAAGCGCTTGAAATCTCCAGCTGCAAATTCCACAAAAAGGGTGTTTAACATCAGCTCTTCTAAAGGAAAGTTCAACTCTATGAGTTGAATACACACAGCACAAAGAAGTTACTGAGACTTCTCCTATCAAACATTATATGAAGAAATCCCGTTTCCAACGAAGGCCTCAAAGAGGTCCAAATATCTGCTTGCAGACTTTACAGACAGAGTGTTTCCAAACTGCTCCATCAAAAGAAAGGTTAAACTCCTTGAGTTGAACACACACATCACAAAGTAGTTTCTGTGAATGATTCTGTCTAGTTTTTATACGAAGATGTTTCCTTTTCTACCTTTGGTCTCAAAGCGATTGAAATCTCCACATGGAAACTCCACAAAAAGAGTGTTTCAAATCTGCTATTTCTGAAGGAAGGTTCATCTCTGTGAGTTGAATACAC
The DNA here is from genome assembly GCF_000001405.40 of Homo sapiens. Taxonomy (NCBI): domain Eukaryota; kingdom Metazoa; phylum Chordata; class Mammalia; order Primates; family Hominidae; genus Homo; species Homo sapiens. The sequence goes on along the minus strand of NC_000012.12, from coordinate 36,597,279 downwards.
ACACCACAAATAAGTTACTGAGAATTCTTCTGTGTAACATTATATGAGGAAATCCCGTTTCCAACGAAGGCCTCAAAGAGCTCCAAATATCCACTTGCAGACTTTACAAAGACAGTGTCTCCAAACTCCTCCACCAAAAGAAAGGTTATACTCTGTGAATTGAACGCACACATCACAAAGTAGTTTCTGAGAATGATTCTGTCTAGTTTTTATACGAAGATATTTCCTTTTCTACATTTGGCCTAAGAGCGCTTGAAATCTCCACCTGCAAATATCACAAAAAGAGGGTTTCACATCTGCTCTGTCTAAAGGACAGTTCACCTCTGTGAGTTGAATAGAGGCAACACAAAGAACTTACTCAGTATTCTTCTTTCTAGCGTTCTATGAAGAAATCCCTTTTCCAAAGAAGGCCTCAAAGAGGTCCAAATATCTGCTTGCAGACTTTACAGAGTGTTTCCAAACTACTCTATGAAAAGAAAGCTTAAACTCCTTGAGTTGAACGCACACATCACAAAGTAGTTTCTGAGAATGATTCTGTCTTGTTTTTATACGAAGATATTTCCGTTTCTATGATTGGCCTCCAAGCGATTGAAATCTCCAACTGGAAACTGCACAAATAGGGTGTTTCAAATCTGCTCTGTCTAAAGGAAGGTTCAACTCTGTGAGTTGAATACACACACCACAAATAAGTTACTGAGAATTCTTCTGTCGAACATTACTTGAAGAAATCCCGTTTCCAAAGAAGGCCTCAAAGAGGTCCAAATATCCACTTGCAGACATTACAAACAGAGTGTTTCCAAACTGCTCCATCAAAAGAAAGGTTAAACTCTGTGAGCTGAACACACACATCAAAAAGAAGTTTCTGTGAATGATTCTGTCTAGATTTTATAAGAAGATGTTTCCTTTTCTACCGTAGGCCTCAAAGCGCTTGAAATCTCCAGCTGCAAATTCCACAAAAAGGGTGTTTAACATCTGCTCTTCTAAAGGAAAGTTCAACTCTATGAGTTGAATACACACAGCACAAAGAAGTTACTGAGACTTCTCCTATCAAACATTATATGAAGAAATACCGTTTCCAACGAAGGCCTCAAAGAGGTCCAAATATCTGCTTGCAGACTTTACAGACAGAGTGTTTCCAAACTGCTCCATCAAAAGAAAGGTTAAACTCCTTGAGTTGAACACACACATCACAAAGTAGTTTCTGTGAATGATTCTGTCTAGTTTTTATACGAAGATGTTTCCTTTTCTACCTTTGGTCTCAAAGCGATTGAAATCTCCACATGGAAACTCCACAAAAAGAGTGTTTCAAATCTGCTCTTTCTGAAGGAAGGTTCAACTCTGTGAGTTGAATACACACACCACAAATAAGTTACTGAGAATTCTTCTGTGTAACATTATATGAGGAAATCCCGTTTCCAACGAAGGCCTCAAAGAGGTCCAAATATCCACTTGCAGACTTTACAAAGACAGTGTCTCCAAACTCCTCCATCAAAAGAAAGGTTATACTCTGTGAATTGAACGCACACATCACAAAGTAGTTTCTGAGAATGATTCTGTCTAGTTTTTATACGAAGATATTTCCTTTTCTACATTTGGCCTAAAAGCGCTTGAAATCTCCACCTGCAAATATCACAAAAAGAGGGTTTCACATCTGCTCTGTCTAAAGGACAGTTCACCTCTGTGAGTTGAATAGAGGCAACACAAAGAACTTACTCAGTATTCTTCTTTCTAGCGTTCTATGAAGAAATCCCGTTTCCAACGAAGGCCCCAAAGAGGTCCAAATATCTGCTTGCAGACTTTACAGACAGAGTGTTTCCAAACTACTCTATGAAAAGAAAGCTTAAACTCCTTGAGTTGAACGCACACATCACAAAGTAGTTTCTGAGAATGATTCTGTCTAGTTTTTATAGGAAGATGTTTCCTTTTCTACATTTGGTCTCAAAGCGATTGAAATCTCCAACTGGAAACTGCACAAATAGGGTGTTTCAAATCTGCTCTGTCTAAAGGAAGGTTCAACTCTGTGGGTTGAATACACACACCACAAATAAGTTACTGAGAATTCTTCTGTCGAACATTACTTGAAGAAATCCCGTTTCCAACGTAGGCCTCAAAGAGGTCCAAATATCCACTTGCAGACATTACAAACAGAGTGTTTCCAAACTGCTCCATCAAAAGAAAGGTTAAACTCTGTGAGCTGAACACACACATCAAAAAGAAGTTTCTGTGAATGATTCTGTCTAGATTTTATAAGAAGATGTTTCCTTTTCTAACGTAGACCCCAAAGCGCTTGAAATCTCCAGCTGCAAATTCCACAAAAAGGGTGTTTAACATCTGCTCTTCTAAAGGAAAGTTCACCTCTTGAGTTGAATAGAGGCAACACAAAGAACTTACTCAGTATTCTCCTATCAAACATTATATGAAGAAATCCCGTTTCCAACGAAGGCCTCAAAGAGGTCCAAATATCTGCTTGCAGACTTTACAGACAGAGTTTTTCCAAACTGCTCCATCAAAAGAAAGGTTAAACTCCTTGAGTTGAACACACACATCACAAAGTAGTTTCTGTGAATGATTCTGTCTAGTTGTTATACGAAGATGTTTCCTTTTCTACCTTTGGTCTCAAAGCGATTGAAATCTCCACATGGAGACTCCACAAAAAGAGTGTTTCAAATCTGCTCTTTCTGAAGGAAGGTTCATGCTCTGTGAGTTGAATACACACACCACAAATAAGTTACTGAGAATTCTTCTGTGTAACATTATATGAGGAAATCCCGTTTCCAACGAAGGCCTCAAAGAGGTCCAAATATCCACTTGCAGACTTTACAAAGTCAGTGTCTCCAAACTCCTCCATCAAAAGAAAGGTTATACTCTGTGAATTGAAGGCACACATCACAAAGTAGTTTCTGAGAATGATTCTGTCTAGTTTTTATACGAAGATATTTCCTTTTCTACATTTGGCCTAAAAGCGCTTGAAATCTCCACCTGCAAATATCACAAAAAGAGGGTTTCACATCTGCTCTGTCTAAAGGACAGTTCACCTCTGTGAGTTGAATAGAGGCAACACAAAGAACTTACTCAGTATTCTTCTTCCTAGCGTTACATGAAGAAATCCCGTTTCCAACGAAGGCCTCAAAGAGGTCCAAACATCTGCTTGCAGACTTTACAGACAGAGTGTTTCCACACTACTCTATGAAAAGAAAGCTTAAACTCCTTGAGTTGAACGCACACATCACAAAATAGTTTCTGAGAATGATTCTGTCTAGTTTTTATACGAAGATGTTTCCTTTTCTACATTTGGTCTCAAAGCGATTGAAATCTCCAACTGGAAACTGCACAAATAGGGTGTTTCAAATCTGCTCTGTCTAAAGGAAGGTTCAACTCTGTGAGTTGAATACACACACCACAAATAAGTTACTGAGAATTCTTCTGTCGAACATTACATGAAGAAATCCCGTTTCCAACGAAGGCCTCAAAGAGGTCCAAATATCCACTTGCAGACATTACAAACAGTGTGTTTCCAAACTGCTCCATCAAAAGAAAGGTTAAACTCTGTGAGCTGAACACACACATCAAAAAGAAGTTTCTGTGAATGATTCTGTCTAGATTTTATAAGAAGATGTTTCCTTTTCTACCGTAGGCCTCAAAGCGCTTGAAATCTCCAGCTGCAAATTCCACAAAAAGGGTGTTTAACATCTGCTCTTCTAAAGGAAAGTTCAACTCTATGAGTTGAATACACACAGCACAAAGAAGTTACTGAGACTTCTCCTATCAAACATTATATGAAGAAATCCCGTTTCCAACGAAGGCCTCAAAGAGGTCCAAATATCTGCTTGCAGACTTTACAGACAGAGTGTTTCCAAACTGCTCCATCAAAAGAAAGGTTAAACTCCTTGAGTTGAACACACACATCACAAAATAGTTTCTGTGAATGATTCTGTCTAGTTTTTATACGAAGATGTTTCCTTTTCTACCTTTGGTCTCAAAGCGATTGAAATCTCCACATGGAAACTCCACAAAAAGAGTGTTTCAAATCTGCTCTTTCTGAAGGAAGGTTCAACTCTTGTGAGTTGAATACACACACCACAAATAAGTTACTGAGAATTCTTCTGTGTAACATTATATGAGGAAATCCCATTTCCAACGAAGGCCTCAAAGAGGTCCCAATATCCACATGCAGACTTTACAAAGACAGTGTCTCCAAACTCCTCCATCAAAAGAAAGGTTATACTCTGTGAATTGAACGCACACATCACAAAGTAGTTTCTGAGAATGATTCTGTCTAGTTTTTATACGAAGATATTTCCTTTTCTACATTTGGCCTCAAAGCGCTTGAAATCTCCACCTGCAAATATCACAAAAAGAGGGTTTCACATCTGCTCTGTCTAAAGGACAGTTCACCTCTGTGAGTTGAATAGAGGCAACACAAAGAACTTACTCAGTATTCTTCTTTCTAGCGTTCTATGAAGAAATCCCGTTTCCAATGAAAGCCCCAATGAGGTTCAAATATCTGCTTGCAGACTTTACAGACAGAGTGTTTCCAAACTACTCTATGAAAAGAAAGCTTAAACTCCTTGAGTTGAACGCACAGATCACAAAGTAGTTTCTGAGAATGATTCTGTCTAGTTTTTATACGAAGATGTTTCCTTTTCTACATTTGGTCTCAAAGCGATTGAAATCTCCAACTGGGAACTGCACAAATAGGGTGTTTCAAATCTGCTCTGTCTAAAGGAAGGTTCAACTCTGTGAGTTGAATACACACACCACAAATAAGTTACTGAGAATTCTTCTGTCGAACATTACATGAAGAAATCCCGTTTCCAACGAAGGCCTCAAAGAGGTCCAAATATCCACTTGCAGACATTACAAACAGTGTGTTTCCCAACTGCTCCATCAAAAGAAAGGTTAAACTCTGTGAGCTGAACACACACATCAAAAAGAAGTTTCTGTGAATGATTCTGTCTAGATTTTATAAGAAGATGTTTCCTTTTCTACCGTAGGCCTCAAAGCGCTTGAAATCTCCAGCTGCAAATTCCACAAAAAGGGTGTTTAACATCTGCTCTTCTAAAGGAAAGTCCAACTCTATGAGTTGAATACACACAGCACAAAGAAGTTACTGAGACTTCTCCTATCAAATATTATATGAAGAAATCCCGTTTCCAACGAAGGCCTCAAAGAGGTCCAAATATCTCCTTGCAGACATTACAGACAGAGTGTTTCCAAACTGCTCCATCAAAAGAAAGGTTAAACTCCTTGAGTTGAACACACACATCACAAAGTAGTTTCTGTGAATGATTCTGTCTAGTTTTTATACGAAGATGTTTCCTTTTCTACCTTTGGTCTCAAAGCGATTGAAATCTCCACATGGAAACTCCACAAAAAGAGTGTTTCAAATCTGCTCTTTCTGAAGGAAGGTTCAACTCTTGTGAGTTGAATACACACACCACAAATAAGTTACTGAGAATTCTTCTGTGTAACATTATATGAGGAAATCCCGTTTCCAACGAAGGCCTCAAAGAGGTCCAAATATCCACTTGCAGACTTTACAAAGACAGTGTCTCCAAACTCCTCCATCAAAAGAAAGGTTATACTCTGTGAATTGAACGCACACATCACAAAGTAGTTTCTGAGTATGATTCTGTCTAGTTTTTATACGAAGATATTTCCTTTTCTACATTTGGCCTAAAAGCGCTTGAAATCTCCACCTGCAAATATCACAAAAAGAGGGTTTCACATCTGCTCTGTCTAAAGGACAGTTCACCTCTGTGAGTTGAATAGAGGCAACACAAAGAACGTACTCAGTATTCTTCTTTCTAGCGTTCTATGAAGAAATCCCGTTTCCAACGAAGGCCCCAAAGAGGTCCAAATATCTGCTTGCAGACTTTACAGACAGAGTGTTTCCAAACTACTCTATAAAAAGAAAGCTTAAACTCCTTGAGTTGAACGCACACATCACAAAGTAGTTTCTGAGAATGATTCTGTCTAGTTTTTATACGAAGATGTTTCCTTTTCTACATTTGTCTCAAAGCGATTGAAATCTCCAACTGGAAACTGCACAAATAGGGTGTTTCAAATCTGCTCTGTCTAAAGGAAGGTTCAACTCTGTGAGTTGAATACACACACCACAAATAAGTTACTGAGAATTCTTCTGTCTAACATTATATGAAGAACTCCCTTTTCCAACGAAGGCCTCAAAGAGGTCCAAATATCCACTTGCAGACTTGTCAAACGGAGTTTTTCCAAACTGCACCATCAAAAGAAAGGTTAAACTCTGTGAGCTGAACACACACATCACAAAGTAGTTTCTGTGAATGATTCTGTCTAGTTTTTATTTGAAGATGTTTCCTTTTCTACCTTTGGTCTCAAAGCGATTGAAATCTCCACATGGAAACTCCACTAAAAGAGTGTTTCAAATCTGCTCTTTCTGAAGGAAGGTTCAACTCTGTGAGTTGAATACACACACCACAAATAAGTTACTGAGAATTCTTCTGGGTAACATTATATGAGGAAATCCCGTTTCCAACGAAGGCCTCAAAGAGGTCCAAATATCCACTTGCAGACTTTACAAAGACAGTGTCTCCAAACTCCTCCATCAAAAGAAAGGTTATACTCTGTGAATTGAACGCACACATCACAAAGTAGTTTCTGAGAATGATTCTGTCTAGTTTTTATACGAAGATATTTCCTTTTCTACATTTGGCCTAAAAGCGCTTGAAATCTCCACCTGCAAATATCACAAAAAGAGGGTTTCACATCTGCTCTGTCTAAAGGACAGTTCACCTCTGTGAGTTGAATAGAGGCAACACAAAGAACTTACTCAGTATTCTTTTTTCTAGCGTTCTATTAAGAAATCCCGTTTCCAACGAAGGCCCCAAAGAGGTCCAAATATCTGCTTGCAGACTTTACAGACAGAGTGTTTCCAAACTACTCTATGAAAAGAAAGCTTAAACTCCTTGAGTTGAACGCACACATCACAAAGTAGTTTCTGAGAATGATTCTGTCTTGTTTTTATACAAAGGTATTTCCGTTTCTATGGCTTCAAAGCGATTGAAATCTCCAACTGGAAACTGCACAAATAGGGTGTTTGAAATCTGCTCTGTCTAAAGGAAGGTTCAACTCTGTGAGTTGAATACACACACCACAAATAAGTTACTGAGAATTCTTCTGTCGAACATTACTTGAAGAAATCCCGTTTCCAACGAAGGCCTCAAAGAGGTCCAAATATCCACTTGCAGACATTACAAACAGAGTGTTTCCAAACTGCTCCATCAAAAGAAAGGTTAAACTCTGTGAGCTGAACACACACATCAAAAAGAAGTTTCTGTGAATGATTCTGTCTAGATTTTATAAGAAGATGTTTCCTTTTCTACAGTAGGCCTCAAAGCGCTTGAAACCTCCAGCTGCAAATTCCCCAAAAAGGGTGTTTAACATCTGCTCTTCTAAAGGAAAGTTCAACTACTATGAGTTGAATACACACAGCACAAAGAAGTTACTGAGACTTCTCCTATCAAACATTATATGAAGAAATCCCGTTTCCAACGAAGGCCTCAAAGAGGTCCAAATATCTGCTTGCAGACTTTAAAGACAGAGTTTTTCCAAACTGCTCCATCAAAAGAAAGGTTAAACTCCTTGAGTTGAAAACACACATCACAAAGTAGTTTCTGTGAATGATTCTGTCTAGTTTTTATACGAAGATGTTTCCTTTTCTACCTTTGGTCTCAAAGCGATTGAAATCTCCACATGGAAACTCCACAAAAAGAGTGTTTCAAATCTGCTCTTTCTGAAGGAAGGTTCAACTCTGTGAGTTGAATACACACACCACAAATAAGTTACTGAGAATTCTTCTGTGTAACATTATATGAGGAAATCCCGTTTCCAACGAAGGCCTCAAAGAGGTCCAAATATCCACTTGCAGACTTTACAAAGACAGTGTCTCCAAACTCCTCCATCAAAAGAAAGGTTATACTATGTGAATTGAACGCACACATCACAAAGTAGTTTCTGAGAATGATTCTGTCTAGTTTTTATACGAAGATATTTCCTTTTCTACATTTGGCCTAAAAGCACTTGAAATCTCCACTGAAAATATCACAAAAAGAGGGTTTCACATCTGCTCTGTCTAAAGGACAGTTCACCTCTGTGAGTTGAATAGAGGCAACACAAAGAACTTACTCAGTATTCTTCTTTCTAGCGTTCTATGAATAAATCCGGTTTCCAACGAAGACCCCAATGAGGTCCAAATATCTGCTTGCAGACTTTACAGACAGACTGTTTCCAAACTACTCTATGAAAAGAAAGCTTAAACTCCTTGAGTTGAACGCACACATCACAAAGTAGTTTCTGAGAATGATTCTGTCTAGTTTTTATACGAAGATGTTTCCTTTTCTACATTTGGTCTCAAAGCGATTGAAATCTCCAACTGGAAACTGCACAAATAGGGTGTTTCAAATCTGCTCTGTCTAAAGGAAGGTTCAACTCTTTGAGTTGAATACACACACCACAAATAAGTTACTGAGAATTCTTCTGTCGAACATTACTTGAAGAAATCCCGTTTCCAACGAAGGCCTCAAAGAGGTCCAAATATCCACTTGCGGACATTACAAACAGTGTGTTTCCCAACTGCTCCATCAAAAGAAAGGTTAAACTCTGTGAGCTGAACACACACATCAAAAAGAAGTTTCTGTGAACCCCTGTGTCTAGATTTTATAAGAAGATGTTTCCTTTTCTACCATAGGCCTCAAAGCGCTAGAAATCTCCAGCTGCAAATTCCACAAAAAGTGTGTTTAACATCTGCTCGTTCTAAAGTAAAGTTCAGCTCTGTGATTTGAATACACACAGCACAAAGAAGTTACTGAGTCTTCTCCTATCAAACATTATATGAAGAAATCCCGTTTCCAACGAAGGCCTCAAAGAGGTCCAAATATCTGCTTGCAGACTTTACAGACAGCGTGTTTCCAAACTGCTCCATCAAAAGGAAGGTTAAACTCCTTGAGTTGAACACACACATCACAAAGTAGTTTCTGTGAATGATTCTGTCTAGTTTTTATACGAAGATGTTTCCTTTTCGACCTTTGGTCTCAAAGCGATTGAAATCTCCACATGGAAACACCACAAAAAGAGTGTTTCAAATCTGCTCTTTCTGAAGGAAGGTTCAACTCTGTGAGTTGAATACACACACCACAAATAAGTTACTGAGAATTCTTCTGTGAAACATTATATGAGGAAATCCCGTTTCCAACGAAGGCCTCAAAGAGGTCTAAATATCCACTTGCAGACTTTACAAAGACAGTGTCTCCAAACTCCTCCATCAAAAGAAAGGTTATACTCTGTGAATTGAACGCACACATCACAAAGTAGTTTCTGAGAATGATTCTGTCTAGTTTTTATACGAAGATATTTCCTTTTCTACATTTGGCCTAAAAGTGCTTGAAATCTCCACCTGCAAATATCACAAAAAGAGGGTTTCACATCTGCTCTGTCTAAAGGACAGTTCACCTCTGTGAGTTGAATAGAGGCAACACAAAGAACTTACTCAGTATTCTTCTTTCTAGCGTTCTATGAAGAAATCCCGTTTCCAACGAAGGCCTCAAAGAGGTCAAATATCTGCTTGCAGACTTTACAGACAGAGTGTTTCCAAACTACTCTATGAAAAGAAAGCTTAAACTCCTTGAGTTGAACGCACACATCACAAAGTAGTTTCTGAGAATCATTCTGTCTAGTTTTTATACGAAGATGTTTCCCTTTCTACATTTGGTCTCAAAGCGATTGAAATCTCCAACTGGAAACTGCACAAATAGGCTGTTTCAAATCTGCTCTGTCTAAAGGAAGGTTCAACTCTGTGAGTTGAATACACACACCACAAATAAGTTACTGAGAATTCTTCTGTCGAACATTACAGGAAGAAATCCCGTTTCCAACGAAGGCCTCAAAGAGGTCCAAATATCCACTTGCAGACATTACAAACAGTGTGTTTCCCAACTGCTCCATCAAAAGAAAGGTTAAACTCTGTGAGCTGAACACACACATCAAAAAGAAGTTTCTGTGAATGATTCTGTCTAGATTTTATAAGAAGATGTTTCCTTTTCTACCGTAGGCCTCAAAGCGCTTGAAATCTCCAGCTGCAAATTACACAAAAAGGGTGTTTAACATCTGCTCTTCTAAAGGAAAGTTCAACTCTATGAGTTGATTACACACAACACAAAGAAGTTACTGAGACTTCTCCTATCAAACATTATATGAAGAAATCCCGTTTCCAACGAAGGCCTCAAAGAGGTCCAAATATCTGCTTGCAGACTTTACAGACAGTGTGTTTCCAAACTGCTCCATCAAAAGAAAGGTTAAACTCCTTGAGTTGAACACACACATCACAAAGTAGTTTCTGTGAATGATTCTGTCTAGTTTTTATACGAAGATGTTTCCTTTTCTACCTTTGGTCTCAAAGCGATTGAAATCTCCACATGGAAACTCCACAAAAAGAGTGTTTCAAATCTGCTCTTTCTGAAGGAAGGTTCAACTCTGTGAGTTGAATACACACACCACAAATAAGTTACTGGGAATTCTTCTGTGTAACATTATATGAGGAAATCCCGTTTCCAACGAAGGCCTTAAAAAGGTCCAAATATCCACTTGCAGACATTACAAAGACAGTGTCTCCAAACTCCTCCATCAAAAGAAAGGTTATACTCTGTGAATTGAACGCACACATCACAAAGTAGTTTCTGAGAATGATTCTGTCTAGTTTTTATACGAAGATGTTTCCTTTTCTACCTTTGGCCTAAAAGCGCTTGAAATCTCCACCTGCAAATATCACAAAAAGAGGGTTTCACATCTGCTCTGTCTAAAGGACAGTTCACCTCTGTGAGTTGAATAGAGACAACACAAAGAACTTACTCAGTATTCTTCTTTCTAGCGTTCTATGAAGAAATCCCGTTTCCAACGAAGGCCTCAAAGAGGTCTATATATCTGCTTGCAGACTTTACAGACAGAGTGTTTCCAAACTACTCTATGAAAAGAAAGCTTAAACTCCTTGAGTTAAACGCACACATCACAAAGTAGTTTCTGAGAATGATTCTGTCTAGTTTTTATACGAAGATGTTTCCTTTTCTACATTTGGTCTCAAAGCGATTGAAATCTCCAACTGGAAACTGCACAAATAGGGTGTTTCAAATCTGCTCTGTCTAAAGGAAGGTTCAACTCTGTGAGTTGAATACACACACCACAAATAAGTTACTGAGAATTCTTCTGTCGAACATTACATGAAGAATTCCCGTTTCCAACGAAGGCCTCAAAGAGGTCCAAATATCCACTTGCAGGCATTACAAACAGAGTGTTTCCAAACTGCTCCATCAAAAGAAAGGTTAAACTCTGTGAGCTGAACACACACATCAAAAAGAAGTTTCTGTGAATGATTCTGTCTAGATTTTAGAAGAAGATGTTTCCTTTTCTACCGTAGGCCTCAAAGCGCTTGAAATCTCCAGCTGCAAATTCCACAAAAAGGGTGTTTAACATCTGCTCTTCTAAAGGAAAGTTCAACTCCATGAGTTGAATACACACAGCACAAAGAAGTTACTGAGACTTCTCCTATCAAACATTATATGAAGAAATCCCGTTTCCAACGAAGGCCTCAAAGAGGTCCAAATATCTGCTTGCAGACTTTACAGACAGAGTGTTTCCAAACTGCTCCATCAAAAGAAAGGTTAAACTCCTTGAGTTGAACACACACATCACAAAGTAGTTTCTGTGAATGATTCTGTCTAGTTTTTATACGAAGATGTTTCCTTTTCTACCTTTGGTCTCAAAGCGATTGAAATCTCCACATGGAAACTCCACAAAAAGAGTGTTTCAAATCTGCTCTTTCTGAAGGAAGGTTCATCTCTGTGAGTTGAATACACACACCACAAATAAGTTACTGAGAATTCTTCTGTGTCACATTATATGAGGAAATCCTGTTTCCAACGAAGGCCTCAAAGAGGTCCAAATATCCACTTGCAGACTTTACAAAGACAGTGTCTCCAAACTCCTCCATCAAAAGAAAGGTTATACTCTGTGAATTGAACGCACACATCACAAAGTAGTTTCTGAGAAGGATTCTGTCTAGTTTTTATACGAAGATATTTCCTTTTCTACATTTGGCCTAAAAGCGCTTGAAATCTCCACCTGCAAATATCACAAAAAGAGGGTTTCACATCTGCTCTGTCTAAAGGACAGTTCACCTCTGTGAGTTGAATAGAGGCAACACAAAGAACTTACTCAGTATTCTTCTTTCTAGCGTTCTATGAAGAAATCCCGTTTCCAACGAAGGCCCCAAAGAGGTCCAAATATCTGCTTGCAGACTTTACAGACAGAGTGTTTCCAAACTACTCTATGAAAAGAAAGCTTAAACTCCTTGAGTTGAACGCACACATCACAAAGTAGTTTCTGAGAATGATTCTGTCTTGTTTTTATACGAAGATATTTCCGTTTCTATGATTGGCCTCAAAGCCATTGAAATCTCCAACTGGAAACTGCACAAATAGGGTGTTTCAAATCTGCTCTGTCTAAAGGAAGGTTCAACTCTGTGAGTTGAATACACACACCACAAATAAGTTACTGAGAATTCTTCCGTCGAACATTACTTGAAGAAATCCCGTTTCCAACGAAGGCCTCAAAGAGGTCCAAATATCCACTTGCAGACATTACAAACAGAGTGTTTCCAAAACTGCTCCATCAAAAGAAAGGTTAAACTCTGTGAGCTGAACACACACATCAAAAAGAAGTTTCTGTGAATGATTCTGTCAAGATTTTATAAGATGTTTCCATTTCTACCGTAGGACTCAAAGCGCTTGAAATCTCCAGCTGCAAATTCCACAAAAAGGGTGTTTAACATCTGCTCTTCTAAAGGAAAGTTCAACTCTATGAGTTGAATACACACAGCACAAAGAAGTTACTGAGACTTCTCCTATCAAACATTATATGAAGAAATCCCGTTTCCAACGAAGGCCTCAAAGAGGTCCAAATATCTACTTGCAGACTTTACAGACAGAGTGTTTCCAAACTGCTCCATCAAAAGAAAGGTTAAACTCCTTGAGTTGAACACACACATCACAAAGTAGTTTCTGTGAATGATTCTGTCTACTTTTTATACGAAGATGTTTCCTTTTCTACCTTTGGTCTCAAATCGATTGAAATCTCCACATGGAAACTCCACAAAAAGAGTGTTTCAAATCTGCTATTTCTGAAGGAAGGTTCAACTCTGTGAGTAGAATACACACACCACAAATAAGTTACTGAGAATTCTTCTGTGTAACATTATATGAGGAAATCCCGTTTCCAACGAAGGCCTCAAAGAGGTCCAAATATCCACTTGCAGACTTTACAAAGACAGTGTCTCCAAACTCCTCCATCAAAAGAAAGGTTATACTCTGTGAAATGAAGGCACACATCACAAAGTAGTTTCTGAGAATGATTCTGTCTAGTTTTTATACGAAGATATTTCCTTTTCTACATTTGGCCTAAAAGCGCTTGAAATCTCCACCTGCAAATATCACAAAAAGAGGGTTTCACATCTGCTCTGTCTAAAGGACAGTTCACCTCTGTGAGTTGAATAGAGGCAACACAAAGAACGTACTCAGTATTCTTCTTTCTAGCGTTCTATGAAGAAATCCCGTTTCCAACGAAGGCCTCAAAGAGGTCAAATATCTGCTTGCAGACATTACAGACAGAGTGTTTCCAAACTACTCTATGAAAAGAAAGCTTAAACTCCTTGAGTTGAACGCACACATCACAAAGTAGTTTCTGAGAATGATTCTGTCTAGTTTTTATACGAAGATGTTTCCTTTTCTACATTTGGTCTCAAAGCGATTGAAATCTCCAACTGGAAACTGCACAAATAGGGTGTTTCAAATCTGCTCTGTCTAAAGGAAGGTTCAACTCTGTGAGTTGAATACACACACCACAAATAAGTTACTGAGAATTCTTCTGTCGACCATTACTTGAAGAAATCCCGTTTCCAATGAAGGCCTCAAAGAGGTCCAAATATCCACTTGCAGACATTACAAACAGAGTGTTTCCAAACTGCTCCATCAAAAGAAAGGTTAAACTCTGTGAGCTGAACACACACATCGAAAAGAAGTTTCTGTGAATGATTCTGTCTAGATTTTATAAGAAGATGTCCTTTTCTACCGTAGGCCTCAAAGCGCTTGAAATCTCCAGCTGCAAATTCCACAAAAAGGGTGTTTAACATCTGCTCTTCTAAAGGAAAGTTCAACTCTATGAGTTGAATACACACAGCACAAAGAAGTTACTGAGACTTCTCCTATCATACATTATATGAAGAAATACCGTTTCCAACGAAGGCCTCAAAGAGGTCCAAATATCTGCTTGCAGACTTTACAGACAGAGTGTTTCCAAACTGCTCCATCAAAAGAAAGGTTAAACTCCTTGAGTTGAACACACACATCACAAAGTAGTTTCTGTGAATGATTCTGTCTAGTTTTTATACGAAGATGTTTCCTTTTCTACCTTTGGTCTCAAAGCGATTGAAATCTCCACATGGAAACTCCACAAAAAGAGTGTTTCAAATCTGCTCTTTCTGAAGGAAGGTTCAACTCTGTGAGTTGAATACACACACCACAAATAAGTTACTGAGAATTCTTCTGTGTAACATTATCTGAGGAAATCCCATTTCCAACGAAGGCCTCAAAGAGGTCCAAATATCCACTTGCAGACTTTACAAAGACAGTGTCTCGAAACTCCTCCATCAAAAGAAAGGTTATACTCTGTGAATTGAACGCACACATCACAAAGTAGTTTCTGAGAATGATTCTGTCTAGTTTTTATACGAAGATGTTTCCTTTTCTACATTTGTCTCAAAGCGATTGAAATCTCCAACTGGAAACTGCACAAATAGGCTGTTTCAAATCTGCTCTGTCTAAAGGACAGTTCACCTCTGTGAGTTGAATAGAGGCAACACAAAGAACTTACTCAGTATTCTTCTGTCTAACATTATATGAAGAAATCCCTTTTCCAAAGAAGGCCTCAAAGAGGTCCAAATATCCACTTGCAGGCTTGACAAACAGAGTGTTTCCAAACTGCTCCATCAAAAGAAAGGTTAAACTCTGTGAGCTGAACACTCACATCAAAAAGTAGTTTCTGTGTATGATTCTGTCTAGTTTTTATACGAAGATGTTTCCTTTTCTACCGTAGGCCTCAAAGCGCTTGAAATCTCCAGCTGCAAATTCCACAAAAATGGTGTTTAACATCTGCCCTTCTAAAGGAAAGTTCAACTCTACGAGTTGAATACACACAGCACAAAGAAGTTACTGAGACTTCTCCTATCAAACATTATATGAAGAAATCCCGTTTCCAACGAAGGCCTCAAAGAGGTCCAAATATCTACTTGCAGACTTTACAGACAGAGTGTTTCCAAACTGCTCCATCAAAAGAAAGGTTAAACTCCTTGAGTTGAACACACACATCACAAAGTAGTTTCTGTGAATGATTCTGTCTAGTTTTTATACGAAGATGTTTCCTTTTCTACCTTTGGTCTCAAAGCGATTGAAATCTCCACATGGAAACTCCACAAAAAGAGTGTTTCAAATCTGCTCTTTCTGAAGGAAGGTTCAACTCTGTGAGTTGAATACACACACCACAAATAAGTTACTGAGAATTCTTCTGTGTAACATTATATGAGGAAATCCCGTTTCCAACGAAGGCCTCAAAGAGGTCCAAATATCCACTTGCAGACATTACAAAGACAGTGTCTCCAAACTCCTCCATCAAAAGAAATGTTATACTCTGTGAATTGAACGCACACATCACAAAGTAGTTTCTGAGAATGATTCTGTCTAGTTTTTATACGAAGATATTTCCTTTTCTACATTTGGCCTAAAAGCGCTTGAAATCTCCACCTGCAAATATCACAAAAAGAGGGTTTCACATCTGCTCTGTCTAAAGGACAGTTCACCTCTGTGAGTTGAATAGAGGCAACACAAAGAACTTACTCAGTATTCTTCTTTCTAGCGTTCTATGAAGAAATCCCGTTTCCAACGAAGGCCCCAAAGAGGTCCAAATATCTGCTTGCAGACTTTACAGACAGAGTGTTTCCAAACTACTCTATGAAAAGAAAGCTTAAACTCCTTGAGTTGAACGCACACATCACAAAGTAGTTTCTGAGAATGATTCTGTCTTGTTTTTATACGAAGATATTTCCGTTTCTACGATTGGCCTCAAAGCGATTGAAATCTCCAACTGGAAACTGCACAAACAGGGTGTTTCAAATCTGCTCTGTCTATAGGAAGGTTCAACTCTGTGAGTTGAATACACACACCACAAATAAGTTACTGAGAATTCTTCTGTCGAACATTACATGAAGAAATCCCGTTTCTAACGAAGGCCTCAAAGAGGTCCAAATATCCACTTGCAGACATTACAAACAGAGTGTTTCTAAACTGCTCCATCAAAGGAAAGGTTAAACTCTGTGAGCTGAACACACACATCAAAAAGAAGTTTCTGTGAATGATTCTGTCTAGATTTTATAAGAAAATGTTTCCTTTTCTACTGTAGGCCTCAAAGCGCTTGAAATCTCCAGCTGCAAATTCCACAAACAGGGTGTTTAACATCTGCTCTTCTAAAGGAAAGTTCAACTCTATGAGTTGAATACACACAGCACAAAGAAGTTACTGAGATTTCTCCTATCAAACATTATATGAAGAAATCCCGTTTCCAAAGAAGGCCTCAAAGAGGTCCAAATATACACTTGCAGACTTTACAAAGACAGTGTCTCCAAACTCCTCCATCAAAAGAAAGGTTATACTCTGTGAATTGAACGCACACATCACAAAGTAGTTTCTGAGAATGATTCTGTCTAGTTTTTATACGAAGATATTTCCTTTTCTACATTTGGCCTAAAAGCGCTTGAAATCTCCACCTGCAAATATCACAAAAAGAGGGTTTCACATCTGCTCTGTCTAAAGGACAGTTCACCTCTGTGAGTTGAATAGAGGCAACACAAAGAACGTACTCAGTATTCTTCTTTCTAGCGTTCTATGAAGAAATCCCGTTTCCAATGAAGGCCCCAAAGAGGTCCAAATATCTGCTTGCAGACTTTACAGACAGAGTGTTTCCAAACTAATCTATGAAAAGAAAGCTTAAACTCCTTGAGTTGAACGCACACATCACAAAGTAGTTTCTGAGAATGATTCTGTCTAGTTTTTATACGAAGATGTTTCCTTTTCTACATTTGGTCTCAAAGCGATTGAAATCTCCAACTGGAAACTGCACAAATAGGCTGTTTCAAATCTGCTCTGTCTAAAGGAAGGTTCAACTCTGTGAGTTGAATACACGCACCACAAAGAAGTTACTGAGAATTCTTCTGTCGACCATTACTTGATGAAATCCCGTTTCCAACGAAGGCCTCAAAGAGGTCCAAATATCCACTTGCAGACATTACAAACAGAGTGTTTCCAAACTGCTCCATCAAAAGAAAGGTTAAACTCTGTGAGCTGAACACACACATCGAAAAGAAGTTTCTGTGAATGATTCTGTCTAGATTTTATAAGAAGATGTTTCCTTTTCTACCGTAGGCCTCAAAGCGCTTGAAATCTCCAGCTGCAAATTCCACAAAAAGGGTGTTTAACATCTGCTCTTCTAAAGGAAAGTTCAACTCTATGAGTTGAATACACACAGCACAAAGAAGTTACTGAGACTTCTCCTATCAAACATTATATGAAGAAATCCCGTTTCCAACGAAGGCCTCAAAGAGGTCCAAATATCTGCTTGCAGACTTTACAGACAGAGTGTTTCCAAACTGCTCCATCAAAAGAAAGGTTAAACTCCTTGAGTTGAACACACACATCACAAAGTAGTTTCTGTGAATGATTCTGTCTAGTTTTTATACGAAGATGTTTCCTTTTCTACCTTTGGTCTCAATGCGATTGAAATCTCCACATGGAAACTCCACAAAAAGAGTGTTTCAAATCTGCTCTTTCTGAAGGAAGGTTCAACTCTGTGAGTTGAATACACACACCACAAATAAGTTACTGAGAATTCTTCTGTGTAACATTATATGAGGAAATCCCGTTTCCAACGAAGGCCTCAAAGAGGTCCAAATATCCACTTGCAGACTTTACAAAGACAGTGTCTCCAAACTCCTCCATCAAAAGAAAGGTTATACTCTGTGAATTGAACGCACACATCACAAAGTAGTTTCTGAGAATGATTCTGTCTAGTTTTTATACGAAGATATTTCCTTTTCTACATTTGGCCAAAAAGCGCTTGAAATCTCCACCTGCAAATATCACAAAAAGAGGGTTTCACATCTGCTCTGTCTAAAGGTCAGTTCACCTCTGTGACTTGAATAGAGGCAACACAAAGAACTTACTCAGTATTCTTCTTTCTAGCGTTCTATGAAGAAATCCCGTTTCCAACGAAGGCCCCAAAGAGGTCCAAATATCTGCTTGCAGACTTTACAGACAGAGTGTTTCCAAACTACTCTATGAAAAGAAAGCTTAAACTCCTTGAGTTGAACGCACACATCACAAAGTAGTTTCTGAGAATGATTCTGTCTAGTTTTTATACGAAGATGTTTCCTTTTCTACATTTGGTCTCAAAGCGATTGAAATCTCCAACTGGAAACTGCACAAATAGGGTGTTTCAAATCTGCTCTGTCTAAAGGAAGGTTCAACTCTGTGAGTTGAATACACACACCACAAATAAGTTACTGAGAATTCTTCTGTCTAACATTATATGAAGAAATCCAGTTTCCAACGAAGGCCTCAAAGAGGTCCAAATATCCACTTGCAGACGTGTCAAACAGAGTGTTTCCAAACTGCACCATCAAAAGAAAGGTTAAACTCTGTGAGCTGAACGCACACATCACAAAGTAGTTTCTGTGAATGATTCTGTCTAGTTTTTATACGAAGATGTTTCCTTTTCTACCTTTGGTCTCAAAGTGATTGAAATCTCCACATGGAAACTCCACAAAAAGAGTGTTTCAAATCTGCTCTTTCTGAAGGAAGGTTCAAATCTGTGAGTTGAATACACACACCACAAATAAGTTACTGAGAATTCTTCTGTGTAACATTATATGGGGAAATCCCGTTTCCAACGAAGGCCTCAAAGAGGTCCAAATATGCAATTGCAGACTTTACAAAGACAGTGTCTCCAAACTCCTCCATCAAAAGAAAGGTTATACTCTGTGAATTGAACGCACACATCACAAAGTAGTTTCTGAGAATGATTCTGTCTAGTTTTTATACGAAGATATTTC
The DNA here is from genome assembly GCF_000001405.40 of Homo sapiens. Classification (NCBI taxonomy): domain Eukaryota; kingdom Metazoa; phylum Chordata; class Mammalia; order Primates; family Hominidae; genus Homo; species Homo sapiens. Next base: position 36,578,039 of record NC_000012.12, on the reverse strand, counting down.
CTTTTCTACATTTGGCCTAAAAGCGCTTGAAATCTCCACCTGCAAATATCACAAAAAGAGGGTTTCACATCTGCTCTGTCTAAAGGACAGTTCACCTCTGTGAGTTGAATAGAGGCAACACAAAGAACTTACTCAGTATTCTTCTTTCTAGCATTATATGAGGAAATCCCGTTTCCAACGAAGGCCTCAAAGAGGTCCAAATATCTGCTTGCAGACTTTACAGACAGAGTGTTTCCAAACTACTCTATGAAAAGAAAGCTTAAACTCCTTGAGTTGAACGCACACATCACAAAGTAGTTTCTGAGAATGATTCTGTCTAGTTTTTATACGAAGATGTTTCCTTTTCTACATTTGGTCTCAAAGCGATTGAAATCTCCAACTGGAAACTGCACAAATAGGGTGTTTCAAATCTGCTCTGTCTAAAGGAAGGTTCAACTCTGTGAGTTGAATACACACACCACAAATAAGTTACTGAGAATTCTTCTGTCGAACATTACTTGAAGAAATCCCGTTTCCAACGAAGGCCTCAAAGAGGTCCAAATATCCACTTGCAGACATTACAAACAGAGTGTTTCCAAACTGCTCCATCAAAAGAAAGGTTAAACTCTGTGAGCTGAACCCACACATCAAAAAGAAGTTTCTGTGAATGATTCTGTCTAGATTTTATAAGAAGATGTTTCCTTTTCTACCGTAGGCCTCAAAGCGCTTGAAATCTCCAGCTGCAAATTCCACAAAAAGGGTGTTTAACATCTGCTCTTCTAAAGGAAAGTTCAACTCTATGAGTTGAATACACACAGCACAAAGAAGTTACTGAGACTTCTCCTATCAAACATTATATGAAGAAATCCCGTTTCCAACGAAGGCCTCAAAGAGGTCCAAATATCTGCTTGCAGACTTTACAGACAGAGTGTTTCCAAACTGCTCCATCAAAAGAAAGGTTAAACTCCTTGAGTTGAACACACACATCACAAAGTAGTTTCTGTGAATGATTCTGTCTAGTTTTTATACGAAGATGTTTCCTTTTCTACCTTTGGTCTCAAAGCGATTGAAATCTCCACATGGAAACTCCACAAAAAGAGTGTTTCAAATCTGCTCTTTCTGAAGGAAGGTTCAACTCTGTGAGTTGAATACACACACCACAAATAAGTTACTGAGAATTCTTCTGTGTAACATTATATGAGGAAATCCCGTTTCCAACGAAGGCCTCAAAGAGGTCCAAATATCCACACGCAGACTTTACAAAGACAGTGTCTCCAAACTCCTCCATCAAAAGAAAGGTTATACTCTGTGAATTGTACGCACACATCACAAAGTAGTTTCTGAGAATGATTCTGTCTAGTTTTTATACGAAGATATTTCCTTTTCTACATTTGGCCTCAAAGCGCTTGAAATCTCCACCTGCAAATATCACAAAAAGAGGGTTTCACATCTGCTCTGTCTAAAGGACAGTTCACCTCTGTGAGTTGAATAGAGGCAACACAAAGAACTTACTCAGTATTCTTTTTTCTAGCGTTACATGAAGAAATCCCGTTTCCAACGAAGGCCTCAAAGAGGTCCAAATATCTGCTTGCAGACTTTACAGACAGAGTGTTTCCAAACTACTCTATGAAAAGAAAGCTTAAACTCCTTGAGTTGAACGCACACATCACAAAGTAGTTTCTGAGAATGATTCTGTCTTGTTTTTATACGAAGATATTTCCGTTTCTATGATTGGCCTCCAAGCGATTGAAATCTCCAACTGGAAACTGCACAAATAGGGTGTTTCAAATCTGCTCTGTCTAAAGGAAGGTTCAACTCTGTGAGTTGAATACACACACCACAAATAAGTTACTGAGAATTCTTCTGTCGAACATTACATGAAGAAATCCCGTTTCCAACGAAGGCCTCAAAGAGGTCCAAATATCCACTTGCAGACATTGCAAACAGAGTGTTTCCAAACTGCTCCATCAAAAGAAAGGTTAAACTCTGTGAGCTGAACACACACATCAAAATGAAGTTTCTGTGAATGATTCTGTCTAGACTTTAGAAGAAGATGTTTCCTTTTCTACCGTAGGCCTCAAAGCGCTTGAAATCTCCAGCTGCAAATTCCACAAAAAGTGTGTTTAACATCTGCTCTTCTATAGGAAAGTTCAACTCCATGAGTTGAATACACACAGCACAAAGAAGTTACTGAGACTTCTCCTATCAAACATTATATGAAGAAATCCCGTTTCCAACGAAGGCCTCAAAGAGGTCCAAATATCTACTTGCAGACTTTACAGACAGAGTGTTTCCAAACTGCTCCATCAAAAGAAAAGTTAAACTCCTTGAGTTGAACACACACATCACAAAGTAGTTTCTGTGAATGATTCTGTCTAGTTTTTATACGAAGATGTTTCCTTTTCTACCTTTGGTCTCAATGCGATTGAAATCTCCACATGGAAACTCCACAAAAAGAGTGTTTCAAATCTGCTCTTTCTGAAGGAAGGTTCAACTCTGTGAGTTGAATACACACACCACAAATAAGTTACTGAGAATTCTTCTGTGTAACATTATATGAGGAAATCCCGTTTCCAACGAAGGCCTCAAAGAGGTCCAAATATCCACTTGCAGACTTTACAAAGACAGTGTCTCCAAACTCCGCCATCAAAAGAAAGGTTATACTCTGTGAATTGAACGCACACATCACAAAGTAGTTTCTGAGAATGATTCTGTCTAGTTTTTATACGAAGATATTTCCTTTTCTACATTTGGCCTAAAAGCGCTTGAAATCTCCACCTGCAATATCACAAAAAGAGGGTTTCACATCTGCTCTGTCTAAAGGACAGTTCACCTCTGTGAGTTGAATAGAGGCAACACAAAGAACTTACTCAGTATTCTTCTTTCTAGCGTTCTATGAAGAAATCCCTTTTCCAACGAAGACCCCAATGAGGTCCAAATATCTGCTTGCAGACTTTACAGACAGAGTGTTTCCAAAGTACTCTATGAAAAGAAAGCTTAAACTCCTTGAGTTGAACGCACACATCACAAAGTAGTTACTGAGAATGATTCTGTCTAGTTTTTATACGAAGATGTTTCCCTTTCTACATTTGGTCTCAAAGCGATTGAAATCTCCAACTGGAAACTGCACAAATAGGCTGTTTCAAATCTGCTCTGTCTAAATGAAGGTTCAACTCTGTGAGTTGAATACACACACCACAAATAAGTTACTGAGAATTCTTCTGTCGAACATTACATGAAGAAATCCCGTTTCCAACGAAGGCCTCAAAGAGGTCCAAATATCCACTTGCCGACATGGCAAACACAGTGATTGCAAACTGCTCCATCAAAAGAAAGGTTAAACTCTGTGAGATAAACACACACATCAAAAAGAAGTTTCTGTGAATGATTCTGTCTAGATTTTATAAGAAGATGTTTCCTTTTCTACCGTAGGCCTCAAAGCGCTTGAAATCTCCAGCTGCAAATTCCACAAAAATGGTGTTTAACATCTGCTCTTCTAAAGGAAAGTTCAACTCTATGAGTTGAATACACACAGCACAAAGAAGTTACTGAGACTTCTCCTATCAAACATTATATGAAGAAATCCCGTTTCCAACGAAGGCCTCAAAGAGGTCCAAATATCTACTTGCAGACTTTACAGACAGAGTGTTTCCAAACTGCTCCATCAAAAGAAAGGTTAAACTCCTTGAGTTGAACACACACATCACAAAGTAGTTTCTGTGAATGATTCTGTCTAGTTTTTATACGAAGATGTTTCCTTTTCTACCTTTGGTCTCAAAGCGATTGAAATCTCCACATGGAAACTCCACAAAAAGAGTGTTTCAAATCTGCTCTTTCTGAAGGAAGGTTCAACTCTGTGAGTTGAATACACACACCACAAATAAGTTACTGAGAATTCTTCTGTGTAACATTATATGAGGAAATCCCGTTTCCAACGAAGGCCTCAAAGAGGTCCAAATATCCACTTGCAGACTTTACAAAGACAGTGTCTCCAAACTCCTCCATCAAAAGAAAGTTTATACTCTGTGAATTGAACGCACACATCACAAAGTAGTTTCTGAGAATGATTCTGTCTAGTTTTTATACGAAGATATTTCCTTTTCTACATTTGGCCTAAAAGCGCTTGAAATCTCCACCTGCAAATATCACAAAAAGAGGGTTTCACATCTGCTCTGTCTAAAGGACAGTTCACCTCTGTGAGTTGAATAGAGGCAACACAAAGAACTTACTCAGTATTCTTCTTTCTAGCGTTCTATGAAGAAATCCCGTTTCCAACGAAGGCCCCAATGAGGTCCAAATATCTGCTTGCAGACTTTACAGACAGAGTGTTTCCAAACTACTCTATGAAAAGAAAGCTTAAACTCCTTGAGTTGAACGCACACATCACAAAGTAGTTTCTGAGAATGATTCTGTCTAGTTTTTATACGAAGATGTTTCCTTTTCTACATTTGGTCTCAAAGCGATTGAAATCTCCAACTGGAAACTGCACAAATAGGGTGTTTCAAATCTGCTCTGTCTAAAGGAAGGTTCAACTCTGTGAGTTGAATACACACACCACAAATAAGTTACTGAGAATTCTTCTATCGAACATTACATGAAGAAATCCCGTTCCCAACGAAGGCCTCAAAGAGGTCCAAATATCCACTTGCAGACATTACAAACAGAGTGTTTCCAAACTGCTCCATCAAAAGAAAGGTTAAACTCTGTGAGCTGAACACACACATCAAGAAGAAGTTTCTGTGAATGATTCTGTCTAGATTTTATAAGAAGATGTTTCATTTTCTACCGTAGGCCTCAAAACGCTTGAAATCTCCAGCTGCAAATTCCACAAAAAGGGTGTTTAACATCTGCTCTTCTAAAGGAAAGTTCAACTCTATGAGTTGAATACACACAGCACAAAGAAGTTACTGAGACTTCTCCTATCAAACATTATATGAAGAAATCCCGTTTCCAACGAAGGCCTCAAAGAGGTCCAAATATCTGCTTGCAGACTTTACAGACACTGTTTCCAAACTGCTCCATCAAAAGAAAGGTTAACCTCCTTGAGTTGAACACACACATCACAAAGTAGTTTCTGAGAATGATTCTGTCTAGTTTTTATACGAAGATGTTTCCTTTTCTACCTTTGGTCTCAAAGCGATTGAAATCTCCACATGGAAACTCCACAAAAAGAGTGTTTCAAATCTGCTCTGTCTAAAGGAAGGTTCAACTCTGTGAGTTGAATACACACACCACAATTAAGTTACTGAGAATTCTTCTGTGTAACATTATATGAGGAAATCCCGTTTCCAACGAAGGCCTCAAAGAGGTCCAAATATCCACTTGCAGACTTTACAAAGACAGTGTCTCCAAACTCCTCCATCAAAAGAAAGGTTATACTCTGTGAATTGAACGCACACATCACAAAGTAGTTTCTGAGAATGATTCTGTCTAGTTTTTATACGAAGATATTTCCTTTTCTACATTTGGCCTAAAAGCGCTTGAAATCTCCACCTGCAAATATCACAAAAAGAGGGTTTCACATCTGCTCTGTCTAAAGGACAGTTCACCTCTGTGAGTTGAATAGAGGCAACACAAAGAACTTACTCAGTATTCTTCTTTCTAGCGTTCTATGAAGAAATCCCGTTTCCAACGAAGACCCCTATGAGGTCCAAATATCTGCTTGCAGACTTTACAGACAGAGTGTTTCCAAACTACTCTATGAAAAGAAAGCTTAAACTCCTTGAGTTGAACGCACACATCACAAAGTAGTTTCTGAGAATGATTCTGTCTAGTTTTTATACGAAGATGTTTCCTTTTCTACATTTGGTCTCAAAGCGATTGAAATCTCCAACTGGAAACTGCACAAATAGGCTGTTTCAAATCTGCTCTGTCTAAAGGAAGGTTCAACTCTGTGAGTTGAATACACACACCACAAATAAGTTACTGAGAATTCTTCTGTCGAATATTACATGAAAAAATCCCGTTTCCAACGAAGGCCTCAAAGAGGTCCAAATATCCACTTGCAGACATTACAAACAGAGTGTTTCCAAACTGCTCCATCAAAAGAAACGTTAAACTCTGTGAGCTGAACACACACATCAAAAAGAAGTTTCTGTGAATGATTCTGTCTAGATTTTATAAGAAGATGTTTCCTTTTCTACCGTAGGCCTCAAAGCGCTTGAAATCTCCAGCTGCAAATTCCACAAAAAGGGTGTTTAACATCTGCTCTTCTAAAGGAAAGTTCAACTCTATGAGTTGAATACACACAGCACAAAGAAGTTACTGAGACTTCTCCTATCAAACATTATATGAAGAAATCCCGTTTCCAACGAAGGCCTCAAAGAGGTCCAAATATCTGCTTGCAGACTTTACAGACAGAGTGTTTCCAAACTGCTCCATCAAAAGAAAGGTTAAACTCCTTGAGTTGAACACACACATCACAAAGTAGTTTCTGTGAATGATTCTGTCTAGTTTTTATACGAAGATGTTTCCTTTTCTACCTTTGGTCTCAAAGCGATTGAAATCTCCACATGGAAACTCCACAAAAAGAGTGTTTCAAATCTGCTCTTTCTGAAGGAAGGTTCATCTCTGTGAGTTGAATACACACACCACAAATAAGTTACTGAGAATTCTTCTGTGTAACATTATATGAGGAAATCCCGTTTCCAACGAAGGCCTCAAAGAGGTCCAAATATCCACTTGCAGACTTTACAAAGACAGTGTCTCCAAACTCCTCCATCAAAAGAAAGGTTATACTCTGTGAATTGAACGCACACATCACAAAGTAGTTTCTGAGAATGATTCTGTCTAGTTTTTATACGAAGATATTTCCTTTTCTACATTTGGCCTAAAAGCGCTTGAAATCTCCACCTGCAAATATCACAAAAAGAGGGTTTCACATCTGCTCTGTCTAAAGGACAGTTCACCTCTGTGAGTTGAGTAGAGGCAACACAAAGAACTTACTCAGTATTCTTCTTTCTAGCGTTCTATGAAGAAATCCCGTTTCCAACGAAGGCCCCAAAGAGGTCCAAATATCTGCTTGCAGACTTTACAGACAGAGTGTTTCCAAACTACTCTATGAAAAGAAAGCTTAAACTCCTTGAGTTGAACGCACACATCACAAAGTAGTTTCTGAGAATGATTCTGTCTAGTTTTTATACGAAGATGTTTCCTTTTCTACATTTGGTCTCAAAGCGATTGAAATCTCCAACTGGAAACTGCACAAATAGGGTGTTTCAAATCTGCTCTGTCTAAAGGAAGGTTCAACTCTGTGAGTTGAATACACACACCACAAATAAGTTACTGAGAATTCTTCTGTCGAACATTACAGGAAGAAATCCCGTTTCCAGCGAAGGCCTCAAAGAGGTCCAAATATCCACTTGCAGACATTACAAACAGAGTGTTTCCAAACTGCTCCATCAAAAGAAAGGTTAAACTCTGTGAGCTGAACACACACATCAAAAAGAAGTTTCTGTGAATGATTCTGTCTAGATTTTATAAGAACATATTTCCTTTTCTACCGTAGGCCACAAAGCGCTTGAAATCTCCAGCTGCAAATTCCACAAAAAGGGTGTTTAACATCTGCTCTTCTAAAGGAAAGTTCAACTCTATGAGTTGAATACACACAGCACAAAGAAGTTACTGAGACTTCTTCTTTCTAGCATTATATGAAGAAACCCCGTTTCCAATGAAGGCCTCAAAGAGGTCCAAATATCTGCTTGCAGACTTTACTGACAGAGTGTTTCCAAACTGCTCCATCAAAAGAAAGGTTAACCTCCTTGAGTTGAACACACACAACACAAAGTAGTTTCTGTGAATGATTCTGTCTAGTTTTTATATGAGGATGTTTCCTTTTCTACCTTTGTTCTCAAAGCGATTGAAATCTCCACATGGAAACTCCAGAAAAAGAGTGTTTCAAATCTGCTCTTTCTGAAGGAAGGTTCAACTCTGTGAGTTGAATACACACACCACAAATAAGTTACTGAGAATTCTTCTGTGTAACATTATATGAGGAAATCCCGTTTCCAACGAAGGCCTCAAAGAGATCCAAATATCCACTTGCAGACTTTACAAAGACAGTGTCTCCAAACTCCTCCATCAAAAGAAAGGTTATGCTCTGTGAATTCAACGCACACATCACAAAGTAGTTTCTGAGAATGATTCTGTCTAGTTTTTATACGAAGATATTTCCTTTTCTACATTTGGCCTAAAAGCGCTTGAAATCTCCACCTGCAAATATCACAAAAAGAGGGTTTCACATCTGCTCTGTCTAAAGGACAGTTCACCTCTGTGAGTTGAATAGAGGCAACACAAAGAACTTACTCAGTATTCTTCTTTCTAGCGTTCTATGAAGAAATCCCGTTTCCAACGAAGGCCTCAAAGAGGTCCAAATATCTGCTTGCAGACTTTACAGACAGAGTGTTTCCAAACTACTCTATGAAAAGAAAGCTTAAACTCCTTGAGTTGAACGCACACATCACAAAGTAGTTTCTGAGAATGATTCTGTCTAGTTTTTATACGAAGATGTTTCCTTTTCTACATTTGGTCTCAAAGCGATTGAAATCTCCAACTGGAAACTGCACAAATAGGGTGTTTCAAATCTGCTCTGTCTAAAGGAAGGTTCAACTCTGTGAGTTGAATACACACACCACAAATAAGTTACTGAGAATTCTTCTGTCGAACATTACTTGAAGAAATCCCGTTTCCAACGAAGGCCTCAAAGAGGTCCAAATATCCACTTGCAGACATTACAAACAGAGTGTTTCCAAACTGCTCCATCAAAAGAAAGATTAAACCCTGTGAGCTGAACACACACATCAAAAAGAAGTTTCTGTGAATGATTCTGTCTAGATTTTATAAGAAGATGTTTCCTTTTCTACCGTAGGCCTCAAAGCGCTTGAAATCTCCAGCTGCAAATTCCACAAAAAGGGTGTTTAACATCTGCTCTTCTAAAGAAAGTTCAACTCTATGAGTTGAATACACACAGCACAAAGAAGTTACTGAGACTTCTCCTATCAAACATTATATGAAGAAATCCCGTTTCCAACGAAGGCCTCAAAGAGGTCCAAATATCTGCTTGCAGACTTTACAGACAGAGTTTTTCCAAACTGCTCCATCAAAAGAAAGTTTAAACTCCTTGAGTTGAACACACACATCACAAACTAGTTTCTGTGAATGAATCTGTCTAGTTTTTATACGAAGATGTTTCCTTTTCTACCTTTGGTCTCAAAGCGATTGAAATCTCCACATGGAAACTCCACAAAAAGAGTGTTTCAAATCTGCTCTTTCTGAAGGAAGGTTCAACTCTGTGAGTTGAATACACACACCACAAATAAGTTACTGAGAATTCTTCTGTGTAACATTATATGAGGAAATCCCGTTTCCAACGAAGGCCTCAAAGAGGTCCAAATATCCACTTGCAGACTTTACAAAGACAGTGTCTCCAAACTCCTCCATCAAAAGAAAGGTTATACTCTGTGAATTGAACGCACACATCACAAAGTAGTTTCTGAGAATGATTGTGTCTAGTTTTTATACGAAGATATTTCCTTTTCTACATTTGGCCTAAAAGCGCTTGAAATCTCCACCTGCAAATATCACAAAAAGAGGGTTTCACATCTGCTCTGTCTAAAGGACAGTTCACCTCTGTGAGTTGAATAGAGGCAACACAAAGAACTTACTCAGTATTCTTCTTTCTAGCGTTCTATGAAGAAATCACATTTCCAACGAAGGCCCCAAAGAGGTCCAAATATCTGCTTGCAGACTTTACAGACAGAGTGTTTCCAAACTACTCTATGAAAAGAAAGCTTAAACTCCTTGAGTTGAACGCACACATCACAAAGTAGTTTCTGAGAATGATTCTGTCTAGTTTTTATACGAAGATGTTTCCTTTTCTACATTTGGTCTCAAAGCGATTGAAATCTCCAACTGGAAACTGCACAAATAGGGTGTTTCAAATCTGCTCTGTCTAAAGGAAGGTTCAACTCTTTGAGTTGAATACACACACCACAAATAAGTTACTGAGAATTCTTCTGTCGAACATTACTTGAAGAAATCCCGTTTCCAACGAAGGCCTCAAAGAGGTCCAAATATCCACTTGCAGACGTTACAAACAGAGTGTTTCCAAACTGCTCCATCAAAAGAAAGGTTAAACTCTGTGAGCTGAACACACACATCAAAAAGAAGTTTCTGTGAATGATTCTGTCTAGATTTTATAAGAAGATGTTTCCTTTTCTACCGTAGGCCTCAAAGCGCTTGAAATCTCCAGCTGCAAATTCCACAAAAAGGGTGTTTAACATCTGCTCTTCTAAAGGAAAGTTCAACTCTATGAGTTGAATACACACAGCACAAAGAAGTTACTGAGACTTCTCCTATCAAACATTATATGAAGAAATCCCGTTTCCAACGAAGGCCTCAAAGAGGTCCAAATATCTGCTTGCAGACTTTACAGACAGAGTGTTTCCAAACTGCTCCATCAAAAGAAAGGTTAACCTCCTTGAGTTGAACACACACGTCACAAAGAAGTTTCTGTGAATGATTCTGTCTAGTTTTTATACGAAGATGTTTCCTTTTCTACCTTTGGTCTCAATGCGATTGAAATCTCCACATGGAAACTCCACAAAAAGAGTGTTTCAAATCTGCTCTTTCTGAAGGAAGGTTCAACTCTGTGAGTTGAATACACACACCACAAATAAGTTACTGAGAATTCTTCTGTGTAACATTATATGAGGAAATCCCGTTTCCAACGAAGGCCTCAAAGAGGTCCAAATATCCACTTGCAGACTTTACAAAGACAGTGTCTCCAAACTCCTCCATCAAAAGAAAGGTTATACTGCTGTGAATTGAACGCACACATCACAAAGTAGTTTGCTGAGAATGATTCTGTCTAGTTTTTATACGAGGATATTTCCTTTTCTACATTTGGCCTAAAAGCGCTTGAAATCTCCACCTGCAAATATCACAAAAAGAGGGTTTCACATCTGCTCTGTCTAAAGAACAGTTCACCTCTGTGAGTTGAATAGAGGCAACACAAAGAACTTACTCAGTATTCTTCTTTCTAGCGTTCTATGAAGAAATCCCGTTTCCAACGAAGGCCCCAAAGAGGTCCAAATATCTGCTTGCAGACTTTACAGACAGAGTGTTTCCAAACTACTCTATGAAAAGAAAGCTTAAACTCCTTGAGTTGAACGCACACATCACAAAGTAGTTTCTGAGAATGATTCTGTCTAGTTTTTATACGAAGATGTTTCCTTTTCTACATTTGGTCTCAAAGCTCTTGAAATCTCCAACTGGAAACTGCACAAATAGGCTGTTTCAAATCTGCTCTGTCTAAAGGGAAGGTTCAACTCTGTGAGTTGAATACACACACCACAAATAAGTTACTGAGAATTCTTCTGTCGAACATTACTTGAAGAAATCCCGTTTCCAACGAAGGCCTCAAAGAGGTCCAAATATCGACTTGCAGACATTACAAACAGAGTGTTTCCAAACTGCTCCATCAAAAGAAAGGTTAAACTCTGTGAGCTGAACACACACATCAAAAAGAAGTTTCTGTGAATGATTCTGTCTAGATTTTATAAGAAGATGTTTCCTTTTCTACCGTAGGCCACAAAGCGCTTGAAATCTCCAGCTGCAAATTCCACAAAAAGGGTGTTTAACATCTGCTCTTCTAAAGGAAAGTTCAACTCTATGCGTTGAATACACACAGCACAAAGAAGTTACTGAGACTTCTCCTATCAAACATTATATGAAGAAATCCCGTTTCCAACGAAGGCCTCAAAGAGGTCCAAATATCTGCTTGCAGACTTTACAGACAGAGTGTTTCCAAACTGCTCCATCAAAAGAAAGGTTAAACTCCTTGAGTTGAACACACACATCACAAAGTAGTTTCTGTGAATGATTCTGTCTAGTTGTTATACGAAGTATGTTTCCTTTTCTACCTTTGGTCTCAAAGCGATTGAAATCTCCACATGGAAACTCCACAAAAAGAGTGTTTCAAATCTGCTCTTTCTGAAGGAAGGTTCATCTCTCTGAGTTGAATACACACACCACAAATAAGTTACTGAGAATTCTTCTGGGTAACATTATATGAGGAAATCCCGTTTCCAACGAAGGCCTCAAAGAGGTCCAAATATCCACTTGCAGACTTTACAAAGACAGTGTCTCCAAACTCCTCCATCAAAAGAAAGGTTATACTCTGTGAATTGAACGCACACATCACAAAGTAGTTTCTGAGAATGATTCTGTCTAGTTTTTATACGAAGATATTTCCTTTTCTACATTTGGCCTAAAAGCGCTTGAAATCTCCACCTGCAAATATCACAAAAAGAGGGTTTCACATCTGCTCTGTCTAAAGGACAGTTCACCTCTGTGAGTTGAATAGAGGCAACACAAAGAACTTACTCAGTATTCTTCTTTCTAGCGTTCTATGAAGAAATCCCGTTTCCAACGAAGGCCTCAAAGAGGTCCAAATATCTGCTTGCAGACTTTACAGACAGAGTGTTTCCAAACTACTCTATGAAAAGAAAGCTTAAACTCCTTGAGTTGAACGCACACATCACAAAGTAGTTTCTGAGAATGATTCTGTCTAGTTTTTATACGAAGATGTTTCCTTTTCTACATTTGGTCTCAAAGCGATTGAAATCTCCAACTGGAAACTGCACAAATAGGGTGTTTCAAATCTGCTCTGTGTAAAGGAAGGTTCAACTCTGTGAGTTGAATACACACACCACAAATAAGTTACTGAGAATTCTTCTTTCGAACACTACTTGAAGAAATCCCGTTTCCAACGAAGGCCTCAAAGAGGTCCAAATATCCACTTGCAGACATTACAAACAGAGTGTTTCCAAACTGCTCCATCAAAAGAAAGGTTAAACTCTGTGAGCTGAACACACACATCAAAAAGAAGTTTCTGTGAATGATTCTGTCTAGATTTTATAAGAAGATGTTTCCTTTTCTACCGTAGGCCACAAAGCGCTTGAAATCTCCAGCTGCAAATTCCACAAAAAGGGTGTTTAACATCTGCTCTTCTAAAGGAAAGTTCAACTCTATGCGTTGAATACACACAGCACAAAGAAGTTACTGAGACTTCTCCTATCAAACATTATATGAAGAAATCCCGTTTCCAATGAAGGCCTCAAAGAGGTCCAAATATCCACTTGCAGACGTGACAAACAGAGTGTTTCCAAACTGCTGCATCAAAAGAAAGTTTAAACTCTGTGAGTTGAACACACACATGACAAAGTAGTTTCTGTGAATGATTCTGTCTAGTTTTTATACGAAGATGTTTCCTTTTCTACCTTTGGTCTCAAAGCGATTGAAATCTCCACATGGAAACTCCACAAAAAGAGTGTTTCAAATCTGCTCTTTCTGAAGGAAGGTTCAACTCTGTGAGTTGAATACACACACCACTAATAAGTTACTGAGAATTCTTCTGTGTAACATTATATGAGGAAATCCCGTTTCCAACGAAGGCCTCAAAGAGGTCCAAATATCCACTTGCAGACTTTACAAAGACAGTGTCTCCAAACTCCTCCATCAAAAGAAAGGTTATACTCTGTGAATTGAACGCACACATCACAAAGTAGTTTCTGAGAATGATTCTGTCTAGTTTTTATACGAAGATATTTCCTTTTCTACATTTGGCCTCAAAGCGCTTGAAATCTCCACGTGCAAATATCACAAAAAGAGGGTTTCACATCTGCTCTGTCTAAAGGACAGTTCACCTTTGTGAGTTGAATAGAGGCAACACAAAGAACTTACTCAGTATTCTTCTTTCTAGCGTTCTATGAAGAAATCCCGTTTCTAACAAAGTCCCCAAAGAGGTCCAAATATCTGCTTGCAGACTTTACAGACAGAGTGTTTCCAAACTAGTCTATGAAAAGAAAGCTTAAACTCCTTGAGTTGAACGCACACATCAGAAAGTAGTTTCTGAGAATTATTCTGTCTAGTTTTTATACGAAGATGTTTCCTTTTCTACATTTGGTCTCAAAGCGATTGAAATCTCCAACTGGAAACTGCACAAATAGGGTGTTTCAAATCTGCTCTGTCTAAAGGAAGGTTCAACTCTGTGAGTTGAATACACACACCACAAATAAGTTACTGAGAATTCTTCTGTCGAACATTACTTGAAGAAATCCCGTTTCCAACGAAGGCCTCAAAGAGGTCCAAATATCCACTTGCAGACATTACAAACAGAGTGTTTCCAAACTGCTCCATCAAAAGAAAGGTTAAACTCTGTGAGCTGAACACACACATCGAAAAGAAGTTTCTGTGAATGATTCTGTCAAGATTTTATAAGATGTTTCCATTTCTACCGTAGGACTCAAAGCGCTTGAAATCTCCAGCTGCAAATTCCACAAAAAGGGTGTTTAACATCTGCTCTTCTAAAGGAAAGTTCAACTCTATGAGTTGAATACACACAGCACAAAGAAGTTACTGAGACTTCTCCTATCAAACATTATATGAAGAAATCCCGTTTCCAACGAAGGCCCCAAAGAGGTCCAAATATCCACTTGCAGACTTTACAGACAGAGTGTTTCCAAACTCCTCCATCAAAAGAAAGGTTAAACTCCTTGAGTTGAACACACACATCACAAAGTAGTTTCTGTGAATGATTCTGTCTAGTTTTTATACGAAGATGTTTCCTTTTCTACCTTTGGTCTCAAAGCGATTGAAATCTCCACATGGAAACTCCACAAAAAGAGTGTTTCAAATCTGCTCTTTCTGAAGGAAGGTTCAACTCTGTGAGTTGAATACACACACCACAAATAAGTTACTGAGAATTCTTCTGTGTAACATTATATGAGGAAATCCCGTTTCCAACGAAGGCCTCAAAGAGATCCAAATATCCACTTGCAGACTTTACAAAGACAGTGTCTCCAAACTCCTCCATCAAAAGAAAGGTTATACTCTGTGAATTGAACGCACACATCACAAAGTAGTTTCTGAGAATGATTCTGTCTAGTTTTTATACGAAGATATTTCCTTTTCTACATTTGGCCTAAAAGCGCTTGAAATCTCCACCTGCAAATATCACAAAAAGAGGGTTTCACATCTGCTCTGTCTAAAGGACAGTTCACCTCTGTGAGTTGAATAGAGGCAACACAAAGAACTTACTCAGTATTCTTCTTTCTAGCGTTCTATGAAGAAATCCCGTTTCCAACGAAGGCCCCAAAGAGGTCCAAATATCTGCTTGCAGACTTTACAGACAGAGTGTTTCCAAACTACTCTATGAAAAGAAAGCTTAAACTCCTTGAGTTGAACGCACACATCACAAAGTAGTTTCTGAGAATGATTCTGTCTAGTTTTTATACGAAGATGTTTCCTTTTCTACATTTGGTCTCAAAGCGATTGAAATCTCCAACTGGAAACTGCACAAATAGGCTGTTTCAAATCTGCTCTGTCTAAAGGAAGGTTCAGCTCTGTGAGTTGAATACACACACCACAAATAAGTTACTGAGAATTCTTCTGTCGAACATTACTTGAAGAAATCCCGTTTCCAACGAAGGCCTCAAAGAGGTCCAAATATCCACTTGCAGACATTACAAACAGAGTGTTTCCAAACTGCTCCATCAAAAGAAAGGTTAAACACTGTGAGCTGAACACACACATCAAAAAGAAGTTTCTGTGAATGATTCTGTCTAGATTTTATAAGAAGATGTTTCCTTTTCTACCGTAGGCCTCAAAGCGCTTGAAATCTCCAGCTGCAAATTCCACAAAAAGGGTGTTTAACATCTGCTCTTCTAAAGGAAAGTTCAACTCTATGAGTTGAATACACACAGCACAAAGAAGTTACTGAGACTTCTCCTATCAAACATTATATGAAAAAATCCCATTTCCAACGAAGGCCTCAAAGAGGTCCAAATATCTGCTTGCAGACTTTACAGACAGAGTGTTTCCAAACTGCTCCATCAAAAGAAAGGTTAACCTCCTGAGTTGAACACACACATCACAAAGTAGTTTCTGTGAATGATTCTGTCTAGTTTTTATACGAAGATGTTTCCTTTTCTACCTTTGGTCTCAAAGCGATTGAAATCTCCACATGGAAACTCCACAAAAAGAGTGTTTCAAATCTGCTCTTTCTGAAGGAAGGTTCATCTTTGTGAGTTGAATACACACACCACAAATAAGTTACTGAGAATTCTTCTGGGTAACATTATATGAGGAAATCCCGTTTCCAACGAAGGCCTCAAAGAGGTCCAAATATCCACTTGCAGACTTTACAAAGACAGTGTCTCCAAACTCCTCCATCAAAAGAAAGGTTATACTCTGTGAATTGAACGCACACATCACAAAGTAGTTTCTGAGAATGATTCTGTCTAGTTTTCATACGAAGATATTTCCTTTTCTACATTTGGCCTAAAAGCGCTTGAAATCTCCACCTGCAAATATCACAAAAAGAGGGTTTCACATCTGCTCTGTCTAAAGGACAGTTCACCTCTGTGAGTTGAATAGAGGCAACACAAAGAACTTACTCAGTATTCTTCTTTCTAGCGTTCTATGAAGAAATCCCGTTTCCAACGAAGGCCCCAAAGAGGTCCAAATATCTGCTTGCAGACTTAACAGACAGAGTGTTTCCAAACTACTCTATGAAAAGAAAGCTTAAACTCCTTGAGTTGAACGCACACATCACAAAGTAGTTTCTGAGAATGATTCTGTCTAGTTTTTATACGAAGATGTTTCCTTTTCTACATTTGGTCTCAAAGCGATTGAAATCTCCAACTGGAAACTGCACAAATAGGGTGTTTCAAATCTGCTCTGTCTAAAGGAAGGTTCAACTCTGTGAGTTGAATACACACACCACAAATAAGTTACTGAGAATTCTTCTGTCGAACATTACAGGAAGAAATCCCGTTTCCAACGAAGGCCTCAAAAAGGTCCAAATATCCACTTGCAGACATTACAAACAGAGTGTTTCCAAACTGCTCCATCAAAAGAAAGGTTAAACTCTGTGAGCTGAACACACACATCAAAAAGAAGTTTCTGTGAATGATTCTGTCTAGATTTTATAAGAAGATGTTTCCTTTTCTACCGTAGGCCTCAAAGCGCTTGAAATCTCCAGCTGCAAATTCCACAAAAAGGGTGTTTAACATCTGCTCTTCTAAAGGAAAGTTCAACTCTATGAGTTGAATACACACAGCACAAAGAAGTTACTGAGACTTCTCCTATCAAACATTATATGAAGAAATCCCGTTTCCAACGAAGGCCTCAAAGAGGTCCAAATATCTGCTTGCAGACTTTACAGACAGAGTGTTTCCAAACTGCTCCATCAAAAGAAAGGTTAAACTCCTTGAGTTGAACACACACATCACAAAGTAGTTTCTGTGAATGATTCTGTCTTGTTGTTATACGAAGATGTTTCCTTTTCTACCTTTGGTCTCAAAGCGATTGAAATCTCCACATGGAAACTCCACAAAAAGAGTGTTTCAAATCTGCTCTTTCTGAAGGAAGGTTCATCTCTGTGAGTTCAATACACACACCACAAATAAGTTACTGAGAATTCTTCTGTGTAACATTATATGAGGAAATCCCGTTTCCAACGAAGGCCTCAAAGAGGTCCAAATATCCACTTGCAGACTTTACAAAGACAGTGTCTCCAAACTCCTCCATCAAAAGAAAGGTTATACTCTGTGAATTGAACGCACACATCACAAAGTAGTTTCTGAGAATGATTCTGTCTAGTTTTTATACGAAGATATTTCCTTTTCTACATTTGGCCTAAAAGCGCTTGAAATCTCCACCTGCAAATATCACAAAAAGAGGGTTTCACATCTGCTCTGTCTAAAGGACAGTTCACCTCTGTGAGTTGAATAGAGGCAACACAAAGAACTTACTCAGTATTCTTCTTTCTAGCGTTCTATGAAGAAATCCCGTTTCCAACGAAGGCCCCAAAGAGGTCCAAATATCTGCTTGCAGACTTTACAGACAGAGTGTTTCCAAACTACTCTATGAAAAGAAAGCTTAAACTCCTTGAGTTGAACGCACACATCACAAAGTAGTTTCTGAGAATGATTCTGTCTAGTTTTTATACGAAGATGTTTCCTTTTCTACATTGGGTCTCAAAGCAATTGAAATCTCCAACTGGAAACTGCACAAATAGGGAGTTTCAAATCTGATCTGTCTAAAGGGAGGGTCAACTCTGTGAGTTGAATACACACACCACAAATAAGTTACTGAGAATTCTTCTGTCGAACATTACATGAAGAAATCCCGTTTCCAACGAAGACCTCAAAGAGGTCCAAATATCCACTTGCAGACATTACAGAGTGTTTCCAAACTGCTCCATCAAAAGAAAGGTTAAACTCTGTGAGCTGAACACACACATCAAAAAGAAGTTTCTGTGAATGATTCTGTCTAGATTTTATAAGAAGATGTTTCCTTTTCTACCGTAGGCCACAAAGCGCTTGAAATCTCCAGCTGCAAATTCCACAAAAAGGGTGTTTAACATCTGCTCTTCTAAAGGAAAGTTCAACTCTATGCGTTGAATACACACAGCACAAAGAAGTTACTGAGACTTCTCCTATCAAACATTATATGAAGAAATCCCGTTTCCAACGAAGGCCTCAAAGAGGTCCAAATATCTACTTGCAGACTTTACAGACAGAGTGTTTCCAAACTGCTCCATCAAAAGAAAGGTTAAACTCCTTGAGTTGAACACACACATCACAAAGTAGTTTCTGTGAATGATTCTGTCTAGATTATATACAAAGATGTTTCCTTTTCTACCATTGGTCTCAAAGCGATTGAAATCTCCACATGGAAACTCCACAAAAAGAGTGTTTCCAATCTGCTCTTTGTGAAGGAAGGTTCAACTCTGTGAGTTGAATACACACCCCACAAATAAGTTACTGATAATTCTTCTGTGTAACATTATATGAGGAAATCCCGTTTCCAACGAAGGCCTCAAAGAGGTCCAAATATCCACTTGCAGTCTTTACAAAGACAGTGTCTCCAAACTCCTCCATCAAAAGAAAGGTTATACTCTGTGAATTGAACGCACACATCACAAAGTAGTTTCTGAGAATGATTCTGTCTAGTTTTTATACGAAGATATTTCCTTTTCTACATTTGGCCTAAAAGCGCTTGAAATCTCCACCTGCAAATATCACAAAAAGAGGGTTTCACATCTGCTCTGTCTAAAGGACAGTTCACCTCTGTGAGTTGAATAGAGGCAACACAAAGAACGTACTCAGTATTCTTCTTTCTAGCGTTCTATGAAGAAATCCCGTTTCCAACGAAGGCCCCAAAGAGGTCCAAATATCTGCTTGCAGACTTTACAGACAGAGTGTTTCCAAACTACTCTATGAAAAGAAAGCTTAAACTCCTTGAGTTGAACGCACACATCACAAAGTAGTTTCTGAGAATGATTCTGTCTAGTTTTTATACGAAGATGTTTCCTTTTCTACATTTGGTCTCAAAGCGATTGAAATCTCCAACTGGAAACTGCACAAATAGGGTGTTTCAAATCTGCTCTGTCTAAAGGAAGGTTCAACTCTGTGAGTTGAATACACACACCACAAATATGTTACTGAGAATTCTTCTGTCTAACATTATATGAAGAAATCCCGTTTCCAACGAAGGCCTCAAAGAGGTCCAAATATCCACTTGCAGACTTGTCAAACAGAGTGTTTCCAAACTGCACCATCAAAAGAAGGGTTAAACTCTGTGAGCTGAACACACACATCACAAAGTAGTTTCTGTGAATGATTCTGTCTAGTTTTTATACGAAGATGTTTCCTTTTCTACCTTTGGTCTCAAAGCGATTGAAATCTCCACATAGATACTCCACAAAATAGTGTTTCAAATGTGCTCTTTCTGAAGGAAGGTTCAACTCTGTGAGTTGAATACACACACCACAAATAAGTTACTGAGAATTCTTCTGTATAACATTGTATGGGGAAATCCCGTTTCCAACGAAGGCCTCAAAGAGGTCCAAATGTCCACTTGCAGACTTTACAAAGACAGTGTCTCCAAACTCCTCCATCAAAAGAAAGGTTATACTCTGTGAATTGAGCACACATCACAATGTAGTTTCTGAGAATGATTCTGTCTAGTTTTTATACGAAGATATTTCCTTTTCTACATTTGGCCAAAAAGCGCTTGAAATCTCCACCTGCAAATATCACAAAAAGAGGGTTTCACATCTGCTCTGTCTAAAGGACAGTTCACCTCTGTGAGTTGAATAGATTCAACACGAAGAAGTTACTGAGTATTCTTCTTTCTAGCGTTATATGAAGAAATCCCGTTTCCAACGAAGGCCTCAAAGAGGTCCAAATATCTGCTTGCAGACTTTACAGACAGAGTGTTTCCAAACTACTCTATGAAAAGAAAGTTTAACTCCGTGAGTTGAACGCACACATCACAAAGTAGTTTCTGAGAATGATTCTGTCTAGTTTTTATACGAAGATGTTTCCTTTTCTACATTTGGTCTCAAAGCGATTGAAATCTCCAACTGGAAACTGCACAAATAGGGTGTTTCAAATCTGCTCTGTCTAAAGGAAGGTTCAACTCTGTGAGTTGAATACACACACCACAGATAAGTTACTGAGAATTCTTCTGTCGAACATTACTTGAAGAAATCCCGTTTCCAACGAAGGCCTCAAGGAGGTCCAAATATCCACTTGCAGACATTACAAACAGTGTGTTTCCAAACTGCTCCATCAAAAGAAAGGTTAAACTCTGTGAGCTGAACACACACATCAAAAAGAAGTTTCTGTGAATGATTCCGTCTAGATTTTATAAGAAGATGTTTCCTTTTCTACCGTAGGCCTCAAAGCGCTTGAAATGTCCAGCTGCAAATTCCACAAAAAGGGTGTTTAACATCTGCTCTTCTAAAGGAAAGTTCAACTCTATGAGTTGAATACACACAGCACAAAGAAGTTACTGAGACTTCTCCTATCAAACATTATATGAAGAAATCCCGTTTCCAACGAAGGCCTCAAAGAGGTCCAAATATCTGCTTGCAGACTTTACAGACAGAGTATTTCCAAACTGCTCCATCAAAAGAAAGGTTAAACTCCTTGAGTTGAACACACACATCACAAAGTAGTTTCTGTGAATGATTCTGTCTAGTTTTTATACGAAGATGTTTCCTTTTCTACCTTTGGTCTAAAAGCGATTGAAATCTCCACATGGAAACTCCACAAAAAGAGTGTTTCAAATCTGCTCTTTCTGAAGGAAGGTTCAACTCTGTGAGTTGAATACACACACCACAAATAAGTTACTGAGAATTCTTCTGTGTAACATTATATGAGGAAATCCCGTTTCCAACGAAGGCCTCAAAGAGGTCCAAATATCCACTTGCAGACTTTACAAAGACAGTGTCTCCAAACTCCTCCATCAAAAGAAAGGTTATACTCTGTGAATTGAACGCACACATCACAAAGTAGATTCTGAGAATGATTCTGTCTAGTTTTTATACGAAGATATTTCCTTCTCTACATTTGGCCTAAAAGCGCTTGAAATCTCCACCTGCAAATATCACAAAAAGAGGGTTTCACATCTGCTCTGTCTAAAGGACAGTTCACCTCTGTGAGTTGAATAGAGGCAACACAAAGAACTTACTCAGTATTCTTCTTTCTAGCGTTCTATGAAGAAATCCCGTTTCCAACGAAGGCCTCAAAGAGGTCAAATATCTGCTTGCAGACTTTACAGACAGAGTGTTTCCAAACTACTCTATGAAAAGAAAGCTTAAACTCCTTGAGTTGAACGCACACATCACAAAGTAGTTTCTGAGAATGATTCTGTCTAGTTTTTATACGAAGATGTTTCCTTTTCTACATTTGTTCTCAAAGCGTTTGAAATCTCCAAATGGAAACTGCACAAATAGGGTGTTTCAAATCTGCTCTGTCTAAAGGAAGGTTCAACTCTGTGAGTTGAATACACACACCACAAATAAGTTGCTGAGAATTCTTCTGTCGAACATTACAGGAAGAAATCCCGTTTCCAACGAAGGCCTCAAAGAGGTCCAAATATCCACTTGCAGACATTACAAACAGTGTGTTTCCCAACTGCTCCATCAAAAGAAAGGTTAAACTCTGTGAGCTGAACACACACATCAAAAAGAAGTTTCTGTGAATGATTCTGTCTAGATTTTATAAGAAGATGTTTCCTTTTCTACCGTAGGCCTCAAAGCGCTTGAAATCTCCAGCTGCAAATTCCACAAAAATGGTGTTTAACATCTGCTCTTCTAAAGGAAAGTTCAACTCTATGAGTTGAATACACACAGCACAAAGAAGTTACTGAGACTTCTCCTATCAAACATTATATGAAGAAATCCCGTTTCCAACGAAGGCCTCAAAGAGGTCCAAATATCTGGTTGCAGACTTTACAGACAGAGTGTTTCCAAACTGCTCCATCAAAAGAAAGGTTAAACTCCTTGAGTTGAACACACACATCACAAAGTAGTTTCTGTGAATGATTCTGTCTAGTTTTTATACGAAGATGTTTCCTTTTCTACCTTTGGTCTCAATGCGATTGAAATCTCCACATGGAAACTCCACAAAAAGAGTGTTTCAAATCTGCTCTTTCTGAAGGAAGGTTCAACTCTGTGAGTTGAATACACACACCACAAATAAGTTACTGAGAATTCTTCTGTGTAACATTATATGAGGAAATCCCGTTTCCAACGAAGGCCTCAAAGAGGTCCAATTTTCCACTTGCAGACTTACAAAGACAGTGTCTCCAAACTCCTCCATCAAAAGAAAGGTTATACTCTGTGAATTGAACGCACACATCACAAAGTAGTTTCTGAGAATGATTCTGTCTAGTTTTTATACGAAGATATTTCCTTTTCTACATTTGACCTAAAAGCGCTTGAAATCTCCACCTGCAAATATCACAAAAAGAGGGTTTCACATCTGCTCTGTCTAAAGGACAGTTCACCTCTGTGAGTTGAATAGAGGCAACACAAAGAACTTACTCAGTATTCTTCTTTCTAGCGTTCTATGAAGAAATCCCGTTTCCAACGAAGGCCCCTAAGAGGTCCAAATATCTGTTTGCAGACTTTACAGACAGAGTGTTTCCAAACTACTCTATGAAAAGAAAGCTTAAACTCCTTGAGTTGAACGCACACATCACAAAGTAGTTTCTGAGAATGATTCTGTCTAGTTTTTATACGAAGATGTTTCCTTTTCTACATTTGGTCTCAAAGCGATTGAAATCTCCAACTGGAAACTGCACAAATAGGCTGTTTCAAATCTGCTCTGTCTAAAGGAAGGTTCAACTCTGTGAGTTGAATACACACACCACAAATAAGTTACTGAGAATTCTTCTGTCGAACATTACATGAAGAAATCCCGTTTCCAACGAAGGCCTCAAAGAGGTCCAAATATCCACTTGCAGAGATTACAAACAGTGTGTTTCCAAACTGCTCCATCAAAAGAAAGGTTAAACTCTGTGAGCTGAACACACACATCAAAAAGATGTTTCTGTGAATGATTCTGTCTAGATTTTATAAGAAGATGTTTCCTTTTCTACAGTAGGCCTCAAAGCGCTTGAAATCTCCAGCTGCAAATTCCACAAAAAGGGTGTTTAACATCTGCTCTTCTAAAGGAAAGTTCAAATCTATGAGTTGAATACACACAGCACAAAGAAGTTACTGAGACTTCTCCTATCAAACATTATATGAAGAAATCCCGTTTCCAACGAAGGCCTCAAAGAGGTCCAAATATCTGCTTGCAGACTTTACAGACAGAGTATTTCCAAACTGCTCCATCAAAAGAAAGGTTAAACTCCTTGAGTTGAACACACACATCACAAAGTAGTTTCTGTGAATGATTCTGTCTAGTTTTTATACGAAGATGTTTCCTTTTCTACCTTTGGTCTCAAAGCGATTGAAATCTCCACATGGAAACTCCACAAAAAGAGTGTTTCAAATCTGCTCTTTCTGAAGGAAGGTTCAACTCTGTGAGTTGAATACACACACCACAAATAAGTTACTGAGAATTCTTCTGTGTAACATTATATGAGGAAATCCCGTTTCCAACGAAGGCCTCAAAGAGGTCCAAATATCCACTTGCAGACTTTACAAAGACAGTGTCTCCAAACTCCTCCATCAAAAGAAAGGTTATACTCTGTGAATTGAACGCACACATCACAAAGTAGTTTCTGAGAATGATTCTGTCTAGTTTTTATACGAAGATATTTCCTTTTCTACATTTGGCCTAAAAGCGCTTGAAATCTCCACCTGCAAATATCACAAAAAGAGGGTTTCACATCTGCTCTGTCTAAAGGACAGTTCACCTCTGTGAGTTGAATAGAGGCAACACAAAGAACTTACTCAGTATTCTTCTTTCTAGCGTTATATGAAGAAATCCCGTTTCCAACGAAGGCCTCAAAGAGGTCCAAATATCTGCTTGCAGACATTACAGACAGAGTGGTTCCAAACTACTCTATGAAAAGAAAGCTTAAACTCCTTGAGTTGAACGCACACATCACAAAGTAGTTTCTGAGAATGATTCTGTCTTGTATTTATACGAAGATATTTCCGTTTCTATGATTGGCCTCAAAGCCATTGAAATCTCCAACTGGAAACTGCACAAACAGGGTGTTTCAAATCTGCTCTGTCTAAAGGAAGGTTCAACTCTGTGAGTTGAATACACACACCACAAATAAGTTACTGAGAATTCTTCTGTCGAACATTACATGAAGAAATCCCGTTTCCAACGAAGGCCTCAAAGAGGTCCAAATATCCACTTGCAGACTTTACAAACAGAGTGTTTTCAAACTGCTCCATCAAAAGAAAGGTTAAACTCTGTGAGCTGAACACACACTTCAAAAAGAAGTTTCTGTGAATGATTCTGTCTAGATTTTATAAGAAGATGTTTCCTTTTCTACCGTAGGCCTCAAAGCGCTTGAAATCTCCAGCTGCCAATTCCACAAAAAGGGTGATTAACATCTGCTCTACTAAAGGAAAGTTCAACTCTATGAGTTGAATACACACAGCACAAAGTAGTTACTGAGACTTCTCCTATAAAACATTATATGAAGAAATCCCGTTTCCAACGAAGGCCTCAAAGAGGTCCAAATATCCACTTGCAGACTTTACAAAGACAGTGTCTCCAAACTCCTCCATCAAAAGAAAGGTTATACTCTGTGAATTGAACGCACACATCACAAAGTAGTTTCTGAGAATGATTCTGTCTAGTTGTTATACGAAGATGTTTCCTTTTCTACCTTTGGTCTCAAAGCGATTGAAATCTCCACATGGAAACTCCACAAAAAGAGTGTTTCAAATCTGCTCTTTCTGAAGGAAGGTTCATCTCTGTGAGTTGAATACACACACCAAAAATAAGTTACTGAGAATTCTTCTGTGTAACATTATATGAGGAAATCCCGTTTCCAACGAAGGCCTCAAAGAGGTCCAAATATCCACTTGCAGACTTTACAAAGACAGTGTCTCCAAACTCCTCCATCAAAAGAAAGGTTATACTGCTGTGAATTGAACGCACACATCACAAAGTAGTTTGCTGAGAATGATTCTGTCTAGTTTTTATACGAAGATATTTCCTTTTCTACATTTGGCCTAAAAGCGCTTGAAATCTCCACCTGCAAATATCACAAAAAGAGGGTTTCACATCTGCTCTGTCTAAAGGACAGTTCACCTCTGTGAGTTGAATAGAGGCAACACAAGGAACTTACTCAGTATTCTTCTTTCTAGCATTCTATGAAGAAATCCCGTTTCCAACGAAGGCCCCAAAGAGATCCAAATATCTGCTTGCAGACTTTACAGACAGAGTTTTTCCAAACTGCTCCATCAAAAGAAAGGTTAAACTCCTTGAGTTGAACACACACATCACAAAGTAGTTTCTGTGAATGATTCTGTCTAGTTTTTATAAGAAGATGTTTCCTTTTCTACCTTTGGTCTCAAAGCGATTGAAATCTCCACATGGAAACTCCTCAAAAAGAGTGTTTCAAATCTGCTCTTTCTGAAGGAAGGTTCAACTCTGTGAGTTGAATACACAAACCACAAATAAGTTACTGAGAATTCTTCTGTGTAACATTATATGAGGAAATCCCGTTTCCAACGAAGGCCTCAAAGAGGTCCAAATATCCACTTGCGGACATTACAAACAGTGTGTTTCCCAACTGCTCCATCAAAAGAAAGGTTAAACTCTGTGAGCTGAACACACACATCAAAAAGAAGTTTCTGTGAATGATTCTGTCTAGATTTTATAAGAAGATGTTTCCTTTTCTACCGTAGGCCTCAAAGCGCTAGAAATCTCCACCTGCAAATTCCACAAAAAGTGTGTTTAACATCTGCTCTGTCTAAAGTAAAGATCAGCTCTGTGAGTTAAATACACACAGCACAAAGAAGTTACTGAGACTTCTTCTGTCTAACATTATATGAAGAAATCCCGTTTCCAACGAAGGCCTCAAAGAGGTCCAAATATCCACTTGCAGACTTGTCAAACAGAGTGTTTCCAAACTGCACCATCAAAAGAAAGGTTAAACTCTGTGAGCTGAACACACACATCACAAAGTAGTTTCTGTGAATGATTCTGTCTAGTTTTTATACGAAGATGTTTCCTTTTCTACCTTTGGTCTCAAAGCGATTGAAATCTCCACATTGAAACTCCACAAAAAGAGTGTTTCAAATCTGCTCTTTCTGAAGGAAGGTTCAACTCTGTGAGTTGAATACACACACCACAAATAAGTTACTGAGAATTCTTCTGTGTAACATTATATGAGGAAATCCCGTTTCCAACGAAGGCCTCAAAGAGGTCCAAATATCCACTTGCAGACTTTACAAAGACAGTGTCTCCAAACTCCTCCATCAAAAGAAAGGTTATACTCTGTGAATTGAACGCACACATCACAAAGTAGTTTCTGAGAATGATTCTGTCTAGTTTTTATACGAAGATATTTCCTTTTCTACATTAGGCCTAAAAGCCCTTGAAATCTCCACCTGCAAATATCACAAAAAGAGGGTTTCACATCTGCTCTGTCTAAAGGACTGTTCACCTCTGTGAGTTGAATAGAGGCAACACAAAGAACTTACTCAGTATTCGTCTTTCTAGCGTTCTATGAAGAAATCCCGTTTCCAACGAAGGCCCCAAAGAGGTCCAAATATCTGCTTGCAGACTTTACAGACAGAGTGTTTCCAAACTACTCTATGAAAAGAAAGCTTAAACTCCTTGAGTTGAACGCACACATCACAAAGTAGTTTCTGAGAATGATTCTGTCTAGTTTTTATACGAAGATGTTTCCTTTTCTACATTTGGTCTCAAAGCGATTGAAATCTCCAACTGGAAACTGCACAAATAGGGTGTTTCAAATCTGCTCTGTCTAAAGGAAGGTTCAACTCTGTGAGTTGAATACACACACCACAAATAAGTTACTGAGAATTCTTCTGTCGAACATTACATGAAGAAATCCCGTTTCCAACGAAGGCCTCAAAGAGGTCCAAATATCCACTTGCAGACATTACAAATAGAATGTTTCCAAACTGCTCCATCAAAAGAATGGTTAAACTCTGTGAGTTGAACACACATATCAAAAAGAAGTTTCTGTGAATGATTCTGTCTAGATTTTATACGAAGATGTTTCCTTTTCTAACATAGGCCTCAAAGCACTTGAAATCTCCAGCTGCAAATTCCACAAAAAGGGTGTTTAACATCTGCTCTTCTAAAGGAAAGTTCCACTCTGTGAGTTGAATACACACAGCAGAAATAAGTTACTGAGAATTCTCCTATCAAACATTATATGAAGAAATCCCGTTTCCAACGAAGGCCACAAAGAGGTCCAAATATCTGCTTGCAGACTTTACAGACAGAGTGTTTCCAAACTCCTCCATCAAAAGAAAGGTTAAACTCCTTGAGTTGAAGACACACATCACAAAGTAGTTTCTGTGAATGATTCTGTCTAGTTTTTATACGAAGACGTTTCCTTTTCTACCTATCGTCTCAAAGCGATTGAAATCTCCACATGGAAACTCCACAAAAAGAGTGTTTCAAATCTGCTCTTTCTGAAGGAAGGTTCAACTCTGTGATTTGAATACACACACCACAAATAAGTTACTGAGAATTCTCCTATCAAACATTATATGAAGAAATCCCGTTTCCAACGAAGGCCTCAAAGAGGTCCAAATATCTGCTTGCAGACTTTACAAAGACAGTGTCTCCAAACTCCTCCATCAAAAGAAAGGTTATACTCTGTGAATTGAACGCACACATCACAAAGTAGTTTCTGAGAATGATTCTGTCTGGTTTTTATACGAAGATATTTCCTTTTCTACATTTGGCCTAAAATCGCTTGAAATCTCCACCTGCAAATATCACAAAAAGAGGGTTTCACATCTGCTCTGTCTAAAGGACAGTTCACCTCTGTGAGTTGAATAGAGGCAACACAAAGAACTTACTCAGAATTCTTCTTTCTAGCGTTCTATGAAGAAATCCCGTTTCCAACGAAGGCCTCAAAGAGGTCAAATATCTGCTTGCAGACTTTACAGACAGAGTGTTTCCAAACTACTCTATGAAAAGAAAGCTTAAACTCCTTGAGTTGAACGCACACATCACAAAGTAGTTTCTGAGAATGATTCTGTCTAGTTTTTATACGAAGATGTTTCCTTTTCTACATTTGGTCTCAAAGCGATTGAAATCTCCAACTGGAAACTGCACAAATAGGGTGTTTCAAATCTGCTCTGTCTAAAGGAAGGTTCAACTCTTTGAGTTGAATACACACACCACAAATAAGTTACTGAGAATTCTTCTGTCGAACATTACTTGAAGAAATCCCGTTTCCAACGAAGGCCTCAAAGAGGTCCAAATATCCACTTGCAGACATTACAAACAGAGTGTTTCCAAACTGCTCCATCAAAAGAAAGGTTAAACTCTGTGAGCTGAACACACACATCGAAAAGAAGTTTCTGTGAATGATTCTGTCTAGATTTTATAAGAAGATGTTTCCTTTTCTACCGTAGGCCTCAAAGCGCTTGAAATCTCCAGCTGCAAATTCCACAAAAAGGGTGTTTAACATCTGCTCTTCTAAAGGAAAGTTCAACTCTATGAGTTGAATACACACAGCACAAAGAAGTTACTGAGACTTCTCCTATCAAACATTATATGAAGAAATCCCGTTTCCAACGAAGGCCTCAAAGAGGTCCAAATATCTGCTTGCAGACTTTACAGACAGAGTGTTTCCAAACTGCTCCATCAAAAGAAAGGTTAAACTCCTTGAGTTGAACACACACATCACAAAGTAGTTTCTGTGAATGATTCTGTCTAGTTTTTATACGAAGATGTTTCCTTTTCTACCTTTGGTCTCAATGCGATTGAAATCTCCACATGGAAACTCCACAAAAAGAGTGTTTCAAATCTGCTCTTTCTGAAGGAAGGTTCAACTCTGTGAGTTGAATACACACACCACAAATAAGTTACTGAGAATTCTTCTGTGTAACATTATAGGAGGAAATCCCGTTTCCAACGAAGGCCTCAAAGAGGTCCAAATATCCACTTGCAGACGTGACAAACAGAGTGTTTCCAAACTGCTCCATCCAAAGAAAGGTTAAACTCTGTGAGTTGAACACACACATCACAAAGTAGTGTCTGTGAATGATTTTGTCTAGTTTTTATACGAAGATGTTTCCTTTTCTACCTTTGGTCTCAAAGCGATTGAAATCTCCACATGGAAACTCCACAAAAAGAGCGTTTCAAATCTGCTATTTCTGAAGGAAGGTTCAACTCTGTGAGTTGAATACACACACCACAAATATGTTACTGAGAATTCTTCTGGGTAACATTATATGAGGAAATCCCGTTTCCAACGAAGGCCTCAAAGAGGTCCAAATATCCACTTGCAGACTTTACAAAGACAGTGTCTCCAAACTCCTCCATCAAAAGAAAGGTTATACTCTGTGAATTGAACGCACACATCACAAAGTAGTTTCTGAGAATGATTCTGTCTAGTTTTTATACGAAGATATTTCCTTTTCTACATTTGGCCTAAAAGCGCTTGAAATCTCCACCTGCAAATATCCCAAAAAGAGGGTTTCACATCTGCTCTGTCTAAAGGACAGTTCACCTCTGTGAGTTGAATAGAGGCAACACAAAGAACTTACTCAGTATTCTTCTTTCTACCGTTCTATGAAGAAATCCCGTTTCCAACGAAGGCCTCAAAGAGGTCCAAATATCTGCTTGCAGACTTTACAGACAGAGTGTTTCCAAACTACTCTATGAAAAGAAAGCTTAAACTCCTTGAGTTGAACGCACACATCACAAAGTAGTTTCTGAGAATGATTCTGTCTAGTTTTTATACGAAGATGTTTCCTTTTCTACATTTGTTCTCAAAGCGTTTGAAATCTCCAAATGGAAACTGCACAAATAGGGTGTTTCAAATCTGCTCTGTCTAAAGGAAGGTTCAACTCTGTGAGTTGAATACACACACCACAAATAAGTTGCTGAGAATTCTATTGTCGAACATTACTTGAAGAAATCCCGTTTCCAACGAAGGCCTCAAAGAGGTCCAAATATCCACTTGCAGATATTACAAACAGAGTGTTTCCAAACTGCTCCATCAAAAGAAAGGTTAAACTCTGTGAGCTGAACACACACATCAAAAAGAAGTTTCTGTGAATGATTCTGTCTAGATTTTAAAACAAGATGTTTCCTTTTCTACCGTAGGCCTCAAAGCGCTTGAAATCTCCAGCTGCAAATTCGACAAAAAGGGTGTTTAACATCTGCTCTTCTAAAGGAAAGTTCAACTCTATGAGTTGAATACACACAGCACAAAGAAGATACTGAGACTTCTCCTATCAAACATTATATGAAGAAATCCCGTTTCCAACGAAGGCCTCAAAGAGGTCCAAATATCTGCTTGCAGACTTTACAGACAGTGTGTTTCCAAACTGCTCCATCAAAAGAAAGGTTAAACTCCTTGAGTTGAACACACACATCACAATGTAGTTTCTGTGAATGATTCTGTCTAGTTTTTATACGAAGATGTTTCCTTTTCTACCTTTGGTCTCAAAGCGATTGAAATCTCCACATGGAAACTCCACAAAAAGAGTGTTTCAAATCTGCTCTTTCTGAAGGAAGGTTCATCTCTGTGAGTTGAATACACACACCACAAATAAGTTACTGAGAATTCTTCTGTGTAACATTATATGAGGAAATCCCGTTTCCAACGAAGGCCTCAAAGAGGTCCAAAT
The DNA here is from genome assembly GCF_000001405.40 of Homo sapiens. Lineage (NCBI taxonomy): Eukaryota > Metazoa > Chordata > Mammalia > Primates > Hominidae > Homo > Homo sapiens. The sequence goes on along the minus strand of NC_000012.12, from coordinate 36,546,931 downwards.
ATCCACTTGCAGACTTTACAAAGACAGTGTCTCCAAACTCCTCCATCAAAAGAAAGGTTATACTCTGTGAATTGAACGCACACATCACAAAGTAGTTTCTGAGAATGATTCTGTCTAGTTTTTATACGAAGATATTTCCTTTTCTACATTTGGCCTAAAAGCGCTTGAAATCTCCACCTGCAAATATCCCAAAAAGAGGGTTTCACATCTGCTCTGTCTAAAGGACAGTTCAGCTCTGTGAGTTGAATAGAGGCAACACAAAGAACTTACTCAGTATTCTTCTTTCTAGCGTTCTATGAAGAAATCCCGTTTCCAACGAAGGCCTCAAAGAGGTCCAAATATCTGCTTGCAGACTTTACAGACAGAGTGTTTCCAAACTACTCTATGAAAAGAAAGCTTAAACTCCTTGAATTGAACGCACATATCACAAAGTAGTTTCTGAGAATGATTCTGTCTAGTTTTTATACGAAGATGTTTCCTTTTCTACATTTGGTCTCAAAGCAATTGAAATCTCCAACTGGAAACTGCACAAATAGGGTGTTTCAAATCTGCTCTGTCTAAAGGAAGGTTCAACTCTGTGAGTTGAATACACACACCACAAATAAGTTACTGAGAATTCTTCTGTCGAACATTACATGAAGAAATCCCGTTTCCAACGAAGGCCTCAAAGAGGTCCAAATATCCACTTGCAGACATTACAAACAGTGTGTTTCCAAACTGCTCCATCAAAAGAAAGGTTAAACTCTGTGAGCTGAACACACACATCAAAAGGAAGTTTCTGTGAATGATTGTGTCTAGATTTTATAAGAAGATGTTTCCTTTTCTACCATAGGCCCCAAAGCGCTAGAAATCTCCAGCTGCAAATTCCACAAAAAGTGTGTTTAACATCTGCTCGTTCTAAAGTAAAGTTCAGCTCTGTGATTTGAATACACACAGCACAAAGAAGTTACTGAGACTTCTTCTGTCTAACATTATATGAAGAAATCCCGTTTCCAACGAAGGCCTCAAAGAGGTCCAAATATCCACTTGCAGACTTGTCAAACGGAGTGTTTCCAAACTGCACCATCAAAAGAAAGGTTAAACTCTGTGAGCTGAACACACACATCACAAAGTAGTTTCTGTGAATGATTCTGTCTAGTTTTTATACGAAGATGTTTCCTTTTCTACCTTTGGTCTCAAAGTGATTGAAATCTCCACATGGAAACTCCACAAAAAGAGTGTTTCAAATCTGCTCTTTCTGAAGGAAGGTTCAAATCTGTGAGTTGAATACACACACCACAAATAAGTTACTGAGAATTCTTCTGTCGAACATTACTTGAAGAAATCCCGTTTCCAACGAAGGCCTCAAAGAGGTCCAAATATCCACTTGCAGACTTTACAAAGACAGTGTCTCCAAACTCCTCCATCAAAAGAAAGGTTATACTCTGTGAATTGAACGCACACATCACAAAGTAGTTTCTGAGAATGATTCTGTCTAGTTTTTATACGAAGATATTTCCTTTTCTACATTTGGCCTAAAAGTGCTTGAAATCTCCACCTGCAAATATCACAAAAAGAGGGTTTCACATCTGCTCTGTCTAAAGGACAGTTCACCTCTGTGAGTTGAATAGAGGCAACACAAAGAACTTACTCAGTATTCTTCTTTCTAGCGTTCTATGAAGAAATCCCTTTTCCAACGAAGGCCCCAAAGAGGTCCAAATATCTGCTTGCAGACTTTACAGACAGAGTGTTTCCAAACTACTCTATGAAAAGAAAGCTTAAATTCATTGAGTTGAACGCACACATCACAAAGTAGTTTCTGAGAATGATTCTGTCCAGTTTTTATACGAAGATGTTTCCTTTTCTACATTTGGTCTCAAAGCGATTGAAATCTCCAACTGGAAACTGCACAAATAGGGTGTTTCAAATCTGCTCTGTCTAAAGGAAGGTTCAACTCTGTGAGTTGAATACACACACCACAAATAAGTTACTGAGAATTCTTCTGTCGAACATTACATGAAGAAATCCCGTTTCCAACGAAGACCTCAAAGAGGTCCAAATATCCACTTGCAGACATTACAAACAGAGTGTTTCCAAACTGCTCCATCAAAAGAAAGGTTAAACTCTGTGAGCTGAACACACACATCAAAAAGAAGTTTCTGTGAATGATTCTGTCTAGATTTTATAAGAAGATGTTTCCTTTTCTACCGTAGGCCTCAAAGCGCTTGAAATCTCCAGCTGCAAATTCCACAAAAAGGGTGTTTCAAATCTGCTCTGTCTAAAGGAAGGTTCAACTCTGTGAGTTGAATTCACACACCACAAATAAGTTACTGAGAATTCTTCTGTCGAACATTACTTGAAGAAATCCCGTTTCCAACGAAGGCCTCAAAGAGGTCCAAATATCTGCTTGCAGACTTTACAGACAGAGTGTTTCCAAACTGCTCCATCAAAAGAAAGGTTAAACTCCTTGAGTTGAACACACACATCACAAAGTAGTTTCTGTGAATGATTCTGTCTAGTTTTTATACGAAGATGTTTCCTTTTCTACCTTTGGTCTCAAAGCGATTGAAATCTCCACATGGAAACTCCACAAAAAGAGTGTTTCAAATCTGCTCTTTCTGAAGGAAGGTTCAACTCTGTGAGTTGAATACACACACCACAAATAAGTTACTGAGAATTCTTCTGTGTAACATTATATGAGGAAATCCCGTTTCCAACGAAGGCCCCAAAGAGGTCCAAATATCCACTTGCAGACTTTACAAAGACAGTGTCTCCAAACTCCTCCATCAAAAGAAAGGTTATACTCTGTGAATTGAACGCACACATCACAAAGTAGTTTCTGAGAATGATTCTGTCTAGTTTTTATACGAAGATATTTCCTTTTCTACATTTGGCCTAAAAGCGCTTGAAATCTCCACCTGCAAATATCACAAAAAGAGGGTTTCACATCTGCTCTGTCTAAAGGACAGTTCACCTCTGTGAGTTGAATAGAGGCAACACAAAGAACTTACTCAGTATTCTTCTTTCTAGCGTTCTATGAAGAAATCCCGTTTCCAACGAAGGCCCCAAAGAGGTCCAAATATCTGCTTGCAGACTTTACAGACAGAGTGTTTCCAAACTACTCTATGAAAAGAAAGCTTAAACTCCTTGAGTTGAACGCACACATCACAAAGTAGTTTCTGAGAATGATTCTGTCTAGTTTTTATACGAAGATGTTTCCCTTTCTACAATTGGTCTCAAAGCGATTGAAATCTCCAACTGGAAACTGCACAAATAGGCTGTTTCAAATCTGCTCTGTCTAAAAGAGGGTTCAACTCTGTGAGTTGAATACACACACCACAAATAAGTTACTGAGAATTCTTCTCTCGAACATTACATGAAGAAATCCCGTTTCCAACGAAGGCCTCAAAGAGGTCCAAATATCCACTTGCCGACATGGCAAACACAGTGTTTGCAAACTGCTCCGTCAAAAGAAAGGTTAAACTCTGTGAGATGAACACACACATCAAAAAGAAGTTTCTGTGAATGATTCTGTCTAGATTTTATAAGAAGATGTTTCCTTTTCTACCATAGGCCTCAAAGCTCTAGAAATCTCCAGCTGCAAATTCCACAAAAAGTGTGTTTAACATCTGCTCGGTGTAACGTAAAATTCAGCTCTGTGAGTTGAATACACACAGCACAAAGAAGTTACTGAGACTTCTTCTGTCTAACATTATATGAAGAAATCCCGTTTCCAACGAAGGCCTCAAAGAGGTCCAAATATCCACTTGCAGACGTGAAAAACAGAGTGTTTCCAAACTGCTCCATCAAAAGAAAGGTTAAACTCTGTGAGTTGAACACACACATAACAAAGTAGTTTCTGTAAATGATTCTGTCTAGTTTTTATACGAAGATGTTTCCTTTTCTACCTTTGGTCTCCAAGCGATTGAAATCTCCACATGGAAACTCCACAAAAAGAGTGTTTCAAATCTGCTCTTTCTGAAGGAAGGTTCAACTCTGTGAGTTGAATACACACACCACAAATAAGTTACTGAGAATTCTTCTGTGTAACATTATATGAGGAAATCCCGTTTCCAACGAAGGCCTCAAAGAGGTCCAAATATCCACTTGCAGACTTTTCAAAGACAGTGTCTCCAAACTCCTCCATCAAAAGAAAGGTTATACTCTGTGAATTGAACGCACACATCACAAAGTAGTTTCTGAGAATGATTCTGTCTAATTTTTATACGAAGATATTTCCTTTTCTACATTTGGCCTAAAAGCGCTTGAAATCTCCACCTGCAAATATCACGAACAAAGAGGGTTTCACATCTGCTCTGTCTAAAGGACAGTTCACCTCTGTGAGTTGAATAGAGGCAACACAAAGAACTTACTCAGTATTCTTCTTTCTAGCGTTCTATGAAGAAATCCCGTTTCCAACGAAGGCCTCAAAGAGGTCCAAATATCTGCTTGCAGACTTTACAGACAGAGTGTTTCCAAACTGCTCCGTAAAAAGAAAGGTTAACCTCCATGAGTTGAACACACACATCACAAAGTAGTTTCTGTGAATGATTCTGTCTAGTTTTTATACGAAGATGTTTCCTTTTCTATCTTTGGTCTCAAAGCGATTGAAATCTCCACATGGAAACTCCACAAAAAGAGTGTTTCAAATCTGCTCTTTCTAAAGGAAGGTTCAACTCTGTGAGTTGAATACACACACCACAAATAAGTTACTGAGAATTCTTCTGTGTAACATTATATGAGGAAATCCCGTTTCCAACGAAGGCCTCAAAGAGGTCCAAATATCCACTTGCAGACTTTACAAAGACAGTGTCTCCAAACTCCTCCATCAAAAGAAAGGTTATACTCTGTGAATTGAACGCATACATCACAAAGTAGTTTCTGAGAATGATTCTGTCTAGTTTTTATACGAAGATATTTCCTTTTCTACATTTGGCCTAAAAGCGCTTGAAATCTCCACCTGCAAATATCACAAAAAGAGGGTTTCACATCTGCTCTGTCTAAAGGACAGTTCACCTCTGTGAGTTGAATAGAGGCAACACAAAGAACTTACTCAGTATTCTTCTTTCTAGCGTTCTATGAAGAAATCCCGTTTCCAACGAAGGCCTCAAAGAGGTCCAAATATCTGCTTGCACACTTTACAGACAGAGTGTTTCCAAACTACTCTATGAAAAGAAAGCTTAAACTCCTTGAGTTGAACGCACACATCACAAAGTAGTTTCTGAGAATGATTCTGTCTAGTTTTTATACGAAGATGTTTCCTTTTCTACATTTGGTCTCAAAGCGATTGAAATCTCCAACTGGAAACTGCACAAATAGGGTGTTTCAAATCTGCTCTGTCTAAAGGAAGGTTCAACTCTGTGAGTTGAATACACACACCACAAATAAGTTACTGAGAATTTTTCTGTCGAACATTACATGAAGAAATCCCGTTTCCAACGAAGGCCTCAAAGAGGTCCAAATATCCACTTGCAGACATTACAAACAGAGTGTTTCCAAACTGCTCCATCAAAAGAAAGGTTAAACTCTGTGAGCTGAACACACACATCAAAAAGAAGTTTCTGTGAATGATTCTGTCTAGATTTTATAAGAAGATGTTTCCTTTTCTACCGTAGGCCTCAAAGCGCTTGAAATCTCCAGCTGCAAATTCCACAAAAAGGGTGTTTAACATCTGCTCTTCTAAAGGAAAGTTCATCTCTATGAGTTGAATACACACAGCACAAAGAAGTTACTGAGACTTCTCCTATCAAACATTATATGAAGAAATCCCGTTTCCAACGAAGGCCTCAAAGAGGTCCAAATATCTGCTTGCGGACTTTACAGACAGAGTGTTTCCAAACTGCTCCATCAAAAGAAAGGTTAAACTCCTTGAGTTGAACACACAGATCACAAAGTAGTTTCTGTGAATGATTCTGTCTAGTTTTTATACGAAGATGTTTCCTTTTCTACCTTTGGTCTCAATGCGATTGAAATCTCCACATGGAAACTCCACAAAAAGAGTGTTTCAAATCTGCTCTTTCTGAAGAAAGGTTCAACTCTGCGAGTTGAATACACACACCACAAATAAGTTACTGAGAATTCTTCTGTGTAACATTATATGAGGAAATCCCGTTTCCAACGAAGGCCTCAAAGAGATACAAATATCCACTTGCAGACTTTACAAAGACAGTGTCTCCAAACTCCTCCATCAAAAGAAAGGTTATACTCTGTGAATGGAACACACACATCACAAAGAAGTTTCTGAGAATGATTCTGTCTAGTTTTTATACGAAGATATTTCCTTTTCTACATTTGGCCTAAAAGCGCTTGAAATCTCCACCTGCAAATATCACAAAAAGAGGGTTTCACATCTGCTCTGTCTAAAGGACAGTTCACCTCTGTGAGTTGAATAGAGGCAACACAAAGAACTTACTCAGTATTCTTCTTTCTAGCGTTCTATGAAGAAATCCCGTTTCCAATGAAGGCCCCAATGAGGTTCAAATATCTGCTTGCAGACTTTACAGACAGAGTGTTTCCAAACTACTCTATGAAAAGAAAGCTTAAACTCCTTGAGTTGAACGCACAGATCACAAAGTAGTTTCTGAGAATGATTCTGTCTAGTTTTTATACGAAGATGTTTCCTTTTCTACATTTGGTCTCAAAGCTCTTGAAATCTCCAACTGGAAACTGCACAAATAGGCTGTTTCAAATCTGCTCTGTCTAAAGGAAGGTTCAACTCTGTGAGTTGAATACACACACCACAAATAAGTTACTGAGAATTCTTCTGTCGAACATTACTTGAAGAAATCCCGTTTCCAACGAAGGCCTCAAAGAGGTCCAAATATCCACTTGCGGACATTACAAACAGTGTGTTTCCCAACTGCTCCATCAAAAGAAAGGTTAAACTCTGTGAGCTGAACACACACATCAAAAAGAAGTTTCTGTGAATGATTCTGTCTAGATTTTATAAGAAGATGTTTCCTTTTCTACCGTAGGACTCAAAGCGCTTGAAATCTCCAGCTACAAATTCCACAAAAAGGGTGTTTAACATCTGCTCTTCTAAAGGAAAGTTCAACTCTATGAGTTGAATACACACAGCACAAAGAAGTTACTGAGACTTCTTCTTTCTAGCATTCTATGAAGAAATCCCGTTTCCAACGAAGGCCTCAAAGAGGTCCAAATATCTGCTTGCAGACTTTACAGACAGAGTTTTTCCAAACTGCTCCATCAAAAGAAAGGTTAAACTCCTTGAGTTGAACACACACATCACAAAGTAGTTTCTGTGAATGATTCTGTCTAGTTTTTATACGAAGATGTTTCCTTTTCTACCTTTGGTCTCAAAGCGATTGAAATCTCCACATGGAAACTCCACAAAAAGAGTGTTTCAAATCTGCTCTTTCTGAAGGAAGGTTCAACTCTGTGAGTTGAATACACACACCACAAATAAGTTACTGAGAATTCTTCTGTGTAACATTATATGAGGAAATCCCGTTTCCAACGAAGGCCTCAAAGAGGTCCAAATATCCACTTGCAGACTTTACAAAGACAGTGTCTCCAAACTCCTCCATCAACAGAAAGGTTATACTCTGTGAATTGAACGCACACATCACAAAGTAGTTTCTGAGAATGATTCTGTCTAGTTTTTATACGAAGATATTTCCTTTTCTACATTTGGCCTAAAAGCGCTTGAAATCTCCACCTGCAAATATCACAAAAAGAGGGTTTCACATCTGCTCTGTCTAAAGGACAGTTCACCTCTGTGAGTTGAATAGAGGCAATACAAAGAACTTACTCAGTATTCTTCTTTCTAGCGTTCTATGAAGAAATCCCGTTTCCAACGAAGGCCCCAAGAGGTCCAAATATCTGCTTGCAGACTTTACAGACAGAGTGTTTCCAAACTACTCTATGAAAAGAAAGCTTAAACTCCTTGAGTTGAACGCACACATCACAAAGTAGTTTCTGAGAATGATTCTGTCTAGTTTTTATACGAAGATGTTTCCTTTTCTACATTTGGTCTCAAAGCGATTGAAATCTCCAACTGGAAACTGCACAAATAGGGTGTTTCAAATCTGCTCTGTCTAAAGGAAGGCTCAACTCTGTGAGTTGAATACACACACCACAAATAAGTTACTGAAAATTCTTCTGTCGAACATTACTTGAAGAAATCCCGTTTCCAACGAAGGCCCCAAAGAGGTCCAAATATCCACTTGCAGACATTACAAACAGAGTGTTTCCAAACTGCTCCATCAAAAGAAAGGTTAAACTCTGTGAGCTGAACACACACATCGAAAAGAAGTTTCTGTGAATGATTCTGTCTAGATTTTATAAGAAGATGTTTCCTTTTCTACCGTAGGCCTCAAAGCGCTTGAAATCTCCAGCTGCAAATTCCACAAAAAGGGTGTTTAACATCTGCTCTTCTAAAGGAAAGTTCAACTCTATGAGTTGAATACACACAGCAAAAAGAGGTTACTGAGACTTCTCCTATCAAACATTATATGAAGAAGTCCCGTTTCCAACGAAGGCCTCAAAGAGGTCCAAATATCTGCTTGCAGACTTTACAGACAGAGTGTTTCCAAACTGCTCCATCAAAAGAAAGGTTAAACTCCTTGAGTTGAACACACACATCACAAAGTAGTTTCTGTGAATGATTCTGTCTAGTTTTTATACGAAGATGTTTCCTTTTCTAGCTTTGGTCTCAAAGCGATTGAAATCTCCACATGGAAACTCCACAAAAAGAGTGTTTCAAATCTGCTGTTTCTGAAGGAAGGTTCAACTCTGTGAGTTGAATACACGCACCACAAATAAGTTACTGGGAATTCTCCTATCAAACATTATATGAAGAAATCCCGTTTCCAACGAAGGCCTCAAAGAGGTCCAAATATCTGCTTGCAGACTTTACAAAGACAGTGTCTCCAAACTCCTCCATCAAAAGAAAGGTTATACTCTGTGAATTGAACGCACACATCACAAAGTAGTTTCTGAGAGTGATTCTGTCTAGTTTTTATACGAAGATATTTCCTTTTCTACATTTGGCCTGAAAGCGCTTGAAATCTCCACCTGCAAATATCACAAAAAGAGGGTTTCACATCTGCTCTGTCTAAAGGACAGTTCACCTCTGTGAGTTGAATAGAGGCAACACAGAGAACTTACTCAGTATTCTTCTTTCTAGCGTTATATGAAGAAATCCCGTTTCCAACGAAGGCCTCAAAGAGGTCCAAATATCTGCTTGCAGACTTTACAGACAGAGTGTTTCCAAACTACTCTATGAAAAGAAAGCTTAAACTCCTTGAGTTGAACGCACACATCACAAAGTAGTTTCTGAGAATGATTCTGTCTAGTTTTTATACGAAGATGTTTCCTTTTCTACATTTGGTCTCAAAGCGATTGAAATCTCCAACTGGAAACTGCACAAATAGGGTGTTTCAAATCTGCTCTGTCTAAAGGAAGGTTCAACTCTGTGAGTTGAATACACACACCACAAATAAGTTACTGAGAATTCTTCTGTCGAACATTACTTGAAGAAATCCCGTTTCCAACGAAGGCCTCAAAGAGGTCCAAATATCCACTTGCAGACATTACAAACAGAGTGTTTCCAAACTGCTCCATCAAAAGAAAGGTTAAACTCTGTGAGCTGAACACACACATCAAAAAGAAGTTTCTGTGAATGATTCTGTCTAGATTTTATAAGAAGATGTTTCCTTTTCTACCATAGGCCTCAAAGCGCTAGAAATCTCCAGCTGCAAATTCCACAAAAAGTGTGTTTAACATCTGCTCTGTCTAAAGTAAAGTTCAGCTCTGTGAGTTGAATACACACAGCACAAAGAAGTTACTGAGACTTCTCCTATCAAACATTATATGAAGAAATCCCGTTTCCAACGAAGGCCTCAAAGAGGTCCAAATATCTGCTTGCAGACTTTACAGACAGAGTTTTTCCAAACTGCTCCATCAAAAGAAAGGTTAAACTCCTTGAGTTGAACACACACATCACAAAGTAGTTTCTGTGAATGATTCTGTCTAGTTTTTATACGAAGATGTTTCCTTTTCTACCTTTGGTCTCAAAGCGATTGAAATCTCCACATGGAAACTCCACAAAAAGAGTGTTTCAAATCTGCTCTTTCTGAAGGAAGGTTCACCTCTGTGAGTTGAATAAACACACCACAAATAAGTTACTGAGAATTCTTCTGTGTAACATTATATGAGGAAATCCCGTTTCCAACGAAGGCCTCAAAGAGGTCCAAATATCCACTTGCAGACTTTACAAAGACAGTGTCTCCAAACTCCTCCATCAAAAGAAAGGTTATACTCTGTGAATTGAACGCACACATCACAAAGTAGTTTCTGAGAATGATTCTGTCTAGTTTTTATACGAAGATATTTCCTTTTCTACATTTGGCCTAAAAGCGCTTGAAATCTCCACCTGCAAATATCACAAAAAGAGGGTTTCACATCTGCTCTGTCTAAAGGACAGTTCACCTCTGTGAGTTGAATAGAGGCAACACAAAGAACTTACTCAGTATTCTTCTTTCTAGCGTTCTATGAAGAAATCCCGTTTCCAACGAAGGCCCCAAAGAGGTCCAAATATCTGCTTGCAGACTTTACAGACAGAGTGTTTCCAAACTACTCTATGAAAAGAAAGCTTAAACTCCTTGAGTTGAACGCACACATCACAAAGTAGTTTCTGAGAATGATTCTGTCTAGTTTTTATACGAAGATGTTTCCTTTTCTACATTTGGTCTCAAAGCGATTGAAATCTCCAACTGGAAACTGCACAAATAGGCTGTTTCAAATCTGCTCTGTCTAAAGGAAGGTTCAACTCTGTGAGTTGAATACACACACCACAAATAAGTTACTGAGAATTCTTCTGTCGAACATTACATGAAGAATTCCCGTTTCCAACGAAGGCCTCAAAGAGGTCCAAATATCCACTTGCAGGCATTACAAACAGAGTGTTTCCAAACTGCTCCATCAAAAGAAAGGTTAAACTCTGTGAGCTGAACACACACATCAAAAAGAAGTTTCTGTGAATGATTCTGTCTAGATATTATAAGAAGATGTTTCCTTTTCTACCGTAGGCCTCAAAGCGCTTGAAATCTCCAGCTGCAAATTCCACAAAAAGGGTGTTTAACATCTGCTCTTCTAAAGGAAAGTTCAACTCTATGAGTTGAATACACACAGCACAAAGAAGTTACTGAGACTTCTCCTATCAAACATTATATGAAGAAATCCCGTTTCCAACGAAGGCCTCAAAGAGGTCCAAATATCTGCTTGCAGACTTTACAGACAGAGTGTTTCCAAACTACTCTATGAAAAGAAAGCTTAAACTCCTTGAGTTGAACGCACACATCACAAAGTAGTTTCTGAGAATGATTCTGTCTAGTTTTTATACGAAGATATTTCCTTTTCTACATTTGGTCTCAAAGCAATTGAAATCTCCAACTGGAAACTGCACAAATAGGGAGTTTCAAATCTGATCTGTCTAAAGGAAGGTTCAACTCTGTGAGTTGAATACACACACCACAAATAAGTTACTGAGAATTCTTCTGTCGACCATTACTTGAAGAAATCCCGTTTCCAACGAAGGCCTCAAAGAGGTCCAAATATCCACTTGCAGACATTACAAACAGAGTGTTTCCAAACTGCTCCATCAAAAGAAAGGTTAAACTCTGTGAGCTGAACACACACATCGAAAAGAAGTTTCTGTGAATGATTCTGTCTAGATTTTATAAGAAGATGTTTCCTTTTCTACCGTAGGCCTCAAAGCGCTTGAAATCTCCAGCTGCAAATTCCACAAAAAGGGTGTTTAACATCTGCTCTTCTAAAGGAAAGTTCAACTCTATGAGTTGAATACACACAGCACAAAGAAGTTACTGAGACTTCTCCTATCAAACATTATATGAAGAAATCCCGTTTCCAACGAAGGCCTCAAAGAGGTCCAAATATCTGCTTGCAGACTTTACAGACAGAGTGTTTCCAAACTGCTCCATCAAAAGAAAGGTTAAACTCCTTGAGTTGAACACACACATCACAAAGTAGTTTCTGTGAATGATTCTGTCTAGTTTTTATACGAAGATGTTTCCTTTTCTACCTTTGGTCTCAAAGCGATTGAAATCTCCACATGGAAACTCCACAGAAAGAGTGTTTCAAATCTGCTCTTTCTGAAGGAAGGTTCAACTCTGTGAGTTGAATACACACACCACAAATAAGTTACTGAGAATTCTTCTGTGTAACATTATATGAGGAAATCCCGTTTCCAACGAAGGCCTCAAAGAGGTCCAAATATCCACTTGCAGACTTTACAAAGACAGTGTCTCCAAACTCCTCCATCAAAAGAAAGGTTAGACTCTGTGAATTGAACGCACACATCACAAAGTAGTTTCTGAGAATGATTCTGTCTAGTTTTTATACGAAGATATTTCCTTTTCTACATTTGGCCTAAAAGCGCTTGAAATCTCCACCTGCAAATATCACAAAAAGAGGGTTTCACATCTGCTCTGTCTAAAGGACAGTTCACCTCTGTGAGTTGAATAGAGGCAACACAAAGAACTTACTCAGTATTCTTCTTTCTAGCGTTATATGAAGAAATCCCGTTTCCAACGAAGGCCTCAAAGAGGTCCAAATATCTGCTTGCAGACTTTACAGACAGAGTGTTTCCAAACTACTCTATGAAAAGAAAGCTTAAACTCCTTGAGTTGAACGCACACATCACAAAGTAGTTTCTGAGAATGATTCTGTCTTGTTTTTATACGAAGATATTTCCGTTTCTATGATTGGCCTCAAAGCCATTGAAATCTCCAACTGGAAACTGCACAAATAGGGTGTTTCAAATCTGCTCTTTCTAAAGGAAGGTTCAACTCTGTGAGTTGAATACACACACCACAAATAAGTTACTGAGAATTCTTCTGTCAAACATTACATGAAGAAATCCCGTTTCCAACGAAGGCCTCAAAGAGGTCCAAATATCCACTTGCAGACATTACAAACAGAGTGTTTCCAAACTGCTCCATCAAAAGAAAGGTTAAACTCGGTGAGCTGAACACACACATCAAAAAGAAGTTTCTGTGAATGATTCTGTCTAGATTTTATAAGAAGATGTTTCCTTTTCTACCGTAGGCCTCAAAGCGCTTGAAATCTCCAGCTGCAAATTCCACAAAAAGTGTGTTTAACATCTGCTCTTCTAAAGGAAAGTTCAACTCTATGAGTTGAATACACACAGCACAAAGAAGTTACTGAGACTTCTCCTATCAAACATTATATGAAGAAATCCCGTTTCTAACGAAGGCCTCAAAGAGGTCCAAATATCCACTTGCAGACGTGACAAACAGAGTGTTTCCAAACTGCTGCATCAAAAGAAAGGTTAAACTCTGTGAGTTGAACACACACATCACAAAGTAGTTTCTGTGAATGATTCTGTCTAGTTTTTATACGAAGATGTTTCCTTTTCTACCTTTGGTCTCAAAGTGATTGAAATCTCCACATGGAAACTCCACAAAAAGAGTGTTTCAAATCTGCTCTTTCTGAAGGAAGGTTCAAATCTGTGAGTTGAATACACACACCACAAATAAGTTACTGAGAATTCTTCTGTGTAACATTATATGAGGAAATCCCGTTTCCAACGAAGGCCTCAAAGAGGTCCAAATATCCACTTGCAGACTTTACAAAGACAGTGTCTCCAAACTCCTCCATCAAAAGAAAGGTTATACTCTGTGAATTGAACGCACACATCACAAAGTAGTTTCTGAGAATGATTCTGTCTAGTTTTTATACGAAGATATTTCCTTTTCTACATTTGGCCTAAAAGCGCTTGAAATCTCCAAGTGCAAATATCACAAAAAGAGGGTTTCACATCTGCTCTGTCTAAAGGACAGTTCACCTCTGTGAGTTGAATAGAGGCAACACAAAGAACTTACTCAGTATTCTTCTTTCTAGCGTTCTATGAAGAAATCCCGTTTCCAACGAAGGCCCCAAAGAGGTCCAAATGTCTGCTTGCAGACTTTACAGACAGAGTGTTTCCAAACTACTCTATGAAAAGAAAGCTTAAACTCCTTGAGTTGAACGCACACATCACAAAGTAGTTTCTGAGAATGATTCTGTCAAGTTTTTATACAAATGTATTTCCTTTTCTATGGCCTCAAAGCAATTGAAATCTCCAACTGGAAACTGCACAAATAGGGTGTTTCAAATCTGCTCTGTCTAAAGGAAGGTTCAACTCTGTGAGTTGAATACACACACCACAAATAAGTTACTGAGAATTCTTCTGTCGAACATTACATGAAGAAATCCCGTTTCCAACGAAGGCCTCAAAGAGGTCCAAATATCCACTTGCAGACATTACAAACAGAGTGTTTCCAAACTGCTCCATCAAAAGAAAGGTTAAACTCTGTGAGCTGAACACACTCATCAAAAAGAAGTTGTCTGTGAATGATTCTGTCTAGATTTTATAAGAAGATGTTTCCTTTTCTACCGTAGGCCTCAAAGCGCTTGAAATCTCCAGCTGCAAATTCCACAAAAAGGGTGTTTAACATCTGGTCTTCTAAAGGAAATTTCAACTCTATGAGTTGAATACACACAGCACAAAGAAGTTACTGAGATTTCTCCTATCAAACATTAAATGAAGCAATCCCGTTTCCAACGAAGGCCTCAAAGAGGTCCAAATATCTGCTTGCAGACTTTACAGACAGAGTGTTTCCAAACTGCTCCATCAAAAGAAAGGTTAACCTCCTTGAGTTGAACACACACATCACAAAGTAGTTTCTGAGAATGATTCTGTCTAGTTTTTATACGAAGATGTTTCCTTTTCTACCTTTGGTCTCAAAGCGATTGAAATCTCCACATGGAAACTCCACAAAAAGAGTGTTTCAAATCTGCTCTTTCTGAAGGAAGGTTCATCTCTGTGAGTTGAATACACACACCACAAATAAGTTACTGAGAATTCTTCTGTGTAACATTATATGAGGAAATCCCGTTTCCAACGAAGGCCTCAAAGAGGTCCAAATATCCACTTGCAGACTTTACAAAGACAGTGTCTCCAAACTCCTCCATCAAAAGAAAGGTTATACTCTGTGAATTGAACGCACACATCACAAAGTAGTTTCTGAGAATGATTCTGTCTAGTTTTTATACGAAGATATTTCCTTTTCTACATTTGGCCTAAAAGCGCTTGAAATCTCCACCTGCAAATATCACAAAAAGAGGGTTTCACATCTGCTCTGTCTAAAGGACAGTTCACCTCTGTGAGTTGAATAGAGGCAACACAAAGAACTTACTCAGTATTCTTCTTTCTAGCGTTCTATGAAGAAATCCCGTTTCCAACGAAGGCCTCAAAGAGGTCAAATATCTGCTTGCAGACTTTACAGACAGAGTGTTTCCAAACTACTCTATGAAAAGAAAGCTTAAACTCCTTGAGTTGAACGCACACATCACAAAGTAGTTTCTGAGAATGATTCTGTCTAGTTTTTATACGAAGATGTTTCCTTTTCTACATTTGGTCTCAAAGCTCTTGAAATCTCCAACTGGAAACTGCACAAATAGGCTGTTTCAAATCTGCTCTGTCTAAAGGAAGGTTCAACTCTGTGAGTTGAATACACACACCACAAATAAGTTACTGAGAATTCTTCTGTCGAACATTACTTGAAGAAATCCCGTTTCCAAAGAAGGCCTCAAAGAGGTCCAAATATCCACTTGCAGACATTACAAACAGAGTGTTTCCAAACTGCTCCATCAAAAGAAAGGTTAAACTCTGTGAGCTGAACACACACATGAAAAAGAAGTTTCTGTTAATGATTCTGTCTAGATTTTATAAGAAGATGTTTCCTTTTCTACCGTAGGCCTCAAAGCGCTTGAAATCTCCAGCTGCAAATTCCACAAAAAGGGTGTTTAACATCTGCTCTTCTAAAGGAAAGTCCAACTCTATGCGTTGAATACACACCGCACAAAGAAGTTACTGAGACTTCTCCTATCAAACATTATATGAAGAAATCCCGTTTCCAACGAAGGCCTCAAAGAGGTCCAAATATCTGCTTGCAGACTTTACAGACAGAGTGTTTCCAAACTGCTCCATCAAAAGAAAGGTTAAACTCCTTGAGTTGAACACACACATCACAAAATAGTTTCTGTGAATGATTCTGTCTAGTTGTTATACGAAGATGTTTCCTTTTCTACCTTTGGTCTCAAAGCGATTGAAATCTCCACATGGAAACTCCACAAAAAGAGTGTTTCAAATCTGCTCTTTCTGAAGGAAGGTTCATCTCTGTGAGTTGAATACACACACCACAAATAAGTTACTGAGAATTCTTCTGTGTAACATTATATGAGGAAATCCCGTTTCCAACGAAGGCCTCAAAGAGGTCCAAATATCCACTTGCAGACTTTACAAAGACAGTGTCTCCAAACTCCTCCATCAAAAGAAAGGTTATACTCTGTGAATTGAACGCACACATCACAAAGTAGTTTCTGAGAATGATTCTGTCTAGTTTTTCTACGAAGATATGTCCTTTTCCACATTTGGCCTAAAAGCGCTTGAAATCTCCACCTGCAAATATCACAAAAAGAGGGTTTCACATCTGCTCTGTCTAAAGGACAGTTCACCTCTGTGAGTTGAATAGAGGCAACACAAAGAAGTTACTGAGTATTCTTATTTCTAGCGTTATATGAAGAAATCCCATTTCCAACGAAGGCCTCAAACAGGTCCAAATATCTGCTTGCAGACTTTACAGACAGAGTGTTTCCAAACTACTCTATGAAAAGAAAGCTTAAACTCCGTGAGTTGAACGCACACATCACACAGTAGTTTCTGAGAATGATTCTGTCTAGTTTTTATACGAAGATGTTTCCTTTTCTACATTTGGTCTCAAAGCTCTTGAAATCTCCAACTGGAAACTGCACAAATAGGCTGTTTCAAATCTGCTCTGTCTAAAGGAAGGTTCAACTCTGCGAGTTGAATACACACACCACAAATAAGTTACTGAGAATTCTTCTGTCGAACATTACAGGAAGAAATCCCGTTTCCAACGAAGGCCTCAAAGAGGTCCAAATATCCACTTGCAGACATTAGAAACAGTGTGTTTCCAAACTGCTCCATCAAAAGAAAGGTTAAACTCTGTGAGCTGAACACACACATGAAAAAGAAGTTTCTGTGAATGATTCTGTCTAGATTTTATAAGAAGATGTTTCCTTTTCTACCGTAGGCCTCAAAGTGCTTGAAATCTCCAGCTGCAAATTCCACAAAAAGGGTGTTTAACATCTGCTCTTCTAAAGGAAAGTTCAACTCTATGAGTTGAATACACATAGCACAAAGAAGTTACTGAGACTTCTCCTATCAAACATTATATGAAGAAATCCCGTTTCCAACGAAGGCCTCAAAGAGGTCCAAATATCTGCTTGCAGACTTTACAGACAGAGTGTTTCCAAACTGCTCCATCAAAAGAAAGGTTAAACTCCTTGAGTTGAACACACACATCACAAAGTAGTTTCTGTGAATGATTCTGTCTAGTTTTTATACGAAGATGTTTCCTTTTCTACCTTTGGTCTCAAAGCGATTGAAATCTCCACATGGAAACTCCACAAAAAGAGTGTTTCAAATCTGCTCTTTCTGAAGGAAGGTTCAACTCTGTGAGTTGAATACACACACCACAAATAAGTTACTGAGAATTCTTCTGTGTAAAATTATATGAGGAAATCCCGTTTCCAACGAAGGCCTCAAAGAGGTCCAAATATCCACTTGCAGACTTTACAAAGACAGTGTCTCCAAACTCCTCCATCAAAAGAAAGGTTATACTCTGTGAATTGAACGCACACTTCACAAAGTAGTTTCTGAGAATGATTCTGTCTAGTTTTTATACGAAGATATTTCCTTTTCTACATTTGGCCTAAAAGCGCTTGAAATCTCCACCTGCAAATATCACAAAAAGAGGGTTTCACATCTGCTCTGTCTAAAGGACAGTTCACCTCTGTGAGTTGAATAGAGGCAACACAAAGAACTTACTCAGTATTCTTCTTTCTAGCAGTTACTATGAAGAAATCCCGTTTCCAACGAAGGCCCCCAAAAGAGGTCCAAATATCTGCTTGCAGACTTTACAGACAGAGTGTTTCCAAACTACTCTATGAAAAGAAAGCTTAAACTCCTTGAGTTGAACGCACACATCACAAAGTAGTTTCTGAGAATGATTCTGTCTAGTTTTTATACGAAGATGTTTCCTTTTCTACATTTGGTCTCAAAGCGATTGAAATCTCCAACTGGAAACTGCACAAATAGGGTGTTTCAAATCTGCTCTGTCTAAAGGAAGGTTCAACTCTGTGAGTTGAATACACACACCACAAATAAGTTACTGAGAATTCTTCTGTCGAACATTACATGAAGAAATCCCGTTTCCAACGAAGGCCTCAAAGAGGTCCAAATATCCACTTGCAGACATTACAAACAGAGTGTTTCCAAACTGCTCCATCAAAAGAAAGGTTAAACTCTGTGAGCTGAACACACACATCAAAAAGAAGTTTCTGTGAATGATTCTGTCTAGATTTTATAAGAAGATGTTTCCTTTTCTACCGTAGGCCTCAAAGCGCTTGAAATCTCCAGCTGCAAATTCCACAAAAAGGGTGTTTAACATCTGCTCTTCTAAAGGAATGTTCAACTCTATGAGTTGAATACACACAGCACAAAGAAGTTACTGAGACTTCTCCTATCAAACATTATATGAAGAAATCCCGCTTCCAACGAAGGCCTCAAAGAAGTCCAAATATCTGCTCACAAACTTTACAGACAGAGTGTTTCCAAACTGCTCCATCAAAAGAAAGGTTAACCTCCTTGAGTTGAACACACACATCACAAAGTAGTTTCTGTGAGTGATTCTGTCTAGTTGTTATACGAAGATGTTTCCTTTTCTACCTTTGGTCTCAAAGCGATTGAAATCTCCACATGGAAACTCCACAAAAAGAGTGTTTCAAATCTGCTCTTTCTGAAGGAAGGTTCATCTCTGTGAGTTGAGTACACACACCACAAATAAGTTAGTGAGAATTCTTCTGTGTAACATTATATGAGGAAATCCCGTTTCCAACGAAGGCCTCAAATAGATCCAAATATCCACTTGCAGACTTTACAAAGACAGTGTCTCCAAACTCCTCCATCAACAGAAAGGTTATACTCTGAATTGAACGCACACATCACAAAGTAGTTTCTGAGAATGATTCTGTCTAGTTTTTATACGAAGATATTTCCTTTTCTACATTTGGCCTAAAAGCGCTTGAAATCTCCACCTGCAAATATCACAAAAAGAGGGTTTCACATCTGCTCTGTCTAAAGGACAGTTTACCTCTGTGAGTTGAGTAGAGGCAACACAAAGAACTTACTCAGTATTCTTCTTTCTAGCGTTCTATGAAGAAATCCCGTTTCCAACGAAGGCCTCAAAGAGGTCAAATATCTGCTTGCAGACTTTACAGACAGAGTGTTTCCAAACTACTCTATGAAAAGAAAGCTTAAACTCCTTGAGTTGAACGCACACATCACAAAGTAGTTTCTGAGAATGATTCTGTCTAGTTTTTATACGAAGATGTTTCCTTTTCTACATTTGGTCTCAAAGCGATTGAAATCTCCAACTGGAAACTGCACAAATAGGGTGTTTCAAATCTGCTCTGTCTAAAGGAAGGTTCAACTCTTTGAGTTGAATACACACACCACAAATAAGTTACTGAGAATTCTTCTGTCGAACATTACTTGAAGAAATCCCGTTTCCAACGAAGGCCTCAAAGAGGTCCAAATATCCACTTGCAGACATTACAAACAGAGTGTTTCCAAACTGCTCCATCAAAAGAAAGGTTAAACTCTGTGAGCTGAACACACACATCAAAAAGAAGTTTCTGTGAATGATTCTGTCTAGATTTTATAAGAAGATGTTTCCTTTTCTACCGTAGGCCTCAAAGCGCTTGAAATCTCCAGCTGCAAATTCCACAAAAAGGGTGTTTAACATCTGCTCTTCTAAAGGAAAGTTCAACTCTATGAGTTGAATACACACAGCACAAAGAAGTTACTGAGACTTCTCCTATCAAACATTATATGAAGAAATCCCGTTTCCGAAGAAGGCCTCAAAGAGGTCCAAATATCTGCTTGCAGACTTTACAGACAGAGTTTTTCCAAACTGCTCCATCAAAAGAAGGGTTAAACTCCTTGAGTTGAACACACACATCACAAAGTAGTTTCTGTGAATGATTCTGTCTAGTTTTTATACGAAGATGTTTCCTTTTCTACCTTTGGTCTCAAAGCGATTGAAATCTCCACATGGAAACTCCACAAAAAGAGTGTTTCAAATCTGCTCTTTCTGAAGGAAGGTTCATCTCTGTGAGTTGAATACACACACCACAAATAAGTTACTGAGAATTCTCCCTGTGTAACATTATATGAGGAAATCCCGTTTCCAACAAAGGCCTCAAAGAGGTCCAAATATCCACTTGCAGACTTTACAAAGACAGTGTCTCCAAACTCCTCCATCAAAAGAAAGGTTATACTCTGTGAATTGAACGCACACATCACAAAGTAGTTTCTGAGAATGATTCTGTCTAGTTTTTATACGAAGATATTTCCTTTTCTACATTTGGCCTCAAAGCGCTTGAAATCTCCACCTGCAAATATCACAAAAAGAGGGTTTCACATCTGCTCTGTCTAAAGGACAGTTCACTTTTGTGAGTTGAATAGAGGCAACACAAAGAACTTACTCAGTATTCTTCTTTCTAGCGTTCTATGAAGAAATCCCGTTTCCAACGAAGGCCCCAAAGAGGTCCAAATATCTGCTTGCAGACTTTACAGACAGAGTGTTTCCAAACTACTCTATGAAAAGAAAGCTTAAACTCCTTGAGTTGAACGCACACATCACAAAGTAGTTTCTGAGAATGATTCTGTCTAGTTTTTATACGAAGATGTTTCCTTTTCTACATTTGGTCTCAAAGCGATTGAAATCTCCAACTGGAAACTGCACAAATAGGGTGTTTCAAATCTGCTCTGTCTAAAGGAAGGTTCAACTCTGTGAGTTGAATACACACACCACAAATAAGTTACTGAGAATTCTTCTGTCGAACATTACTTGAAGAAATCCCGTTTCCAAAGAAGGCCTCAAAGAGGTCCAAATATCCACTTGCAGACATTACAAACAGAGTGTTTCCAAACTGCTCCATCAAAAGAAAGGTTAAACTCTGTGAGCTGAACACACACATCAAAAAGAAGTTTCTGTGAATGATTCTGTCTAGATTTTATAAGAAGATGTTTCCTTTTCTACCGTAGGCCTCAAAGCGCTTGAAATCTCCAGCTGCAAATTCCACAAAAAGGGTGTTTAACATCTGCTCTTCTAAAGGAAAGTTCAACTCTATGAGTTGAATACACACAGCACAAAGAAGTTACTGAGACTTCTCCTATCAAACATTATAGGAAGAAATCCCGTTTCCAACGAAGGCCTCAAAGAGGTCCAAATATCCACTTGCAGACGTGACAAACAGAGTGTTTCCAAACTGTTCCATCAAAAGAAAGGTTAAACTCTGTGAGTTGAACACACACATCACAAAGTAGTTTCCTGTGAATGATTTCTGTCTAGTTTTTATACGAAGATGTTTCCTTTTCTACCTTTGGTCTCAAAGCCATTG
Source organism: Homo sapiens (assembly GCF_000001405.40). Classification (NCBI taxonomy): domain Eukaryota; kingdom Metazoa; phylum Chordata; class Mammalia; order Primates; family Hominidae; genus Homo; species Homo sapiens. The sequence continues at coordinate 36,525,355 of NC_000012.12, read as the reverse complement.
AAATCTCCACATGGAAACTCCACAAAAAGAGTGTTTCAAATCTGCTCTTTCGGAAGGAAGGTTCAACTCTGTGAGTTGAATACACACACCACAAATAAGTTACTGAGAATTCTTCTGTCGAACATTACAGGAAGAAATCCCGTTTCCAACGAAGGCCTCAAAGAGGTCCAAATATCCACTTGCAGACTTTACAAAGACAGTGTCTCCAAACTCCTCCATCAAAAGAAAGGTTATACTCTGTGAATTGAACGCACACATCACAAAGTAGTTTCTGAGAATGATTCTGTCTAGTTTTTATACGAAGATATTTCCTTTTCTACATTTGGCCTAAAAGTGCTTGAAATCTCCACCTGCAAATATCACAAAAAGAGGGTTTCACATCTGCTCTGTCTAAAGGACAGTTCACCTCTGTGAGTTGAAAAGAGGCAACACAAAGAACTTACTCAGTATTCTTCTTTCTAGCGTTCTATGAAGAAATCCCGTTTCCAACGAATGCCTCAAAGAGGTCCAAATATCTGCTTGCAGACTTTACAGACAAAGTGTTTCCAAACTGCTCCATCAAAAGAAAGCTTAAACTCCTTGAGTTGAACGCACACATCACAAAGCAGTTTACTGAGAATGATTCTGTCTAGTTTTTATACGAAGATGTTTCCTTTTCTACATTTGGTCTCAAAGCGATTGAAATCTCCAACTGGAAACTGCACAAATAGGGTGTTTCAAATCTGCTCTGTCTAAAGGAAGGTTCAACTCTGTGAGTTGAATACACACACCACAAATAAGTTACTGAGAATTCTTCTGTCGAACATTACATGAAGAAATCCCGTTTCCAACGAAGGCCTCAAAGAGGTCCAAATATCCACTTGCAGACATTACAAACAGAGTGTTTCCAAACTGCTCCATCAAAAGAAAGGTTAAACTCTGTGAGCTGAACACACACATCAAAAAGAAGTTTCTGTGAATGATTCTGTCTAGATTTTATAAGAACATGTTTCCTTTTCTACCGTAGGCCTCAAAGCGCTTGAAATATCCAGCTGCAAATTACACAAAAAGGGTGTTTAACATCTGCTCTTCTAAAGGAAAGTTCAACTCTATGAGTTGAATACACACAGCACAAAGAAGTTACTGAGACTTCTCCTATCAAACATTATATGAAGAAATCCCGTTTCCAACGAAGGCCTCAAAGAGGTCCAAATATCTGCTTGCAGACTTTACAGACAGAGTGTTTCCAAACTGCTCCATCAAAAGAAAGGTTAAACTCCTTAAGTTGAACAAACACATCACAAAGTAGTTTCTGTGAATGATTCTGTCTAGTTTTTATACGAAGACGTTTCCTTTTCTACCTTTGGTCTCAAAGCGATTGAAATCTCCACATGGAAACTCCACAAAAAGAGTGTTTCAAATCTGCTCTTTCTGAAGGAAGGTTCAACTCTGTGAGTTGAATACACACACCACAAATAAGTTACTGAGAATTCTTCTGTGTAACATTATATGAGGAAATCCCGTTTCCAACGAAGGCCTCAAAAAGGTCCAAATATCCACTTGCAGACTTTACAAAGACAGTGTCTCCAAACTCCTCCATCAAAAGAAAGGTTATACTCTGTGAATTGAACGCACACATCACAAAGTAGTTTCTGAGAATGATTCTGTCTAGTTTTTATACGAAGATATTTCCTTTTCTACATTTGGCCCAAAAGCGCTTGAAATCTCCACCTGCAAATATCACAAAAAGAGGGTTTCACATCTGCTCTGTCTAAAGGACAGTTCACCTCTGTGAGTTGAGTAGAGGCAACACAAAGAACTTACTCAGTATTCTTCTTTCTAGCGTTCTATGAAGAAATCCCGTTTCCAACGAAGGCCCCAAAGAGGTCCAAATATCTGCGTGCAGACTTTACAGACAGAGTGTTTCCAAACTACTCTATGAAAAGAAAGCTTAAACTCCTTGAGTTGAACGCACACATCACAAAGTAGTTTCTGAGAATGATGCTGTCTAGTTTTTGTACGAAGATGTTTCCTTTTCTACATTTGGTCTCAAAGCGATTGAAATCTCCAACTGGAAACTGCACAAATAGGGTGTTTCAAATCTGCTCTGTCTAAAGGAAGGTTCAACTCTGTGAGTTGAATACACACACCACAAATAAGTTACTGAGAATTCTTCTGTCGAACATTACTTGAAGAAATCCCGTTTCCAACGAAGGCCTCAAAGAGGTCCAAATATCCACTTGCAGACATTACAAACAGAGTGTTTCCAAACTGCTCCATCAAAACAAAGGTTAAACTCTGTGAGCTGAACACACACATCGAAAAGAAGTTTCTGTGAATGATTTCTGTCTAGATTTTATAAGAAGATGTTTCATTTTCTACCGTAGGCCTCAAAACGCTTGAAATCTCCAGCTGCAAATTCCACAAAAAGGGTGTTTAACATCTGCTCTTCTAAAGGAAAGTTCAACTCTATGAGTTGAATACACACAGCACAAAGAAGTTACTGAGACTTCTTCTGTCGAACACTACTTGAAGAAATCCCGTTTCCAACGAAGGCCTCACAGAGGTCCAAATATCTGCTTGCAGACTTTACAGACAGAGTGTTTCCAAACTGCTCCATCAAAAGAAAGGTTAAACTCCTTGAGTTGAACACACACATCACAAAGTAGTTTCTGTGAATGATTCTGTCTAGTTTTTATACGAAGATGTTTCCTTTTCTACCTTTGGTCTCAAAGCGATTGAAATCTCCAACTGGAAATTGCACAAATAGGGTGTTTCAAATCTGCTCTGTCTAAAGGAAGGTTCAACTCTGTGAGTTGAATACACACAACACAAATAAGTTACTGAGAAATCTTCTGTCGAACATTACTTGAAGAAATCCCGTTTCCAACGAAGGCCTCAAAGGAGGTCCAAATATCCACTTGCAGACATTACAAACAGAGTGTTTCCAAACTGCTCCATCAAAAGAAAGGTTAAACTCTGTGAGCTGAACACACACATCAAAAAGAAGTTTCTGTGAATGATTCTGTCTAGATTTTATAAGAAGATGTTTCCTTTTCTACCGTAGGCCTCAAAGCACTTGAAATCTCCAGCTGCAAATTCCACAAAAAGGGTGTTTAACATCTGCTCTTCTAAAGGAAAGTTCAACTCTATGCGTTGAATACACACAGCACAAAGAAGTTACTGAGACTTCTCCTATCAAACATTATATGAAGAAATCCCGTTTCCAACGAAGGCCTCAAAGAGGTCCAAATATCTGCTTGCAGACTTTACAGACAGAGTGTTTCCAAACTGCTCCATCAAAAGAAAGGTTAAACTCCTTGAGTTGAACACACACATCACAAAGTAGTTTCTGTGAATGATTCTGTCTAGTTTTTATACGAAGATGTTTCCTTTTCTACCTTTGGTCTCAAAGCGATTGAAATCTCCACATGGAAACTCCACAAAAAGAGTGTTTCAAATCTGCTCTTTTTGAAGGAAGGTTCAACTCTGTGAGTTGAATACAAACACCACAAATAAGTTACTGAGAATTCTTCTGTGTAACATTATATGAGGAAATCCCGTTTCCAACGAAGGCCACAAAGAGGTCCAAATATCCACTTGCAGACTTTACAAAGACAGTGTCTCCAAACTCCTCCATGAAAAGAAAGGTTATACTCTGTGAATTGAACGCACACATCACAAAGTAGTTTCTGAGAATGATTCTGTCTAGTTTTTATACGAAGATATTTCCTTTTCTACATTTGGCCTCAAAGCGCTTGAAATCTCCACCTGCAAATATCACAAAAAGAGGGTTTCACATCTGCTCTGTCTAAAGGACAGTTCACCTCTGTGAGTTGAATAGAGGCAACACAAAGAACTTACTCAGTATTCTTCTTTCTAGCGTTATATGAAGAACTCCCGTTTCCAACGAAGGCCTCAAAGAGGTCCAAATATCTGCTTGCAGACTTTACAGACAGAGTGTTTCCAAACTACTCTATGAAAAGAAAGCTTAAACTCCTTGACTTGAACGCACACATCACAAAGTAGTTTCTGAGAATGATTCTGTCTAGTTTTTATACGAAGATGTTTCCTTTTCTACATTTCGTCTCAAAGCGATTGAAATCTCCAACTGGAAACTGCACAAATAGGGTGTTTCAAATCTGCTCTGTCTAAAGGAAGGTTCAACTCTGTGAGTTGAATACACACACCACAAATAAGTTACTGAGAATTCTTCTGTCGAACATTACTTGAAGAAATCCCGTTTCCAACGAAGGCCTCAAAGAGGTCCAAATATCCACTTGCAGACATTACAAACAGAGTGTTTCCAAACTGCTCCATCAAAAGAAAGGTTAAACTCTGTGAGCTGAACACACACATCAAAAAGAAGTTTCTGTGAATGATTCTGTCTAGATTTTATAAGAAGATGTTTCCTTTTCTACCGTAGGCCTCAAAGCGCTTGAAATCTCTGGTTGCAAATTCCACAAAAAGGGTGTTTAACATGTGCTCTTCTAAAGGAAAGTTCAACTCTATGAGTTGAATACACACAGCACAAAGAAGTTACTGAGACTTCTCCTATCAAACATTATATGAAGAAATCCCGTTTCCAACGAAGGCCTCAAAGAGGTCCAAATATCTGCTTGCAGACTTTACAGACAGAGTGTTTCCAAACTGCTCCATCAAAAGAAAGGTTAAACTCCTTGAGTTGAACACACACATCACAAAGTAGTTTCTGTGAATGATTCTGTCTAGTTTTTATACGAAGATGTTTCCTTTTCTACCTTTGGTCTCAAAGCGATTGAAATCTCCACATGGAAACTCCACAAAAAGAGTGTTTCAAATCTGCTCTTTCTGAAGGAAGGTTCAACTCTGTGAGTTGAATACACACACCACAAATAAGTTACTGAGAATTCTTCTGTGTAACATTATAGGAGGAAATCCCGTTTCCAACGAAGGCCTCAAAGAGGTCCAAATATCCACTTGCAGACGTGACAAACAGAGTGTTTCCAAACTGCTCCATCCAAAGAAAGGTTAAACTCTGTGAGTTGAACACACACATCACAAAGTAGTGTCTGTGAATGATTTTGTCTAGTTTTTATACGAAGATGTTTCCTTTTCTACCTTTGGTCTCAAAGCGATTGAAATCTCCACATGGAAACTCCACAAAAAGAGCGTTTCAAATCTGCTATTTCTGAAGGAAGGTTCAACTCTGTGAGTTGAATACACACACCACAAATATGTTACTGAGAATTCTTCTGGGTAACATTATATGAGGAAATCCCGTTTCCAACGAAGGCCTCAAAGAGGTCCAAATATCCACTTGCAGACTTTACAAAGACAGTGTCTCCAAACTCCTCCATCAAAAGAAAGGTTATACTCTGTGAATTGAACGCACACATCACAAAGTAGTTTCTGAGAATGATTCTGTCTAGTTTTTATACGAAGATATTTCCTTTTCTACATTTGGCCTAAAAGCGCTTGAAATCTCCACCTGCAAATATCACAAAAAGAGGGTTTCACATCTGCTCTGTCTAAAGGACAGTTCACCTCTGTGAGTTGAGTAGAGGCAACACAAAGAACTTACTCAGTATTCTTCTTTCTAGCGTTCTATGAAGAAATCCCGTTTCCAACGAAGGCCTCAAAGAGGTCCAAATATCTGCTTGCAGACTTTACAGACAGAGTGTTTCCAAACTACTCTATGAAAAGAAAGCTTAAACTCCTTGAGTTGAACGCACACATCACAAAGTAGTTTCTGAGAATGATTCTGTCTAGTTTTTATAAGAAGATGTTTCCTTTTCTACATTTGGTCTCAAAGCGATTGAAATCTCCAACTGGAAACTGCACAAATAGGGTGTTTCAAATCTGCTCTGTCTAAAGGAAGGTTCAACTCTGTGAGTTGAATACACACACCACAAATAAGTTACTGAGAATTCTTCTGTCGAACATTACATGAAGAAATCCCGTTTCCAACGAAGGCCTCAAAGAGGTCCAAATATCCACTTGCAGACATTACAAACAGAGTGTTTCCAAACTGCTCCATCAAAAGAAAGGTTAAACTCTGTGAGCTGAACACACACATCAAAAAGAAGTTTCTGTGAATGATTCTGTCTAGATTTTATAAGAAGATGTTTCCTTTTCTACCGTAGGCCTCAAAGCGCTTGAAATCTCCAGCTGCAAATTCCACAAAAAGGGTGTTTAACATCTGCTCTTCTAAAGGAAAGTTCAACTCTATGCGTTGAATACACACAGCACAAAGAAGTTACTGAGACTTCTCCTATCAAACATTATATGAAGAAATCCCGTTTCCAACGAAGGCCTCAAAGAGGTCCAAATATCTGCTTGCAGACTTTACAGACAGAGTGTTTCCAAACTGCTCCATCAAAAGAAAGGTTAAACTCCTTGAGTTGAACACACACATCACAAAGTAGTTTCTGTGAATGATTCTGTCTAGTTGTTATACGAAGATGTTTCCTTTTCTACCTTTGGTCTCAAAGCGATTGAAATCTCCACATGGAAACTCCACAAAAAGAGTGTTTCAAATCTGCTCTTTCTGAAGGAAGGTTCATCTCTGTGAGTTGAATACACACACCACAAATAAGTTACTGAGAATTCTTTCTGTGTAACATTATATGAGGAAATCCCGTTTCCAACGAAGGCCTCAAAGAGGTCGAAATATGCACTTGTAGACTTTACAAAGACAGTGTCTCCAAACTCCTCCATCAAAAGAAAGGTTATACTCTGTGAATTGAACGCACACATCACAAAGTAGTTTCTGAGAATGATTCTGTCTAGTTTTTATACGAAGATATTTCCTTTTCTACATTTGGCCTAAAAGCGCTTGAAATCTCCACCTGCAAATATCACAAAAAGAGGGTTTCACATCTGCTCTGTCTAAAGGACAGTTCACCTCTGTGAGTTGAATAGAGGCAACACAAAGAACTTACTCAGTATTCTTCTTTCTAGCGTTATATGAAGAAATCCCGTTTCCAACGAAGGCCTCAAAGAGGTCCAAATATCTGCTTGCCGACTTTACAGACAGAGTGTTTCCAAACTACTCTATGAAAAGAAAGCTTAAACTCCTTGAGTTGAACGCACACATCACAAAGTTGTTTCTGAGAATGATTCTGTCTTGTTTTTATACAAGGTTATTTCCGTTTCTATGATTGGCCTCAAAGCGATTGAAATCTCCAACTGGAAACTGCACAAATAGGGTGTTTCAAATCTGCTCTGTCTAAAGGAAGGTTCAACTCTGTGAGTTGAATACACACACCACAAATAACTTACTGAGAATTCTTCTGTCGAACATTACATGAAGAATTCCCGTTTCCAACGAAGGCCTCAAAGAGGTCCAAATATCCACTTGCAGGCATTACAAACAGAGTGTTTCCAAACTGCTCCATCAAAAGAAAGGTTAAACTCTGTGAGCTGAACACACACATCAAAAAGAAGTTTCTGTGAATGATTCTGTCTAGATTTTATAAGAAGATGTTTCCTTTTCTACCATAGGCCTCAAAGCGCTTGAAATCTCCAGCTGCAAATTCCACAAAAAGGGTGTTTAACATCTGCTCTTCTAAAGGAAAGTTCAACTCTATGAGTTGAATACACACAGCACAAAGAAGTTACTGAGACTTCTCCTATCAAACATTATATGAAGAAATCCCGTTTCCAACGAAGGCCTCAAAGAGGTCCAAATATCTGCTTGCAGACTTTACAGACAGAGTGTTTCCAAACTGCTCCATCAAAAGAAAGGTTAAACTCCTTGAGGTGAACACACACATCACAAAGTAGTTTCTGTGAATGATTCTGTCTAGTTTTTATACGAAGATGTTTCCTTTTCTACCTTTGGTCTCAAAGCGATTGAAATCTCCACATGGAAACTCCACAAAAAGAGTGTTTCAAATCTGCTCTTTCTGAAGGAAGGTTCAACTCTGTGAGTTGAATACACACACCACAAATAAGTTACTGAGAATTCTCCTATCAAACATCATATGAAGCAAATCCCGTTTCCAACGAAGGCCTCAAAGAGGTCCAAATATCTGCTTGCAGACTTTACAAAGACAGTGTCTCCAAACTCCTCCATCAAAAGAAAGGTTATACTCTGTGAATTGAACGCACACATCACAAAGTAGTTTCTGAGAATGATTCTGTCTAGTTTTTATACGAAGATATTTTTTTTTCTACATTTGGCCTAAAAGCGCTTGAAATCTCCACCTGCAAATATCACAAAAAGAGGGTTTCACATCTGCTCTTTCTAAAGGACAGTTCACCTCTGTGAGTTGAATAGAGGCAACACAAAGAACTTACTCAGTATTCTTCTTTCTACCGTTCTATGAAGAAATCCCGTTTCCAACGAAGGCCTCAAAGAGGTCCAAATATCTGCTTGCAGACTTTACAGACAGAGTGTTTCCAAACTACTCTATGAAAAGAAAGCTTAAACTCCTTGAGTTGAACGCACACATCACAAAGTAGTTTCTGAGAATGATTCTGTCTAGTTTTTATACGAAGATGTTTCCTTTTCTACATTTGGTCTCAAAGGGATTGAAATCTCCAACTGGAAACTGCACAAATAGGGTGTTTCAAATCTGCTCTGTCTAAAGGAAGGTTCAACTCTGTGAGTTGAATACACACACCACAAATAAGTTACTGAGAATTCTTCTGTCGAACATTACTTGAAGAAATCCCGTTTCCAACGAAGGCCTCAAAGAGGTCCAAATATCCACTTGCAGACATTACAAACAGAGTGTTTCCAAACTGCTCCATCAAAAGAAAGGTTAAACTCTGTGAGCTGAACACACACATCAAAAACAAGTTTCTGTGAATGATTCTGTCTAGATTTTATAAGAAGATGTTTCCTTTTCTACCGTAGGCCTCAAAGCGCTTGAAATCTCCAGCTGCAAATTCCACAAAAAGGGTGTTTAACATCTGCTCTTCTAAAGGAAAGTTCAACTCTATGAGTTGAATACACACAGCACAAAGAAGTTACTGAGACTTCTCCTATCAAACATTATATGAAGAAATCCCGTTTCCAACGAAGGCCTCAAAGAGGTCCAAATGTCTGCTTGCAGACTTTACAGACAGAGTGTTTCCAAACTGCTCCATCAAAAGAAAGGTGAAACTCCTTGAGTTGAACACACACATCACAAAGTAGTTTCTGTGAATGATTCTGTCTAGTTTTTATACGAAGATGTTTCCTTTTCTACCTTTGGTCTCAAAGCGATTGAAATCTCCACATGGAAACTCCACAAAAAGAGTGTTTCAAATCTGCTCTTTCTGAAGGAAGGTTCAACTCTGTGAGTTGAATACACACACCACAAATAAGTTACTGAGAATTCTTCTGTGTAACATTATATGAGGAAATCCCGTTTCCAACGAAGGCCTCAAAGAGGTCCAAATATCCACTTGCAGACTTTACAAAGACAGTGTCTCCAAACTCCTCCATCAAAAGAAAGGTTATACTCTGTGAATTGAACGCACACATCACAAAGTAGTTTCTGAGAATGATTCTGTCTAGTTTTTATACGAAGATATTTCCTTTTATACATTTGGCCTAAAAGCGCTTGAAATCTCCACCTGCAAATATCACAAAAAGAGGGTTTCACATCTGCTCTGTCTAAAGGACAGTTCACCTCTGTGAGTTGAATAGAGGCAACACAAAGAACTTACTCAGTATTCTTCTTTCTAGCGTTCTATGAAGAAATCCCGTTTCCAACGAAGGCCGCAAAGAGGTCAAATATCTGCTTGCAGACTTTACAGACAGAGTGTTTCCAAACTACTCTATGAAAAGAAAGCTTAAACTCCTTGAGTTGAACGCACACATCACAAAGTAGTTTCTGAGAATGATTCTGTCTAGTTTTTATACGAAGATGTTTCCTTTTCTACATTTGGTCTCAAAGCGATTGAAATCTCCAACTGGAAACTGCACAAATAGGGTGTTTCAAATCTGCTCTGTCTAAAGGAAGGTTCAACTCTATGAGTTGAATACACACACCACAAATAAGTTACTGAGAATTCTTGTGTCGAACATTACATGAAGAAATCCCGTTTCCAACGAAGGCCTCAAAGAGGTCCAAATATCCACTTGCAGACATTACAGAGTGTTTCCAAACTGCGCCATCAAAAGAAAGTTTAAACTCTGTGAGCTGAACACACACATCAAAAAGAAGTTTCTGTGAATGATTCTGTCTAGATTTTATAAGAAGATGTTTCCTTTTCTACCGTAGGCCTCAAAGCGCTTGAAATCTCCAGCTGCAAATTCCACAAAAAGGGTGTTTAACATCTGCTCTTCTAAAGGAAAGTTCAACTCTATGAGTTGAATACACACAGCACAAAGAAGTTACTGAGACTTCTCCTATCAAACATTATATGAAGAAACCCCGTTTCCAACGAAGGCCTCAAAGAGGTCCAAATATCTGCTTGCAGACTTTACAGACAGAGTGTTTCCAAACTGCTCCATCAAAAGAAAGGTTAAACTCCTTGAGTTGAACACACACATCACAAAGTAGTTTCTGTGAATGATTCTGTCTAGTTTTTATACGAAGATGTTTCCTTTTCTACCTTTGGTCTCAAAGCGATTGAAATCTCCACATGGAAACTCCACAAAAAGAGTGTTTCAAATCTGCTCTTTCTTAAGGAAGGTTCAAATCTGTGAGTTGAATACACACACCACAAATAAGTTACTGAGAATTCTTCTGTGTATCATTATATGAGGAAATCCCGTTTCCAACGAAGGCCTCAAAGAGGTCCAAATATCCACTTGCAGACTTTACAAAGACAGTGTCTCCAAACTCCTCCATCGAAAGAAAGTTTATACTCTGTGAATTGAACGCACACATCACAAAGTAGTTTCTGAGAATGATTCTGTCTAGTTTTTATACGAAGATATTTCCTTTTCTACATTTGGCCTAAAAGCGCTTGAAATCTCCACCTGCAAATATGACAAAAAGAGGGTTTCACATCTGCTCTGTCTAAAGGACAGTTCACCTCTGTGAGTTGAATAGAGGCAACACAAAGAACTTACTCAGTATTCTTCTTTCTAGCGTTGTATGAAGAAATCCCGTTTCCAACGAAGGCCTCAAAGAGGTCCAAATATCTGCTTGCAGACTTTACAGACAGAGTGTTTCCAAGCTACTCTATGAAAAGAAAGCTTAAACTCCGTGAGTTGAACGCACACATCACAAAGTAGTTTCTGAGAATGATTCTGTCTTGTTTTTATACGAAGATATTTCCGTTTCTACGATTGGCCTCAAAGCGATTGAAATCTCCAACTGGAAACTGCACAAACAGGGTGTTTCAAATCTGCTCTGTCTAAAGGAAGGTTCAACTCTGTGAGTTGAATACACACACCACAAATAAGTTACTGAGAATTCTTCTGTCGAACATTACATGAAGAAACCCCGTTTCCAACGAAGGCCTCAAAGAGTTCCAAATATCCACTTGCCGACATGGCAAACACAGCGTTTGCAAACTGCTCCGTCAGAAGAAAGGTTAAACTCTGTGAGATGAACACACACATCAAAAAGAAGTTTCTGTGAATGATTGTGTCCAGATTTCATAAGAAGATGTTTCCTTTTCTACCATAGGCCTCAAAGCACAAGAAATCTCCACCTGCAAATTCCACAAAAAGTGTGTTTAACATCTGCTCGGTCTAAAGTAAAGTTCAGCTCTGTGAGTTGAATACACACAGCACAAAGAAGTTACTGAGACTTCCTCTGTCTAACATTATATGAAGAAATCCCGTTTCCAACGAAGGCCTCAAAGAGGTCCAAATATCCACTTGCAGACTTGTCAAACAGAGTGTTTCCAAACTGCACCATCAAAAGAAAGGTTAAACTCTGTGAGCTGAACACACACAACACAAAGTAGTTTCTGTGAATGATTCTGTCTAGTTTTTATACGAAGATGTTTCGTTTTCTACCTTTGGTCTCAAAGCGATTGAAATCTCCACATGGAAACTCCACAAAAAGAGTGTTTCAAATCTGCTCTTTCTGAAGGAAGGTTCAACTCTGTGAGTTGAATACACACACCACAAATAAGTTACTGAGAATTCTCCTATCAAACATTATATGAAGAAATCCCATTTCCAACGAAGGCCTCAAAGAGGTCCAAATATCTGCTTGCAGACTTTACAGACAGAGTGTTTCCAAACTGCTCCATCAAAAGAAAGGTTAAACTCCTTGAGTTGAACACACACATCACAAAGTAGTTTCTGTGAATGATTCTGTCTAGTTTTTATACGAAGATGTTTCCTTTTCTACCTTTGGTCTCAAAGCGATTGAAATCTCCACATGGAAACTCCACAAAAAGAGTGTTTCAAATCTGCTCTTTCTGAAGGAAGGTTCAACTCTGTGAGTTGAATACACACACCACAAATAAGTTACTGAGAATTCTTCTGTGTAACATTATAGGAGGAAATCCCGTTTCCAACGAAGGCCTCAAAGAGGTCCAAATATCCACTTGCAGACTTTACAAAGACAGTGTCTCCAAACTCCTCCATCAAAAGAAAGCTTATCCTCTGTGAATTGAACGCACACATCACAAAGTAGTTTCTGAGAATGATTCTGTCTAGTTTTTATACGAAGATATTTCCTTTTCTACATTTGGCCTAAAAGCGCTTGAAATCTCCACCTGCAAATATCACAAAAAGAGGGTTTCACATCTGCTCTGTCTAAAGGACAGTTCACCTCTGTGAGTTGAATAGAGGCAGCACAAAGAAGTTACTGAGTATTCTTCTTTCTAGCGTTACATGAAGAAATCCCGTTTCCAACGAAGGCCTCAAAGAGGCCCAAATATCTGCTTGCAGACTTTACAGACAGAGTGTTTCCAAACTACTCTATGAAAAGAAAGCTTAAACTCCTTGAGTTGAACGCACACATCACAAAGTAGTTTCTGAGAATGATTCTGTCTTGTTATTATACGAAGATATTTCTGTTTCTACGATTGGCCTCCAAGCGATTGAAATCTCCAACTGGAAACTGCACAAATAGGGTGTTTCAAATCTGCTGTGTCTAAAGGAAGGTTCCACTCTGTGAGTTGAATACACACACCACAAATAAGTTACGGAGAATTCTTCTGTCGAACATTACTTGAAGAAATCCCGTTTCCAACGAAGGCCTCAAAGAGGTCCAAATATCCACTTGCAGACATTACAAACAGAGTGTTTCCAAACTGCTCCATCAAAAGAAAGGTTAAACTCTGTGAGCTGAACACACACATCAAAAAGAAGTTTCTGTGAATGATTCTGTCTAGATTTTATAAGAACATATTTCCTTTTCTACCGTAGGCCACAAAGCGCTTGAAATCTCCAGCTGCAAATTCCACAAAAAGGGTGTTTAACATCTGCTCTTCTAAAGGAAAGTTCAACTCTATGCGTTGAGTACACACAGCTCAAAGAAGTTACTGAGACTTCTCCTATCAAACATTATATGAAGAAATCCCGTTTCCAACGAAGGCCTCAAAGAGGTCCAAATATCTGCTTGCAGTCTTTAAAGACAGAGTTTTTCCAAACTGCTCCATCAAAAGAAAGGTTAAACTCCTTGAGTTGAACACACACATCACAAAGTAGTTTCTGTGAATGATTCTGTCTAGTTGTTATACGAAGATGTTTCCTTTTCTACCTTTGGTCTCAAAGCGATTGAAATCTCCACATGGAAACTCCACAAAAAGAGTGTTTCAAATCTGCTCTTTCTGAAGGAAGGTTCATCTCTGTGAGTTGAATACACACACCACAGATAAGTTACTGAGAATTCTTCTGTGTAACATTATATGAGGAAATCCCGTTTCCAACGATGGCCTCAAAGAGGTCCAAATATCCACTTGCAGATTTTAAAAAGACAGTGTCTCCAAACTCCTCCATCAAAAGAAAGGTTATACTGTGTGAATTGAACGCACACATCACAAAGTAGTTTCTGAGAATGATTCTGTCTAGTTTTTATACGAAGATATTTCCTTTTCTACATTTGGCTTAAAAGCGCTTGAAATCTCCATCTGCAAATATCACAAAAAGAGGGTTTCACATCTGCTCTGTCTAAAGGACAGTTCACCTCTGTGAGTTGAATAGAGGCAACACAAAGAACTTACTCAGTATTCTTCTTTCTACCGTTCTATGAAGAAATCCCGTTTCCAACGAAGGCCTCAAAGAGGTCCAAATATCTGCTTGCAGACTTTACAGACAGAGTGTTTCCAAACTACTCTATGAAAAGAAAGCTTAAACTCCTTGAGTTGAACGCACACATCACAAAGTAGTTTCTGAGAATGATTCTGTCTAGTTTTTATACGAAGATGTTTCCTTTTCTACCTTTGGTCTCAAAGCGATTGAAATCTCCAACTGGAAACTGCACAAATAGGGTGTTTCAAATCTACTCTGTCTAAAGGAAGGTTCAACTCTGTGAGTTGAATACACACACCACAAATAAGTTACTGAGAATTCTTCTGTCGAACATTACAGGAAGAAATCCCGTTTCCAACGAAGGCCTCAAAGAGGTCCAAATATCCACTTGCAGACATTACAAACAGAGTGTTTCCAAACTGCTCCATCAAAAGAAAGGTTAAACTCTGTGAGCTGAACACACACATCAAAAAGAAGTTTCTGTGAATGATTCTGTCTAGATTTTATAAGAAGATGTTTCCTTTTCTACCGTAGGCCTCAAAGCGCTTGAAATCTCCAGCTGCAAATTCCACAAAAAGGGTGTTTAACATCTGCTCTTCTAAAGGAAAGTTCAACTCTATGAGTTGAATACACACAGCACAAAGAAGTTACTGAGAATTCTCCTATCAAACATTATATGAAGAAATCCCGTTTCCAACGAAGGCCTCAAAGAGGTCCAAATATCTGCTTGCAGACTTTACAGACAGAGTTTTTCCAAACTGCTCCATCAAAAGAAAGGTTAAACTCCTTGAGTTGAACACACACATCACAAAGTAGTTTCTGTGAATGATTCTGTCTAGTTTTTATACGAAGATGTTTCCTTTTCTACCTTTGGTCTCAAAGCGATTGAAATCTCCACATGGAAACTCCACAAAAAGAGTGTTTCAAATCTGCTCTTTCTGAAGGAAGGTTCACCTCTGTGAGTTGAATAAACACACCACAAATAAGTTACTGAGAATTCTTCTGGGTAACATTATATGAGGAAATCCCGTTTCCAACGAAGGCCTCAAAGAGGTCCAAATATCCACTTGCAGACTTTACAAAGACAGTGTCTCCAAACTCCTCCATCAAAAGAAAGGTTATACTCTGTGAATTGAACGCACACATCACAAAGTAGTTTCTGAGAATGATTCTGTCTAGTTTTTATACGAAGATATTTCCTTTTCTACATTTGGCCTAAAAGCGCTTGAAATCTCCACCTGCAAATATCACAAAAAGAGGGTTTCACATCTGCTCTGTCTAAAGGACAGTTCACCTGTGTGAGTTGAATAGAGGCAACACAAAGAACTTACTCAGTATTCTTCTTTCTAGCGTTCTATGAAGAAATCCCGTTTCCAACGAAGGCCTCAAAGAGGTCCAAATATCTGCTTGCAGACTTTACAGACAGAGTGTTTCCAAACTACTCTATTAAAAGAAAGCTTAAAATCCTTAAGTTGAACGCACACATCACAAAGTAGTTTCTGAGAATGATTCTGTCTTGTTTTTATACAAAGTTATTTCCGTTTCTATGATTGACCTCAAAGCGATTGAAATCTCCAACTGGAAACTGCACAAATAGGGTGTTTCAAATCCGCTCTGTCTAAACGAAGGTTCAACTCTGTGAGTTGAATACACACACCACAAATAAGTTACTGAGAATTCTTCTTTCTAGCGTTCTATGAAGAAATCCCGTTTCCAACGAAGGCCTCTAAGAGGTCCAAATATCCACTTGCAGACATTACAAACAGTGTGTTTCCAAACTGCTCCATCAAAAGAAAGGTTAAACTCTGTGAGCTGAACACACACATCAAAAAGAAGTTTCTGTGAATGATTCTGTCTAGATTGTATAAGAAGATGTTTCCTTTTCTACCGTAGGCCTCGAAGCGCTTGAAATCTATAGCTGCAAATTCCACAAAAAGGGTGTTTAACATCTGCTCTTCTAAAGGAAAGTTCAACTCTATGAGTTGAATACACACAGCACAAAGAAGTTACTGAGACTTCTCCTATCAAACATTATATGAAGAAATCCCGTTTCCAACGAAGGCCTCAAAGAGGTCCAAATATCTGCTTGCAGACTTTACAGACAGAGTGTTTCCAAACTGCTCCATCAAAAGAAAGGTTAAACTCCTTGAGTTGAACACACACATCACAAAGTAGTTTCTGTGAATGATTCTGTCTAGTTTTTATACGAAGACGTTTACTTTTCTACCTTTGGTCTCAAAGCGATTGAAATCTCCACATGGAAACTCCACAAAAAGAGTGTTTCAAATCTGCTCTTTCTGAAGGAAGGTTCAACTCTGTGAGTTGAATACACACACCACAAATAAGTTACTGAGAATTCTTCTGTGTAACATTATATGAGGAAATCCCGTTTCCAACGAAGGCCTTAAAGAGTTCCAAATATCCACTTGCAGACTTTACAAAGACAGTGTCTCCAAACTCCTCCATCAAAAGAAAGGTTATACTCTGTGAATTGAACGCACACATCACAAAGTAGTTTCTGAGAATGATTCTGTCTAGTTTTTATACGAAGATATTTCCTTTTCTACATTTGGCCTAAAAGCGCTTGAAATCTGCACCTGCAAATGTCACAAAAAGAGGGTTTCACATCTGCTCTGTCGAAAGGACAGTTCACCTCTGTGAGTTGAATAGAGGCAACACTAAGAAGTTACTGAGTATTCTTCTTTCTAGCGTTATATGAAGAAATCCCGTTTCCAACGAAGGCCTGAAAGAGGTCCAAATATCTGCTTGAACACTTTACAGACAGAGTGTTTCCAAACTACTCTATAAAAAGAAAGCTTAAACTCCGTGAGTTGAACGCACACATCACAATGTAGTTTCTGAGAATGATTCTGTCTTTTTTTTTATACGAAGATATTTCCGTTTCTACGATTGGCCTCAAAGTGATTGAATTCTACAACTGGAAACTGCACAAATAGGGTGTTTCAAATCTGCTCTGTCTAAAGGAAGGTTCAACTCTGTGAGTTGAATACACACACCACAAATAAGTTACCGAGAATTCTTCTGTCGAACATTACATGAAGAAATCCAGTTTCCAACGAAGGCCTCAAAGAGGTCCAAATATCCACTTGCAGACATTACAAACAGAGTGTTTCCAACCTGCTGCAACAAAAGAAAGGTTAAACTCTGTGAGCTGAACACACACATCACAAAGAAGTTTCTGTGAATGATTCTGTCTAGATTTTATAAGAAGATGTTTCCTTTTCTACCGTAGGCCTCAAAGCGCTTGAAATCTCCAGCTGCAAATTCCACAAAAAGGGTGTTTAACATCTGCTCTTCTAAAGGAAAGTTCAACTCTATGAGTTGAATACACACAGCACAAAGAAGTTACTGAGACTTCTCCTATCAAACATTATATGAAGAAATCCCGTTTCCAACGAAGGCCTCAAAGAGGTCCAAATATCTGCTTGCAGACTTTACAGACAGAGTTTTTCCAAACTGCTCCATCAAAAGAAAGGTTAAACTCCTTGAGTTAAACACACACATCACAAAGTAGTTTCTGTGAATGATTTCTGTCTAGTTTTTATACAAAGATGTTTCCTTTTCTACCTTTGGTCTCAAAGCGATTGAAATCACCACATGGAAACTCCACAAATGGAGTGTTTCAAACCTGCTCTTTCTGAAGGAAGGTTCAACTCTGTGAGTTGAATAAACACACCACAAATAAGTTACTGAGAATTCTTCTGTGTAACATTATATGAGGAAATCCCGTTTCCAACGAAGGCCTCAAAGAGGTCCAAATATCCACTTGCAGACTTTACAAAGACAGTGTCTCCAAACTCCTCCATCAAAAGAAAGGTTATACTCTGTGAATTGAACGCACACATCACAAAGTAGTTTCTGAGAATGATTCTGTCTAGTTTTTATACGAAGATATTTCCTTTTCTACATTTGGCCTAAAAGTGCTTGAAATCTCCACCTGCAAATATCACAAAAAGAGGGTTTCACATCTGCTCTGTCTAAAGGACAGTTCACCTCTGTGAGTTGAATAGAGGCAACACAAAGAACTTACTCAGTATTCTTCTTTCTAGCGTTCTATGAAGAAATCCCGTTTCCAACGAAGGCCTCAAAGAGGTCCAAATATCTGCTTGCAGACTTTACAGACAGAGTGTTTCCAAACTACTCTATGAAAAGAAAGCTTAAACTCCGTGAGTTGAATGCACACATCACAAAGTAGTTTCTGAGAAAGATTCTGTCTAGTTTTTATACGAAGATGTTTCCTTTTCTACATTTGGTCTCAAAGCGATTGAAATCTCCAACTGGAAACTGCACAAATAGGGTGTTTCAAATCTGCTCTGTCTAAAGGAAGGTTCAACTCTGTGAGTTGAATACACACACCACAAATAAGTTACTGAGAATTCTTCTGTCGAACATTACTTGAAGAAATCCCGTTTCCAACGAAGGCCTCAAAGGAGGTCCAAATATCCACTTGCAGACATTACAAACAGAGTGTTTCCAAACTGCTCCATCAAAAGAAAGGTTAAACTCTGTGAGCTGAACACACACATCAAAAAGAAGTTTCTGTGAATGATTCTGTCTAGATTTTATAAGAAGATATTTCCTTTTCTACCGTAGGCCTCAAAGCGCTTGAAATCTCCAGCTGCAAATTCCACAAAAAGGGTGTTTAACATCTGCTCTTCTAAAGGAAAGTTCAACTCTATGAGTTGAATACACACAGCACAAAGAAGTTACTGAGACTTCTCCTATCAAACATTATATGAAGAAATCCCGTTTCCAACGAAGGCCTCAAAGAGGTCCAAATATCTGCTTGCAGACTTTACAGACAGAGTGTTTCCAAACTGCTCCATCAAAAGAAAGGTTAAACTCCTTGAGTTGAACACACACATCACAAAGTAGTTTCTGTGAATGATTCTGTCTAGTTTTTATACGAAGATGTTTCCTTTTCTACCTTTGGTCTCAAAGCGATTGAAATCTCCACATGGAAACTCCACAAAAAGAGTGTTTCAAATCTGCTCTTTCTGAAGGAAGGTTCAACTCTGTGAGTTGAATACACACACCACAAATAAGTTACTGAGAATTCTTCTGTGTAACAT
Organism: Homo sapiens; assembly: GCF_000001405.40. Lineage (NCBI taxonomy): Eukaryota > Metazoa > Chordata > Mammalia > Primates > Hominidae > Homo > Homo sapiens. The sequence goes on along the minus strand of NC_000012.12, from coordinate 36,506,200 downwards.
TATATGAGGAAATCCCGTTTCCAACGAAGGCCTCAAAGAGGTCCAAATATCCACTTGCAGACTTTACAAAGACAGTGTCTCCAAACTCCTCCATCAAAAGAAAGGTTATACTCTGTGAATTGAACGCACACATCACAAAGTAGTTTCTGAGAATGATTCTGTCTAGTTTTTATACGAAGATATTTCCTTTTCTACATTTGGCCTAAAAGCGCTTGAAATCTCCACGTGCAAATATCACAAAAAGAGGGTTTCACATCTGCTCTGTCTAAAGGACAGTTCACCTCTGTGAATTGAATAGAGGCAACACATAGAACTTACTCAGTATTCTTCTTTCTAGCGTTATATGAAGAAATCCCGTTTCCAACGAAGGCCTCAAAGAGGTCCAAATATCTGCTTGCAGACTTTACAGACAGAGTGTTTCCAAACTACTCTATGAAAAGAAAGCTTAAACTCCTTGAGTTGAACGCACACATCACAAAGTAGTTTCTGAGAATGATTCTGTCTAGTTTTTATACGAAGATGTTTCCTTTTCTACATTTGTCTCAAAGCGATTGAAATCTCCAACTGGAACCTGCACAAATAGGGTGTTTCAAATCTGCTCTGTCTAAAGGGAGGTTCAACTCTGTGAGTTGAATACACACACCACAAATAAGTTACTGAGAATTCTTCTGTCGAACATTACGTGAAGAAATCCCGTTTCCAACGAAGGCCTCAAACAGGTCCAAATATCCACTTGCAGACGTTACAAACAGAGTGTTTCCAAACTGCTCCATCAAAAGAAAGGTTAAACTCTGTGAGCTGAACACACACATCAAAAAGAAGTTTCTGTGAATGATTCTGTCTAGATTTTATAAGAAGATGTTTCCTTTTCTACCGTAGGCCTCAAAGCGCTTGAAATCTCCAGCTGCAAATTCCACAAAAAGGGTGTTTAACATCTGCTCTTCTAAAGGAAAGTTCAACTCTGTGAGTTGAATACACACAGCACAAAGAAGTTACTGAGACTTCTCCTATCAAACATTATATGAAGAAATCCCGTTTCCAACGAAGGCCTCAAAGAGGTCCAAATATCTGCTTGCAGACTTTACAGACAGAGTGTTTCCAAACTGCTCCATCAAAAGAAAGGTTAAACTCCTTGAGTTGAACACACACATCACAAAGTAGTTTCTGTGAATGATTCTGTCTAGTTTTTATACGAAGATGTTTGCTTTTCTACCTTTGGCCTCAAAGCGATTGAAATCTCCACATGGAAACTCCACAAAAAGAGTGTTTCAAATCTGCTCTTTCTGAAGGAAGGTTCAACTCTGTGAGTTGAATACACACACCACAAATAAGTTACTGAGAATTCTTCTGTGTAACATTATATGAGGAAATCCCGTTTCCAACGAAGGCCTCAAAGAGGTCCAAATATCCACTTGCAGACTTTACAAAGACAGTGTCTCCAAACTCCTCCATCAAAAGAAAGGTTATACTCTGTGAATTGAACGCACACATCACAAAGTAGTTTCTGAGAATGATTCTGTCTAGTTTTTATACGAAGATATTTCCTTTTCTACATTTGGCCTAAAAGCGCTTGAAATCTCCACCTGCAACTATCACAAAAAGAGGGTTTCACATCTGCTCTGTCTAAAGGACAGTTCACCTCTGTGAGTTGAATAGAGGCAACACAAAGAACTTACTCAGTATTCTTCTTTCTAGCGTTCTATGAAGAAATCCCGTTTCCAACGAAGGCCTCAAAGAGGTCCAAATATCTGCTTGCAGACTTTACAGACAGAGTGTTTCCAAACTACTCTATGAAAAGAAAGCTTAAACTCCTTGAGTTAAACGCACACATCACAAAGTAGTTTCTGAGAATGATTGTGTCTAGTTTTTATACGAAGATGTTTCCTTTTCTACATTTAGTCTCAAAGCGATTGAAATCTCCAAGTGCAAACTGCACAAATAGGTTGTTTCAAATCTGCTCTGTCTAAAGGAAGGTTCAACTCTGTGAGTTGAATACACACACCACAAATAAGTTACTGAGAATTCTTCTTTCGAACATTACTTGAAGAAATCCCGTTTCCAATGAAGGCCTCAAAGAGGTCCAAATATCCACTTGCAGACATTACAAACAGAGTGTTTCCAAACTGCTCCATCAAAAGAAAGGTTAAACTCTGTGAGCTGAACACACACATCAAAAAGAAGTTTCTGTGAATGATTCTGTCTAGATTTTATAAGAAGATGTTTCCTTTTCTACCGTAGGCCTCAAAGCGCTTGAAATCTCCAGCTGCAAATTCCACAAAAAGGGTGTTTAACATCTGCTCTTCTAAAGGAAAGTTCAACTCTATGAGTTGAATACACACAGCACAAAGAAGTTACTGAGACTTCTCCTATCAAACATTATATGAAGAAATCCCGTTTCCAAAGAAGGCCTCAAAGAGGTCCAAATATCTGCTTGCAGACTTTACAGACAGAGTTTTTCCAAACTGCTCCATCAAAAGAAAGGTTAAACTCCTTGAGTTGAACACACACATCACAAAGTAGTTTCTGTGAATGATTCTGTCTAGTTTTTATACGAAGATGTTTCCTTTTCTACCTTTGGTCTCAAAGCGATTGAAATCTCCACATGGAAACTCCACAAAAAGAGTGTTTCAAATCTGCTCTTTCTGAAGGAAGGTTCAACTCTGTGAGTTGAATACACACACCACAAATAAGTTACTGAGAATTCTTCTGTGTAACATTATATGAGGAAATCCCGTTTCCAACGAAGGCCTCAAAGAGGTCCAAATATCCACTTGCAGACTTTACAAAGACAGTGTCTCCAAACTCCTCCATCAAAAGAAAGGTTATACTCTGTGAATTGAACGCACACATCACAAAGTAGTTTCTGAGAACGATTCTGTCTAGTTTTATACGAAGATATTTCCTTTTCTACATTTGGCCTAAAAGCGCTTGAAATCTCCACCTGCAAATATCACAAAAAGAGGGTTTCACATCTGCTCTGTCTAAAGGACAGTTCACCTCTGTGAGTTGAATAGAGGCAACACAAAGAACTTACTCAGTATTCTTCTTTCTAGCGTTCTATGAAGAAATCCCGTTTCCAACGAAGGCCCCAAAGAGGTCCAAATATCTGCTTGCAGACTTTACAGACAGAGTGTTTCCAAACTACTCTATGAAAAGAAAGCTTAAACTCCTTGAGTTGAACGCACACATCACAAAGTAGTTTCTGAGAATGATTCTGTCTAGTTTTTATACGAAGATGTTTCCTTTTCTACATTTGGTCTCAAAGCGATTGAAATCTCCAACTGGAAACTGCACAAATAGGGTGTTTCAAATCTGCTCTGTCTAAAGGAAGGTTCAACTCTGTGAGTTGAATACACACACCACAAATAAGTTACTGAGAATTCTTCTGTCGAACATTACATGAAGAATTCCCGTTTCCAACGAAGGCCTCAAAGAGGTCCAAATATCCACTTGCAGGCATTACAAACAGAGTGTTTCCAAACTGCTCCATCAAAAGAAAGGTTAAACTCTGTGAGCTGAACACACACATCAAAAAGAAGTTTCTGTGAATGATTCTGTCTAGATTTTATAAGAAGATGTTTCCTTTTCTACCGTAGGCCTCAAAGCGCTTGAAATCTCCAGCTGCAAATTCCACAAAAAGGGTGTTTAACATCTGCTCTTCTAAAGGAAAGTTCAACTCTATGAGTTGAATACACACAGCACAAAGAAGTTACTGAGACTTCTCCTATCAAACATTATATGAAGAAATCCCGTTTCCAACGAAGGCCTCAAAGAGGTCCAAATATCTGCTTGCAGACTTTACAGACAGAGTGTTTCCAAACTGCTCCATCAAAAGAAAGGTTAAACTCCTTGAGTTGAACACACACATCACAAAGTAGTTTCTGTGAATGATTCTGTCTAGTTTTTATACGAAGATGTTTCCTTTTCTACCTTTGGTCTCAAAGCGATTGAAATCTCCACATGGAAACTCCACAAAAAGAGTGTTTCAAATCTGCTCTTTCGGAAGGAAGGTTCAACTCTGTGAGTTGAATACACACACCACAAATAAGTTACTGAGAATTCTTCTGTGTAACATTATATGAGGAAATCCCGTTTCCAACGAAGGCCTCAAAGAGGTCCAAATATCCACTTGCAGACTTTACAAAGACAGTGTCTCCAAACTCCTCCATCAAAAGAAAGGTTATACTCTGTGAATTGAACGCACACATCACAAAGTAGTTTCTGAGAATGATTCTGTCTAGTTTTTATACGAAGATATTTCCTTTTCTACATTTGGCCTAAAAGCGCTTGAAATCTCCACGTGCAAATATCACAAAAAGAGGGTTTCACATCTGCTCTGTCTAAAGGACAGTTCACCTCTGTGAGTTGAATAGAGGCAACACAAAGAACTTACTCAGTATTCTTCTTTCTAGCGTTCTATGAAGAAATCACGTTTCCAACGAAGGCCCCAATGAGGTCCAAATATCTGCTTGCAGACTTTACAGACAGAGTGTTTCCAAACTACTCTATGAAAAGAAAGCTTAAACTCCTTGAGTTGAACGCACAGATCACAAAGTAGTTTCTGAGAATGATTCTGTCTAGTTTTTATACGAAGATGTTTCCTTTTCTACATTTGGTCTCAAAGCGATTGAAATCTCCAATTGGAAACTGCACAAATAGGGTGTTTCAAATCTGCTCTGTCTAAAGGAAGGTTCAACTCTTTGAGTTGAATACACACACCACAAATAAGTTACTGAGAATTCTTCTGTCGAACATTACTTGAAGAAATCCCGTTTCCAACGAAGGACTCAAAGAGGTCCAAATATCCACTTGCAGACATTACAAACAGAGTGTTTCCAAACTGCTCCATCAAAAGAAAGGTTAAACTCTGTGAGCTGAACACACACATCAAAAAGAAGTTTCTGTGAATGATTCTGTCTAGATTTTATAAGAAGATGTTTCCTTTTCTACCGTAGGCCTCAAAGCGCTTGAAATCTCCAGCTGCAAATTCCACAAAAAGGGTGTTTAACATCTGCTCTTCTAAAGGAAAGTTCAACTCTATGAGTTGAATACACACAGCACAAAGAAGTTACTGAGACTTCTCCTATCAAACATTATATGAAGAAATCCCGTTTCCAACGAAGGCCTCAAAGAGGTCCAAATATCTGCTTGCAGACTTTACAGACAGAGTATTTCCAAACTGCTCCATCAAAAGAAAGGTTAAACTCCTTGAGTTGAACACACACATCACAAAGTAGTTTCTGTGAATGATTCTGTCTAGTTTTTATACGAAGATGTTTCCTTTTCTACCTTTGGTCTCAAAGCGATTGAAATCTCCACATGGAAACTCCACAAAAAGAGTGTTTCAAATCTGCTCTTTCTGAAGGAAGGTTCAACTCTGTGAGTTGAATACACACACCACAAATAAGTTACTGAGAATTCTTCTGTGTAACATTATATGAGGAAATCCCGTTTCCAACGAAGGCCTCAAAGAGGTCCAAATATCCACTTGCAGACTTTACAAAGACAGTGTCTCCAAACTCCTCCATCAAAAGAAAGGTTATACTCTGTGAATTGAACGCACACATCACAAAGTAGTTTCTGAGAATGATTCTGTCTGGTTTTTATACGAAGATATTTCCTTTTCTACATTTGGCCTAAAAGCACTTGAAATCTCCACCTGCAAATATCCCAAAAAGAGGTTTTCACATCTGCTCTGTCTAAAGGACAGTTCGCCTCTGTGAGTTGAATAGAGGCAACACAAAGAACTTACTCAGTATTCTTCTTTCTAGCGTTCTATGAAGAAATCCCGTTTCCAACGAAGGCCTCAAAGAGGTCCAAATATCTGCTTGCAGACTTTACAGACAGAGTGTTTCCAAACTACTCTATGAAAAGAAAGCTTAAACTCCTTGAGTTGAACGCACACATCACAAAATAGTTTCTGAGAATGATTCTGTCTTGTTTTTATACGAAGATATTTCCGTTTCTATGATTGGCCTCAAAGCGATTGAAATCTCCAACTGGAAATTGCACAAATAGGGTGTTTCAAATCTGCTCTGTCTAAAGGAAGGTTCAACTCTGTGAGTTGAATACACACACCACAAATAAGTTACTGAGAATTCTTCTGTCGAACATTACTTGAAGAAATCCCGTTTCCAACGAAGGCCTCAAAGTAGGTCCAAATATCCACTTGCAGACATTACAAACAGAGTGTTTCCAAACTGCTCCATCAAAAGAAAGGTTAAACTCTGTGAGCTGAACACACACATCAAAAAGAAGTTTCTGTAAATGATTCTGTCTAGATTTTGTAAGAAGATGTTTCCTTTTCTACCGTAGGCCTCAATGCGCTTGAAATCTCCACCTGCAAATTCCACAAAAAGGGTGTTTTACATCTGCTCTTCTAAAGGAAAGTTAAACTCTATGCGTTGAATACACACAGGACAAAGAAGTTACTGAGACTTCTCCTATCAAACATTATATGAAGAAATCCCGTTTCCAACGAAGGCCTCAAAGAGGTCCAAATATCTGCTTGCAGACTTTACAGACAGAGTGTTTCCATACTGCTCCATCAAAAGAAAGGTTAAACTCCTTAAGTTGAACAAACACATCACAAAGTAGTTTCTGTGAATGATTCTGTCTAGTTTTTATACGAAGATGTTTCCTTTTCTACCTTTGGTCTCAAAGCAATTGAAATCTCCACATGGAAACTCCACAAAAAGTGTGTTTCAAATCTGATCTTTCTGAAGGAAGGTTCAACTCCGTGAGTTGAATACACACACCACAAATAAGTTACTGAGAATTCTTCTGTGTAACATTATATGAGGAAATCCCGTTTCCAACGAAGGCCTCAAAGAGGTCCAAATATCCACTTGCAGACTTTACAAAGACAGTGTCTCCAAACTCCTCCATCAAAAGAAAGGTTATACTCTGTGAATTGAACGCATACATCACAAAGTAGTTTCTGAGAATGATTCTGTCTAGTTTTTATACGAAGATGTTTCCTTTTCTACCTTTGGCCTAAAAGCGCTTGAAATCTCCACCTGCAAATATCACAAAAAGAGGGTTTCACATCTGCTCTGTCTAAAGGACAGTTCACCTCTGTGAGTTGAATAGAGACAACACAAAGAACTTACTCAGTATTCTTCTTTCTAGCGTTCTATGAAGAAATCCCGTTTCCAACGAAGGCCCCAAAGAGGTCCAAATATCTGCTTGCAGACTTTACAGACAGAGTGTTTCCAAACTACTCTATGAAAAGAAAGCTTAAACTCCTTGAGTTGAACGCACACATCACAAAGTAGTTTCGGAGAATGATTCTGTCTAGTTTTTATACGAAGATGTTTCCTTTTCTACATTTGGTCTCAAAGCTCTTGAAATCTCCAACTGGAAACTGCACAAATAGGCTGTTTCAAATCTGCTCTGTCTAAAGGAAGGTTCAACTCTGTGAGTTGAATACACACACCACAAATAAGTTACTGAGAATTCTTCTGTCGAACATTAGAGAAAGAAATCCCGTTTCCAACGAAGGCCTCAAAGAGGTCCAAATATCCAATTGCAGACATTACAAACAGAGTGTTTCCAAACTGCTCCATCAAAAGAAAGGTTAAACTCTGTGAGCTGAACACACACATCAAAAAGAAGTTTCTGTGAATGATTCTGTCTAGATTTTAGAAGAAGATGTTTCCTTTTCTACCGTAGGCCTCAAAACGCTTGAAATCTCCAGCTGCAAATGCCACAAAAAGGGTGTTTAACATCTGCTCTTCTAAAGGAAAGTTCAAATCTATGAGTTGAATACACACAGCACAAAGAATTTACTGAGAATTCTCCTATCAAACATTATATGAAGAAATCCCGTTTACAACGAAGGCCTCAAAGAGGTCCAAATATCTGCTTGCAGACTTTACAGACAGAGTGTTTCCATACTGCTCCATCAAAAGAAAGGTTAAACTCCTTGAGTTGAACACACACATCACAAAGTAGTTTCTGTGAATGATTCTGTCTAGTTTTTATACGAAGATGTTTCCTTTTCTACCTTTGGTCTCAAAGCGATTGAAATCTCCACATGGAAACTCCACAAAAAGAGTGTTTCAAATCTGCTCTTTCTGAAGGAAGGTTCAACTCTGTGAGTTGAATACACACACCACAAATAAGTTACTGAGAATTCTTCTGTGTAACATTATATGAGGAAATCCCGTTTCCAACGAAGGCCTCAAAGAGGTCCAAATATCCACTTGCAGACTTTACAAAGACAGTGTCTCCAAACTCCTCCATCAAAAGAAAGGTTATACTCTGTGAATTGAACGCACACATCACAAAGTAGTTTCTGAGAATGATTCTGTCTAGTTTTTATACGAAGATATTTCCTTTTCTACATTTGGCCTAAAAGCGCTTGAAATCTCCACCTGCAAATATCACAAAAAGAGGGTTTCACATCTGCTCTGTCTAAAGGACAGTTCACCTCTGTGAGTTGAATAGAGGCAACACAAAGAACTTACTCAGTATTCTTCTTTCCAGCGTTCTATGAAGAAATCACGTTTCCAACGAAGGCCCCAATGAGGTCCAAATATCTGCTTGCAGACTTTACAGACAGAGTGTTTCCAAACTACTCTATGAAAAGAAAGCTTAAACTTCTTGAGTTGAACGCACACATCACAAAGTAGTTTCTGAGAATGATTCTGTCTAGTTTTTATACGAAGATGTTTCCTTTTCTACATTTGGTCTCAAAGCGATTGAAATCTCCAACTGGAAACTGCACAAATAGGGTGTTTCAAATCTGCTCTGTCTAAAGGAAGGTTCAACTCTGTGAGTTGAATACACACACCACAAATAAGTTACTGAGAATTCTTCTCTCGAACATTACATGAAGAAATCCCTTTTCCAACGAAGGCCGCAAAGAGGTCCAAATATCCACTTGCCGACATGGCAAACACAGTGTTTGCAAACTGCTCCGTCAAAAGAAAGGTTAAACTCTGTGAGATGAATACACACATCAAAAAGAAGTTTCTGTGAATGATTCTGTCTAGATTTTATAAGAAGATGTTTCCTTTTCTACCGTAGGCCTCAAAGCGCTTGAAATCTCCAGCTGCAAATTCCACAAAAAGGGTGTTTAACATCTGCTCTTCTAAAGGAAAGTTCAACTCTATGAGTTGAATACACACAGCACAAAGAAGTTTCTGAGACTTCTCCTATCAAACATTATATGAAGAAATCCCGTTTCCAACGAAGGCCTCAAAGAGGTCCAAATATCTGCTTGCAGACTTTACAAAGACAGTGTCTCCAAACTCCTCCATCAAAAGAAAGGTTAAACTCCTTGAGTTGAACACACACATCACAAAGTAGTTTCTGTGAATGATTTCTGTCTAGTTTTTATACGAAGACGTTTCCTTCTCTACCTTTGGTCTCAAAGCGATTGAAATCTCCACATGGAAACTCCACAAAAAGAGTGTTTCAAATCTGCTCTGTCTAAAGGAAGGTTCAACTCTGTGAGTTGAATACACACACCACAATTAAGTTACTGAGAATTCTTCTGTGTAACATTATATGAGGAAATCCCGTTTCCAACGAAGGCCTCAAAGAGGTCCAAATATCCAGTTGCAGACTTTACAAAGACAGTGTCTCCAAACTCCTCCATCAAAAGAAAGGTTATACTCTGTGAATTGAACGCACACATCACAAAGTAGATTCTGAGAATGATTCTGTCTAGTTTTTATACGAAGATATTTCCTTTTCTACATTTGGCCTAAAAGCGCTTGAAATCTCCACCTGCAAATATCACAAAAAGAGGGTTTCACATCTGCTCTGTCTAAAGGGCAGTTCACCTCTGTGAGTTGAATAGAGGCAACACAAAGAACTTACTCAGTATTCTTCTTTCTAGCGTTCTATGAAGAAATCCCCTTTCCAACGAAGACCCCAAAGACGTCCAAATATCTGCTTGCAGACTTTACAGACAGAGTTTTTCCAAACTGCTCCATCAAAAAAAGGTTAAACTCCTTGAGTTGAACACACACGTCACAAAGTAGTATCTGTGAATGATTCTGTCTAGTTTTTCTACGAAGATGTTTCCTTTTCTACCTTCGGTCTCCAAGCGATTGAAATCTCCACATGGAAACTCCACAAAAAGAGTGTTTCAAATCTGCTCTTTCTGAAGGAAGGTTCAACTCTGTGAGTTGAATACACACACCACAAATAAGTTACTGAGAATTCTTCTGTGTAACATTATATGAGGAAATCCCGTTTCCAACGAAGGCCTCAAAGAGGTCCAAATATCCACTTGCAGACATTACAAACAGAGTGTTTCCAAACTGCTCCATCAAAAGAAAGGTTAAACTCTGTGAGCTGAACACACACATCAAAAAGAAGTTTCTGTGAATGATTCTGTCTAGATTTTATAAGAAGATGTTTCCTTTTCTACCGTAGGCCTCAAGGCGCTTGAAATCTCCAGCTGCAAATTCCACAAAAAGGGTGTTTAACATCTACTCTTCTAAAGGAAAGTTCAACTCTATGCGTTGAATACACACAGCACAAAGAAGTTACTGAGACTTCTCCTATCAAACATTATATGAAGAAATCCCGTTTCCAACGAAGGCCTCAAAGAGGTCCAAATATCTGCTTACAGACTTTACAGACAGAGTTTTTCCAAACTGCTCCATCAAAAGAAAGGTTAAACTCCTTGAGTTGAACACACACATCACAATGTAGTTTCTGTGAATGATTCTGTCTAGTTTTTATACGAAGATGTTTCCTTTTCTACCTTTGGTCTCAAAGCGATTGAAATCTCCACATGGAAACTCCACAAAAAGAGTGTTTCAAATCTGCTCTTTCTGAAGGAAGGTTCATCTCTGTGAGTTGAATACACACACCACAAATAAGTTACTGAGAATTCTTCTGTGTAACATTATATGAGGAAATCCCGTTTCCAACGAAGGCCTCAAAGAGGTCCAAATATCCACTTGCAGACTTTACAAAGACAGTGTCTCCAAACTCCTCCATCAAAAGAAAGGTTATACTCTGTGAAATGAACGCACACATCACAAAGTAGTTTCTGAGAATGATTCTGTCTAGTTTTTATACGAAGATATTTCCTTTTCTACATTTGGCCTAAAAGCGCTTGAAATCTCCACCTGCAAATATCACAAAAAGAGGGTTTCACATCTGCTCTGTCTAAAGGACAGTTCACCTCTGTGAGTTGGATAGAGGCAACACAAAGAACTTACTCAGTATTCTTCTTTCTAGCGTTATATGTTGAAATCCCGTTTAAAACGAAGGCCTCAAAGAGGTGCAAATATCTGCTGGCAGACTTTACAGACAGAGTGTTTCCAAACTACTCTATGAAAAGAAAGTTTAAACTCCTTGAGTTGAACGCACACATCACAAAGTAGTTTCTGAGAATGATTCTGTCTTGTTTTTATACAAAGATATTTCCGTTTCTATGATTGGCCTCAAAGCGATTGAAATCTCCAACTGGAAACTGCACAAATAGGGTGTTTCAAATCTGCTCTGTCTAAAGGAAGGTTCAACTCTGTGAGTTGAATACACACACCACAAATAAGTTACTGAGAATTCTTCTGTCGAACATTACATGAAGAAATCCCGTTTCCAAAGAAGGCCTCAAAGAGGTCCAAATATCCACTTGCAGACATTACAAACAGAGTGTTTCCAAACTGCTCCATCAAAAGAAAGGTTAAACTCTGTGAGCTGAACACACACATCAAAAAGAAGTTTCTCTGAATGATTCTGTCTAGATTTTATAAGAAGATGTTTCCTTTTCTACCGTAGGACTCAAAGCGCTTGAAATCTCCAGCTGCAAATTCCACAAAAAGTGTGTTTAACATCTGCTCTTCTAAAGGAAAGTTCAACTCTATGAGTTGAATACACACAGCACAAAGAAGTTACTGAGACTTCTTCTTTCTAGCATTCTATGAAGAAATACCGTTTCCAACGAAGGCCCCAAAGAGGTCCAAATATCTGCTTGCAGAATTTACAGACAGAGTTTTTCCAAACTGCTCCATCAAAAGAAAGGTTAAACTCCTTGAGTTGAACACACACATCACAAAGTAGTTTCTGTGAATGATTCTGTCTAGTTTTTATACGAAGATGTTTCCTTTTCTACCTTTGGTCTCAAAGCGATTGAAATCTCCACATGGAAACTCCACAAAAAGAGTGTTTCAAATCTGCTCTTTCTGAAGGAAGGTTCAACTCTGTGAGTTGAATACACACACCACAAATAAGTTACTGAGAATTCTTCTGTGTAACATTATATGAGGAAATCCCGTTTCCAACGAAGGCCTCAAAGAGGTCCAAATATCCACTTGCAGACTTTACAAAGACAGTGTCTCCAAACTCCGCCATCAAAGAAAGGTTATACTCTGTGAATTGAACGCACACATCACAAAGTAGTTTCTGAGAATGATTCTGTCTAGTTTTTATACGAAGATATTTCCTTTTCTACATTTGGCCTAAAAGCACTTGAAATCTCCACCTGCAAATATCCCAAAAAGAGGGTTTCACATCTGCTCTGTCTAAAGGACAATTCTCCTCTGTGAGTAGAATAGAGGTAACACAAAGAACTTAGTATTCTTCTTTCTAGCGTTCTATGAAGAAATCCCGTTTCCAACGAAGGCCCCAAAGAGGTCCAAATATCTGCTTGCAGACTTTACAGACAGAGTGTTTCCAAACTACTCTATGAAAAGAAAGCTTAAACTCCTTGAGTTGAACGCACACATCACAAAGTAGTTTCTGAGAATGATTCTGTCTTGTTTTTATACGAAGATATTTCCGTTTCTACGATTGGCCTCAAAGCGATTGAAATCTCCAACTGGAAACTGAACAAATAGGGTGTCTCAAATCTGCTCTGTCTAAAGGAAGGTTCAACTCTGTGAGTTGAATACACACACCAGAAATAAGTTACTGAGAATTCTTCTGTCGAACATTACATGAAGAAATCCCGTTTCCAACGAAGGCCTCAAAGAGGTCCAAATATCCACTTGCAGACATTACAAACAGAGTGTTTCCAAACTGCTCCATCAAAGGAAAGGTTAAACTCTGTGAGCTGAACAAACACATCAAAAAGAAGTTTCTGTGAATGATTCTGTCTAGCATTTTATAAGAAGATGTTTCCTTTTCTACCGTAGGCCACAAAGCGCTTGAAATCTCCAGCTGCAAATTCCACAAAAAGGGTGTTTAACATCTGCTCTTCTAAAGGAAAGTTCAACTCTATGCGTTGAATACACACAGCACAAAGAAGTTACTGAGACTTCTCCTATCAAACATTATATGAAGAAATCCCGTTTCCAACGAAGGCCTCAAAGAGGTCCAAATATCTGCTTGCAGACTTTACAGACAGAGTGTTTCCAAACTGCTCCATCAAAAGAAAGGTTAAACTCCTTGAGTTGAACACACACATCACAAAGTAGTTTCTGTGAATGATTCTGTCTAGTTTTTATACGAAGATGTTTCCTTTTCTACCTTTGGTCTCAAAGCGATTGAAATCTCCACATGGAAACTCCACAAAAAGAGTGTTTCAAATCTGCTCTTTCTGAAGGAAGGTCCAACTCTGTGAGTTGAATACACACACCACAAATAAGTTACTGAGAATTCTTTCTGTGTAACATTATATGAGGAAATCCCGTTTCCAACGAAGGCCTCAAAGAGGTCCAAATATCCACTTGCAGACTTTACACACACAGTGTCTCCAAACTTCTCCATCAAAAGAAAGGTTATACTCTGTGAATTGAACGCACACATCACAAAGTAGTTTCTGAGAATGATTCTGTCTAGTTTTTATACGAAGATATTTCCTTTTCTACATTTGGCCTAAAAGTGCTTGAAATCTCCACCTGCAAATATCACAAAAAGAGGGTTTCACATCTGCTCTGTCTAAAGGACAGTTCACCTCTGTGAGTTGAATAGAGGCAACACAAAGAACTTACTCAGTATTCTTCTTTCTAGCGTTCTATGAAGAAATCCCGTTTCCAACGAAGGCCTCAAAGAGGTCCAAATATCTGCTTGCAGACTTTACAGACAGAGTGTTTCCAAACTACTCTATGAAAAGAAAGCTTAAACTCCTTGAGTTAAACGCACACATCACAAAGTAGTTTCTGAGAATGATTCTGTCTAGTTTTTATACGAAGATGTTTCCTTTTCTACATTTGGTCTCAAGGCGATTGAAATCTCCAACTGGAAACTGCACAAATAGGGTGTTTCAAATCTGCTCTGTCTAAAGGAAGGTTCAACTCTGTGAGTTGAATACACACACCACAAATAAGTTACTGAGAATTCTTCTGTCGAACATTACAAGAAGAAATCCCGTTTCCAACGAAGGCCTCAAAGAGGTCCAAATATCCACTTGCAGACATGACAAACAGAGTGTTTCCAAACTGCTCCATCAAAAGAAAGGTTAAACTCTGTGAGTTGAACACACACATCAAAAAGAAGTTTCTGTGAATGATTCTGTCTAGATTTTATACGAAGATGTTTCCTTTTCTACCATAGGTCTCAAAGCGCTTGAAATCTCCACATGGAAACTCCACAAAAAGAGTGTTTCAAATCTGCTCTTTCGGAAGGAAGGTTCAACTCTTTGAGATGAATACACACAGCGCAAGTAAGTTACTGAGAATTCATCTGTGTAACTTTATATGAGGAAAACCCGTTTCCAACGAAGGCTTCAAAGAGGTCCAAATATCCACTTGCAGACTTTACAAAGACAGTGTCTCCAAACTCCTCCATCAAAACAAAGGTTATACTCTGTGAATTGAACGCACACATCACCAAGTAGTTTCTGAGAATGATTCTGTCTAGTTTTTATACGAAGATGTTTCCTTTTCTACCTTTGGTCTCAATGCGATTGAAATCTCCACATGGAAACTCCACAAAAAGAGTGTTTCAAATCTGCTCTTTCTGAAGGAAGGTTCATCTCTGTGAGTTGAATACACACACCACAAATAAGTTACTGAGAATTCTTCTGTGTAACATTATATGAGGAAATCCCGTTTCCAACGAAGGCCTCAAAGAGGTCCAAATATCCACTTGCAGACTTTACAAAGACAGTGTCTCCAAACTCCTCCATCAAAAGAAAGGTTATACTCTGTGAATTGAACGCACACATCACAAAGTAGTTTCTGAGAATGATTCTGTCTAGTTTTTATACGAAGATATTTCCTTTTCTACATTTGGCCTCAAAGCGCTTGAAATCTCCACCTGCAAATATCACAAAAAGAGGGTTTCACATCTGCTCTGTCTAAAGGACAGTTCACTTTTGTGAGTTGAATAGAGGCAACACAAAGAACTTACTCAGTATTCTTCTTTCTAGCGTTCTATGAAGAAATCCCGTTTCCAACGAAGGCCACAAAGAGGTCCAAATATCTGCTTGCAGACTTTACAGACAGAGTGTTTCCAAACTACTCTATGAAAAGAAAGCTTAAACTTCTTGAGTTGAACGCACACATCACAAAGTAGTTTCTGAGAATGATTCTGTCTAGTTTTTATACGAAGATGTTTCCTTTTCTACATTTGGTCTCAAAGCGATTGAAATCTCCAACTGGAAACTGCACAAATAGGGTGTTTCAAATCTGCTCTGTCTAAAGGAAGGTTCAACTCTGTGAGTTGAATACACACAGCACAAATAAGTTACTGAGAATTCTTCTGTCGAACATTACTTGAAGAAATCCCGTTTCCAACGAAGGCCTCAAACAGGTCCAAATATCCACTTGCAGACGTTACAAACAGAGTGTTTCCAAACTGCTCCATCAAAAGAAAGGTTAAACTCTGTGAGCTGAACACACACATCAAAAAGAAGTTTCTGTGAATGATTCTGTCTAGATTTTATAAGAAGATGTTTGCTTTTCTACCGTAGGCCTCAAAGCGCTTGAAATCTCCAGCTGCAAATTCCACAAAAAGGGTGTTTAACATCTGCTCTTCTAAAGGAAAGTTCAACTCTATGCGTTGAATACACACAGCACAAAGAAGTTACTGAGACTTCTCCTATCAAACATTATATGAAGAAATCCCGTTTCCAACGAAGGCCTCAAAGAGGTCCAAATATCTGCTTGCAGACTTTACAGACAGAGTGTTTCCAAACTGCTCCATCAAAAGAAAGGTTAAACTCCTTGAGTTGAACACACACATCACAAAGTAGTTTCTGTGAATGATTCTGTCTAGTTTTTATACGAAGATGTTTCCTTTTCTACCTTTGGTCTCAATGCGATTGAAATCTCCACATGGAAACTCCACAAAAAGAGTGTTTCAAATCTGCTCTTTCTGAAGGAAGGTTCAACTCTGTGAGTTGAATACACACACCACAAATAAGTTACTGAGAATTCTTCTGTGTAACATTATATGAGGAAATCCCGTTTCCAACGAAGGCCTCGAAGAGATCCAAATATCCACTTGCAGACTTTACAAAGACAGTGTCTCCAAACTCCTCCATCAAAAGAAAGGTTATACTCTGTGAATTGAACGCACACATCACAAAGTAGTTTCTGAGAATGATTCTGTCTAGTTTTTATACGAAGATATTTCCTTTTCTACATTTGGCCTAAAAGTGCTTGAAATCTCCACCTGCAAATATCACAAAAAGAGGGTTTCACATCTGCTCTGTCTAAAGGACAGTTCACCTCTGTGAGTTGAATAGAGGCAACACAAAGAACTTACTCAGTATTCTTCTTTCTAGCAGTTACTATGAAGAAATCCCGTTTCCAACGAAGGCCCCCAAAAGAGGTCCAAATATCTGCTTGCAGACTTTACAGACAGAGTGTTTCCAAACTACTCTATGAAAAGAAAGCTTAAACTCCTTGAGTTGAACGCACACATCACAAAGTAGTTTCTGAGAATGATTCTGTCTTGTTTTTATACGAAGATATTTCCGTTTCTATGATTGGCCTCAAAGCGATTGAAATCTCCAACTGGAAACTGCACTAATAGGGTGTTTCAAATCTGCTCTGTCTAAAGGAAGGTTCAACTCTGTGAGTTGAATACACACACCACAAATAAGTTACTGAGAATTCTTCTGTCGAACATTACTTGAAGAAATCCCGTTTCCAACGAAGGCCTCAAAGAGGTCCAAATATCCACTTGCAGACATTACAAACAGAGTGTTTCCAAACTGCTCCATCAAAAGAAAGGTTAAACTCTGTGAGCTGAACACACACATCAAAAAGAAGTTTCTGTGAATGATTCTGTCTAGATTTTATAAGAAGATGTTTCCTTTTCTACCGTAGGCCTCAAAGCGCTTGAAATCTCCAGCTGCAAATTCCACAAAAAGGGTGTTTAACATCTGCTCTTGTAAAGGAAAGTTCAACTCTATGAATTGAATACACACAGCACAAAGAAGTTACTGAGACTTCTATCAAACATTATATGAAGAAATACCGTTTCCAACGAAGGCCTCAAAGAGGTCCAAATATCTGCTTGTAGACTTTACAGACAGAGTTTTTACAAACTGCTCCATCAAAGGAAAGGTTAAACTCCTTGAGTTGAACACACACATCACAAAGAAGTTTCTGTGAATGATTCTGTCTAGTTGTTATACGAAGATGTTTCCTTTTCTACCTTTGGTCTCAAAGCGATTGAAATCTCCACATGGAAACTCCACAAAAAGAGTGTTTCAAATCTGCTCTTTCTGAAGGAAGGTTCATCTCTGTGAGTTGAATACACACACCACAAATAAGTTACTGAGAATTCTCCCTGTGTAACATTATATGAGGAAATCCCGTTTCCAACAAAGGCCTCAAAGAGGTCCAAATATCCACTTGCAGACTTTACAAAGACAGTGTCTCCAAACTCCTCCATCAAAAGAAAGGTTATACTCTGTGAATTGAACGCACACATCACAAAGTAGTTTCTGAGAATGATTCTGTCTGGTTTTTATACGAAGATATTGCCTTTTCTACAATTGGCCTGAAAGTGCTTGAAATGTCCACCTGCAAATATCACAAAAAGAGGGTTTCACATCTGCTCTGTCTAAAGGACAGTTCACCTCTGTGAGTTGAATAGAGGCAACACAAAGCAGTTACTGAGTATTCTTCTTTCTACCGTTCTATGAAGAAATCCCGTTTCCAACGAAGGCCTCAAAGAGGTCCAAATATCTGCTTGCAGACTTTACAGACAGAGTGTTTCCAAACTACTCTATGAAAAGAAAGCTTAAACTCCTTGAGTTGAACGCACACATCACAAAGTAGTTTCTGAGAATGATTCTGTCTAGTTTTTATACGAAGATGTTTCCTTTTCTACATTTGGTCTCAAAGCGATTGAAATCTCCAACTGGAAACTGCACAAATAGGGTGTTTCAAATCTGCTCTGTCTAAAGGAAGGTTCAACTCTGTGAGTTGAATACACACACCACAAATAAGTTACTGAGAATTCTTCTGTCGAACATTACTTGAAGAAATCCCGTTTCCAATGAAGGCCTAAAAGAGGTCCAAATAACCACTTGCAGACATTACAAACAGAGTGTTTCCAACCTGCTCCATCAAAAGAAAGGTTAAACTCTGTGAGCTGAACACACACATCAAAAAGAAGTTTCTGTGAATGATTCTGTCTAGATTTTATAAGAAGATGTTTCCTTTTCTACCGTAGGCCTCAAAGCGCTTGAAATCTCCAGCTGCAAATTCCACAAAAAGGGTGTTTAACATCTGCTCTTCTAAAGGAAAGTTCAACTCTATGAGTTGAATACACACAGCACAAAGAAGTTACTGAGACTTCTCCTATCAAACATTATATGAAGAAATCCCGTTTCCAACGAAGGCCTCAAAGAGGTCCAAATATCTGCTTGCAGACTTTACAGACAGAGTGTTTCCAAACTCCTCCATCAAAAGAAAGGTTAAACTCCTTGAGTTGAACACACACATCACAAAGTAGTTTCTGTGAATGATTCTGTCTAGTTTTTATACGAAGATGTTTCCTTTTCTACCTTTGGTCTCAAAGCGATTGAAATCTCCACATGGAAACTCCACAAAAAGAGTGTTTCAAATCTGCTCTTTCTGAAGGAAGGTTCAACTCTGTGAGTTGAATACACACACCACAAATAAGTTACTGAGAATTCTCCTATCAAACATTATATGAAGAAATCCCGTTTCCAACGATGGCCCCAAAGAGGTCCAAATATCTGCTTGCAGACTTTACAAAGACAGTGTCTCCAAACTCCTCCATCAGAAGAAATATTATACACTGTGAATTGAACGCACTCATCACAAAGTAGTTTCTGAGAATGATTCTGTCTAGTTTTTATACGAAGATATTTCCTTTTCTACATTTGGCCTAAAAGCGCTTGAAATCTCCACCTGCAAATATCACAAAAAGAGGGTTTCACATCTGCTCTGTCTAAAGGACAGTTCACCTCTGTGAGTTGAATAGAGGCAACACAAAGAACTTACTCAGTATTCTTCTTTCTAGCGTTCTATGAAGAAATCCCGTTTCCAACGAAGGCCTCAAAGAGGTCAAATATCTGCTTGCAGACTTTACAGACAGAGTGTTTCCAAACTACTCTATGAAAAGAAAGCTTAAACTCCTTGAGTTGAACGCACACATCACAAAGTAGTTTCTGAGAATGATTCTGTCTTGTATTTATACGAAGATATTTCCGTTTCTACGATTGGCCTCAAAGCGATTGAAATCTCCAACTGGAAACAGCACAAATAGGGTGTTTCAAATCTGCTCTGTCTAAAGGAAGGTTCAACTCTGTGAGTTGAATACACACACCACAAATAAGTTACTGAGAATTCTTCTGGCGAACATTACATGAAGAAATCCCGTTTCCAACGAAGGCCTGAAAGAGGTCCAAATATCCAGTTGCCGACAATGCAAACACAGTTTTTCCAAACTGCTCCGTCAAAAGAAAGATTAAACTCTGTGAGATGAACACACACATCAAAAAGAAGTTTCTGTGAATGATTCTGTCTAGATTTTATAAGAAGATGTTTCCTTTTCTACCGTAGGCCTCAAAGCGCTTGAAATCTCCAGCTGCAAATTCCACAAAAAGGGTGTTTAACATCTGCTCTTCTAAAGGAAAGTTCAACTCTATGAGTTGAATACACACAGCACAAAGAAGTTACTGAGACTTCTCCTATCAAACATTATATGAAGAAATCCCGTTTCCAACGAAGGCCTCAAAGAGGTCCAAATATCTGCTTGCAGACTTTACAGACAGAGTTTTTCCAAACTGCTCCATCAAAAGAAAGGTTAAACTCCTTGAGTTGAACACACACATCACAAAGTAGTTTCTGTGAATGATTCTGTCTAGTTTTTATACGAAGATGTTTCCTTTTCTACCTTTGGTCTCAAAGCGATTGAAATCTCCACATGGAAACTCCACAAAAAGAGTGTTTCAAATCTGCTCTTTCTGAAGGAAGGTTCATCTCTGTGAGTTGAATACACACACCACAAATAAGTTACTGAGAATTCTTCTGTGTAACATTATATGAGGAAATCCCGTTTCCAACGAAGGCCTCAAAGAGGCCCAAATATCCACTTGCAGACTTTACAAAGACAGTGTCTCCAAACTCCTCCATCAAAAGAAAGGTTATACTCTGTGAATTGAACGCACACATCACAAAGTAGTTTCTGAGAATGATTCTGTCTAGTTTTTATACGAAGATATTTCCTTTTCTACATTTGGCCTAAAAGCGCTTGAAATCTCCACCTGCAAATATCACAAAAAGAGGGTTTCACATCTGCTCTGTCTAAAGGACAGTTCACCTCTGTGAGTTGAATAGAGGCAACACAAAGAACTTACTCAGTATTCTTCTTTCTAGCGTTCTATGAAGAAATCCCGTTTCCAACGAAGGCCCTAAAGAGGTCCAAATATCTGCTTGCAGACTTTACAGACAGAGTGTTTCCAAACTACTCTATGAAAAGAAAGCTTAAACTCCTTGAGTTGAACGCACACATCACAAAGTAGTTTCTGAGAATGATTCTGTCTAGTTTTTATACGAAGATGTTTCCTTTTCTACATTTGGTCTCAAAGCGATTGAAATCTCCAACTGGAAACTGCACAAATAGGCTGTTTCAAATCTGCTCTGTCTAAAGGAAGGTTCAACTCTGTGAGTTGAATACACACACCACAAATAAGTTACTGAGAATTCTTCTGTCGAACATTACATGAAGAAATCCCGTTTCCAACCAAGGCCTCAAAGAGGTCCATATATCCACTTGCAGATATTACAAACTGAGTGTTTCCAAACTGCTCCATCAAAGGAAATGTTAAACTCTGTGAGCTGAACACACACATCAAAAAGAAGTTTCTGTGAATGATTCTGTCTAGATTTTATAAGAAGATGTTTCCTTTTCTACAGTAGGCCTCAAAGCGCTTGAAACCTCCAGCTGCAAATTCCCCAAAAAGGGTGTTTAACATCTGCTCTTCTAAAGGAAAGTTCAACTCTATGAGTTGAATACACACAGCACAAAGAAGTTACTGAGACTTCTCCTATCAAACATTATATGAAGAAATCCCGTTTCCAACGAAGGCCCCAAAGAGGTCCAAATATCCACTTGCAGACTTTACAGACAGAGTGTTTCCAAACTCCTCCATCAAAAGAAAGGTTAAACTCCTTGAGTTGAACACACACATCACAAAGTAGTTTCTGTGAATGATTCTGTCTAGTTTTTATACGAAGATGTTTCCTTTTCTACCTTTGGTCTCAAAGCGATTGAAATCTCCACATGGAAACTCCACAAAAAGAGTGTTTCAAATCTGCTCTTTCTGAAGGAAGGTTCAACTCTGTGAGTTGAATACACACACCACAAATAAGTTACTGAGAATTATTCTGTGTAACATTATATGAGGAAATCCCGTTTCCAACGAAGGCCTCAAAGAGGTCCAAATATCCACTTGCAGACTTTACAAAGACAGTGTCTCCAAACTCCTCCATCAAAAGAAAGGTTATACTCTGTGAATTGAACGCACACATCACAAAGTAGTTTCTGAGAATGATTCTGTCTAGTTTTTATACGAAGATATTTCCTTTTCTACATTTGGCCTAAAAGCGCTTGAAATCTCCACCTGCAAATATCACAAAAAGAGGGTTTCACATCTGCTCTGTCTAAAGGACAGTTCACCTCTGTGAGTTGAATAGAGGCAACACAAAGAACTTACTCAGTATTCTTCTTTCTAGCGTTCTATGAAGAAATCCCGTTTCCAACGAAGGCCCCAAAGAGGTCCAAATATCTGCTTGCAGACTTTACAGACAGAGTGTTTCCAAACTACTCTATGAAAAGAAAGCTTAAACTCCTTGAGTTGAACGCACACATCACAAAGTAGTTTCTGAGAATGATTCTGTCTAGTTTTAATACGAAGATGTTTCCTTTTCTACATTTGGTCTCAAAGCGATTGAAATCTCCAACTGGAAACTGCACAAATAGGGTGTTTCAAATCTGCTCTCTCTAAAGGAAGGTTCAACTCTGTGAGTTGAATACACACACCACAAATAAGTTACTGAGAATTCTTCTGTCGAACATTACATGAAGAAATCCCGTTTCCAACGAAGGCCTCAAAGACGTCCAAATATCCACTTGCAGACATTACAAACAGAGTGTTTCCAAACTGCTCCATCAAAAGAAAGGTTAAACTCTGTGAGCTGAACACACACATCAAAAAGAAGTTTCTGTGAATGATTCTGTCTAGATTTTATAAGAAGATGTTTCCTTTTCTACCGTAGGCCTCAAAGCACTTGAAATCTCCAGCTGCAAATTCCACAAAAAGGGTGTTTAACATCTGCTCTTCTAAAGGAAAGTTCTACTCTATGCGTTGAATAAACACAGCAGAAAGAAGTTACTGAGACTTCTCCTATCAAACATTATATGAAGAAATCCCATTTCCAACGAAGGCCTCAAAGAGGTCCAAATATCTGCTTGCAGACTTTACAGACAGAGTGTTTCCAAACTGCTCCATCAAAAGAAAGGTTAAACTCCTTGAGTTGAACACACACATCACAAAGTAGTTTCTGTGAATGATTCTGTCTAGTTTTTATACGAAGATATTTCCGTTTCTACATTTGGTCTCAAAGCGATTGAAATCTCCACATGGAAACTCCACAAAAAG
This sequence comes from Homo sapiens, assembly GCF_000001405.40. NCBI lineage: Eukaryota > Metazoa > Chordata > Mammalia > Primates > Hominidae > Homo > Homo sapiens. The sequence goes on along the minus strand of NC_000012.12, from coordinate 36,483,195 downwards.
AGTGTTTCAAATCTGCTCTTTCTGAAGGAAGGTTCAACTCTGTGAGTTGAATACACACACCACTAATAAGTTACTGAGAATTCTTCTGTGTAACATTATATGAGGAAATCCCGTTTCCAACGAAGGCCTCAAAGAGGTCCAAATATCCACTTGCAGACTTTACAAAGACAGTGTCTCCAAACTCCTCCATCAAAAGAAAGGTTATACTCTGTGAATTGAACGCACACATCACAAAGTAGTTTCTGAGAATGATTCTGTCTAGTTTTTATACGAAGATATTTCCTTTTCTACATTTGGCCTAAAAGCGCTTGAAATCTCCACCTGCAAATATCACAAAAAGAGGGTTTCACATCTGCTCTGTCTAAAGGACAGTTCACCTCTGTGAGTTGAATAGAGGCAACACAAAGAACTTACTCAGTATTCTTCTTTCTAGCGTTCTATGAAGAAATCCCGTTTCCAACGAAGGCCCCAAAGAGGTCCAAATATCTGCTTGCAGACTTAACAGACAGAGTGTTTCCAAACTACTCTATGAAAAGAAAGCTTAAACTCCTTGAGTTGAACGCACACATCACAAAGTAGTTTCTGAGAATGATTCTGTCTAGTTTTTATAAGAAGATGTTTCCTTTTCTACATTTGGTCTCAAAGCGATTGAAATCTCCAACTGGAAACTGCACAAATAGGGTGTTTCAAATCTGCTCTGTCTAAAGGAAGGTTCAACTCTGTGAGTTGAATACACACACCACAAATAAGTTACTGAGAATTCTTCTGTCGACCATTACTTGAAGAAATCCCGTTTCCAACGAAGGCCTCAAAGAGGTCCAAATATCCACTTGCAGACATTACAAACAGAGTGTTTCCAAACTGCTCCATCAAAAGAAAGGTTAAACTCTGTGAGCTGAACACACACATCGAAAAGAAGTTTCTGTGAATGATTCTGTCTAGACTTTAGAAGAAGATGTTTCCTTTTCTACCGTAGGCCTCAAAGCGCTTGAAATCTCCAGCTGCAAATTCCACAAAAAGGGTGTTTAACATCTGCTCTTCTAAAGGAAAGTTCAACTCCATGAGTTGAATACACACAGCACAAAGAAGTTACTGAGACTTCTCCTATCAAACATTATATGAAGAAATCCCGTTTCCAACGAAGGCCTCAAAGAGGTCCAAATATCCACTTGCAGACGTGACAAACAGAGTGTTTCCAAACTGCTCCATCAAAAGAAAGGTTAAACTCTGTGAGTTGAACACACACATCACAAAGTAGTTTCTGTGAATGATTCTGTCTAGTTTTCATACGAAGATGTTTCGTTTTCTACCTTTGGTCTCAAAGCCATTGAAATGTCCACATGGAAACTCCACAAAAAGAGGGTTTCAAATCTGCTCTTTCTGAAGGAAGGTTCAACTCTGTGAGTTGAATACACACACCACAAATAAGTTACTGAGAATTCTCCTATCAAACATTATATGAAGAAATCCCGTTTCCAACGATGGCCCCAAAGAGGTCCAAATATCTGCTTGCAGACTTTACAAAGACAGTGTCTCCAAACTCCTCCATCAAAAGAAATATTATACACTGTGAATTGAAAGCACTCATCACAAAGTAGTTTCTGAGAATGATTCTGTCTAGTTTTTATACGAAGATATTTCCTTTTCTACATTTGGCCTAAAAGCGCTTGAAATCTCCACCTGCAAATATCACAAAAAGAGGGTTTCACATCTGCTCTGTCTAAAGGACAGTTCAACTCTGTGAGTTGAATAGAGGCAACACAAAGAAGTTACTGAGTATTCTTCTTTCTAGCGTTCTATGAAGAAATCCCGTTTCCAACGAAGGCCTCAAAGAGGCCCAAATATCTGCTTGCAGACTTTACAGACAGAGTGTTTCCAAACTACTCTATGAAAAGAAAGCTTAAACTCCTTGAGTTGAACGCACACATCACAAAGTAGTTTCTGAGAATGATTCTGTCTTGTTTTTATACGAAGATATTTCCGTTTCTATGATTGGCCTCAAAGCGATAGAAATCTCCAACTGCAAACTGCACAAATAGGGTGTTTCAAATCTGCTCTGTCTAAAGGAAGGTTCAACTCTGTGAGTTGAATACACACACCACAAATAAGTTACTGAGAATTCTCCTATCAAACATTATATGAAGAAATCCCGTTTCCAACGAAGGCCTCAAAGACGTCCAAATAACCACTTGCAGACATTACAAACAGTGTGTTTCCAAACTGCTCCATCAAAAGAAAGGTTAAACTCTGTGAGCTGAACACACACATCAAAAAGAAGTTTCTGTGAATGATTCTGTCTAGATTTTATAAGAAGATGTTTCCTTTTCTATCGTAGGCCTCAAAGCGCTTGAAATCTCCAGCTGCAAATTCCACAAAAAGGGTGTTTAACATCTGCTCTTCTAAAGGAAAGTTCAACTCTATGAGTTGAATACACACAGCACAAAGAAGTTACTGAGACTTCTCCTATCAAACATTATATGAAGAAATCCCGTTTCCAACTGAAGGCCTCAAAGAGGTCCAAATATCCGACTTGCAGACGTGACAAACAGAGTGTTTCCAAACTGCTGCATCAAAAGAAAGTTTAAACTCCGTGAGTTGAACACACACATCAAAAAGTAGTTTCTGTGAATGATTCTGTCTAGTTTTTATACGAAGATGTTTCCTTTTCTACCTTTGGTCTCAAAGCGATTGAAATCTCCACATGGAAACTCCACAAAAAGAGTGTTTCAAATCTGCTCTTTCTGAAGGAAGGTTCAACTCTGTGAGTTGAATACACACACCACAAATAAGTTACTGAGAATTCTTCTGTGTAACATTATATGAGGAAATCCCGTTTCCAACGAAGGCCTCAAAGAGGTCCAAATATCCACTTGCAGACTTTACAAAGACAGTGTCTCCAAACTCCTCCATCAAAAGAAAGGTTATACTCTGTGAATTGAACGCACACATCACAAAGTAGTTTCTGAGAATGATTCTGTCTAGTTTTTATACGAAGATATTTCCTTTTCTACATTTGGCCTAAAAGCGCTTGAAATCTCCACCTGCAAATATCACAAAAAGAGGGTTTCACATCTGCTCTGTCTAAAGGACAGTTCACCTCTGTGAGTTGAATAGAGGCAACACAAAGAACTTACTCAGTATTCTTCTTTCTAGCGTTCTATGAAGAAATCCCGTTTCCAACGAAGGCCCCAAAGAGGTCCAAATATCTGCTTGCAGACTTTACAGACAGAGTGTTTCCAAACTACTCTATGAAAAGAAAGCTTAAACTCCTTGAGTTGAACGCACACATCACAAAGTAGTTTCTGAGAATGATTCTGTCTAGTTTTTATACGAAGATGTTTCCTTTTCTACATTTGGTCTCAAAGCGATTGAAATCTCCAACTGGAAACTGCACAAATAGGGTGTTTCAAATCTGCTCTGTCTAAAGGAAGGTTCAACTCTGTGAGTTGAATACACACACCACAAATAAGTTACTGAGAATTCTTCTGTCGAACATTACATGAAGAAATCCCGTTTCCAACGAAGGCCTCAAAGAGGTCCAAATATCCACTTGCAGACATTACAAACAGTGTGTTTCCAAACTGCTCCATCAAAAGAAAGGTTAAACTCTGTGAGCTGAACACACACATCAAAAAGAAGTTTCTGTGAATGATTCTGTCTAGATTTTATAAGAAGATGTTTCCTTTTCTACCGTAGGCCTCAAAGCGCTTGAAATCTCCAGCTGCAAATTCCACAAAAAGGGTGTTTAACATCTGCACTTCTAAAGGAAAGTTCAACTCTATGAGTTGAATACACACAGCACAAAGAAGTTACTGAGACTTCTCCCTATCAAACATTATATGAAGAAATCCCGTTTCCAACGAAGGCCTCAAAGAGGTCCAAATATCTGCTTGCAGACTTTACAGACAGAGTGTTTCCAAACTGCTCCATCAAAAGAAAGGTTAAACTCCTTGAGTTGAACACACACATCACAAAGTAGTTTCTGTGAATGATTCTGTCTAGTTTCTATACGAAGATGTTTCCTTTTCTACGTTTGGTCTCAAAGCGATTGAAATCTCCACATGGAAACTCCACAAAAAGAGTGTTTCAAATCTGCTCTTTCTGAAGGAAGGTTCAACTCTGTGAGTTGAATACACACACCGCAAATAAGTTACTGAGAATTCTTCTGGGTAACATTATATGAGGAAATCCCGTTTCCAACGAAGGCCTCAAAGAGGTCCAAATATCCACTTGCAGACTTTACAAAGACAGTGTCTCCAAACTCCTCCATCAAAAGAAAGGTTATACTCTGTGAATTGAACGCACACATCACAAAGTAGTTTCTGAGAATGATTCTGTCTGGTTTTTATACGAAGATATTGCCTTTTCTACAATTGGCCTGAAAGTGCTTGAAATGTCCACCTGCAAATATCACAAAAAGAGGGTTTCACATCTGCTCTGTCTAAAGGACAGTTCACCTCTGTGAGTTGAATAGAGGCAACACAAAGCAGTTACTGAGTATTCTTCTTTCTAGCGTTCTATGAAGAAATCCCGTTTCTAACGAAGGCCCCAAAGAGGTCCAAATATCTGCTTGCAGAATTTACAGACAGAGTGTTTCCAAACTACTCTATGAAAAGAAAGCTTAAACTCCTTGAGTTGAACGCGCACATCACAAAGTAGTTTCTGAGAATGATTCTGTCTAGTTTTTATACGAAGATGTTTCCTTTTCTACATTTGGTCTCAAAGCGATTGAAATCTCCAACTGGAAACTGCACAAATAGGGTGTTTCAAATCTGCTCTGTCTAAAGGAAGGTTCAACTCTGTGAGTTGAATACACACACCACAAATAAGTTACTGAGAATTCTTCTGTCGAACATTACATGAAGAAATCCGGTTTCCAACGAAGGCCTCAAAGAGGTCCAAATGTCCACTTGCAGACACTACAAACAGAGTGTTTCCAAACTGCTCCATCAAAAGAAAGGTTAAACTCTGTGAGCTGAACACACACATCAGAAAGAAGTTTCTGTGAATGATGCTGTCTAGATGTTATACGAAGATGTTTCCTTTTCTACCATTGGCCTCAAAGAGCTTTAAATCTCCAGCTGCAAATTCCACAAAAAGGGTGTTTAACATCTGCTCTTCTAAAGGAAATTTCCACGCTGTGAGTTGAACACACACAGCACACATAAGTTACTGAGAATTCTTCTGTCTAACATTATATGAAGAAATCCCGTTTCCAACGGAGGCCTCAAGGAGGTCCAAATATCCACTTGCAGACGTGACAAACAGAGTGTTTCCAAACTGCTCCATCAAAAGAAAGGTTAAACTCTGTGAGTTGAACACACACATCACAAAGTAGTTTCTGTGAATGATTCTGTCTAGTTTTTATACGAAGATGTTTCCTTTTCTACCTTTGGTCTCAATGCGATTGAAATCTCCACATGGAAACTCCACAAAAAGAGTGTTTCAAATCTGCTCTTTCTGAAGGAAGGTTCAACTCTGTGAGTTGAATACACACACCACAAATAAGTTACTGAGAATTCTTCTGTGTAACATTATATGAGGAAATCCCGTTTCCAACGAAGGCCTCAAAGAGGTCCAAATATCCACTTGCAGACTTTACAAAGACAGTGTCTCCAAACTCCTCCATCAAAAGAAAGGTTATACTCTGTGAATTGAACGCACACATCACAAAGTAGTTTCTGAGAATGATTCTGTCTAGTTTTTATACGAAGATATTTCCTTTTCTACATTTGGCCTAAAAGCGCTTGAAATCTCCACCTGCAAATATCACAAAAAGAGGGTTTCACATCTGCTCTGTCTAAAGGACAGTTCACCTCTGTGAGTTGAATAGAGGCAACACAAAGAACTTACTCAGTATTCTTCTTTCTAGCGTTCTATGAAGAAATCCCGTTTCCAACGAAAGCCTCAAAGAGGTCCAAATATCTGCTTGCAGACTTTACAGACAGAGTGTTTCCAAACTACTCTATGAAAAGAAAGCTTAAACTCCTTGAGTTGAACGCACACATCACAAAGTAGTTTCTGAGAATGATTCTGTCTAGTTTTTATACGAAGATGTTTCCTTTTCTACATTTGGTCTCAAAGCGATTGAAATCTCCAACTGGAAACTGCACAAATAGGGTGTTTCAAATCTGCTCTTTCTAAAGGAAGGTTCAACTCTGTGAGTTGAATACACACACCACAAATAAGTTACTGAGAATTCTTCTGTCGACCATTACTTGAAGAAATCCCGTTTCCAACGAAGGCCTCAAAGAGGTCCAAATATCCACTTGCAGACATTACAAACAGAGTGTTTCCAAACTGCTCCATCAAAAGAAAGGTTAAACTCTGTGAGCGGAACACACACATCAAAAAGAAGTTTCCGTGAATGATTCTGTCTAGATTTTATAAGAAGATGTTTCCTTTTCTACCGTAGGCCTCAAAGCGCTTGAAATCTCCAGCTGCAAATTCCACAAAAAGGGTGTTTAACATCTGCTCTTCTAAAGGAAAGTTCAACTCTATGAGTTGAATACACACAGCACAAAGAAGTTACTGAGACTTCTCCTATCAAACATTATATGAAGAAATCCCGTTTCCAACGAAGGCCTCAAAGAGGTCCAAATATCTGCTTGCAGACGTTACATACAGAGTTTTTCCAAACTGCTCCATCAAAAGAAAGGTGAAACTCCTTGAGTTGAACACACACATCACAAAGTAGTTTCTGTGAATGATTCTGTCTAGTTTTTATACGAAGATGTTTCCTTTTCTACCTTTGGTCTCAATGCGATTGAAATCTCCACATGGAAACTCCACAAAAAGAGTGTTTCAAATCTGCTCTTTCTGAAGGAAGGTTCAACTCTGTGAGTTGAATACACACACCACAAATAAGTTACTGAGAATTCTTCTGTGTAACATTATATGAGGAAATCCCGTTTCCAACGAAGGCATCAAAGAGGTCCAAATATCCACTTGCAGACTTTACAAAGACAGTGTCTCCAAACTCCTCCATCAAAAGAAAGGTTATACTCTGTGAATTGAACGCACACATCACAAAGTAGTTTCTGAGAATGATTCTGTCTAGTTTTTATACGAAGATATTTCCTTTTCTACATTTGGCCTAAAAGCGCTTGAAATCTCCACCTGCAAATATCACAAAAAGAGGGTTTCACATCTGCTCTGTCTAAAGGACAGTTCACCTCTGTGAGTTGAATAGAGGCAACACAAAGAACTTACTCAGTATTCTTCTTTCTAGCGTTCTATGAAGAAATCCCGTTTCCAACGAAGGCCCCAAAGAGGTCCAAATATCTGCTTGCAGACTTTACAGACAGAGTGTTTCCAAACTACTCTATGAAAAGAAAGCTTAAACTCCTTGAGTTGAACGCACACATCACAAAGTAGTTTCTGAGAATGATTCTGTCTAGTTTTTATACGAAGATGTTTCCCTTTCTACAATTGGTCTCAAAGCGATTGAAATCTCCAACTGGAAACTGCACAAATAGGCTGTTTCAAATCTGCTCTGTCTAAAAGAGGGTTCAACTCTGTGAGTTGAATACACACACCACAAATAAGTTACTGAGAATTCTTCTGTCGAACATTACAGGAAGAAATCCCGTTTCCAACGAAGGCCTCAAAGAGGTCCAAATATCCACTTGCAGACATTACAAACAGTGTGTTTCCCAACTGCTCCATCAAAAGAAAGGTTAAACTCTGTGAGCTGAACACACACATCAAAAAGAAGTTTCTGTGAATGATTCTGTCTAGATTTTATAAGAAGATGTTTCCTTTTCTACCGTAGGCCTCAAAGCGCTTGAAATCTCCAGCTGCAAATTCCACAAAAAGGGTGTTTAACATCTACTCTTCTAAAGGAAAGTTCAACTCTATGAGTTGAATACACACAGCACAAAGAAGTTACTGAGACTTCTCCTATCAAACATTATATGAAGAAATCCCGTTTCCAACGAAGGCCTCAAAGAGGTCCAAATATCTACTTGCAGACTTTACAGACAGAGTGTTTCCAAACTGCTCCATCAAAAGAAAGGTTAAACTCCTTGAGTTGAACACACACATCACAAAGTAGTTTCTGTGAATGATTCTGTCTAGTTTTTATACGAAGATGTTTCCTTTTCTACCTTTGGTCTCAAAGCGATTGAAATCTCCACATGGAAACTCCACAAAAAGAGTGTTTCAAATCTGCTCTTTCTGAAGGAAGGTTCATCTCTGTGAGTTGAATACACACACCACAAATAAGTTACTGAGGAATTCTTCTGTGTAACATTATATGAGGAAATCCCGTTTCCAACGAAGGCCTCAAAGAGGTCCAAATATCCACTTGCAGACTTTACAAAGACAGTGTCTCCAAACTCCTCCATCAAAAGAAAGGTTATACTCTGTGAATTGAACGCACACATCACAAAGTAGTTTCTGAGAATGATTCTGTCTAGTTTTTATACGAAGATATTTCCTTTTCTACATTTGGCCTAAAAGCGCTTGAAACCTCCACCTGCAAATATCACAAAAAGAGGGTTTCACATCTGCTCTGTCTAAAGGACAGTTCACCTCTATGAGTTGAATAGAGGCAACACAAAGAACTTACTCAGTATTCTTCTTTCTTGCGTTCTATGAAGAAATCCCGTTTCCAACGAAGGCCTCAAAGAGGTCCAAATATCTGCTTGCACACTTTACAGACAGAGTGTTTCCAAACTACTCTATGAAAAGAAAGCTTAAACTCCTTGAGTTGAACGCACACATCACAAAGTAGTTTCTGAGAATGATTCTGTCTAGTTGTTATACGAAGATGTTTCCTTTTCTACATTTGGTCTCAAAGCGATTGAAATCTCCAACTGGAAACTGCACAAATAGGGTGTTTCAAATCTGCTCTGTCTAAAGGAAGGTTCAACTCTGTGAGTTGAATACACACACCACAAATAAGTTACTGAGAATTCTTCTGTCGAACATTACTTGAAGAAATCCCGTTTCCAACGAAGGCCTCAAAGATGTCCAAATATCCACTTGCAGACATTACAAACAGAGTGTTTCCAAACTGCTCCATCAAAAGAAAGGTTAAACTCTGTGAGCTGAACACACACATCAAAAAGAAGTTTCTGTGAATGATTCTGTCTAGATTTTATAAGAAGATGTTTCCTTTTCTACCGTAGGCCTCAAAGCGCTTGAAATCTCCAGCTGCAAATTCCACAAAAAGGGTGTTTAACATCTGCTCTTCTAAAGGAAAGTTCAACTCTATGAGTTGAATACACACAGCACAAAGAAGTTACTGAGACTTCTCCTATCAAACATTATATGAAGAAATCCCGTTTCCAACGAAGGCCTCAAAGAGGTCCAAATATCTGCTTGCAGACTTTACAGACAGAGTGTTTCCAAACTGCTCCATCAAAAGAAAGGTTAAACTCCTTGAGTTGAACACACACATCACAAAGTAGTTTCTGTGAATGATTCTGTCTAGTTTTTATACGAAGATGTTTCCTTTTCTACCTTTGGTCTCAAAGCGATTGAAATCTCCACATGGAAACTCCACAAAAAGAGTGTTTCAAATCTGCTCTTTCTGAAGGAAGGTTCATCTCTGTGAGTTGAATACACACACCACAAATAAGTTACTGAGAATTCTTCTGTGTAACATTATATGAGGAAATCCCGTTTCCAACGAAGGCCTCAAAGAGGTCCAAATATCCACTTGCAGACTTTACAAAGACAGTGTCTCCAAACTCCTCCATCAAAAGAAAGGTTATACCCTGTGAATTGAACGCACACATCAGAAAGTAGTTTCTGAGAATGATTCTGTCTAGTTTTTATACGAAGATATTTCCTTTTCTACATTTGGCCTAAAAGCGCTTGAAATCTCCACCTGCAAATATCACAAAAAGAGGGTTTCACATCTGCTCTGTCTAAAGGACAGTTCACCTCTGTGAGTTGAATAGAGGCAACACAAAGAACTTACTCAGTATTCTTCTTTCTAGCGTTCTATGAAGAAATCCCGTTTCCAACGAAGGCCTCAAAGAGGTCCAAATATCTGCTTGCAGACTTTACAGACAGAGTGTTTCCAAACTACTCTATGAAAAGAAAGCTTAAACTCCTTGAGTTGAACGCACACATCACAAAGTAGTTTCTGAGAATGATTCTGTCTAGTTTTTATACGAAGATGTTTCCTTTTCTACATTTGGTCTCAAAGCGATTGAAATCTCCAACTGGAAACTGCACAAATAGGGTGTTTCAAATCTGCTCTCTCTAAAGGAAGGTTCAACTCTGTGAGTTGAATACACACACCACAAATAAGTTACTGAGAATTCTTCTGTCGAACATTACAGGAAGAAATCCCGTTTCCAACGAAGGCCTCAAAGAGGTCCAAATATCCACTTGCAGACATTACAAACAGTGTGTTTCCCAACTGCTCCATCAAAAGAAAGGTTAAACTCTGTGAGCTGAACACACACATCAAAAAGAAGTTTCTGTGAATGATTCTGTCTAGATTTTATAAGAAGATGTTTCCTTTTCTACCGTAGGCCTCAAAGCGCTTGAAATCTCCAGCTGCAAATTCCACAAAAAGGGTGTTTAACATCTGCTCTTCTAAAAGAAAGTTCAACTCTGTGAGTTGAATACACACAGCACAAAGAAGTTACTGAGACTTCTCCTATCAAACATTGTATGAAGAAATCCCGTTTCCAACGAAGGCCTCAAAGAGGTCCAAATATCTGCTTGCAGACTTTACAGACAGAGTTTTTCCAAACTGCTCCATCAAAAGAAAGGTTAAACTCCTTGAGTTGAACACACACATCACAAAGTAGTTTCTGTGAATGATTCTGTCTAGTTTTTATACGAAGATGTTTCCTTTTCTACCTTTGGTCTCAAAGCGATTGAAATCTCCACATGGAAACTCCACAAAAAGAGTGTTTCAAATCTGCTCTTTCTGAAGGAAGGTTCAACTCTGTGAGTTGAATACACACACCACAAATAAGTTACTGAGAATTCTTCTCTGTAACATTATATGAGGAAATCCCGTTTCCAACGAAGGCCTCAAAGAGGTCCAAATATCCACTTGCAGACTTTACAAAGACAGTGTCTCCGAACTCCTCCATCAAAAGAAAGGTTATACTCTGTGAATTGAACGCACACATCACAAAGTAGTTTCTGAGAATGATTCTGTCTAGTTTTTATACGAAGATATTTCCTTTTCTACATTTGGCCTAAAAGCGCTTGAAATCTCCACCTGCAAATATCACAAAAAGAGGGTTTCACATCTGCTCTGTCTAAAGGACAGTTCACCTCTGTGAGTTGAATAGAGGCAACACAAAGAACGTACTCAGTATTCTTCTTTCTAGCGTTCTATGAAGAAATCCCGTTTCCAACGAAGGCCCCAAAGAGGTCCAAATATCTGCTTGCAGACTTTACAGACAGAGTGTTTCCAAACTACTCTATGAAAAGAAAGCTTAAACTCCTTGAGTTGAACGCACACATCACAAAGTAGTTTCTGAGAATGATTCTGTCTAGTTTTTATACGAAGATGTTTCCTTTTCTACATTTGGTCTCAAAGCGATTGAAATCTCCAACTGGAAACTGCACAAATAGGGTGTTTCAAATCTGCTCTGTCTAAAGGAAGGTTCAACTCTGTGAGTTGAATACACACACCACACATAAGTTACTGAGAATTCTTCTGTCGAACATTACTTGAAGAAATCCCGTTTCCAACGAAGGCCTCAAAGAGGTCCAAATATCCACTTGCAGACATTACAAACAGAGTGTTTCCAAACTGCTCCATCAAAACAAAGGTTAAACTCTGTGAGCTGAACACACACATCGAAAAGAAGTTTCTGTGAATGATTTCTGTCTAGATTTTATAAGAAGATGTTTGCTTTTCTACCGTAGGCCTCAAAGCGCTTGAAATCTCCAGCTGCAAATTCCACAAAAAGGGTGTTTAACATCTGCTCTTCTAAAGGAAAGTTCAACTCTATGCGTTGAATACACACAGCACAAAGAAGTTACTGAGACTTCTCCTATCAAACATTATATGAAGAAATCCCGTTTCCAACGAAGGCCTCAAAGAGGTCCAAATATCTGCTTGCAGACTTTAAAGACAGAGTTTTTCCAAACTGCTCCATCAAAAGAAAGGTTAAACTCCTTGAGTTGAACACACACATCACAAAGTAGTTTCTGTGAATGATTCTGTCTAGTTTTTATACGAAGATGTTTCCTTTTCTACCTTTGGTCTCAAAGCGATTGAAATCTCCACATGGAAACTCCACAAAAAGAGTGTTTCAAATCTGCTCTTTCTGAAGGAAGGTTCAACTCTGTGAGTTGAATACACACACCACAAATAAGTTACTGAGAATTCTTCTGTGTAACATTATATGAGGAAATCCCGTTTCCAACGAAGGCCTCAAAGAGGTCCAAATATGCACTTGCAGACTTTACAAAGACAGTGTCTCCGAACTCCTCCATCAAAAGAAAGGTTATACTCTGTGAATTGAACGCACACATCACAAAGTAGATTCTGAGAACGATTCTGTCTACTTTTTATAAGAAGATATTTCCTTTTCCACATTTGGCCTAAAAGCCCTGGAAATCTCCACCTGCAAATATCACAAAAAGAGGGTTTCACATCTGCTCTGTCTAAAGGACTGTTCACCTCTGTGAGTTGAATAGAGGCAACACCAAGAACTTACTCAGTATTCTTCTTTCTAGCGTTCTATGAAGAAATCCCGTTTCCAACGAAGGCCCCAAAGAGGTCCAAATATCTGCTTGCAGACTTTACAGACAGAGTGTTTCCAAACTACTCTATGAAAAGAAAGCTTAAACTCCTTGAGTTGAACGCACACATCACAAAGTAGTTTCTGAGAATGATTCTGTCTAGTTTTTATACGAAGATGTTTCCTTTTCTACATTTGGTCTCAAAGCGATTGAAATCTCCAACTGGAAACTGCACAAATAGGGTGTTTCAAATCTGCTCTGTCTAAAGGAAGGTTCAACTCTGTGAGGTGAATACACACACCACAAATAAGTTACTGAGAATTCTTCTGTCGAACATTACTTGAAGAAATCCCGTTTCCAACGAAGGCCTCAAAGAGGTCCAAATATCCACTTGCAGACATTACAAACAGAGTGTTTCCAAACTGCTCCATCAAAAGAAAGGTTAAACTCTGTGAGCTGAACACACACATCAAAAAGAAGTTTCTGTGAATGATTCTGTCTAGATTTTATAAGAAGATGTTTCCTTTTCTACCGTAGGCCTCAAAGCGCTTGAAATCTCCAGCTGCAAATTCCACAAAAAGGGTGTTTAACATCTGCTCTTCTAAAGGAAAGTTCAACTCTATGAGTTGAATACACACAGCACAAAGAAGTTACTGAGACTTCTCCTATCAAACATTATATGAAGAAATCCCGTTTCCAACGAAGGCCTCAAAGAGGTCCAAATGTCTGCTTGCAGACTTTACAGACAGAGTTTTTCCAAACTGCTCCATCAAAAGAAAGGTTAAACTCCTTGAGTTGAACACACACATCACAAAGTAGTTTCTGTGAATGATTCTGTCTAGTTTTTATACGAAGATGTTTCCTTTTCTACCTTTGGTCTCAAAGCGATTGAAATCTCCACATGGAAACTCCACAAAAAGAGTGTTTCAAATCTGCTCTTTGTGAAGGAAGGTTCAACTCTGTGAGTTGAATACACACACCACAAATAAGTTACTGAGAATTCTTCTGTGTAACATTATATGAGGAAATCCCGTTTCCAACGAAGGCCTCAAAGAGGTCCAAATATCCACTTGCAGACTTTACAAAGACAGTGTCTCCAAACTCCTCCATCAAAAGAAAGGTTATACTCTGTGAATTGAACGCACACATCACAAAGTAGTTTCTGAGAATGATTCTGTCTAGTTTTTATACGAAGATATTTCCTTTTCTACATTTGGCCTAAAAGCGCTTGAAATCTCCACCTGCAAATATCACAAAAAGAGGGTTTCACATCTGCTCTGTCTAAAGGACAGTTCACCTCTGTGAGTTGAATAGAGGCAACACAAAGAACTTACTCAGTATTCTTCTTTCTGGCGTTCTATGAAGAAATCCCGTTTCCAACGAAGGCCCCAAAGAGGTCCAAATATCTGCCTGCAGACTTTACAGACAGAATGTTTCCAAACTACTCTATGAAAAGAAAGCTTAAACTCCTTGAGTTGAACGCACACATCACAAAGTAGTTTCTGAGAATGATTCTGTCTAGTTTTTATACGAAGATGTTTCCTTTTCTACATTTGGTCTCAAAGCAACTGAAATCTCCAACTGGATACTGCACAAATAGGGTGTTTCAAATCTGCTCTGTCTAAAGGAAGGTTCAACTCTGTGAGTTGAATACACACACCACAAATAAGTTACTGAGAATTCTTCTGTCGAACATTACTTGAAGAAATCCCGTTTCCAACGAAGGCCCCAAAGAGGTCCAAATATCCACTTGCAGATATTACAAACAGAGTGTTTCCAAACTGCTCCATCAAAAGAAAGGTTAAACTCGGTGAGCTGAACACACACATCAAAAAGAAGTTTCTGTGAATTATTCTGTCTAGATTTTATAAGAAGATGTTTCCTTTTCTACCGTAGGCCTCAAAGCGCTTGAAATCTCCAGCTGCAAATTCCACAAAAAGGGTGTTTAACATCTGCTCTTCTAAAGGAAAGTTCAACTCTATGAGTTGAATACACACAGCACAAAGAAGTTACTGAGACTTCTCCTATCAACCATTACATGAAGAAATCCCGTTTCCAACGAAGGCCTCAAAGAGGTCCAAATATCTGCTTGCAGACTTTTCAGACAGAGTGTTTCCAAACTGCTCCATCAAAAGAAAGGTTAAATTCCTTGAGTTAAACACACACATCACAAAGTAGTTTCTGTGAATGATTCTGTCTAGTTTTTATACGAAGATGGTTCCTATTCTACCTTTGGTCTCAAAGCGATTGAAATCTCCACATGGAAACTTCACAAAAAGAGTGTTTCAAATCTACTCTTTCTGAGGGAAGGTTCAACTCTGTGAGTTGAATACACACACCACAAATAAGTTACTGAGAATTACTCTGTGTAACATTATATGAGGAAATCCCGTTTCCAACGAAGGCCTCAAAGAGGTCCAAATATCCACTTGCAGACTTTACAAAGACAGTGTCTCCAAACTCCTCCATCAAAAGAAAGGTTATACTCTGTGAATTGAACGCACACATCACAAAGTAGTTTCTGAGAATGATTCTGTCTAGTTTTTATACGAAGATATTTCCTTTTCTACATTTGGCCTAAAAGCGCTTGAAATCTCCACCTGCAAATATCAGAAAAAGAGGGTTTCACATCTGCTCTGTCTAAAGGACAGTTCACCTCTGTGAGTTGAATAGAGGCAACACAAAGTACTTACTCAGTATTCTTCTTTCTAGCGTTATATGAAGAAATCCCGTTTCCAACGAAGGCCTCAAAGAGGTCCAAATATCTGCTTGCAGACTTTACAAACAGAGTGTTTCCAAACTACTCTATGAAAAGAAAGCTTAAACTCCGTGAGTTGAACGCACACATCACAAAGTAGTTTCTGAGAATGATTCTGTCTAGTTTTTATACGAAGATGTTTCCTTTTCTACATTTGGTCTCAAAGCGATTGAAATCTCCAACTGGAAACTGCACAAATAGGGTGTTTCAAATCTGCTCTGTCTAAAGGAAGGTTCAACTCTTTGAGTTGAATACACACACCACAAATAAGTTACTGAGAATTCTTCTGTCGAACATTAGTTGAAGAAATCCCGTTTCCAACGAAGGCCTCAAAGAGGTCCAAATATCCACTTGCAGACATTACAAACAGAGTGTTTCCAAACTGCTCCATCAAAAGAAAGGTTAAACTCTGTGAGCTGAACACACACACCAAAAAGAAGTTTCTGTGAATGATTCTGTCTAGATTTTATAAGAAGATGTTTCCTTTTCTACCGTAGGCCTCAAAGCGCTTGAAATCTCCAGCTGCAAATTCCACAAAAAGGGTGTTTAACATCTGCTCTTCTAAAGGAAAGTTCAACTCTATGCGTTGAATACACACAGCACAAAGAAGTTACTGAGACTTCTCCTATCAAACATTATATGAAGAAATCCCGTTTCCAACGAAGGCCTCAAAGAGGTCCAAATATCTGCTTGCAGACTTTAAAGACAGAGTTTTTCCAAACTGCTCCATCAAAAGAAAGGTTAAACTCCTTGAGTTGAACACACACATCACAAAGTAGTTTCTGTGAATGATTCTGTCTAGTTTTTATACGAAGATGTTTCCTTTTCTACCTTTGGTCTCAAAGCGATTGAAATCTCCACATGGAAACTCCACAAAAAGAGTGTTTCAAATCTGCTCTTTCTGAAGGAAGGTTCATCTCTGTGAGTTGAATACACACACCACAAATAAGTTACTGAGAATTCTTCTGTGTAACATTATATGAGGAAATCCCGTTTCCAACGAAGGCCTCAAAGAGGTCCAAATATCCACTTGCAGACTTTACAAAGACAGTGTCTCCAAACTCCTCCATCAAAAGAAAGGTTATACTCTGTGAATTGAACGCACACATCACAAAGTAGTTTCTGAGAATGATTCTGTCTAGTTTTTATATGAAGATATTTCCTTTTCTACATTTGGCCTAAAAGTGCTTGAAATCTCCACCTGCAAATATCACAAAAAGAGGGTTTCAAATCTGCTCTGTCTAAAGGAAGGTTCAACTCTATGAGTTGAATACACACACCACAAATAAGTTACTGAGAATTCTTCTTTCTAGCGTTCTATGAAGAAATCCCGTTTCCAACGAAGGCCTCAAAGAGGTCCAAATATCTGCTTGCAGACTTTACAGACAGAGTGTTTCCAAACTACTCTATGAAAAGAAAGCTTAAACTCCTTGAGTTGAACGCACACATCACAAAGTAGTTTCTGAGAATGATTCTGTCTAGTTTTTATACGAAGATGTTTCCTTTTCTACATTTGGTCTCAAAGCGATTGAAATCTCCAACTGGAAACTGCACAAATAGGGTGTTTCAAATCTGCTCTGTCTAAAGGAAGGTTCAACTCTGTGAGTTGAATACACACACCACAAATAAGTTACTGAGAATTCTTCTGTGTAACATTATATGAGGAAATCCCGTTTCCAACGAAGGCCTCAAAGAGGTCCAAATATCCACTTGCAGACATTACAAACAGAGTGTTTCCAAACTGCTCCATGAAAGGAAAGGTTAAACTCTGTGAGCTGAACACACACATCAAAAAGAAGTTTCTGTGAATGATTCTGTCTAGATTTTATAAGAAGATGTTTCCTTTTCTACGGTAGGCCTCAAAGCGCTTGAAATCTCCAGCTGCAAATTCCACAAAAAGGGTGTTTAACATCTGCTCTTCTAAGGGAAAGTTCAACTCTATGAGTTGAATACACACAGCACAAAGAAGTTACTGAGACTTCTCCTATCAAACATTATATGAAGAAATCCCGTTTCCAACGAAGGCCTTAAAGAGGTCCAAATATCTGCTTGCAGACATTACAGACAGAGTTTTTCCAAACTGCTCCATCAAAAGAAATGTTAAACTCCTTGAGTTGAACACACACATCACAAAGCAGTTTCTGTGATTGATTCTGTCTAGTTTTTATACGAAGATGTTTCCTTTTCTACCTTTGGTCTCAAAGCGATTGAAATCTCCACATGGAAACTCCACAAAAAGAGTGTTTCAAATCTGCTCTTTCTGAAGGAAGGTTCATCTCTGTGAGTTGAATACACACACCACAAATAAGTTACTGAGAATTCTTCTGTGTAACATTATATGAGGAAATCCCGTTTCCAACGAAGGCCTCAAAGAGGTCCAAATATCCACTTGCAGACTTTACAAAGACAGTGTCTCCAAACTCCTCCATCAAAAGAAAGGTTATACTCTGTGAATTGAACGCACACATCACAAAGTAGTTTCTGAGAATGATTCTGTCTAGTTTTTATACGAAGATATTTCCTTTTCTACATTTGACCTAAAAGCGCTTGAAATCTCCACCTGCAAATATCCCAAAAAGAGGGTTTCACATCTGCTCTGTCTAAAGGACAGTTCACCTCTGTGAGTTGAATAGAGGCAACACAAAGAACTTACTCAGTATTCTTCTTTCTACCGTTCTATGAAGAAATCCCGTTTCCAACGAAGGCCTCAAAGAGGTCCAAATATCTGCTTGCAGACTTTACAGACAGAGTGTTTCCAAACTACTCTATGAAAAGAAAGCTTAAACTCCTTGAGTTGAACGCACACATCACAAAGTAGTTTCTGAGAATGATTCTGTCTAGTTTTTATACGAAGATTTTTCCTTTTCTACATTTGGTCTCAAAGCGATTGAAATCTCCTACTGGAAACTGCACAAATAGGGTGTTTCAAATCTGCTCTGTTTAAAGGAAGGTTCAACTCTGTGAGTTGAATACACACACCACAAATAAGTTACTGAGAATTCTTCTGTCTAACATTATATGAAGAAATCCCGTTTCCAACGAAGGCCTCAAAGAGGTCCAAATATCCACTTGCAGACTTGTCAAACAGAGTGTTTCCAAACTGCACCATCAAAAGAAAGGTTAAACTCTGTGAGCTGAACACACACATCACAAAGTAGTTTCTGTGAATGATTCTGTCTAGTTTTTATACGAAGATGTTTCCTTTTCTACCTTTGGTCTCAAAGAGATTGAAATCTCCTTATGGAAACTCCACAAAAAGAGTGTTTCAAATCTGCTCTTTCTGAAGGAAGGTTCAACTACTGTGAGTTGAATACACACACCACAAATAAGTTACTGAGAATTCTTCTGTGTAACATTATATGAGGAAATCCCGTTTCCAACGAAGGCCTCAAAGAGGTCCAAATGTCCACTTGCAGACTTTACAAAGACAGTGTCTCCAAACTCCTCCATCAAAAGAAAGGTTATTCTCTGTGAATTGAGCACACATCACAAAGTAGTTTCTGAGAATGATTCTGTCTAGTTTTTATACGAAGATATTTCCTTTTCTACATTTGGCCTAAAAGCGCTTGAAATCTCCACCTGCAAATATCACAAAAAGAGGGTTTCACATCTGCTCTGTCTAAAGGACAGTTCACCTCTGTGAGTTGAATAGAGGCAACACAAAGAACTTACTCAGTATTCTTCTTTCTAGCGTTACATGAAGAAATCCCGTTTCCAACGAAGGCCTCAAAGAGGTCCAAATATCTGCTTGCAGACTTTACAGACAGAGTGTTTCCAAACTACTCTATGAAAAGAAAGCTTAAACTCCTTGAGTTGAACGCACACATCACAAAGTAGTTTCTGAGAATGATTCTGTCTTGTTATTATACGAAGATATTTCCGTTTCTACGATTGGCCTCCAAGCGATTGAAATCTCCAACTGGAAACTGCACAAATAGGGTGTTTCAAATCTGCTGTGTCTAAAGGAAGGTTCCACTCTGTGAGTTGAATACACACACCACAAATAAGTTACGGAGAATTCTTCTGTCGAACATTACATGAAGAAATCCCGTTTCCAACGAAGGCCTCAAAGAGGTCCAAATATCCACTTGCAGACATTACAAACAGTGTGTTTCCCAACTGCTCCATCAAAAGAAAGGTTAAACTCTGTGAGCTGAACACACACATCAAAAAGAAGTTTCTGTGAATGATTCTGTCTAGATTTTATAAGAAGATGTTTCCTTTTCTACCGTAGGCCTCAAAGCGCTTGAAATCTCCAGCTGCAAATTCCACAAAAAGGGTGTTTAACATCTGCTCTTCTAAAGGAAAGTTCAACTCTATGAGTTGAATACACACAGCACAAAGAAGTTACTGAGACTTCTCCTATCAAACATTATATGAAGAAATCCCGTTTCCAACGAAGGCCTCAAAGAGGTCCAAATATCTGCTTGCAGACTTTACAGACAGAGTGTTTCCAAACTGCTCCATCAAAAGAAAGGTTAACCTCCTTGAGTTGAACACACACATCACAAAGTAGTTTCTGTGAATGATTCTGTCTAGTTTTTATACGAAGATGTTTCCTTTTCTACCTTTGGTCTCAAAGCGATTGAAATCTCCACATGGAAACTCCACAAAAAGAGTGTTTCAAATCTGCTCTTTCTGAAGGAAGGTTCATCTCTGTGAGTTGAATACACACACCACAAATAAGTTACTGAGAATTCTTCTGTGTAACATTATATGAGGAAATCCCGTTTCCAACGAAGGCCTCAAAGAGGTCCAAATATCCACTTGCAGACTTTACAAAGACAGTGTCTCCAAACTCCTCCATCAAAAGAAAGGTTATACTCTGTGAATTGAACGCACACATCACAAAGTAGTTTCTGAGAATGATTCTGTCTAGTTTTTATACGAAGATATTTCCTTTTCTACATTTGGCCTAAAAGCGCTTGAAATCTCCACCTGCAAATATCACAAAAAGAGGGTTTCACATCTGCTCTGTCTAAAGGACAGTTCACCTCTGTGAGTTGAATAGAGGCAACACAAAGAACTTACTCAGTATTCTTCTTTCTAGCGTTCTATGAAGAAATCCCGTTTCCAACGAAGGCCTCAAAGAGGTTCAAATATCTGCTTGCAGACTTTACAGACAGAGTGTTTCCAAACTACTCTATGAAAAGAAAGCTTAAACTCCTTGAGTTGAACGCACACATCACAAAGTAGTTTCTGAGAATGATTCTGTCTAGTTTTTATACGAAGATGTTTCCTTTTCTACATTTGGTCTCAAAGCGATTGAAATCTCCAACTGGAAACTGCACAAATAGGGGGTTTCAAATCTGCTCTGTCTAAAGGAAGGTTCAACTCTGTGAGTTGAATACACACACCACAAATAAGTTACTGAGAATTCTTCTGTCGAACATTACTTGAAGAAATCCCGTTTCCAAAGAAGGCCTCAAAGAGGTCCAAATATCCACTTGCAGACATTACAAACAGAGTGTTTCCAAACTGCTCCATCAAAAGAAAGGTTAAACTCTGTGAGCTGAACACACACATCAAAAAGAAGTTTCTGTGAATGATTCTGTCTAGATTTTATAAGAAGATGTTTCCTTTTCTACCGTAGGCCTCAAAGCGCTTGAAATCTCCAGCTGCAAATTCCACAAAAAGGGTGTTTAACATCTGCTCTTCTAAAGGAAAGTTCAACTCTATGAGTTCAATACACACAGCACAAAGAAGTTACTGAGACTTCTCCTATCAAACATTATATGAAGAAATCCCGTTTCCAACGAAGGCCTCAAAGAGGTCCAAATATCTGCTTGCAGACTTTACAGACAGAGTGTTTCCAAACTGCTCCATCAAAAGAAAGGTTAAACTCCTTGAGTTGAACACACACATCACAAAGTAGTTTCTGTGAATGATTCTGTCTAGTTTTTATACGAAGATGTTTCCTTTTCTACCTTTGGTCTCAAAGCGATTGAAATCTCCACATGGAAACTCCACAAAAAGAGTGTTTCAAATCTGCTCTTTCTGAAGGAAGGTTCAACTCTGTGAGTTGAATACACACACCACAAATAAGTTACTGAGAATTCTTCTGTGTAACATTATATGAGGAAATCCCGTTTCCAACGAAGGCCTCAAAGAGGTCCAAATATCCACTTGCAGACTTTACAAAGACAGTGTCTCCAAACTCCTCCATCAAAAGAAAGGTTATACTCTGTGAATTGAACGCACACATCACAAAGTAGTTTCTGAGAATGATTCTGTCTAGTTTTTATACGAAGATATTTCCTTTTCTACATTTGGCCTAAAAGCGCTTGAAATCTCCACCTGCAAATATCACAAAAAGACGGTTTCACATCTGCTCTGTCTAAAGGACAGTTCACCTCTGTGAGTTGAATAGAGGCAACACAAAGAACTTACTCAGTATTCTTCTTTCTAGCGTTATATGAAGAAATCCCGTTTCCAACGAAGGCCCCAAAGAGGTCCAAATATCTGCTTGCAGACTTTACAGACAAAGTGTTTCCAAACTACTCTATGAAAAGAAAGCTTAAACTACTTGAGTTGAACGCACACATCACAAAGTAGTTTCTGAGAATGATTCTGTCTAGTTTTTATACGAAGATGTTTCCTTTTCTACATTTGGTCTCAAAGCGATTGAAATCTCCAACTGGAAACTGCACAAATAGGGTGTTTCAAATCTGCTCTGTCTAAAGGAAGGTTCAACTCTGTGAGTTGAATACACACACCACAAATAAGTTACTGAGAATTCTTCTGTCGAACATTACTTGAAGAAATCCCGTTTCCAAAGAAGGCCTCAAAGAGGTCCAAATATCCACTTGCAGACATTACAAACAGAGTGTTTCCAAACTGCTCCATGAAAAGAAAGTTTAAACTCTGTGAGCTGAACACACACATCAAAAAGAAGTTTCTGTGAATGATTCTGTCTAGATTTTATAAGAAGATGTTTCCTTTTCTACCGTAGGCCTCAAAGCGCTTGAAATCTCCAGCTGCAAATTCCACAAAAAGGGTGTTTAACATCTGCTCTTCTAAAGGAAAGTTCAACTCTATGAGTTGAATACACACAGCACAAAGAAGTTACTGAGACTTCTCCTATCAAACATTATATGAAGAAATCCCGTTTCCAACGAAGGCCTCAAAGAGGTCCAAATATCTGCTTGCAGACTTTAAAGACAGAGTTTTTCCAAACTGCTCCATCAAAAGAAAGGTTAAACTCCTTGAGTTGAACACACACATCACAAAGTAGTTTCTGTGAATGATTCTGTCTAGTTTTTATACGAAGATGTTTCCTTTTCTACCTTTGGTCTCAAAGCGATTGAAATCTCCACATGGAAACTCCACAAAAAGAGTGTTTCAAATCTGCTCTTTCTGAAGGAAGGTTCAACTCTCTGAGTTGAATACACACACCACAAATAAGTTACTGAGAATTCTTCTGTGTAACATTATATGAGGAAATCCCGTTTCCAACGAAGGCCTCAAAGAGGTCCAAATATCCACTTGCAGACTTTACAAAGACAGTGTCTCCAAACTCCTCCATCAAAAGAAAGGTTATACTCTGTGAATTGAACGCACACATCACAAAGTAGTTTCTGAGAATGATTCTGTCTAGTTTTTATACGAAGATATTTCCTTTTCTACATTTGGCCTCAAAGCGCTTGAAATCTCCACCTGCAAATATCACAAAAAGAGGGTTTCACATCTGCTCTGTCTAAAGGACAGTTCACCTCTGTGAGTTGAATAGAGGCAACACAAAGAACTTACTCAGTATTCTTCTTTCTGGCGTTCTATGAAGAAATCCCGTTTCCAACGAAGGCCCCAATGAGGTCCAAATATCTGCTTGCAGACTTTACAGACAGAGTGTTTCCAAACTACTCTATGAAAAGAAAGCTTAATCTCCTTGAGTTGAACGCACACATCACAAAGTAGTTTCTGAGAATGATTGTGTCTAGTTTTTATACGAAGATGTTTCCTTTTCTACATTTGGTCTCAAAGCGATTGAAATCTCCAAGTGCAAACTGCACAAATAGGTTGTTTCAAATCTGCTGTGTCTAAAGGAAGGTTCAACTCTGTGAGTTGAATACACACACCACAAATAAGTTACTGAGAATTCTTCTGTCTAACATAATATGAAGAAATCCCGTTTCCAACGAAGGCCTCAAAGAGGTCCAAATATCCACTTGCAGACATTACAAACAGTGTGTTTCCAAACTGCTCCATCAAAAGAAAGGTTAAACTCTGTGAGCTGAACACACACATCAAAAAGAAGTTTCTGTGAATGATTCTGTTTAGATTTTATAAGAAGATGTTTCCTTTTCTACCGTAGGCCTCAAAGCGCTTGAAATCTCCAGCTGCAAATTCCACAAAAAGGGTGTTTAACATCTGCTCTTCTAAAGGAAAGTTCAACTCTATGAGTTGAATACACACAGCACAAAGAAGTTACTGAGACTTCTCCTATCAAACATTATATGAAGAAATCCCGTTTCCAACGAAGGCCTCAAAGAGGTCCAAATATCTGCTTGCAGACTTTACAGACAGAGTGTTTCCAAACTGCTCCATCAAAAGAAAGGTTAAACTCCTTGAGTTGAACACACACATCACAAAGTAGTTTCTGTGAATGATTCTGTCTAGTTTTTATACGAAGATGTTTCCTTTTCTACCTTTGGTCTCAAAGCCATTGAAATCTCCACATGGAAACTCCACAAAAAGAGTGTTTCAAATCTGCTCTTTCTGAAGGAAGGTTCAACTCTGTGAGTTGAATACACACACCACAAATAAGTTACTGAGAATTCTTCTGTGTAACATTATAGGAGGAAATCCCGTTTCCAACGAAGGCCTCAAAGAGGTCCAAATATCCACTTGCAGACTTTACAAAGACAGTGTCTCCAAACTCCTCCATCAAAAGAAAGGTTATCCTGCTGTGAATTGAACGCACACATCACAAAGTAGTTTCTGAGAATGATTCTGTCTAGTTTTTATACGAAGATATTTCCTTTTCTACATTTGGCCTAAAAGCGCTTGAAATCTCCACCTGCAAATATCACAAAAAGAGGGTTTCACATCTGCTCTGTCTAAAGGACAGTTCACCTCTGTGAGTTGAATAGAGGCAACACAAAGAACTTACTCAGTATTCTTCTTTCTAGCGTTCTATGAAGAAATCCCGTTTCCAAAGAAGGCCTCAAAGAGGTCCAAATATCTGCTTGCAGACTTTACAGACAAAGTGTTTCCAAACTACTCTATGAAAAGAAAGCTTAAACTCCTTGAGTTGAACGCACACATCACAAAGCAGTTTCTGAGAATGATTCTGTCTAGTTTTTATACGAAGATGTTTCCTTTTCTACATTTGGTCTCAAAGCGATTGAAATCTCCAACTGGAAACTGCACAAATAGGGTGTTTCAAATCTGCTCTGTCTAAAGGAAGGTTCAACTCTGTGAGTTGAATACACACACCACAAATAAGTTACTGAGAATTCTTCTGTCGAACATTACTTGAAGAAATCCCGTTTCCAACGAAGGCCTCAAAGAGGTCCAAATATCCACTTGCAGACATTACAAACAGAGTGTTTCCAAACTGCTCCATCAAAAGAAAGGTTAAACTCTGTGAGCTGAACCCACACATCAAAAAGAAGTTTCTGTGAATGATTTCTGTCTAGATTTTATAAGAAGATGTTTCCTTTTCTACCGTAGGCCTCAAAGCGCTTGAAATCTCCAGCTGCAAATTCCACAAAAAGGGTGTTTAACATCTGCTCTTCTAAAGGAAAGTTCAACTCTATGAGTTGAATACACACAGCACAAAGAAGTTACTGAGACTTCTCCTATCAAACATTATATGAAGAAATCCCGTTTCCAACGAAGGCCTCAAAGAGGTCCAAATATCTGCTTGCAGACTTTACAGACAGAGTGTTTGCAAACTGCTCCATCAAAAGAAAGGTTAACCTCCTTGAGTTGAACACACACATCACAAAGTAGTTTCCGTGAATGATTCTGTCTAGTTGTTATACAGAAGATGTTTCCTTTTCTACCTTTGGTCTCAAAGCGATTGAAATCTCCACATGGAAACTCCACAAAAAGAGTGTTTCAAATCTGCTCTTTCTGAAGGAAGGTTCATCTCTGTGAGTTGAATACACACACCACAAATAAGTTACTGAGAATTCTTCTGTGTAACATTATATGAGGAAATCCCGATTCCAACGAAGTCCTCAAAGAGGTCCAAATATCCACTTACAGACTTTACAAAGACAGTGTCTCCAAACTCCTACATCAAAAGAAAGGTTATACTCTGTGAATTGAACGCACACATCACAAAGTAGTTTCTGAGAATGATTCTGTCTAGTTTTTATACGAAGATATTTCCTTTTCTACATTTGGCCTAAAAGTGCTTGAAATCTCCACCTGCAAATATCACAAAAAGAGGGTTTCACATCTGCTCTGTCTAAAGGACAGTTCACCTCTGTGAGTTGAATAGAGGCAACACAAAGAACTTACTCAGTATTCTTCTTTCTAGCGTTCTATGAAGAAATCCCGTTTCCAACGAAGGCCTCAAAGAGGTCCAAATATCTGCTTGCAGACTTTACAGACAGAGTGTTTCCAAACTACTCTATGAAAAGAAAGCTTAAACTCCTTGAGTTGAACGCACACATCACAAAGTAGTTTCTGAGAATGATTCTGTCTAGTTTTTATACGAAGATGTTTCCTTTTCAACATTTGGTCTCAAAGCGATTGAAATCTCCAACTGGAAACTGCACAAATAGGGTGTTTCAAATCTGCTCTGTCTAAAGGAAGGTTCAACTCTGTGAGTTGAATACACACACCACAAATAAGTTACTGAGAATTCTTTCTGTCGAACATTACTTGAAGAAATCCCGTTTCCAACGAAGGCCTCAAAGAGGTCCAAATACCCACTTGCAGACATTACAAACAGATTGTTTCCAACCTGCTCCATCAAAAGAAAGGTTAAACTCTGTGAGCTGAACACACACATCAAAAAGAAGTTTCTGTGAATGATTGTGTCTAGATTTTATAAGAAGATGTTTCCTTTTCTACCATAGGCCTCAAAGCGCTAGAAATCTCCAGCTGCAAATTCCACAAAAAGTGTGTTTAACATCTGCTCGTTCTAAGGTAAAGTTCAGCTCTGTGATTTGAATACACACAGCACAAAGAAGTTACTGAGACTTCTCCTATCAAACATTATATGAAGAAATCCCGTTTCCAACGAAGGCCTCAAAGAGGTCCAAATATCTGCTTGCAGACTTTACAGACAGAGTTTTTCCAAACTGCTCCATCAAAAGAAAGGTTAAACTCCTTGAGTTGAACACACACATCACAAAGTAGTTTCTGTGAATGATTCTGTCTAGTTTTTATACGAAGATGTTTCCTTTTCTAGCTTTGGTCTCAAAGCGATTGAAATCTCCACATGGAAACTCCACAAAAAGAGTGTTTCAAATCTGCTGTTTCTGAAGGAAGGTTCAACTCTGTGAGTTGAATACACGCACCACAAATAAGTTACTGGGAATTCTTCTGTGTAACATTATATGAGGAAATCCCGTTTCCAACGAAGGCCTCAAAGAGGTCCAAATATCCACTTGCAGACTTTACAAAGACAGTGTCTCCAAACTCCTCCATCAAAAGAAAGGTTATACTCTGTGAATTGAACGCACACATCACAAAGTAGTTTCTGAGAATGATTCTGTCTAGTTTTTATACGAAGATGTTTGCTTTTCTACATTTGGCCTAAAAGTGCTTGAAATCTCCACCTGCAAATATCACAAAAAGAGGGTTTCACATCTGCTCTGTCTAAAGGACAGTTCACCTCTGTGAGTTGAATAGAGGCAACACAAAGAACTTACTCAGTATTCTTCTTTCTAGCGTTCTATGAAGAAATCCCGTTTCCAACGAAGGCCTCAAAGAGGTCCAAATATCTGCTTGCAGACTTCACAGACAGAGTGTTTCCAAACTACTCTATGAAAAGAAAGCTTAAACTCCTTGAGTTGAACGCACACATCACAAAGTAGTTTCTGAGAATGATTCTGTCTAGTTTTTATACGAAGATGTTTCCTTTTCTACATTTGGTCTCAAAGCGATTGAAATCTCCAACTGGAAACTGCACAAATAGGGTGTTTCAAATCTGCTCTGTCTAAAGGAAGGTTCAACTCTGTGAGTTGAATACACACACCACAAATAAGTTACTGAGAATTCTTCTGTCGAACATTACAGGAAGAAATCCCGTTTCCAACGAAGGCCTCAAAGAGGTCCAAATATCCACTTGCAGACATTACAAACAGAGTGTTTCCAAACTGCTCCATCAAAAGAAAGGTTAAACTCTGTGAGCTGAACACACACATCAAAAAGAAGTTTCTGTGAATGATTCTGTCTAGATTTTATAAGAAGATGTTTCCTTTTCTACCGTAGGCCTCAAAGCGCTTGAAATCTCCAGCTGCAAATTCCACAAAAAGGGTGTTTAACATCTGCTCTTCTAAAGGAAAGTTCTACTCTATGCGTTGAATAAACACAGCAGAAAGAAGTTACTGAGACTTCTCCTATCAAACATTATATGAAGAAATCCCGTTTCCAACGAAGGCCTCAAAGAGGTCCAAATATCTGCTTGCAGACTTTACAGACAGAGTGTTTCCAAACTGCTCCATCAAAAGAAAGGTTAAACTCCTTGAGTTGAACACACACATCACAAAGTAGTTTCTGTGAATGATTCTGTCTAGTTTTTATACGAAGATGTTTCCTTTTCTACCTTTGGTCTCAAAGCGATTGAAATCTCCACATGGAAACTCCACAAAAAGAGTGTTTCAAATCTGCTCTTTCTGAAGGAAGGTTCAACTCTGTGAGTTGAATACACACACCACAAATAAGTTACTGAGAATTCTTCTGTGTAACATTATATGAGGAAATCCCGTTTCCAACGAAGGCCTCAAAGAGGTCCAAATATCCACTTGCAGACTTTACGAAGACAGTGTCTCCAAACGCCTCCATCAAAAGAAAGGTTATACTCTGTGAATTGAACGCACACATCACAAAGCAGTTTCTGAGAATGATTCTGTCTAGTTTTTATACGAAGATATTTCCTTTTCTACATTTGGCCTAAAAGCGCTTGAAATCTCCACCTGCAAATATCACAAAAAGAGGGTTTCACATCTGCTCTGTCTGAAGGACAGTTCACCTCTGTGAGTTGAATAGAGGCAACACAAAGAACTTACTCAGTATTCTTCTTTCTAGCGTTCTATGAAGAAATCCCGTTTCCAACGAAGGCCCCAAAGAGGTCCAAATATCTGCTTGCAGACTTTACAGACAGAGTGTTTCCAAACTACTCTATGAAAAGAAAGCTTAAACTCCTTGAGTTGAACGCACACATCACAAAGTAGTTTCTGAGAATGATTCTGTCTAGTTTTTATACGAAGATGTTTCCTTTTCTACATTTGGTCTCAAAGCGATTGAAATCTCCAACTGGAAACTGCACAAATAGGGTGTTTCAAATCTGCTCTGTCTAAAGGAAGGTTCAACTCTGTGAGTTGAATACACACACCACAAATAAGTTACTGAGAATTCTTCTGTCGAACATTACTTGAAGAAATCCCGTTTCCAAAGAAGGCCTCAAAGAGGTCCAAATATCCACTTGCAGACATTACAAACAGAGTGTTTCCAAACTGCTCCATCAAAAGAAAGGTTAAACTCTGTGAGCTGAACACACACATCAAAAAGAAGTTTCTGTGAATGATTCTGTCTAGATTTTATAAGAAGATGTTTCCTTTTCTACCGTAGGCCTCAAAGCGCTTGAAATCTCCAGCTGCAAATTCCACAAAAAGGGTGTTTAACATCTGCTCTTCTAAAGGAAAGTTCAACTCTATGAGTTGAATACACACAGCACAAAGAAGTTACTGAGACTTCTCCTATCAAACATTATATGAAGAAATCCCGTTTCCAACGAAGGCCTCAAAGAGGTCCAAATATCTGCTTGCAGACTTTACAGACAGAGTGTTTCCAAACTGCTCCATCAAAAGAAAGGTTAAACTCCTTGAGTTGAACACACACATCACAAAGTAGTTTCTGTGAATGATTCTGTCTAGTTTTTATAAGAAGATGTTTCCTTTTCTACCTTTGGTCTCAAAGCGATTGAAATCTCCACATGGAAACTCCACAAAAAGAGTGTTTCAAATCTGCTCTTTCTGAAGGAAGGTTCAACTCTGTGAGTTGAATACACACACCACAAATAAGTTACTGAGAATTCTTCTGTGTAACATTATATGAGGAAATCCCTTTTCCAACGAAGGCCTCAAAGAGGTCCAAATATCCACTTGCAGACTTTACAAAGACAGTGTCTCCAAACTCCTCCATCAAAAGAAAGGTTATACTCTGTGAAATGAAGGCACACATCACAAAATAGTTTCTGAGAATGATTCTGTCTAGTTTTTATACGAAGATATTTCCTTTTCTACATTTGGCCTAAAAGCGCTTGAAATCTCCACCTGCAAATATCACAAAAAGAGGGTTTCACATCTGCTCTATCTAAAGGAGAGTTCACCTCTGTGAGTTGAATAGAGGCAACACAAAGAACTTACTCAGTATTCTTCTTTCTAGCGTTCTATGAAGAAATCCCGTTTCCAACGAAGGCCCCAAAGAGGTCCAAATATCTGCTTGCAGACTTTACAGACAGAGTGTTTCCAAACTACTCTATGAAAAGAAAGCTTAAACTCCTTGAGTTGAACGCACACATCACAAAGTAGTTTCTGAGAATGATTCTGTCTAGTTTTTATACAAAGATGTTTCCTTTTCTACATTTGGTCTCAAAGCGATTGAAATCTCCAACTGGAAACTGCACAAATAGGGTGTTTCAAATCTGCTCTGTCTAAAGGAAGGTTCAACTCTGTGAGTTGAATACACACACCACAAATAAGTTACTGAGAATTCTTCTGTCGAACATTACTTGAAGAAATCCCGTTTCCAACGAAGGCCTCAAAGAGGTCCAAATATCCACTTGCAGACATTACACACAGAGTGTTTCCAAACTGCTCCATCAAAAGAAAGGTTAAACTCTGTGAGCTGAACACACACATCGAAAAGAAGTTTCTGTGAATGATTCTGTCTAGATTTTATAAGAAGATGTTTCCTTTTCTACAGTAGGCCTCAAAGCGCTTGAAATCTCCAGCTGCAAATTCCACAAAAAGGGTGTTTAACATCTACTCTTCTAAAGGAAATTTCAACTCTATGAGTTGAATGCACACAGCACAAAGAAGTTACTGAGACTTCTCCTATCAAACATTATATGAAGAAATCCCGTTTCCAACGAAGGCCTCAAAGAGGTCCAAATATCTGCTTGCAGACTTTACAGACAGAGTGTTTCCAAACTGCTCCATCAAAAGAAAGGTTAAACTCCTTGAGTTGAACACACACATCACAAAGTAGTTTCTGTGAATGATTCTGTCTAGTTTTTATACGAAGATGTTTCCTTTTCTACCTTTGGTCTCAAAGCGATTGAAATCTCCACATGGAAACTCCACAAAAAGAGTGTTTCAAATCTGCTCTTTCTGAAGGAAGGTTCACCTCTGTGAGTTGAATAAACACACCACAAATAAGTTACTGAGAATTCTTCTGTGTAACATTATATGAGGAAATCCCGTTTCCAACGAAGGCCTCAAAGAGGTGCAAATATCCACTTGCAGACTTTACAAAGACAGTGTCTCCAATCTCCTCCATCAAAAGAAAGGTTATACTCTGTGAATTGAACGCACACATCACAAAGTAGTTTCTGAGAATGATTCTGTCTAGTTTTAATACGAAGATATTTCCTTTTCTACATTTGGCCTAAAAGCGCTTGAAATCTCCACCTGCAAATATCACAAAAAGAGGGTTTCACATCTGCTCTGTCTAAAGGACAGTTCACCTCTGTGAGTTGAATAGAGGCAACACAAAGAACTTACTCACTATTCTTCTTTCTAGCGTTCTATGAAGAAATCCCGTTTCCAACGAAGGCCTCAAAGAGGTCCAAATATCTGCTTGCAGACTTTACAGACAGAGTGTTTCCAAACTACTCTATGAAAAGAAAGCTTAAACTCCTTGAGTTGAACGCACACATCACAAAGTAGTTTCTGAGAATGATTGTGTCTAGTTTTTATACGAAGATGTTTC
This sequence comes from Homo sapiens, assembly GCF_000001405.40. Taxonomy (NCBI): domain Eukaryota; kingdom Metazoa; phylum Chordata; class Mammalia; order Primates; family Hominidae; genus Homo; species Homo sapiens. Next base: position 36,451,646 of record NC_000012.12, on the reverse strand, counting down.
CTTTTCTACATTTGGTCTCAAAGCGATTGAAATCTCCAAGTGCAAACTGCACAAATAGGTTGTTTCAAATCTGCTCTGTCTAAAGGAAGGCTCAACTCTGTGAGTTGAATACACACACCACAAATAAGTTACTGAGAATTCTTCTGTCGAACATTACATGAAGAAATCCCGTTTCCAACGAAGGCCTCAAAGAGGTCCAAATATCCACTTACAGACATTACAAACAGTGTGTTTCCAAACTGCTCCATCAAAAGAAAGGTTAAACTCTGTGAGCTGAACACACATATCGAAAAGAAGTTTCTGTGAATGATTGTGTCTAGATTTTATAAGAAGATGTTTCCTTTTCTACCATAGGCCTCAAAGCACAAGAAATCTCCAGCTGAAAATTCCACAAAAAGTGTGTTTAACATCTGCTCGTTCTAAAGTAAAGTTCAGCTCTGTGATTTGAATACACACAGCACAAAGAAGTTACTGAGACTTCTCCTATCAAACATTATATGAAGAAATCCCGTTTCCAACGAAGGCCTCAAAGAGGTCCAAATATCTGCTTGCAGACCTTACAGACAGAGGGTTTCCAAACTGCTCCATCAAAAGAAAGGTTAACCTCCTTGAGTTGAACACACACATCACAAAGTAGTTTCTGTGAATGATTCTGTCTAGTTTTTATATGAAGATGTTTCCTTTTCTACCTTTGGTCTCAAAGCGATTGAAATCTCCACATGGAAACTCCACAAAAAGAGTGTTTCAAATCTGCTCTTTCTGAAGGAAGGTTCATCTCTGTGAGTTGAATACACATACCACAAATAAGTTACTGAGAATTCTTCTGTGTAACATTATATGAGGAAATCCCGTTTCCAACGAAGGCCTCAAAGAGGTCCAAATATCCACTTGCAGACTTTACAAAGACAGTGTCTCCAAACTCCTCCATCAAAAGAAAGGTTATACTCTGTGTATTGAACGCACACATCACAAAGTAGTTTCTGAGAACGATTCTGTCTAGTTTTTATACGAAGATATTTCCTTTTCTACATTTGGCCTAAAAGCGCTTGAAATCTCCACCTGCAAATATCACAAAAAGAGGGTTTCACATCTGCTCTGTCTAAAGGACAGTTCACCTCTGTGAGTTGAATAGAGGCAACACAAAGAACGTACTCAGTATTCTTCTTTCTATCGTTCTATGAAGAAATCCCTTTTCCAACGAAGGCCCCAATGAGGTCCAAATATCTGCTTGCAGACTTTACAGACAGAGTGTTTCCAAACTACTCTATGAAAAGAAAGCTTAAACTCCTTGAGTTGAACTCACACATCACAAAGTAGTTTCTGAGAATGATTCTGTCTAGTTTTTATACGAAGATGTTACCTTTTCTACATTTGGTCTCAAAGCGATTGAAATCTCCAACTGGAAACTGCACAAATAGGGTGTTTCAAATCTGCTCTGTCTAAAGGAAGGTTCAACTCTGTGAGTTGAATACACACACCACAAAGAAGTTACTGAGAATTCTTCTGTCGAACATTACATGAAGAAATCCCGTTTCCAACGAAGGCCTCAAAGAAGTCCAAATATCCACTTGCAGACATTACAAACAGAGTGTTTCCAAACTGCTCCATCAAAAGAAAGGTTAAACTCTGTGAGCTGAACACACACATCAAAAAGAAGTTTCTGTGAATGATTCTGTCTAGACTTTAGAAGAAGATGTTTCCTTTTCTACCGTTGGCCTCAAAGCGCTTGAAATCTCCAGCTGCAAATTCCACAAAAAGGGTGTTTAACATCTGCTCTTCTAAAGGAAAGTTCAACTCCATGAGTTGAATACACACAGCACAAAGAAGTTACAGAGACTTCTCCTATCAACCATTATATGAAGAAATCCCGTTTCCAACGAAGGCCTCAAAGAGGTCCAAATATCCACTTGCAGACGTGACAAACAGAGTGTTTCCAAACTGCTCCATCAAAAGAAAGGTTAAACTCTGTGAGTTGAACACACACATCACAAAGTAGTTTCTGTGAATGATTCTGTCTAGTTTTTATACGAAGATGTTTCCTTTTCTACCTTTGGTCTCAATGCGATTGAAATCTCCACATGGAAACTCCACAAAAAGAGTGTTTCAAATCTGCTCTTTCTGAAGGAAGGTTCAACTCTGTGAGTTGAATACACACACCACAAATAAGTTACTGAGAATTCTTCTGTGTAAAATTATATGAGGAAATCCCGTTTCCAACGAAGGCCTCAAAGAGGTCCAAATATCCACCTGCAGACTTTACAAAGACAGTGTCTCCAAACTCCTCCATCAAAAGAAAGGTTATACTCTGTGAATTGAACGCACACATCACAAAGTAGTTTCTGAGAATGATTCTGTCTAGTTTTTATACGAAGATATTTGCTTTTCTACATTTGGCCTAAAAGCGCTTGAAATCTCCACCTGCAAATATCACAAAAAGAGGGTTTCACATCTGCTCTGTCTAAAGGACAGTTCACCTCTGTGAGTTGAATAGAGGCAACACCAAGAACTTACTCACTATTCTTCTTTCTAGCGTTCTATGAAGAAATCCCGTTTCCAACGAAGGCATCAAAGAGGTCCAAATATCTGCTTGCAGACTTTACAGACAGAGTGTTTCCAAACTACTCTATGAAAAGAAAGCTTAAACTCCTTGAGTTGAACGCACACAACACAAAGTAGTTTCTGAGAATGATTCTGTCTAGTTTTTATACGAAGATGTTTCCTTTTCTACATTTGGTCTCAAAGCGATTGAAATCTCCAACTGGAAACTGCACAAATAGGGTGTTTCAAATCTGCTCTGTCTAAAGGAAGGTTCAACTCTGTGAGTTGAATACACACAACACAAATAAGTTACTGAGAATTCTTCTGTCGAACATTACTTGAAGAAATCCCGTTTCCAAAGAAGGCCTCAAACAGGTCAAAATATCCACTTGCAGACATTACAAACAGAGTGTTTCAAAACTGCTCCATCAAAAGAAAGGTTAAACTCTGTGAGCTGAACACACACATCGAAAAGAAGTTTCTGTGAATGATTCTGTCTAGATTTTATAAGAAGATGTTTCCTTTTCTACCGTAGGCCTCAAAGCGCTTGAAATCTCCAGCTGCAAATTCCACAAAAAGGGTGTTTAACATCTGCTCTTCTAAAGGAAAGTTCAACTCTATGAGTTGAATACACACAGCACAAAGAAGTTACTGAGACTTCTCCTATCAAACATTATATGAAGAAATCCCGTTTCCAACGAAGGCCTCAAAGAGGTCCAAATATCTGCTTGCAGACTTTACAGACAGAGTATTTCCAAACTGCTCCATCAAAAGAAAGGTTAAACTCCTTGAGTTGAACACACACATCACAAAGTAGTTTCTGTGAATGATTCTGTCTAGTTTTTATACGAAGATGTTTCCTTTTCTACCTTTGGTCTCAAAGTGATTGAAATCTCCACATGGAAACTCCACAAAAAGAGTGTTTCAAATCTGCTCTTTCTGAAGGAAGGTTCAAATCTGTGAGTTGAATACACACACCACAAATAAGTTACTGAGAATTCTTCTGTGTAACATTATATGAGGAAATCCCGTTTCCAACGAAGGCCTCAAAGAGGTCCAAATATCCACTTGCAGACTTTACAAAGACAGTGTCTCCAAACTCCTCCATCAAAAGAAAGGTTATACTCTGTGAATTGAACGCACACATCACAAAGTAGTTTCTGAGAATGATTCTGTCTAGTTTTTATACGAAGATATTTCCTTTTCTACATTTGGCCTAAAAGCGCTTGAAATCTCCACCTGCAAATATCACAAAAAGAGGGTTTCACATCTGCTCTGTCTAAAGGACAGTTCACCTCTGTGAGTTGAATAGAGGCAACACAAAGAACTTACTCAGTATTCTTCTTTCTAGCGTTCTATGAAGAAATCCCGTTTCCAACGAAGGCCTCAAAGAGGTCCAAATATCTGCTTCCAGACTTTACAGACAGAGTGTTTCCAAACTACTCTATGAAAAGAAACCTTAAACTCCTTGAGTTGAATGCACACATCACAAAGTAGTTTCTGAGAATGATTCTGTCTAGTTTTTATACGAAGATATTTCCTTTTCTACATTTGGTCTCAAAGCGATTGAAATCTCCAACTGGAAACTGCACAAATAGGGTGTTTCATATCTGCTCTGTCTAAAGGAAGGTTCAACTCTGTGAGTTGAATACTCACACCACAAATAAGTTACTGAGAATTCTCCCTATCAAACATTATATGAAGAAATCCCGTTTCCAACGAAGGCCTCAAAGAGGTCCAAATATCCACTTGCAGACATTACAAACAGAGTGTTTCCAAACTGCTCCATCAAAAGAAAGGTTAAACTCTGTGAGCTGAACACACACATCAAAAAGAAGTTTCTGTGAATGATTCTGTCTAGATTTTATAAGAAGATGTTTCCTTTTCTACCGTAGGCCTCAAAGCGCTTGAAATCTCCAGCTGCAAATTCCACAAAAAGGGTGTTTAACATCTGCTCTTCTAAAGGAAAGTTCAACTCTATGAGTTGAATACACACAGCACAAAGAAGTTACTGAGACTTCTCCTATCAAACATTATATGAAGAAATCCCGTTTCCAACGAAGGCCTCAAAGAGGTCCAAATATCTGTTTGCAGACTTTACAGACAGAGTTTTTCCAAACTGCTCCATCAAAAGAAAGGTTAAACTCCTTGAGTTGAACACACACATCACAAAGTAGTTTCTGTGAATGATTCTGTCTAGTTTTTATACGAAGATGTTTCCTTTTCTACCTTTGGTCTCAAAGCGATTGAAATCTCCACATGGAAACTCCACAAAAAGAGTGTTTCAAATCTGCTCTTTCTGAAGGAAGGTTCAACTCTGTGAGTTGAATACACACACCACAAATAAGTTACTGAGAATTCTTCTGTGTAACATTATATGAGGAAATCCCGTTTCCAACGAAGGCCTCAAAGAGGTCCAAATATCCACTTGCAGACTTTACAAAGACAGTGTCTCCAAACTCCTCCATCAAAAGAAAGGTTATACTCTGTGAATTGAACGCACACATCACAAAGTAGTTTCTGAGAATGATTCTGTCTAGTTTTTATACGAGGATATTTCCTTTTCTACATTTGGCCTAAAAGCGCTTGAAATCTCCACCTGCAAATATCACAAAAAGAGGGTTTCACATCTGCTCTGTCTAAAGGACAGTTCACCTCTGTGAGTTGAATAGAGGCAACACAAAGAACTTACTCAGTATTCTTCTTTCTAGCGTTATATGAAGAAATCCCGTTTCCAACGAAGGCCTCAAAGAGGTCCAAATATCTGCTTGCACACTTTACAGACAGAGTGTTTCCAAACTACTCTATGAAAAGAAAGCTTAAACTCCTTGAGTTGAACGCACACATCACAAAGTAGTTTCTGAGAATGATTCTGTCTAGTTTTTATACGAAGATGTTTCCTTTTCTACATTTGGTCTCAAAGCGATTGAAATCTCCAACTGGAAACTGCACAAATAGGGTGTTTCAAATCTGCTCTGTCTAAAGGAAGGTTCAACTCTGTGAGTTGAATACACACACCACAAATAAGTTACTGAGAATTCTTCTGTCGAACATTACTTGAAGAAATCCCGTTTCCAACGAAGGCCTCAAAGAGGTCCAAATATCCACTTGCAGACATTACAAACAGAGTGTTTCCAAACTGCTCCATCAAAAGAAAGGTTAAACTCTGTGACCTGAACACACACATCGAAAAGAAGTTTCTGTGAATGATTCTGTCTAGATTTTATAAGAAGATGTTTCCTTTTCTACCGTAGGCCTCAAAGCGCTTGAAATCTCCAGCTGCAAATTCCACAAAAAGGGTGTTTAACATCTGCTCTTCTAAAGGAAAGTTCAACTCTATGAGTTGAATACACACAGCACAAAGAAGTTACTGAGACTTCTCCTATCAAACATTATATGAAGAAATCCCGTTTCCAACGAAGGCCTCAGAGAGGTCCAAATATCTGCTTGCAGACTTTACAGACAGAGTGTTTCCAAACTGCTCCATCAAAAGAAAGGTTAAACTCCTTGAGTTGAACACACACATCACAAAGTAGTTTCTGTGAATGATTCTGTCTAGTTTTTATAAGAAGATGTTTCCTTTTCTACCTTTGGTCTCAAAGCGATTGAAATCTCCACATGGAAACTCCTCAAAAAGAGTGTTTCAAATCTGCTCTTTCTGAAGGAAGGTTCAACTCTGTGAGTTGAATACACACACCACAAATAAGTTACTGAGAATTCTTCTGTGTAACATTATATGAGGAAATCCCGTTTCCAACGAAGGCCTCAAAGAGGTCCAAATATCCACTTGCAGACTTTACAAAGACAGTGTCTCCAAACTCCTCCATCAAAAGAAAGGTTATACTCTGTGAATTGAACGCACACATCACAAAGTAGTTTCTGAGAATGATTCTGTCTAGTTTTTATACGAAGATATTTCCTTTTCTACATTTGGCCTAAAAGCGCTTGAAGTCTCCACCTGCAAATATCACAAAAAGAGGGTTTCACATCTGCTCTGTCTAAAGGACAGTTCACCTTTGTGAGTTGAATAGAGGCAACACAAAGAACTTACTCAGTATTCTTCTTTCTAGCGTTCTATGAAGAAATCCCGTTTCCAACGAAGGCCTCAAAGAGGTCCAAATATCTGCTTGCAGACTTTACAGACAGAGTGTTTCCAAACTACTCTATGAAAAGAAAGCTTAAACTCCTTGAGTTGAACGCACACATCACAAAGTAGTTTCTGAGAATGATTCTGTCTAGTTTTTATACGAAGATGTTTCCTTTTCTACATTTGGTCTCAAAGCGATTGAAATCTCCAACTGGAAACTGCACAAATAGGGTGTTTCAAATCTGCTCTGTCTAAAGGAAGGTTCAACTCTGTGAGTTGAATACACACACCACAAATAAGTTACTGAGAATTCTCCTATCAAACATTATATGAAGAAATCCCGTTTCCAACGAAGGCCTCAAAGAGGTCCAAATATCCACTTGCAGACATTACAAACAGAGTGTTTCCAAACTGCTCCATCAAAAGAAAGGTTAAACTCTGTGAGCTGAACACACACATCAAAAAGAAGTTTCTGTGAATGATTCTGTCTAGATTTTATAAGAAGATGTTTCCTTTTCTACAGTAGGCCTCAAAGCGCTTGAAACCTCCAGCTGCAAATTCCCCAAAAAGGGTGTTTAACATCTGCTCTTCTAAAGGAAAGTTCAACTCTATGAGTTGAATACACACAGCACAAAGAAGTTACTGAGACTTCTCCTATCAAACATTATATGAAGAAATCCCATTTCCAACGAAGGCCTCAAAGAGGTCCAAATATCTGCTTGCAGACATTACAGACAGAGTGTTTCCAAACTGCTCCATCAAAAGAAAGGTTAAACTCCTTGAGTTGAACACACACATCACAAAGTAGTTTCTGTGAATGATTCTGTCTAGTTTTTATACGAAGATGTTTCCTTTTCTACCTTTGGTCTCAAAGCGATTGAAATCTCCACATGGAAACTCCACAAAAAGAGTGTTTCAAATCTGCTCTTTCTGAAGGAAGGTTCAACTCTGTGAGTTGAATACACACACCACAAATAAGTTACTGAGAATTCTTCTGTGTAACATTATATGAGGAAATCCCGTTTCCAACGAAGGCCTCAAAGAGGTCCAAATATCCACTTGCAGACTTTACAAAGACAGTGTCTCCAAACTCCTCCATCAAAAGAAAGGTTATACTCTGTGAATTGAACGCACACATCACAAAGTAGTTTCTGAGAATGATTCTGTCTAGTTTTTATACGAAGATATTTCCTTTTCTACATTTGGCCTAAAAGCGCTTGAAATCTCCACCTGCAAATATCACAAAAAGAGGGTTTCACATCTGCTCTGTCTAAAGGACAGTTCACCCCTGTGAGTTGAATAGAGGCAACACAAAGAACTTACTGAGTATTCTTCTTTCTAGCGTTCTATGAAGAAATCCCGTTTCCAACGAAGGCCTCAAAGAGGTCAAATATCTGCTTGCAGACTTTACAGACAGAGTGTTTCCAAACTACTCTATGAAAAGAAAGCTTAAACTCCTTGAGTTGAACGCACACATCACAAAGTAGTTTCTGAGAATGATTCTGTCCAGTTTTTATACGAAGATGTTTCCTTTTCTACATTTGGTCTCAAAGCGATTGAAATCTCCAACTGGAAACTGCACAAATAGGGTGTTTCAAATCTGCTCTGTCTAAAGGAAGGTTCAACTCTGTGAGTTGAATACACACACCACAAATAAGTTACTGAGAATTCTTCTGTCGAACATTACTTGAAGAAATCCCGTTTCCAACGAAGGCCTAAAAGAGGTCCAAATATTCACTTGCAGATATTACAAACAGAGTGTTTCCAAACTGCTCCATCAAAAGAAAGGTTAAACTCTGTGAGCTGAACACACACATCAAAAAGAAGTTTCTGTGAATAATTCTGTCTAGATTTTGTAAGAAGATGTTTCCTTTTCTACCGTAGGCCTCAAAGCGCTTGAAATCTCCAGCTGCAAATTCCACAAAAAGGGTGTTTAACATGTGCTCTACTAAAGGAAAGTTCAACTCTATGAGTTGAATACACAGAGCAGAAAGAAGTTACTGAGACTTCTCCTATCAAACATTATATGAAGAAATCCCGTTTCCAACGAAGGACTCAAAGAGGTACAAATATCTGCTTGCAGACTTTTCAGACAGAGTGTTTCCAAACTGCTCCATCAAAAGAAAGGTTAAACTCCTTGAGTTGAACACACACATCACAAAGTAGTTTCTGTGAATGATTCTGTCTAGTTTTTATACGAAGATGTTTCCTTTTCTACCTTTGGTCTCAAAGTGAGTGAAATCTCCACATGGAAACTCCACAAAAAGAGTGTTTCAAATCTGCTCTTTCTGAAGGAAGGTTCAACTCTGTGAGTTGAATACACACATCACAAATAAGTTACTGAGAATTCTTCTGTGTAACATTATATGAGGAAATCCCGTTTCCAACGAAGGCCTCAAAGAGGTCCAAATATCCACTTGCAGACTTTACAAAGACAGTGTCTCCAAACTCCTCCATCAAAAGAAAGGTTATACTCTGTGAATTGAACGCACACATCACAAAGTAGTTTCTGAGAATGATTCTGTCTAGTTTTTATACGAAGATATTCCCTTTTCTACATTTGGCCTAAAAGCGCTTGAAATCTCCACCTGCAAATATCACAAAAAGAGGGTTTCACATCTGCTCTGTCTAAAGGACAGTTCACCTCTGTGAGTTGAATAGAGGCAACACAAAGAAGTTACTGAGTATTCTTCTTTCTAGCGTTCTATGAAGAAATCCCGTTTCCAACGAAGGCCCCAAAGAGGTCCAAATATCTACTTGCAGACTTAACAGACAGAGTGTTTCCAAACTACTCTATGAAAAGAAAGCTTAAACTCCTTGAGTTGAACGCACACATCACAAAGTAGTTTCTGAGAATGATTCTGTCTTGTATTTATACGAAGATATTTCCGTTTCTACGATTGGCCTCAAAGCGATTGAAATCTCCAACTGGAAACTGCACAAATAGAGTGTTTCAAATCTGTTCTGTCTAAAGGAAGTTTCAACTCTGTGAGTTGAATACACGCACCACAAATAAGTTACTGAGAATTCTTCTGTCTATCATTACATGAGGAAATCCCTTTTCCAACGAAGGCCTCAAAGAGGTACAAATATCCACTTGCAGACATTACAAACAGAGTGTTTCCAAACTGCTCCATCAAAAGAAAGGTTAAACTCTGTGAGCTGAACACACACATCAAAAAGAAGTTTCTGTGAATGATTCTGTCTAGGTTTTATAAGAAGATGTTTCCTTTTCTACCGTAGGCCTCAAAGCGCTTGAAATCTCCAGCTGCAAATTCCACAAAAAGTGTGTTTAACATCTGTTCTTCTAAAGGAAAATTCAACTCTATGAGTTGAATACACACAGCACAAAGATGTTACTGAGACTTCTCCTATCAAACATTATATGAAGAAATCCCATTTCCAACGAAGGCCTCAAAGAGGTCCAAATATCTGCTTGCAGACTTTACAGACAGAGTGTTTCCAAACTGCTCCGTCAAAAGAAAGGTTAAACTCCTTGAGTTGAACACACACATCACAAAGTAGTTTCTGTGAATGATTCTGTCTAGTTTTTATATGAAGATGTTTCCTTTTCTACCTTTGGTCTCAAAGCGATTGAAATCTCCACATGGAAACTCCACAAAAGGAGTGTTTCAAATCTGCTCTTTCTGAAGGAAGGTTCAACTCTGTGAGTTGAATACACACACCACAAATAAGTTACTGAGAATTCTTCTGTGTAACATTATATGAGGAAATCCCGTTTCCAACGAAGGCCTCAAAGAGGTCCAAATATCCACTTGCAGACTTTACAAAGACAGTGTCTCCAAACTCCTCCATCAAAAGAAAGGTTATACTCTGTGAATTGAACGCACACATCACAAAGTAGTTTCTGAGAATGATTCTGTCTAGTTTTTATACGAAGATATTTCCTTTTCTACATTTGGCCTAAAAGCGCTTGAAATCTCCACCTGCAAATATCACAAAAAGAGGGTTTCACATCTGCTCTGTCTAAAGGACAGTTCACCTCTGTGAGTTGAATAGAGGCAACACAAAGAACTTACTCAGTATTCTTCTTTCTAGCGTTCTATGAAGAAATCCCGTTTCCAACGAAGGCCCCAAAGAGGTCCAAATATCTGCTTGCAGACTTTACAGACAGAGTGTTTCCAAACTACTCTATGAAAAGAAAGCTTAAACTCCTTGAGTTGAACGCACACATCACAAAGTAGTTTCTGAGAATGATTCTGTCTAGTTTTTATACGAAGATGTTTCCTTTTCTACATTTGGTGTCAAAGCGATTGAAATCTCCAACTGGAAACTGCACAAATAGGCTGATTCAAATCTGCTCTGTCTAAAGGAAGGTTCAACTCTGTGAGTTGAATACACACACCACAAATAAGTTACTGAGAATTCTTCTGTCGAACATTACTTGAAGAAATCCCGTTTCCAACGAAGGCCTCAAAGAGGTCCAAATATCCACTTGCAGACATTACAAACAGTGTGTTTCCCAACTGCTCCATCAAAAGAAAGGTTAAACTCTGTGAGCTGAACACACACATCAAAAAGAAGTTTCTGTGAATGATTCTGTCTAGATTTTATAAGAAGATGTTTTCTTTTCTACCGTAGGCCTCAAAGTGCTTGAAATCTCCAGCTGCAAATTCCACAAAAAGGGTGTTTAACATCTGCTCTTCTAAAGGAAAGTTCAACTCTATGAGTTGAATACACACAGCACAAAGAAGTTACTGAGACTTCTCCTATCAAACATTATATGAAGAAATCCCGTTTCCAACGAAGGCCTCAAAGAGGTCCAAATATCTGCTTGCCGACTTTACAGACAGACTGTTTCCAAACTGCTCCATCAAAAGAAAGGTTAACCTCCTTGAGTTGAACACACACATCACAAAGTAGTTTCTGTGAATGATTCTGTCTAGTTTTTATACGAAGATGTTTCCTTTTCTACCTTTGGTCTCAATGCGATTGAAATCTCCACATGGAAACTCCACAAAAAGAGTGTTTCAAATCTGCTCTGTCTAAAGGAAGGTTCAACTCTGTGAGTTGAATACACACACCACAATTAAGTTACTGAGAATTCTTCTGTGTAACATTATATGAGGAAATCCCGTTTCCAACGAAGGCCTCAAAGAGGTCCAAATATCCACTTGCAGACTTTACAAAGACAGTGTCTCCAAACTCCTCCATCAAAAGAAAGGTTATGCTCTGTGAATTGATCGCACACATCACAAAGTAGTTTCTGAGAATGATTCTGTCTAGTTTTTATACGAAGATATTTCCTTTTCTAAATTTGGCCTAAAAGCGCTTGAAATCTCCACCTGCAAATATCACAAAAAGAGGGTTTCACATCTGCTCTGTCTAAAGGACAGTTCACCTCTGTGAGTTGAATAGAGGCAACACAAAGAACTTACTCAGTATTCTTCTTTCTAGCGTTCTATGAAGAAATCCCGTTTCCAACGAAGGCCTCAATGAGGTCCAAATATCTGCTTGCAGACTTTACAGACAGAGTGTTTCCAAACTACTCTATGAAAAGAAAGCTTAAACTCCTTGAGTTGAACGCACACATCACAAAGTAGTTTCTGAGAATGATTCTGTCTAGTTTTTATACGAAGATGTTTCCTTTTCTACATTTGGTCTCAAAGCGATTGAAATCTCCAACTGGAAACTGCACAAATAGGGTGTTTCAAATCTGCTCTGTCTAAAGGAAGGTTCAACTCTGTGAGTTGAATACACACACCACAAATAAGTTACTGAGAATTCTTCTGTCGAACATTACATGAAGAAATCCCGTTTCCAACGAAGGCCTCAAAGAGGTCCAAATATCCACTTGCAGACATTACAAACAGAGTGTTTCCAAACTGCTCCATCAAAAGAAAGGTTAAACTCTGTGAGCTGAACACACACATCAAAAAGAAGTTTCTGTGAATGATTCTGTCTAGATTTTATAAGAAGATGTTTCCTTTTCTACCGTAGGCCTCAAAGCGCTTGAAATCTCCAGCTGCAAATTCCTCAAAAAGGGTGTTTAACATCTGCTCTTCTAAAGGAAAGTTCAACTCTATGAGTTGAATACACACAGCACAAAGAAGTTACTGAGACTTCTCCTATCAAACATTATATGAAGAAATCCCGTTTCCAACGAAGGCCTCAAAGAGGTCCAAATATCTGCTTGCAGACTTTACAGACAGAGTGTTTCCAAACTGCTCCATCAAAAGAAAGGTTAAACTCCTTGAGTTGAACACACACATCACAAAGTAGTTTCTGTGAATGATTCTGTCTAGTTTTTATACGAAGATGTTTCCTTTTCTACCTTTGGTCTCAAAGCGATTGAAATCTCCACATGGAAACTCCACAAAAAGAGTGTTTCAAATCTGCTCTTTCTGAAGGAAGGTTCAACTCTGTGAGTTGAATACACACACCACAAATAAGTTACTGAGAATTCTTCTGTGTAACATTATATGAGGAAATCCCGTTTCCAACGAAGGCCTCAAAGAGGTCCAAATATCCACTTGCAGACTTTACAAAGACAGTGTCTCCAAACTGCTCCATCAAAAGAAAGGTTATACTCTGTGAATTGAACGCACACATCACAAAGTAGTTTCTGAGAATGATTCTGTCTAGTTTTTATACGAAGATATTTCCTTTTCTACATTTGGCCTAAAAGCGCTTGAAATCTCCACCTGCAAATATCACAAAAAGAGGGTTTCACATCTGCTCTGTCTAAAGGACAGTTCACCTCTGTGAGTTGAATAGAGGCAACACAAAGAACTTACTCAGTATTCTTCTTTCTAGCGTTCTATGAAGAAATCCCGTTTCCAACGAAGGCCCCAAAGAGGTCCAAATATCTGCTTGCAGACTTTACAGACAGAGTGTTTCCAAACTACTCTATGAAAAGAAAGCTTAAACTCCTTGAGTTGAACGCACACATCACAAAGTAGTTTCTGAGAATGATTCTGTCTAGTTTTTATACGAAGATGTTTCCTTTTCTACATTTGGTCTCAAAGCGATTGAAATCTCCAACTGGAAACTGCAGAAATAGGCTGTTTCAAATCTGCTCTGTCTAAAGGAAGGTTCAGCTCTGTGAGTTGAATACACACACCACAAATAAGTTACTGAGAATTCTTCTGTCGAACATTACAGGAAGAAATCCCGTTTCCAACGAAGGCCTCAAAGAGGTCCAAATATCCACTTGCAGACATTACAAACAGAGTGTTTCCAAACTGCTCCATCAAAAGAAAGGTTAAACTCTGTGAGCTGAACACACACATCAAAAAGAAGTTTCTGTGAATGATTCTGTCTAGATTTTATACGAAGATGTTTCCTTTTCTATTGTAGGCCTCAAAGCGCTTGAAATCTCCAGCTGCAAATTCCACAAAAAGGGTGTTTAACATCTGCTCTTCTAAAGGAAAGTTCAACTCTATGAGTTGAATACACACAGCACAAAGAAGTTACTGAGGCTTCTCCTATCAAACATTATATGAAGAAATCCCGTTTCCAACGAAGGCCTCAAAGAGGTCCAAATATCCACTTGCAGACGTGACAAACAGAGTGTTTCCAAACTGCTCCATCAAAAGAAAGGTTAAACTCTGTGAGTTGAACACACACATCACAAAGTAGTTTCTGTGAATGATTCTGTCTAGTTTTTATACGAAGATGTTTCCTTTTCTACCTTTGGTCTCAAAGCGATTGAAATCTCCACATGGAAACTCCACAAAAAGAGTGTTTCAAAGCTGCTCTTTCTGAAGGCAGGTTCAACTCTGTGAGTTGAATACACACACCACAAATAAGTTACTGAGAATTCTTCTGTGTAACATTATATGAGGAAATCCCGTTTCCAACGAAGGCCACAAAGATGTCCAAATATCCACTTGCAGACTTTACAAAGACAGTGTCTCCAAACTCCTCCATCAAAAGAAAGGTTATCCTCTGTGAATTGAACGCACACATCACAAAGTAGTTTCTGAGAATGATTCTGTCTAGTTTTTATACGAAGATATTTCCTTTTCTACATTTGGCCTAAAAGCGCTTGAAATCTCCACCTGCAAATATCACAAAAAGAGGGTTTCACATCTGCTCTGTCTAAAGGACAGTTCACCTCTGTGAGTTGAATAGAGGCAACACAAAGAACTTACTCAGTATTCTTCTTTCTAGCGTTACATGAAGAAATCCCGTTTCCAACGAAGGCCTCAAAGAGGTCCAAATATCTGCTTGCAGACTTTACAGACAGAGTGTTTCCAAACTACTCTATGAAAAGAAAGCTTAAACTCCTTGAGTTGAACGCACACATCACAAAGTAGTTTCTGAGAATGATTCTGTCTTGTTTTTATACGAAGATATTTCCGTTTCTATGATTGGCCTCCAAGCGATTGAAATCTCCAACTGGAAACTGCACAAATAGGGTGTTTCAAATCTGCTCTGTCTAAAGGAAGGTTCAACACTGTGAGTTGAATACACACACCACAAATAAGTTACTGAGAATTCTTCTGTCGAACATTACATGAAGAAATCCCGTTTCCAACGAAGGCCTCAAAGAGGTCCAAATATCCACTTGCAGACATTACAAACAGAGTGATTCCAAACTGCTCCATCAAAAGAAAGGTTAAACTCTGTGAGCTGAACACACACATCAAAAAGAAGTTTCTGTGAATGATTCTGTCTAGATTTTATAAGAAGATGTTTCCTTTTCTACCGTAGGCCTCAAAGCGCTTGAAATCTCCAGCTGCAAATTCCACAAAAAGGGTGTTTAACATCTGCTCTTCTAAAGGAAAGTTCAACTCTATGAGTTGAATACACACAGCACAAAGAAGTTACTGAGACTTCTCCTATCAAACATTATATGAAGAAATCCCGTTTCCAACGAAGGCCTCAAAGAGGACCAAATATCTGCTTGCAGACTTTACAGACAGAGTTTTTCCAAACTGCTCCATCAAAAGAAAGGTTAAACTCCTTGAGTTGAACACACACATCACAAAGTAGTTTCTGTGAATGATTCTGTCTAGTTTTTATACGAAGATGTTTCCTTTTCTACCTTTGGTCTCAAAGCGATTGAAATCTCCACATGGAAACTCCAGAAAAAGAGTGTTTCAAATCTGCTCTTTCTGAAGGAAGGTTCAACTCTGTGAGTTGAATACACACACCACAAATAAGTTACTGAGAATTCTTCTGGGTAACATTATATGAGGAAATCCCGTTTCCAACGAAGGCCTCAAAGAGGTCCAAATATCCACTTGCAGACTTTACAAAGACAGTGTCTCCAAACTCCTCCATCAAAAGAAAGGTTATACTCTGTGAATTGAACGCACACATCACAAAGTAGTTTCTGAGAATGATTCTGTCTAGTTTTTATACGAAGATATTTCCTTTTCTACATTTGGCCTAAAAGCGCTTGAAATCTCCACCTGCAAATATCACAAAAAGAGGGTTTCACATCTGCTCTGTCTAAAGGACAGTTCACCTCTGTGAGTTGAATAGAGGCAACACAAAGAACTTACTCAGTATTCTTCTTTCCAGCGTTCTATGAAGAAATCCCGTTTCCAACGAAGGCCTCAAAGAGGTCAAATATCTGCTTGCAGACTTTACAGACAGAGTGTTTCCAAACTACTCTATGAAAAGAAAGCTTAAACTCCTTGAGTTGAACGCACACATCACAAAGTAGTTTCTGAGAATGATTCTGTCTTGTTTTTATACGAAGATATTTCCGTTTCTACGATTGGCCTCAAAGAGATTGAAATCTCCAACTGGAAACTGCACAAATAGGGTGTTTCAAATCTGCTCTGTCTAAAGGAAGGTTCAACTCTGTGAGTTGAATACACACACCACAAATAAGTTACTGAGAATTCTTCTGTCGACCATTACTTGAAGAAATCCCGTTTCCAACGAAGGCCTCAAAGAGGTCCAAATATCCACTTGCAGACATTACAAACAGAGTGTTTCCAAACTGCTCCATCAACAGAAAGGTTAAACTCTGTGAGCTGAACACACACATCGAAAAGAAGTTTCTGTGAATGATTCTGTCTAGATTTTATAAGAAGATGTTTCCTTTTCTACAGTAGGCCTCAAAGCGCTTGAAACCTCCAGCTGCAAATTCCCCAAAAAGGGTGTTTAACATCTGCTCTTCTAAAGGAAAGTTCAACTACTATGAGTTGAATACACACAGCACAAAGAAGTTACTGAGACTTCTCCTATCAAACATTATATGAAGAAATCCCGTTTCCAACGAAGGCCTCAAAGAGGTCCAAATATCTACTTGCAGACTTTACAGACAGAGTGTTTCCAAACTGCTCCATCAAAAGAAAGGTTAAACTCCTTGAGTTGAACACACACATCACAAAGTAGTTTCTGTGAATGATTCTGTCTAGTTTTTATAAGAAGATGTTTCCTTTTCTACCTTTGGTCTCAAAGCGATTGAAATCTCCACATGGAAACTCCTCAAAAAGAGTGTTTCAAATCTGCTCTTTCTGAAGGAAGGTTCAACTCTGTGAGTTGAATACACACACCACAAATAAGTTACTGAGAATTCTTCTGTGTAACATTATAGGAGGAAATCCCGTTTCCAACGAAGGCCTCAAAGAGGTCCAAATATCCACTTGCAGACTTTACAAAGACAGTGTCTCCAAACTCCTCCATCAAAAGAAAGGTTATCCTCTGTGAATTGAACGCACACATCACAAAGTAGTTTCTGAGAATGATTCTGTCTAGTTTTTATACGAAGATATTTCCTTTTCTACATTTGGCCTAAAAGCGCTTGAAATCTCCACCTGCAAATATCACAAAAAGAGGGTTTCACATCTGCTCTGTCTAAAGGACAGTTCACCTCTGTGAGTTGAATAGAGGCAACACAAAGAACGTACTCAGTATTCTTCTTTCTAGCGTTCTATGAAGAAATCCCGTTTCCAACGAAGGCCTCAAGGAGGTCCAAATATCTGCTTGCAGACTTTACAGAGTGTTTCCAAACTACTCTATGAAAAGAAAGCTTAAACTCCTTGAGTTGAACGCACACATCACAAAGTAGTTTCTGAGAATGATTCTGTCTAGTTTTTATACGAAGCATGTTTCCTTTTCTACATTTGGTCTCAAAGCGATTGAAATCTCCAACTGGAAACTGCACAAATAGGGTGTTTCAAATCTGCTCTGTCTAAAGGAAGGTTCAACTCTGTGAGTTGAATACACACACCACAAATAAGTTACTGAGAATTCTTCTGTCGAACATTACTTGAAGAAATACCGTTTCCAAAGAAGGCCTCAAAGAGGTCAAAATATCCACTTGCAGACATTACAAACAGAGTGTTTCAAAACTGCTCCATCAAAAGAAAGGTTAAACTCTGTGAGCTGAACACACACATGAAAAAGAAGTTTCTGTGAATGATTGTCTGTCTAGATTTTATAAGAAGATGTTTCCTTTTCTACCGTAGGCCACAAAGCGCTTGAAAACTCCAGCTGCAAATTCCACAAAAAGGGTGTTTAACATCTGCTCTTCTAAAGGAAAGTTCAACTCTATGCGTTGAATACACACAGCACAAAGAAGTTACTGAGACTTCTCCTATCAAACATTATATGAAGAAATCCCGTTTCCAACGAAGGCCTCAAAGAGGTCCAAATATCTGCTTGCAGACTTTACAGACAGAGTGTTTCCAAACTGCTCCATCAAAAGAAAGGTTAAACTCCTTGAGTTGAACACACACATCACAAAGTAGTTTCTGTGAATGATTTCTGTCTAGTTTTTATACGAAGATGTTTCCTTTTCTACCTTTGGTCTCAAAGCGATTGAAATCTCCACATGGAAACTCCACAAAAAGAGTGTTTCAAATCTGCTCTTTCTGAAGGAAGGTTCAACTCTGTGAGTTGAATACACACACCACAAATAAGTTACTGAGAATTCTTCTGTGTAACATTATATGAGGAAATCCCGTTTCCAACGAAGGCCTCAAAGAGGTCCAAATATCCACTTGCAGACTTTACAAAGACAGTGTCTCCAAACTCCTCCATCAAAAGAAAGGTTATACTCTGTGAATTGAACGCACACATCACAAAGTAGTTTCTGAGAATGATTCTGTCTAGTTTTTATACGAAGATATTTCCTTTTCTACATTTGGCCTAAAAGCGCTTGAAATCTCCACCTGCAAATATCACAAAAAGAGGGTTTCACATCTGCTCTGTCTAAAGGACAGTTCACGTCTGTGAGTTGAATAGAGGCAACACAAAGAACTTACTCAGTATTCTTCTTTCTAGCGTTCTATGAAGAAATCCCGTTTCCAACGAAGGCCTCAAAGAGGTCAAATATCTGCTTGCAGACTTTACAGACAGAGTGTTTCCAAACTACTCTATGAAAAGAAAGCTTAAACTCCTTGAGTTGAACGCACACATCACAAAGTAGTTTCTGAGAATGATTCTGTCTAGTTTTTATACGAAGATGTTTCCTTTTCTACATTTGGTCTCAAAGCGATTGAAATCTCCAACTGGAAACTGCACAAATAGGGTGTTTCAAATCTGCTCTTTCTAAAGGAAGGTTCAACTCTGTGAGTTGAATACACACACCACAAATAAGTTACTGAGAATTCTTCTGTCGAACATTACTTGAAGAAATCCCGTTTCCAACGAAGGCCTCAAAGAGGTCCAAATATCCACTTGCAGACATTACAAACAGAGTGTTTCCAAACTGCTCCATCAAAAGAAAGGTTAAACTCTGTGAGCTGAACACACACATCAAAAAGAAGTTTCTGTGAATGATTCTGTCTAGATTTTATAAGAAGATATTTCCTTTTCTACCGTAGGCCACAAAGCGCTTGAAATCTCCAGCTGCAAATTCCACAAAAAGCGTGTTTAACATCTGCTCTTCTAAAGGAAAGTTCAACTCTATGCGTTGAATACACCCAGCACAAAGAAGTTACTGAGACTTCTCCTATCAAACATTATATGAAGAAATCCCGTTTCCAACGAAGGCCTCAAAGAGGTCCAAATGTCTGCTTGCAGACTTTACAGACAGAGTGTTTCCAAACTGCTCCATCAAAAGAAAGGTTAAACTCCTTGAGTTGAACACACACATCACAAAGTAGTTTCTGTGAATGATTCTGTCTAGTTTTTATACGAAGATGTTTCCTTTTCTACCTTTGGTCTCAAAGCGATTGAAATCTCCACATGGAAACTCCACAAAAAGAGTGTTTCAAATCTGCTCTTTCTGAAGGAAGGTTCAACTCTGTGAGTTGAATACACACACCACAAATAAGTTACTGAGAATTCTTCTGTGTAACATTATATGAGGAAATCCCGTTTCCAACGAAGGCCTCAAAGAGGTCCAAATATCCACTTGCAGACTTTACAAAGACAGTGTCTCCAAACTCCTCCATCAAAAGAAAGGTTATACTCTGTGAATTGAACGCACACATCACAAAGTAGTTTCTGAGAATGATTCTGTCTAGTTTTTATACGAAGATATTTCCTTTTCTACATTTGGCCTAAAAGCGCTTGAAATCTCCACCTGCAAATATCACAAAAAGAGGGTTTCACATCTGCTCTGTCTAAAGGACAGTTCACCTCTGTGAGTTGAGTAGAGGCAACACAAAGAACTTACTCAGTTTTCTTCTTTCTTGCGTTCTATGAAGAAATCCCGTTTCCAACGAAGGCCCCAAAGAGGTCCAAATATCTGCTTGCACACTTTACAGACAGAGTGTTTCCAAACTACTCTATGAAAAGAAAGCTTAAACTCCTTGAGTTGAACGCACACATCACAAAATAGTTTCTGAGAATGATTCTGTCCAGTTTTTATATGAAGATGTTTCCTTTTCTACATTTGGTCTCAAAGCGATTGAAATCTCCAACTGGAAACTGCACAAATACGGTGTTTCAAATCTGCTCTGTCTAAAGGAAGGTTCAACTCTGTGAGTTGAATACACACACCACAAATAAGTTACTGAGAATTCTTCTTTCTAGCGTTCTATGAAGAAATCCCGTTTACAACGAAGGCCTCAAAGAGGTCCAAATATCTGCTTGCAGACTTTACATACAGAGTGTTTCCAAACTACTCTATGAAAAGAAAGCTTAAACTCCTTGAGTTGAACGCACACATCACAAAGTAGTTTCTGAGAATGATTCTGTCTAGATTTTATAAGAAGATGTTTCCTTTTCTACCGTAGGCCTCAAAGCGCTTGAAATCTCCAGCTGCAAATTCCACAAAAAGGGTGTTTAACATCTGCTCTTCTAAAGGAAAGTTCAACTCTGTGAGTTGAATACACACAGCACAAAGAAGTTACTGAGACTTCTCCTATCAAACATTATATGAAGAAATCCCGTTTCCAACGAAGGCCTCAAAGAGGTCCAAATATCTGCTTGCAGACTTTAAAGACAGAGTTTTTCCAAACTGCTCCATCAAAAGAAAGGTTAAACTCCTTGAGTTGAACACACACATCACAAAGTAGTTTCTGTGAATGATTCTGTCTAGTTTTTATACGAAGATGTTTCCTTTTCTACCTTTGGTCTCAAAGCGATTGAAATCTCCACATGGAAACTCCACAAAAAGAGTGTTTCAAATCTGCTCTTTCTGAAGGAAGGTTCAACTCTGTGAGTTGAATACACACACCACAAATAAGTTACTGAGAATTCTTCTGTGTAAAATTATATGAGGAAATCCCGTTTCCAACGAGGGCCTCAAAGAGGTCCAAATATCCACTTGCAGACTTTACAAAGACAGTGTCTCCAAACTCCTCCATCAAAAGAAAGGTTATACTCTGTGAATTGAACGCACACATCACAAAGTAGTTTCTGAGAATGATTCTGTCTAGTTTTTATACGAAGATATTTCCTTTTCTACATTTGGCCTAAAAGCGCTTGAAATCTCCACCTGCAAATATCACAAAAAGAGGGTTTCACATCTGCTCTGTCTAAAGGACAGTTCACCTCTGTGAGTTGAATAGAGGCAACACAAAGAACTTACTCAGTATACTTCTTTCTAGCGTTCTATGAAGAAATCCCGTTTCCAACGAAGGCCCCAAAGAGGTCCAAATATCTGCTTGCAGACTTTACAGACAGAGTGTTTCCAAACTACTCTATGAAAAGAAAGCTTAAACTCCTTGAGTTGAACGCACACATCACAAAGTAGTTTCTGAGAATGATTCTGTCTAGTTTTTATACGAAGATGTTTCCTTTTCTACATTTGGTCTCAAAGCGATTGAAATCTCCAACTGGAAACTGCACAAATAGGGTGTTTCAAATCTGCTCTGTCTAAAGGAAGGTTCAACTCTGTGAGTTGAATACACACACCACAAATAAGTTACTGAGAATTCTTCTGTCGAACATTACAGGAAGAAATCCCGTTTCCAACGAAGGCCTCAAAGAGGTCCAAATATCCACTTGCAGACATTACAAACAGTGTGTTTCCCAACTGCTCCATCAAAAGAAAGGTTAAACTCTGTGAGCTGAACACACACATCAAAAAGAAGTTTCTGTGAATGATTCTGTCTAGATTTTATAAGAAGATGTTTCCTTTTCTACCGTAGGCCTCAAAGCGCTTGAAATCTCCAGCTGCAAATTCCACAAAAAGGGTGTTTAACATCTGCTCTTCTAAAGGAAAGTTCAACTCTATGAGTTGAATACACACAGCACAAAGAAGTTACTGAGACTTCTCCTATCAAACATTAAATGAAGCAATCCCGTTTCCAACGAAGGCCTCAAAGAGGTCCAAATATCTGCTTGCAGACTTTACAGACAGAGTGTTTCCAAACTGCTCCATCAAAAGAAAGGTTAACCTCCTTGAGTTGAACACACACATCACAAAGTAGTTTCTGAGAATGATTCTGTCTAGTTTTTATACGAAGATGTTTCCTTTTCTACCTTTGGTCTCAAAGCGATTGAAATCTCCACATGGAAACTCCACAAAAAGAGTGTTTCAAATCTGCTCTTTCTGAAGGAAGGTTCAACTCTGTGAGTTGAATACACACACCACAAATAAGTTACTGAGAATTCTTCTGTGTAACATTATATGAGGAAATCCCGTTTCCAACGAAGGCCTCAAAGAGGTCCAAATATCCACTTGCAGACTTTACAAAGACAGTGTCTCCAAACTCCTCCATCAAAAGAAAGGTTATACTATGTGAATTGAACGCACACATCACAAAGTAGTTTCTGAGAATGATTCTGTCTAGTTTTTATACGAAGATATTTCCTTTTCTACATTTGGCCTAAAAGCGCTTGAAATCTCCACCTGCAAATATCACAAAAACAGGATTTCACATCTGCTCTGTCTAAAGGACAGTTCACCTCTGTGAGTTGAATAGAGGCAGCACAAAGAAGTTACTGAGTATTCTTCTTTCTAGCGTTCTATGAAGAAATCCCGTTTCCAACGAAGGCCCCTAAGAGGTCCAAATATCTGCTTGCAGACTTTACAGACAGAGTGTTTCCAAACTACTCTATGAAAAGAAAGCTTAAACTCCTTGAGTTGAACGCACACATCACAAAGTAGTTTCTGAGAATGATTCTGTCTAGTTTTTATACGAAGATGTTTCCTTTTCTACATTTGGTCTCAAAGCGATTGAAATCTCCAACTGGAAACTGCACAAATAGGGTGTTTCAAATCTGCTCTGTCTAAAGGAAGGTTCAACTCTGTGAGTTGAATACACACACCACAAATAAGTTACTGAGAATTCTTCTGTCGAACATTACTTGAAGAAATCCCGTTTCCAAAGAAGGCCTCAAAGAGGTCCAAATATCCACCTGCAGACATTACAAACAGAGTGTTTCCAAACTGCTCCATCAAAAGAAAGGTTAAACTCTGTGAGCTGAACACACACATCAAAAAGAAGTTTCTGTGAATGATTATGTCTAGATTTTATAAGAAGATGTTTCCTTTTCTACCGTAGGCCTCAAAGCGCTTGAAATCTCCAGCTGCAAATTCCACAAAAAGGGTGTTTAACATCTGCTCTTCTAAAGGAAAGTTCAACTCTATGAGTTGAATACACACAGCACAAAGAAGTTACTGAGACTCCTCCTATCAAACATTATATGAAGAAATCCCGTTTCCAACGAAGGCCTCAAAGAGGTCCAAATATCTGCTTGCAGACTTTACAGACAGAGTTTTTCCAAACTGCTCCATCAAAAGAAAGGTTAAACTCCTTGAGTTGAACACACACATCACAAAGTAGTTTCTGTGAATGATTCTGTCTAGTTGTTATACGAAGATGTTTCCTTTTCTACCTTTGGTCTCAATGCGATTGAAATCTCCACATGGAAACTCCACAAAAAGAGTGTTTCAAATCTGCTCTTTCTGAAGGAAGGTTCAACTCTGTGAGTTGAATACACACACCACTAATAAGTTACTGAGAATTCTTCTGTGTAACGTTATATGAGGAAATCCCGTTTCCAACGAAGGCCTCAAAGAGGTCCAAATATCCACTTGCAGACTTTACAAAGACAGTGTCTCCAAACTCCTCCATCAAAAGAAAGGTTATACTCTGTGAATTGAACGCACACATCACAAAGTAGTTTCTGAGAATGATTCTGTCTAGTTTTTATACGAAGATATTTCCTTTTCTACATTTCGCCTAAAAGCGCTTGAAATCTCCACCTGCAAATATCACAAAAAGAGGGTTTCACATCTGCTCTGTCTAAAGGACAGTTCACCTCTGTGAGTTAAATAGAGGCAACACAAAAAACTTACTCAGTATTCTTCTTTCTACCGTTCTATGAAGAAATCCCGTTTCCAACGAAGGCCTCAAAGAGGTCCAAATATCTGCTTGCAGACTTTACAGACAGAGTGTTTCCAAACTACTCTATGAAAAGAAAGCTTAAACTCCTTGAGTTGAACGCACACATCACAAAGTAGTTTCTGAGAATGATTCTGTCTAGTTTTTATACGAAGATGTTTCCTTTTCTACATTTGGTCTCAAAGCGATTGAAATCTCCAACTGGAAACTGCACAAATAGGGTGTTTCAAATCTGCTCTGTCTAAAGGAAGGTTCAACTCTGTGAGTTGAATACACACACCACAAATAAGTTACTGAGAATTCTTCTGTCGAACATTACTTGAAGAAATCCCGTTTCCAACGAAGGCCTCAAAGAGGTCCAAATATCCACTTGCAGACATTACAAACAGAGTGTTTCCAAACTGCTCCATCAAAAGAAAGGTTAAACTCTGTGAGCTGAACACACACATCAAAAAGAAGTTTCTGTGAATGATTCTGTCTAGATTTTATAAGAAGATGTTTCGTTTTCTACCGTAGGCCTCAAAGCGCTTGAAATCTCCAGCTGCAAATTCCACAAAAAGGGTGTTTAACATCTGCTCTTCTAAAGGAAAGTTCAACTCTATGAGTTGAATACACACAGCACAAAGAAGTTACTGAGACTTCTCCTATCAAACATTATATGAAGAAATCCCGTTTCCAACGAAGGCCTCAAAGAGGTCCAAATATCTGCTTGCAGACTTTACAGACAGAGTTTTTCCAAACTGCTCCATCAAAAGAAAGGTTAAACTCCTTGAGTTCAACACACACATCACAAAGTAGTTTCTGTGAATGATTCTGTCTAGTTTTTATACGAAGATGTTTCCTTTTCTACCTTTGGTCTCAAAGCGATTGAAATCTCCACATGGAAACTCCACAAAAAGAGTGTTTCAAATCTGCTCTTTCTGAAGGAAGGTTCAACTCTGTGAGTTGAATACACACACCACAAATAAGTTACTGAGAATTCTTCTGGGTAACATTATATGAGGAAATCCCGTTTCCAACGAAGGCCTCAAAGAGGTCCAAATATCCACTTGCAGACTTTACAAAGACAGTGTCTCCAAACTCCTCCATCAAAAGAAAGGTTATACTCTGTGAATTGAACGCACACATCACAAAGTAGTTTCTGAGAATGATTCTGTCTAGTTTTTATACGAAGATATTTCCTTTTCTACATTTGGCCTAAAAGCGCTTGAAATCTCCACCTGCAAATATCACAAAAACAGGGTTTCACATCTGCTCTGTCTAAAGGACAGTTCACCTCTGTGAGTTGAATAGAGGCAACACAAAGAACTTACTCAGTATTCTTGTCTTTCCAGCGTTCTATGAAGAAATCACGTTTCCAACGAAGGCCCCAATGAGGTCCAAATATCTGCTTGCAGACTTTACAGACAGAGTGTTTCCAAACTACTCTATGAAAAGAAAGCTTAAACTTCTTGAGTTGAACGCACACATCAGAAAGTAGTTTCTGAGAATGATTCTGTCTAGTTTTTATACGAAGACTGTTTCCTTTTCTACATTTGGTCTCAAAGCGATTGAAATCTCCAACTGGAAACTGCACAAATAGGGTGTTTCAAATCTGCTCTGTCTAAAGGAAGGTTCAACTCTGTGAGTTGAATACACACACGACAAATAAGTTACTGAGAATTCTTCTGTCGACCATTACTTGATGAAATCCCGTTTCCAACGAAGGCCTCAAAGAGGTCCAAATATCCACTTGCAGACATTACAAACAGAGTGTTTCCAAACTGCTCCATCAAAAGAAAGGTTAAACTCTGTGAGCTGAACACACACATCGAAAAGAAGTTTCTGTGAATGATTCTGTCTAGATTT
Organism: Homo sapiens; assembly: GCF_000001405.40. NCBI lineage: Eukaryota > Metazoa > Chordata > Mammalia > Primates > Hominidae > Homo > Homo sapiens. The sequence continues at coordinate 36,425,498 of NC_000012.12, read as the reverse complement.
TATAAGAAGATGTTTCCTTTTCTACCGTAGGCCTCAAAGCGCTTGAAATCTCCAGCTGCAAATTCCACAAAAAGGGTGTTTAACATCTGCTCTTCTAAAGGAAAGTTCAACTCTATGAGTTGAATACACACAGCACAAAGAAGTTACTGAGACTTCTCCTATCAAACATTATATGAAGAAATCCCGTTTCCAACGAAGGCCCCAAAGAGGTCCAAATATCTGCTTGCAGACTTTACAGACAGAGTTTTTCCAAACAGCTCCATCAAAAGAAAGGTTAAACTCCTTGAGTTGAACACACACATCACAAAGTAGTTTCTGTGAATGATTCTGTCTAGTTGTTATACGAAGATGTTTCCTTTTCTACCTTTGGTCTCAAAGCGATTGAAATCTCCACATGGAAACTCCACAAAAAGAGTGTTTCAAATCTGCTCTTTCTGAAGGAAGGTTCATCTCTGTGAGTTGAATACACACACCACAAATAAGTTACTGAGAATTCTTCTGTGTAACATTATATGAGGAAATCCCGTTTCCAACGAAGGCCTGAAAGAGGTCCAAATATCCACTTGCAGACTTTTCAAAGACAGTGTCTCCAAACTCCTCCATCAAAAGAAAGGTTATACTCTGTGAATTGAGCACACATCACAATGTAGTTTCTGAGAATGATTCTGTCTAGTTTTTATACGAAGATATTTCCTTTTCTACATTTGGCCTAAAAGCGCTTGAAATCTCCACCTGCAAATATCACAAAAAGAGGGTTTCACATCTGCTCTGTCTAAAGGACAGTTCACCTCTGTGAGTTGAATAGAGGCAACACAAAGAACGTACTCAGTATTCTTCTTTCTAGCGTTCTATGAAGAAATCCCGTTTCCAACGAAGGCCCCAAAGAGGTCCAAATATCTGCTTGCAGACTTTACAGACAGAGTGTTTCCAAACTACTCTATGAAAAGAAAGCTTAAACTCCTTGAGTTGAACGCACACATCACAAAGTAGTTTCTGAGAATGATTCTGTCTAGTTTTTATACGAAGATGTTTCCTTTTCTACATTTGGTCTCAAAGCGATTGAAATCTCCAACTGGAAACTGCACAAATAGGGTGTTTCAAATCTGCTCTGTCTAAAGGAAGGTTCAACTCTGTGAGTTGAATACACACACCACAAATAAGTTACTGAGAATTCTCCTATCAAACATTATATGAAGAAATCCCGTTTCCAACGAAGGCCTCAAAGAGGTCCAAATATCCACTTGCAGACATTACAAACAGAGTGTTTCCAAACTGCTCCATCAAAAGAAAGGTTAAACTCTGTGAGCTGAACACACACATCAAAAAGAAGTTTCTGTGAATGATTCTGTCTAGATTTTATAAGAAGATGTTTCCTTTTCTACCGTAGGCCTCAAAGCGCTTGAAATCTCCAGCTGCAAATTCCACAAAAAGGGTGTTTAACATCTGCTCTTCTAAAGGAAAGTTCAACTCTATGAGTTGAATACACACAGCACAAAGAAGTTACTGAGACTTCTCCTATCAAACATTATATGAAGAAATCCCGTTTCCAACGAAGGCCTCAAAGAGGTCCAAATATCTGCTTGCAGACTTTAAAGACAGAGTTTTTCCAAACTGCTCCATCAAAAGAAAGGTTAAACTCCTTGAGTTGAACACACACATCACAAAGTAGTTTCTGTGAATGATTCTGTCTAGTTTTTATACGAAGATGTTTCCTTTTCTACCTTTGGTCTCAAAGCGATTGAAATCTCCACATGGAAACTCCACAAAAAGAGTGTTTCAAATCTGCTCTTTCTGAAGGAAGGTTCAACTCTGTGAGTTGAATACACACACCACAAATAAGTTACTGAGAATTCTCCTATCAAACATTATATGAAGAAATCCCGTTTCCAACGAAGGCCTCAAAGAGGTCCAAATATCTGCTTGCAGACTTTACAAAGACAGTGTCTCCAAACTCCTCCATCAAAAGAAAGGTTATACTCTGTGAATTGAACGCACACATCACAAAGTAGTTTCTGAGAATGATTCTGTCTAGTTTAGTACGAAGATATTTCCTTTTCTACATTTGGCCTAAAAGCGCTTGAAATCTCCAACTGCAAATATCACAAAAAGAGGGTTTCACATCTGCTCTGTCTAAAGGACAGTTCACCTCTGTGAGTTGAATAGAGGCAACACAAAGAACTTACTCAGTATTCTTCTTTCTAGCGTTCTATGAAGAAATCCCGTTTCCAACGAAGGCCTCAAAGAGGTCCAAATATCTGCTTGCAGACTTTACAGACAAAGTGTTTCCAATCTACTCTATGAAAAGAAAGCTTAAACTCCTTGAGTTGAACGCACACATCACAAAGTAGTTTCTGAGAATGATTCTGTCTAGTTTTTATACGAAGATATTTCCTTTTCTACATTTGGCCTAAAAGCGCTTGAAATCTCCACCTGCAAATATCACAAAAAGAGGGTTTCACATCTGCTCTGTCTAAATGACAGTTCATCTCTGTGAGTTGAATAGAGGCAACACAAAGAACTTACTCAGTATTCTTCTGTCGAACATTACATGAAGAAATCCCGTTTCCAACGAAGGCCTCAAAGAGGTCCAAATATCCACTTGCAGACATTACAAACAGAGTGTTTCCAAACTGCTCCATCAAAAGAAAGGTTAAACTCTGTGAGCTGAACACACACATCAAAAAGAAGTTTCTGTGAATGATTCTGTCTAGATTTTATAAGAAGATGTTTCCTTTTCTACCGTAGGCCTCAAAGCGCTTGAAATCTCCAGCTGCAAATTCCACAAAAAGGGTGTTTAACATCTGCTCTTCTAAAGGAAAGTTCAACTCTATGAGTTGAATACACACAGCACAAAGAAGTTACTGAGACTTCTCCTATCTAACATTATATGAAGAAATCCCGTTTCCAACGAAGGCCTCAAAGAGGTCCAAATATCTGCTTGCAGACTTTACAGACAGAGTGTTTCCAAACTGCTCCATCAAAAGAAAGGTTAAACTCCTTGACTTGAACACACACATCACAAAGTAGTTTGCTGTGAATGATTCTGTCTAGTTTTTATACGAAGATGTTTCCTTTTCTACCTTTGGTCTCAAAGCGATTGAAATCTCCACATGGAAACTCCACAAAAAGAGTGTTTCAAATCTGCTCTTTCTGAAGGAAGGTTCATCTCTGTGAGTTGAATACACACACCACAAATAAGTTACTGAGAATTCTTCTGTGTAACATTATATGAGGAAATCCCGTTTCCAACGAAGGCCTCAAAGAGGTCCAAATATCCACTTGCAGACTTTACAAAGACAGTGTCTCCAAACTCCTCCATCAAAAGAAAGGTTATACTCTGTGAATTGAACGCACACATCACAAAGTAGTTTCTGAGAATGATTCTGTCTAGTTTTTATACGAAGATATTTCCTTTTCTACATTTGGCCTAAAAGCGCTTGAAATCTCCACCTGCAAATATCACAAAAAGAGGGTTTCACATCTGCTCTGTCTAAAGGACAGTTCACCTCTGTGAGTTGAATAGAGGCAACACAAAGAACTTACTCAGTATTCTTCTTTCCAGCGTTCTATGAAGAAATCCCGTTTCCAACGAAGGCCTCAAAGAGGTCAAATATCTGCTTGCAGACTTTACAGACAGAGTGTTTCCAAACTACTCTATGAAAAGAAAGCTTAAACTCCTTGAGTTGAACGCACACATCACAAAGTAGTTTCTGAGAATGATTCTGTCTAGTTTTTATACGAAGATGTTTCCCTTTCTACATTTGGTCTCAAAGCGATTGAAATCTCCAACTGGAAACTGCACAAATAGGCTGTTTCAAATCTGCTCTGTCTAAATGAAGGTTCAACTCTGTGAGTTGAATACACACACCACAAATAAGTTACTGAGAATTCTTCTGTCGAACATTACAGGAAGAAATCCCGTTTCCAACGAAGGCCTCAAAGAGGTCCAAATATCCACTTGCAGACATTACAAACAGTGTGTTTCCCAACTGCTCCATCAAAAGAAAGGTTAAACTCTGTGAGCTGAACACACACATCAAAAAGAAGTTTCTGTGAATGATTCTGTCTAGATTTTATAAGAAGATGTTTCCTTTTCTACCGTAGGCCTCAAAGCGCTTGAAATCTCCAGCTGCAAATTCCACAAAAAGGGTGTTTAACATCTGCTCTTCTAAAGGAAAGTTCAACTCTATGAGTTGAATACACACAGCACAAAGAAGTTACTGAGACTTCTCCTATCAAACATTATATGAAGAAATCCCGTTTCCAACGAAGGCCTCAAAGAGGTCCAAATATCTGCTTGCAGACTTTACAGACAGAGTGTTTCCAAACTGCTCCATCAAAAGAAAGGTGAAACTCCTTGAGTTGAACACACACATCACAAAGTAGTTTCTGTGAATGATTCTGTCTAGTTTTTATACGAAGATGTTTCCTTTTCTACCTTTGGTCTCAAAGCGATTGAAATCTCCACATGGAAACTCCACAAAAAGAGTGTTTCAAATCTGCTCTTTCTGAAGGAAGGTTCACCTCTGTGAGTTGAATAAACACACCACAAATAAGTTACTGAGAATTCTTCTGTGTAACATTATATGAGGAAATCCCGTTTCCAACGAAGGCCTCAAAGAGGTCCAAATATCCACTTGCAGACTTTACAAATACAGTTTCTCCAAACTCCTCCATCAAAAGAAAGGTTATACTCTGTGAATTGAACGCACACATCACAAAGTAGTTTCTGAGAATGAATCTGTCTAGTTTTTATACGAAGATATTTCCTTTTCTACATTTGGCCTAAAAGCGCTTGAAATCTCCACCTGCAAATATCACAAAAAGAGGGTTTCACATCTGCTCTGTCTAAAGGACAGTTCACCTCTGTGAGTTGAATAGAGGCAACACAAAGAACTTACTCAGTATTCTTCTTTCTAGCGTTCTATGAAGAAATCCCGTTTCCAACGAAGGCCCCAAAGAGGTCCAAATATCTGCTTGCAGACTTTACAGACAGAGTGTTTCCAAACTACTCTATGAAAAGAAAGCTTAAACTCCTTGAGTTGAACGCACACATCACAAAGTAGCTTCTGAGAATGATTCTGTCTAGTTTTTATACGAAGATGTTTCCTTTTCTACATTTGGTCTCAAAGCGATTGAAATCTCCAACTGGAAACTGCACAAATAGGGTGTTTCAAATCTGCTCTGTCTAAAGGAAGGTTCAACTCTGTGAGTTGAATACACACACCACAAATAAGTTACTGAGAATTCTTCTGTCGAACATTACATGAAGAAATCTCGTTTCCAACGAAGGCCTCAAAGAGGTCCAAATATCCACTTTCAGACATTACAAACAGAGTGTTTCCAAACTGCTCCATCAAAAGAAAGGTTAAACTCTGTGAGCTGAACACACACATCAAAAAGAAGTTTCTGTGAATGATTCTGTCTAGATTTTATAAGAAGATGTTTCCTTTTCTACCGTAGGCCTCAAAGCGCTTGAAATCTCCAGCTGCAAATTCCACAAAAAGGGTGTTTAACATCTGCTCTTCTAAAGGAAAGTTCAACTCTATGAGTTGAATACACACAGCACAAAGAAGTTACTGAGACTTCTCCTATCAAACATTATATGAAGAAATCCCGTTTCCAACGAAGGCCTCAAAGAGGTCCAAATATCTGCTTGCAGACTTTACAGACAGAGTGTTTCCAAACTGCTCCATCAAAAGAAAGGTTAAACTCCTTGAGTTGAACACACACATCACAAAGTAGTTTCTGTGAATGATTCTGTCTAGTTTTTATACGAAGATGTTTCCTTTTCTACCTTTGGTCTCAAAGCGATTGAAATCTCCACATGGAAACTCCACAAAAAGCGTGTTTCAAATCTGCTCTTTCTGAAGGAAGGTTCAACTCTGTGAGTTGAATAAACACACCACAAATAAGTTACTGAGAATTCTTCTGTGTAACAATATATGAGGAAATCCCGTTTGAACGAAGGCCTCAAAGAGGTCCAAATATCCACTTGCAGACTTTACAAAGACAGTGTCTCCAAACTCCTCCATCAAAAGAAAGGTTATACTCGGTGAATTGAACACACACATCACAAAGTATTTTCTGAGAATGATTCTGTCTAGTTTTTATACGAAGATATTTCCTTTTGTACATTTGGCCTAAAAGCGCTTGAAATCTCCACCTGCAAATATCACAAAAAGAGGGTTTCACATCTGCTCTGTCTAAAGGACATTTCACCTCTGTGAGTTGAATAGAGGCAACACAAAGAACTTACTCAGCATTCTTCTTTCTAGCGTTATATGTAGAAATCCCGTTTCCAACGAAGGCCTCAAAGAGGTCCAAATATCTGCTTGCAGACTTTACAGACAGAGTGTTTCCAAACTACTCTATGAAAAGAAAGCTTGTAACTCCTTGAGTTGAACGCACACATCACAAAGTAGTTTCTGAGAATGATTCTGTCTAGTTTTTATACGAAGATGTTTCCTTTTCTACTTTTGTCTCAAAGCGATTGAAATCTCCAACTGGAAACTGCACAAATAGGGTGTTTCAAATCTGCTCTGTCTAAAGGGAGGTTCAACTCTGTGAGTTCAATACACACACCACAAATAAGTTACTGAGAATTCTTCTGTCGAACATTACATGAAGAAATCCCGTTTCCAACGAAGGCCTCAAAGAGGTCCAAATATCCACTTGCAGAGATTACAAACAGTGTGTTTCCAAACTGCTCCATCAAAAGAAAGGTTAAACTCTGTGAGCTGAACCCACACATCAAAAAGAAGTTTCTGTGAATGATTCTGTCTAGATTTTATAAGAAGATGTTTCCTTTTCTACCGTAGGCCTCAAAGCGCTTGAAATCTCCAGCTGCAAATTCCACAAAAAGGGTGTTTAACATCTGCTCTTCTAAAGGAAAGTTCAACTCTATGAGTTGAATACACACAGCACAAAGAAGTTACTGAGACTTCTCCTATCAAACATTATATGAAGAAATCCCGTTTCCAACGAAGGCCTCAAAGAGGTCCAAATATCTGCTTGCAGATTTTACAGACAGAGTTTTTCCAAACTGCTCCATCAAAAGAAAGGTTAAACTCCTTGAGTTGAACACACACATCACAAAGTAGTTTCTGTGAATGATTCTGTCTAGTTTTTATACGAAGATGTTTCCTTTTCTACCTTTGGTCTCAAAGCGATTGAAATCTCCACATGGAAACTCCACAAAAAGAGTGTTTCAAATCTGCTCTTTCTGAAGGAAGGTTCAACTCTGTGAGTTGAATACACACACCACAAATAAGTTACTGAGAATTCTTCTGTGTAACATTATATGAGGAAATCCCGTTTCCAACGAAGGCCTCAAAGAGGTCCAAATATCCACTTGCAGACTTTACAAAGACAGTGTCTCCAAACTCCTCCATCAAAAGAAAGGTTATACTCTGTGAATTGAACGCACACATCACAAAGTAGTTTCTGAGAATGATTCTGTCTAGTTTTTATACGAAGATATTTCCTTTTCTACATTTGGCCTAAAAGCGCTTGAAATCTCCACCTGCAAATATCACAAAAAGAGGGTTTCACATCTGCTCTGTCTAAAGGACAGTTCACCTCTGTGAGTTGAATAGAGGCAACACAAAGAACTTACTCAGTATTCTTCTTTCTAGCGTTCTATGAAGAAATCCCGTTTCCAACGAAGGCCTCAAAGAGGTCCAAATATCTGCTTGCAGACTTTACAGACAGAGTGTTTCCAAACTACTCTATGAAAAGAAAGCTTAAACTCCTTGAGTTGAACGCACACATCACAAAGTAGTTTCTGAGAATGATTCTGTCTAGTTTTTATACGAAGATGTTTCCTTTTCTACATTTGGTCTCAAAGCGATTGAAATCTCCAACTGGAAACTGCACAAATAGGGTGTTTCAAATCTGCTCTGTCTAAAGGAAGGTTCAACTCTGTGAGTTGAATACACACACCACAAATAAGTTACTGAGAATTCTTCTGTCGAACATTACTTGAAGAAATCCCGTTTCCAAAGAAGGCCTCAAAGAGGTCCAAATATCCACTTGCAGACATTACAAACAGAGTGTTTCCAAACTGCTCCATCAAAAGAAAGGTTAAACTCTGTGAGCTGAACACACACATCAAAAAGAAGTTTCTGTGAATGATTCTGTCTAGATTTTATAAGAAGATGTTTCCTTTTCTACCGTAGGCCTCAAAGCGCTTGAAATCTCCAGCTGCAAATTCCACAAAAAGGGTGTTTAACATCTGCTCTTCTAAAGGAAAGTTCAACTCTATGAGTTGAATACACACAGCACAAAGAAGTTACTGAGACTTCTCCTATCAAACATTATATGAAGCAATCCCGTTTCCAACGAAGGCCTCAAAGAGGTCCAAATATCTGCTTGCAGACTTTACAGACAGAGTGTTTCCCAACTGCTCCATCAAAAGAAAGGTTAACCTCCTTGAGTTGAACACACACATCACAAAGTAGTTTCTGTGAATGATTCTGTCTAGTTTTTATACGAAGATGTTTCCTTTTCTACCTTTGGCCTAAAAGCGCTTGAAATCTCCACCTGCAAATATCACAAAAAGAGGGTTTCACATCTGCTCTGTCTAAAGGACAGTTCACCTCTGTGAGTTGAATAGAGACAACACAAAGAACTTACTCAGTATTCTTCTTTCTACCGTTCTATGAAGAAATCCCGTTTCCAACGAAGGCCTCAAAGAGGTCCAAATATCTGCTTGCAGACTTTACAGACAGAGTGTTTCCAAACTACTCTATGAAAAGAAAGCTTAAACTCCTTGAGTTGAACGCACACATCACAAAGTAGTTTCTGAGAATGATTCTGTCTAGTTTTTATACGAAGATGTTTCCTTTTCTACATTTGGTCTCAAAGCGATTGAAATCTCCAACTGGAAACTGCACAAATAGGCTGTTTCAAATCTGCTCTGTCTAAAGGAAGGTTCAGCTCTGTGAGTTGAATACACACACCACAAATAAGTTACTGAGAATTCTTCTGTCGAACATTACTTGAAGAAATCCCGTTTCCAACGAAGGCCTCAAAGAGGTCCAAATATCCACTTGCAGACATTACAAACAGAGTGTTTCCAAACTGCTCCATCAAAAGAAAGGTTAAACTCTGTGAGCTGAACACACACATCGAAAAGAAGTTTCTGTGAATGATTCTGTCTAGATTTTATAAGAAGATGTTTCCTTTTCTACCGTAGGCCTCAAAGCGCTTGAAATCTCCAGCTGCAAATTCCACAAAAAGGGTGTTTAACATCTGCTCTTCTAAAGGAAAGTTCAACTCTATGAGTTGAATGCACACAGCACAAAGAAGTTACTGAGACTTCTCCTATCAAACATTATATGAAGAAATCCCGTTTCCAACGAAGGCCTCAAAGAGGTCCAAATATCTGCTTGCAGACTTTACAGACAGAGTGTTTCCAAACTGCTCCATCAAAAGAAAGGTTAAACTCCTTGAGTTGAACACACACATCACAAAGTAGTTTCTGTGAATTATTCTGTCTAGTTTTTATACGAAGATGTTTCCTTTTCTACCTTTGGTCTCAAAGCGATTGAAATCTCCACATGGAAACTCCACAAAAAGAGTGTTTCAAATCTGCTCTTTCTGAAGGAAGGTTCATCTCTGTGAGTTGAATACACACACCACAAATAAGTTACTGAGAATTCTTCTGTGTAACATTATATGAGGAAATCCCGTTTCCAACGAAGGCCTCAAAGAGGTCCAAATATCCACTTGCAGACTTTACAAAGACAGTGTCTCCAAACTCCTCCATCAAAAGAAAGGTTATACTCTGTGAATTGAACGCACACATCACAAAGTAGTTTCTGAGAATGATTCTGTCTTGTTTTTATACGAAGATATTTCCTTTTCTACATTTGGCCTAAAAGCGCTTGAAATCTCCACGTGCAAATATCACAAAAAGAGGGTTTCACATCTACTCTGTCTAAAGGACAGTTCACCTCTGTGAGTTGAATAGAGGCAACACAAAGAACTTACTCAGTATTCTTCTTTCTAGCGTTATATGAAGAAATCCCGTTTCCAACGAAGGCCTCAAAGAGGTCCAAATATCTGCTTGCAGACTTTACAGACAGAGTGTTTCCAAACTACTCTATGAAAAGAAAGCTTAAACTCCTTGAGTTGAACGCACACAAAGCAAAGAAGTTTCTGAGAATGATTCTGTCTTGTTTTTATACGAAGATATTTCCGTTTCTATGATTGGCCTCAAAGCCATTGAAATCTCCAACTGGAAGCTGCACAAATAGGGTGTTTCAAATCTGCTCTGTCTACAGGAAGGTTCAACTCTGTGAGTTGAATACACACACCAAAAATAAGTTACTGAGAATTCTTCTGTCGAACATTACATAAAGAAATCCCGTTTCCAACGAAGGTCTCAAAGAGGTCAAAATATCCACTTGCAGACATTACAAACAGAGTGTTTCCAAACTGCTCCATGAAAAGAAAGGTTAAACTCTGTGAGCTGAACACACACATCAAAAAGAAGTTTCTGTGAATGATTCTGTCTAGATTTTATAAGAAGATGTTTCCTTTTCTACCGTAGGCCTCAAAGCGCTTGAAATCTCCAGCTGCAAATTCCACAAAAAGGGTGTTTAACATCTGCTCTTCTAAAGGAAAGTTCAACTCTATGAGTTGAATACACACAGCACAAAGAAGTTACTGAGACTTCTCCTATCAAACATTATATGAAGAAATCCCGTTTCCAACGAAGGGCCTCAAAGAGGTCCAAATATCTGCTTGCAGACTTTACAGACAGAGTGTTTCCAAACTGCTCCATCAAAAGAAAGGTTAAACTCCTTGAGTTGAACACACACATCACAAAGTAGTTTCTGTGAATGATTCTGTCTAGTTTTTATACGAAGATGTTTCCTTTTCTACCTTTGGTCTCAAAGCGATTGAAATCTCCACATGGTAACTCCACAAAAAGAGTGTTTCAAATCTGCTCTTTCTGAAGGAAGGTTCAACTCTGTGAGTTGAATACACACACCACAAATAAGTTACTGAGAATTCTTCTGTGTAACATTATATGAGGAAATCCCGTTTCCAACGAAGGCCTCAAAGAGGTCCAAATATCCACTTGCAGACTTTACAAAGACAGTGTCTCCAAACTCCTCCATCAAAAGAAAGGTTATACTCTGTGAATTGAACGCATACATCACAAAGTAGTTTCTGAGAATGATTTCTGTCCAGTTTTTATACGAAGATATTTCCTTTTCTACATTTGGCCTAAAAGCGCTTGGAATCTCCACCTGCAAATATCACCAAAAGAGGGTTTCACATCTGCTCTGTCTAAAGGTCAGTTCACCTCTGTGAGTTGAATAGAGGCAACACAAAGAACTTACTCAGTATTCTTCTTTCTAGCGTTATATGAAGAAATCCCGTTTCCAACGAAGGCCTCAAAGAGGTCCAAATATCTGCTTGCAGACTTTACAGACAGAGTGTTTCCAAACTACTCTATGAAAAGAAAGCTTAAACTCCTTGAGTTGAACGCACACATCACAAAGAAGTTTCTGAGAATGATTCTGTCTTGTTTTTATACGAAGATGTTTCCTTTTCTACATTTGGTCTCAAAGCGATTGAAATCTCCAACTGGAAACTGCACAAATAGGGTGTTTCAAATCTGCTCTGTCTAAAGGAAGGTTCAACTCTGTGAGTTGAATACACACACCACAAATAAGTTACTGAGAATTCTTCTACCGAACATTACTTGAAGAAATCCCGTTTCCAACGAAGGCCTCAAAGAGGTCCAAATATCCACTTGCAGATATTACAAACAGAGTGTTTCCAAACTGCTCCATCAAAAGAAAGGTTAAACTCTGTGAGCTGAACAAACACATCAAAAAGAAGTTTCTGTGAATGATTCTGTCTAGATTTTATAAGAAGATGTTTCCTTTTCTACCGTAGGCCTCAAAGCGCTTGAAATCTCCAGCTGCAAATTCCACAAAAAGGGTGTTTAACATCTGCTCTTCTAAAGGAAAGTTCAACTCTATGAGTTGAATACACACAGCACAAAGAAGTTACTGAGACTTCTCCTATCAAACATTATATGAAGAAATCCCGTTTCCAACGAAGGCCTCAAAGAGGTCCAAATATCTGCTTGCAGACTTTACAGACAGAGTATTTCCAAACTGCTCCATCAAAAGAAAGGTTAAACTCCTTGAGTTGAACACACACATCACAAAGTAGTTTCTGTGAATGATTCTGTCTAGTTGTTATACGAAGATGTTTCCTTTTCTACCTTTGGTCTCAAAGCGATTGAAATCTCCACATGGAAACTCCACAAAAAGAGTGTTTCAAATCTGCTCTTTCTGAAGGAAGGTTCATCTCTGTGAGTTGAATACACACACCACAAATAAGTTACTGAGAATTCTTCTGTGTAACATTATATGAGGAAATCCCGTTTCCAACGAAGGCCTCAAAGAGGTCCAAATATCCACTTGCAGACTTTACAAAGACAGTGTCTCCAAACTCCTCCATCAAAAGAAAGGTTATACTCTGTGAATTGAACGCACACATCACAAAGTAGTTTCTGAGAATGATTCTGTCTAGTTTTTATACAAAGATATTTCCTTTTCTACATTTGGCCTAAAAGCGCTTGAAATCTCCACCTGCAAATATCACAAAAAGAGGGTTTCACATCTGCTCTGTCTAAAGGACAGTTCACCTCTGTGAGTTGAATAGAGGCAACACAAAGAACTTACTCAGTATTCTTCTTTCTAGCGTTCTATGAAGAAATCCCGTTTCCAACCGAAGGCCCTAAAGAGGTCCAAATATCTGCTTGCAGACTTTACAGACAGAGTGTTTCCAAACTACTCTATGAAAAGAAAGCTTAAACTCCTTGAGTTGAACGCACACATCACAAAGTAGTTTCTGAGAATGATTCTGTCTAGTTTTTATACGAAGATGTTTCCTTTTCTACATTTGGTCTCAAAGCGATTGAAATCTCCAACTGGAAACTGCACAAATAGGGTGTTTCAAATCTGCTCTGTCTAAAGGAAGGTTCAACTCTGTGAGTTGAATACACACACCACAAATAAGTTACTGAGAATTTTTCTGTCGAACATTACATGAAGAAATCCCGTTTCCAACGAAGGCCTCAAAGAGGTCCAAATATCCACTTGCAGACATTACAAACAGAGTGTTTCCAAACTGCTCCATCAAAAGAAAGGTTAAACTCTGTGAGCTGAACACACACATCAAAAAGAAGTTTCTGTGAATGATTCTGTCTAGATTTTGTAAGAAGATGTTTCCTTTTCTACCGTAGGCCTCAAAGCGCTTGAAATCTCCAGCTGCAAATTCCACAAAAAGGGTGTTTAACATCTGCTCTTCTAAAGGAAAGTTCAACTCTATGCGTTGAATACACACAGCACAAAGAAGTTACTGAGACTTCTCCTATCAAACATTATATGAAAAAATCCCATTTCCAACGAAGGCCTCAAAGAGGTCCAAATATCTGCTTGCAGACTTTACAGACAGAGTGTTTCCAAACTGCTCCATCAAAAGAAAGGTTAACCTCCTGAGTTGAACACACACATCACAAAGTAGTTTCTGTGAATGATTCTGTCTAGTTTTTATACGAAGATGTTTCCTTTTCTACCTTTGGTCTCAAAGCGATTGAAATCTCCACATGGAAACTCCACAAAAAGAGTGTTTCAAATCTGCTCTTTCTGAAGGAAGGTTCATCTTTGTGAGTTGAATACACACACCACAAATAAGTTACTGAGAATTCTTCTGTGTAACATTATATGAGGAAATCCCGTTTCCAACGAAGGCCTCAAAGAGGTCCAAATATCCACTTGCAGACTTTACAAAGACAGTGTCTCCAAACTCCTCCATCAAAAGAAAGGTTATACTCTGTGAATTGAACGCACACATCACAAAGTAGTTTCTGAGAATGATTCTGTCTAGTTTTTATACGAAGATGTTTCCTTTTCTACATTTGGCCAAAAAGTGCTTGAAATCTCCACCTGCAAATATCACAAAAAGAGGGTTTCACATCTGCTCTGTCTAAAGGACAGTTCACCTCTGTGAGTTGAATAGAGGCAACACAAAGAACTTACTCAGTATTCTTCTTTCTAGCGTTATATGAAGAAATCCCGTTTCCAACGAAGGACTCAAAAAGGTCCAAATATCTGCTTGCAGACTTTACAGACAGAGTGCTTCCAAACTACTCTATGAAAAGAAAGCTTAAACTCCTTGAGTTGAACGCACACATCACAAAGTAGTTTCTGAGAATGATTCTGTCTAGTTTTTATACGAAGATGTTTCTTTTTCTACATTTGGTCTCAAAGCGATTGAAATCTCCAACTGGAAACTGCACAAATAGGGTGTTTCAAATCTGCTCTGTCTAAAGGAAGGTTCAACTCTGTGAGTTGAATACACACACCACAAATAAGTTACTGAGAATTCTTCCGTCGAACATTACTTGAAGAAATCCCGTTTCCAACGAAGGCCTCAAAGAGGTCCAAATATCCACTTGCAGACATTACAAACAGAGTGTTTCCAAACTGCTCCATCAAAAGAAAGGTTAAACTCTGTGAGCTGAACACACACATCAAAAAGTAGTTTTTGTGAATGATTCTGTCTAGATTTTATAAGAAGATGTTTCCTTTTCTACCGTAGGCCTCAAAGCGCTTGAAATCTCCAGCTGCAAATTCCACAAAAAGGGTGTTTAACATCTGCTCTTCTAAAGGAAAGTTCAACTCTATGAGTTGAATACACACAGCACAAAGAAGTTACTGAGACTTCTCCTATCAAACATTATATGAAGAAATCCCGTTTCCAACGAAGACCTCAAAGAGGTCCAAATATCTGCTTGCAGACTTTACACACAGAGTGTTTCCAAACTTCTCCATCAAAAGAAAGGTTAAACTCCTTGAGTTGAACACACACATCACAAAGTAGTTTCTGTAAATGATTCTGTCTAGTTTTTATACGAAGATGTTTCCTTTTCTACCTTTGGTCTCAAAGCGATTGAAATCTCCACATGGAAACTCCACAAAAAGAGTGTTTCAAATCTGCTCTTTCTGAAGGAAGGTTCAACTCTGTGAGTTGAATACACACACCACAAATAAGTTACTGAGAATTCTTCTGTGTAACAATATATGAGGAAATCCCGTTTGAACGAAGGCCTCAAAGAGGTCCAAATATCCACTTGCAGACTTTACAAAGACAGTGTCTCCAAACTCCTCCATCAAAAGAAAGGTTATACTCGGTGAATTGAACGCACACATCACAAAGTATTTTCTGAGAATGATTCTGTCTAGTTTTTATACCGAAGATATTTCCTTTTCTACATTTGGCCTAAAAGCGCTTGAAATCTCCACCTGCAAATATCACAAAAAGAGGGTTTCACATCTGCTCTGTCTAAAGGACAGTTCACCTCTGTGAGTTGGATAGAGGCAACACAAAGAACTTACTCAGTATTCTTCTTTCTAGCGTTCTATGAAGAAATCCCGTTTCCAACAAAGGCCCCTAAGAGGTCCAAATATCTGCTTGCAGACTTTACAGACAGAGTGTTTCCAAACTACTGTATGAAGAGAAAGCTTAAACTCCTTGAGTTGAAGGCACACATCACAAAGTAGTTTCTGAGAATGATTCTGTCTAGTTTTTATACGAAGATGTTTCCTTTTCTACATTTGGTCTCAAAGCGATTGAAATCTCCAACTGGAAACTGCACAAATAGGGTGTTTCAAATCTGCTCTGTCTAAAGGAAGGTTCAACTCTGTGAGTTGAATACACACACCACAAATAAGTTACTGAGAATTCTTCTGTCGAACATTACATGAAGAAATCCCGTTTCCAACGAAGGCCTCAAAGAGGTCCAAATATCCACTTGCAGACATTACAAACAGAGTGTTTCCAAACTGCTCCATCAAAAGAAAGGTTAAACTCTGTGAGCTGAACACACACATCAAAAAGAAGTTTCTGTGAATGATTCTGTCTAGATTTTATAAGAAGATGTTTCCTTTTCTACCGTAGGCCTCAAAGCGCTTGAAATCTCCAGCTGCAAATTCCACAAAAAGGGTGTTTAACATCTGCTCTTCTAAAGGAAAGTTCAACCCTATGAGTTGAATACACACAGCGCAAAGACGTTACTGAGACTTCTCCTATCAAACATTATATGAAGAAATCCCGTTTCCAACGAAGGCCTCAAAGAGGTCCAAATATCTGCTTGCAGACTTTACAGACAGAGTGTTTCCAAACTGCTCCACCAAAAGAAAGGTTAAACTCCTTGAGTTGAACACACACATCACAAAGTAGTTTCTGTGTATGATTCTGTCTAGTTTTTATACGAAGATGTTTCCTTTTCTACCTTTGGTCTCAAAGTGATTGAAATCTCCACATGGAAACTCCACAAAAAGAGTGTTTCAAATCTGCTCTTTCTGAAGGAAGGTTCAAATCTGTGAGTTGAATACACACACCACAAATAAGTTACTGAGAATTCTTCTGTGTAACATTATATGAGGAAATCCCGTTTCCAACGAAGGCCTCAAAGAGGTCCAAATATCCACTTGCAGACTTTACAAAGACAGTGTCTCCAAACTCCTCCATCAAAAGAAAGGTTATACTCTGTGAATTGAACGCACACATCACAAAGTAGTTTCTGAGAATGATTCTGTCTAGTTTTTATACGAAGATATTTCCTTTTCTACATTTGGCCTAAAAGCGCTTGAAGTCTCCACCTGCAAATATCACAAAAAGAGGGTTTCACATCTGCTCTGTCTAAAGGACAGTTCACCTTTGTGAGTTGAATAGAGGCAACACAAAGAACTTACTCAGTATTCTTCTTTCTAGCGTTCTATGAAGAAATCCCGTTTCCAACGAAGGCCTCAAAGAGGTCAAATATCTGCTTGCAGACTTTACAGACAGAGTGTTTCCAAACTACTCTATGAAAAGAAAGCTTAAACTCCTTGAGTTGAACGCACACATCACAAAGTAGTTTCTGAGAATGATTCTGTCTAGTTTTTATACGAAGATGTTTCCTTTTCTACATTTGGTCTCAAAGCGATTGAAATCTCCAACTGGAAACTGCACAAATAGGCTGTTTCAAATCTGCTCTGTCTAAAGGAAGGTTCAACTCTGTGAGTTGAATACACACACCACAAATAAGTTACTGAGAATTCTTCTGTCGAACATTACTTGAAGAAATCCCTTTTCCAACGAAGGCCTCAAAGAGGTCCAAATATCCACTTGCAGACATTACAAACAGAGTGTTTCCAAACTGCTCCATCAAAAGAAAGGTTAAACTCTGTGAGCTGAACACACACATCAAAAAGAAGTTTCTGTGAATGATTCTGTCTAGATTTTATAAGAAGATGTTTCCTTTTCTACCGTAGGCCTCAAAGCGCTTGAAATCTCCAGCTGCAAATTCCACAAAAAGGGTGTTTAACATCTGCTCTTCTAAAGGAAAGTTCAACTCTATGAGTTGAATACACACAGCACAAAGAAGTTACTGAGACTTCTCCTATCAAACATTATATGAAGAAATCCCGTTTCCAACGAAGGACTCAAAGAGGTCCAAATATCTGCTTGCAGACTTTAAAGACAGAGTTTTTCCAAACTCCTCCATCAAAAGAAAGGTTAAACTCCTTGAGTTGAACACACACATCACAAAGTAGTTTCTGTGAATGATTCTGTCTAGTTTTTATACGAAGATGTTTCCTTTTCTACCTTTGGTCTCAAAGCGATTGAAATCTCCACATGGAAACTCCACAAAAAGAGTGTTTCAAATCTGCTCTTTCTGAAGGAAGGTTCAACTCTGTGAGTTGAATACACACACCACAAATAAGTTACTGAGCATTCTTCTGTGTAACATTATATGAGGAAATCCCGTTTCCAACGAAGGCCTCAAAGAGGTCCAAATATCCACTTGCAGACTTTACAAAGACAGTGTCTCGAAACTCCTCCATCAAAAGAAAGGTTATACTCTGTGAATTGAACGCACACATCACAAAGTAGTTTCTGAGAATGATTCTGTCTAGTTTTTATACGAAGATATTTCCTTTTCTACATTTGGCCTAAAAGCGCTTGAAATCTCCACCTGCAAATATCACAAAAAGAGGGTTTCACATCTGCTCTGTCTAAAGGACAGTTCACCTCTGTGAGTTGAATAGAGGCAACACAAAGAACTTACTCAGTATTCTTCTTTCTAGCGTTCTATGAAGAAATCCCGTTTCCAACGAAGGCCTCAAAGAGGTCCAAATATCTGCTTGCAGACTTTACAGACAGAGTGTTTCCAAACTACTCTATGAAAAGAAAGCTTAAACTCCTTGAGTTGAACGCACACATCACAAAGTAGTTTCTGAGAATGATTCTGTCTAGTTTTTATACGAAGATGTTTCCTTTTCTACATTTGGTCTCAAAGCGATTGAAATCTCCAACTGGAAACTGCACAAATAGGGTGTTTCAAATCTGCTCTGTCTAAAGGAAGGTTCAACTCTGTGAGTAGAATACACACACCACAAATAAGTTATTGAGAATTCTTCTGTCGAACATTACTTGAAGAAATCCCGTTTCCAACGAAGGCCTCAAAGAGGTCCAAATATCCACTTGCAGATATTACAAACAGAGTGTTTCCAAACGGCTCCATCAAAAGAAAGGTTAAACTCTGTGAGCTGAACACACACATCAAAAAGAAGTTTCTGTGAATGATTCTGTCTAGATTTTATAAGAAGATGTTTCCTTTTCTACCGTAGGCCTCAAAGCGCTTGAAATCTCCAGCTGCAAATTCCACAAAAACGGTGTTTAACATCTGCTCTTCTAAAGGGAAGTTCAACTCTATGAGTTGAATACACACAGCACAAAGAAGTTACTGAGACTTCTCCTATCAAACATTATATGAAGATATCCTGTTTCCAACGAAGGCCTCAAAGAGGTCCAAATATCTGCTTGCAGACTTTACAGACAGAGTTTTTCCAAACTGCTCCATCAAAAGAAAGGTTAAACTCCTTGAGTTGAACACACACATCACAAAGTAGTTTCTGTGAATGATTCTGTCTAGTTTTTATACGAAGATGTTTCCTTTTCTACCTTTGGTCTCAAAGCGATTGAAATCTCCACATGGAAACTCCACAAAAAGAGTGTTTCAAATCTGCTCTTTCTGAAGGAAGGTTCAACTCTGTGAGTTGAATACACACACCACAAATAAGTTACTGAGAATTCTTCTGTGTAACATTATATGAGGAAATCCCGTTTCCAACGAAGGCCTCAAAGAGGTCCAAATATCCACTTGCAGACTTTACAAAGACAGTGTCTCCAAACTCCTCCATCAAAAGAAAGGTTATACTGCTGTGAATTGAACGCACACATCACAAAGTAGTTTGCTGAGAATGATTCTGTCTAGTTTTTATACGAAGATATTTCCTTTTCTACATTTGGCCTAAAATCGCTTGAAATCTCCACCTGCAAATATCACAAAAAGAGGGTTTCACATCTGCTCTGTCTAAAGGACAGTTCACCTCTGTGAGTTGAATAGAGGCAACACAAAGAACTTACCCAGTATTCTTCTTTCTAGCGTTATATGAAGAAATCCCGTTTCCAACGAAGGCCTCAAAGAGGTCCAAATATCTGCTTGCAGACATTACAGACAGAGTGTTTCCAAACTACTCTATGAAAAGAAAGCTTAAACTCTTTGAGTTGAACGCACACATCACAAAGTAGTTTCTGAGAATGATTCTGTCTTGTTTTTATACGAAGATATTTCCGTTTCTATGATTGGCCTAAAAGCGATTGAAATCTCCAACTGGAAACTGCACAAATAGGGTGTTTCAAATCTGCTCTGTCTGAAGGAAGGTTCAACTCTGTGAGTTGAATACACACACCACAAATAAGTTACTGAGAATTCTTCTGTCGAACATTACATGAAGAAATCCCGTTTCCAACGAAGGCCTCAAAGAGGTCCAAATATCCACTTGCAGACATTACAAACAGAGTGTTTCCAAACTGCTCCATAAAAAGAAAGGTTAAACTCTGTGAGCTGAACACACACATCAAAAAGAAGTTTCTGTGAATGATTCTGTCTAGATTTTATAAGAAGATGTTTCCTTTTCTACCGCAGGCCTCAAAGCGCTTGAAATCTCCAGCTGCAAATTCCACAAAAAGGGTGTTTAACATCTGCTCTTCTAAAGGAAAGTTCAACTCTATGAGTTGAATACACACAGCACAAAGAAGTTACTGAGACTTCTCCTATCAAACATTATATGAAGAAATCCCGTTTCCAACGAAGCCCTCAAAGAGGTCCAAATCTCCGCTTGCAGACTTTACAGACAGAGTTTTTCCAAACTGCTCCATCAAAAGAAAGGTTAAACTCCTTGAGTTGAACACACACATCACAAAGTAGTTTCTGTGAATGATTCTGTCTAGTTGTTATACGAAGATGTTTCCTTTTCTACCTTTGGTCTCAAAGCGATTGAAATCTCCACATGGAAACTCCACAAAAAGAGTGTTTCAAATCTGCTCTTTCTGAAGGAAGGTTCATCTCTGTGAGTTGAATACACACACCACAAATAAGTTACTGAGAATTCTTCTGTGTAACATTATATGAGGAAATCCCGTTTCCAACGAAGGCCTCAAAGAGGTCCAAATATCCACTTGCAGACTTTACAAAGACAGTGTCTCCAAACTCCTCCATCAAAAGAAAGGTTATACTCTGTGAATTGAACGCACACATCACAAAGTAGTTTCTGAGAATGATTCTGTCTAGTTTTTATACGAAGATATTTCCTTTTCTACATTTGGCCTAAAAGCGCTTGAAATCTCCACGTGCAAATATCACAAAAAGAGGGTTTCACATCTGCTCTGTCTAAAGGACAGTTCACCTCTGTGAGTTGAATAGAGGCAACACAAAGAACTTACTCAGTATTCTTCTTTCTAGCGTTCTATGAAGAAATCCCGTTTCCAACGAAGGCCCCAAAGAGGTCCAAATATCTGCTTGCAGACTTTACAGACAGAGTGTTTCCAAACTACTCTATGAAAAGAAAGCTTAAACTCCTTGAGTTGAACGCACACATCACAAAGTAGTTTCTGAGAATGATTCTGTCTTGTTTTTATACGAAGATATTTCCGTTTCTATGATTGGCCTCAAAGCGATTGAAATCTCCAACTGGAAACTGCACTAATAGGGTGTTTCAAATCTGCTCTGTCTAAAGGAAGGTTCAACTCTGTGAGTTGAATACACACACCACAAATAAGTTACTGAGAATTCTTCTGTCGAACATTACATGAAGAAATCCCGTTTCCAACGAAGACCTCAAAGAGGTCCAAATATCCACTTGCAGACATTACAAACAGAGTGTTTCCAAACTGCTCCATCAAAAGAAAGGTTAAACCCTGTGAGCTGAACACACACATCAAAAAGATGTTTCTGTGAATGATTCTGTCTAGATTTTATAAGAAGATGTTTCCTTTTCTACCGTAGGCCTCAAAGCGCTTGAAATCTCCAGCTGCAAATTCCACAAAAATGGTGTTTAACATCTGCTCTTCTAAAGGAAAGTTCAACTCAATGAGTTGAATACACACAGCAGAAAGAAGTTACTGAGACTTCTCCTATCAAACATTATATGAAGAAATCCCGTTTCCAACGAAGGCCTCAAAGAGGTCCAAATATCTGCTTGCAGACTTTACAGACAGAGTGTTTCCAAACTGCTCCATCAAAAGAAAGGTTAAACTCCTTGAGTTGAACACACACATCACAAAGTAGTTTCTGTGAATGATTCTGTCTAGTTTTTATACGAAGATGTTTCCTTTTCTACCTTTGGTCTCAAAGCGATTGAAATCTCCACATGGAAACTCCACAAAAAGAGTGTTTCAAATCTGCTCTTTCTGAAGGAAGGTTCAACTCTGTGAGTTGAATACACACACCACAAATAAGTTACTGAGAATTCTTCTGTGTAACATTATATGAGGAAATCCCGTTTCCAACGAAGGCCTCAAAGAGGTCCAAATATCCACTTGCAGACTTTACAAAGACAGTGTCTCCAAACTCCTCCATCAAAAGAAAGGTTATACTCTGTGAATTGAACGCACACATCACAAAGTAGTTTCTCAGAATGATTCTGTCTAGTTTTTATACGAAGATATTTCCTTTTCTACATTTGGCCTAAAAGCGCTTGAAATCTCCACCTGCAAATATCACAAAAAGAGGGTTTCACATCTGCTCTGTCTAAAGGACAGTTCACCTCTGTGAGTTGAATAGAGGCAACACAAAGAACTTACTCAGTATTCTTCTTTCTAGCGTTCTATGAAGAAATCCCGTTTCCAACGAAGGCCCTAAAGAGGTCCAAATATCTGCTTGCAGACTTTACAGACAGAGTGTTTCCAAACTACTCTATGAAAAGAAAGCTTAAACTCCTTGAGTTGAACGCACACATCACAAAGTAGTTTCTGAGAATGATTCTGTCTAGTTTTTATACGAAGATGTTTCCTTTTCTACATTTGGTCTCAAAGCGATTGAAATCTCCAACTGGAAACTGCACAAATAGGGTGTTTCAAATATGCTCTGTCTAAAGGAAGGTTCAACTCTGTGAGTTGAATACACACACCACAAATAAGTTACTGAGAATTCTTCTGTCGAACATTACAGGAAGAAATCCCGTTTCCAACGAAGGCCTCAAAGAGGTCCAAATATCCACTTGCAGACATTACAAACAGTGTGTTTCCCAACTGCTCCATCAAAAGAAAGGTTAAACTCTGTGAGCTGAACACACTCATCAAAAAGAAGTTTCTGTGAATGATTTCTGTCTAGATTTTATAAGAAGATGTTTCCTTTTCTACCGTAGGCCTCAAAGCGCTTGAAATCTCCAGCTGCAAATTCCACAAAAAGGGTGTTTAACATCTGCTCTTCTAAAGGAAAGTTCAACTCCATGAGTTGAATACACACAGCACAAAGAAGTTACTGAGACTTCTCCTATCAAACATTATATGAAGAAATCCCGTTTCCAACGAAGGCCTCAAAGAGGTCCAAATATCTGCTTGCAGACTTTACAGACAGAGTGTTTCCAAACTGCTCCATCAAAAGAAAGGTTAAACTCCTTGAGTTGAACACACACATCACAAAGTAGTTTCTGTGAATGATTCTGTCTAGTTTTTATACGAAGATGTTTCCTTTTCTACCTTTGGTCTCAATGCGATTGAAATCTCCACATGGAAACTCCACAAAAAGAGTGTTTCAAATCTGCTCTTTCTGAAGGAAGGTTCAACTCTGTGAGTTGAATACACACACCACAAATAAGTTACTGAGAATTCTTCTGTGTAACATTATATGAGGAAATCCCGTTTCCAACGAAGGCCTCAAAGAGGTCCAAATATCCACTTGCAGACTTTACAAAGACAGTGTCTCCAAACTCCTCCATCAAAAGAAAGGTTATACTCTGTGAATTGAACGCACACATCACAAAGTAGTTTCTGAGAATGATTCTGTCTAGTTTTTATACGAAGATATTTCCTTTTCTACATTTGGCCTAAAAGCGCTTGAAATCTCCACCTGCAAATATCACAAAAAGAGGGTTTCACATCTGCTCTGTCTAAAGGACAGTTCACCTCTGTGAGTTGAATAGAGGCAACACAAAGAACTTACTCAGTATTCTTCTTTCTAGCGTTCTATGAAGAAATCCCGTTTCTAACGAAGGCCCCAAAGAGGTCCAAATATCTGCTTGCAGAATTTACAGACAGAGTGTTTCCAAACTACTCTATGAAAAGAAAGCTTAAACTCCTTGAGTTGAACGCACACATCACAAAGTAGTTTCTGAGAATGATTCTGTCTAGTTTTTATACGAAGATGTTTCCTTTTCTACATTTGGTCTCAAAGCGATTGAAATCTCCAACTGGAAACTGCACAAATAGGGTGTTTCAAATCTGCTCTGTCTAAAGGAAGGTTCAACTCTGTGAGTTGAATACACACACCACAAATAAGTTACTGAGAATTCTTCTCTCGAACATTACAGGAAGAAATCCCGTTTCCAACGAAGGCCTCAAAGAGGTCCAAATATCCACTTGCAGACATTACAAACAGAGTGTTTCCAAACTGCTCCATCAAAAGAAAGGTTAAACTCTGTGAGCTGAACACACACATCAAAAAGAAGTTTCTGTGAATGATTCTGTCTAGATTTTATAAGAAGATGTTTCCTTTTCTACCGTAGGCCTCAAAGCGCTTGAAATCTCCAGCTGCAAATTCCACAAAAAGGGTGTTTAACATCTGCTCTTCTAAAGTAAAGTTCAACTCTATGAGTTGAATACAAACAGCACAAAGAAGTTACTGAGACTTCTCCTATCAAACATTATATGAAGAAATCCCGTTTCCAACGAAGGCCTCAAAGAGGTCCAAATATCTGCTTGCAGACTTTACAGACAGAGTGTTTCCAAACTACTCTATGAAAAGAAAGCTTAAACTCCTTGAGTTGAACGCACACATCACAAAGTAGTTTCTGAGAATGATTCTGTCTAGTTTTTATACGAAGATGTTTCCTTTTCTACATTTGGTCTCAAAGCGATTGAAATCTCCACATGGAAACTCCACAAAAAGAGTGTTTCACATCTGCTCTTTCTGAAGGAAGGTTCAACTCTGTGAGTTGAATACACACACCACAAATAAGTTACTGAGAATTCTTCAGTGTAACATTATATGAGGAAATCCCGTTTCCAACGAAGGCCTCAAAGAGGTCGAAATATGCACTTGTAGACTTTACAAAGACAGTGTCTCCAAACTCCTCCATCAAAAGAAAGCTTATACTCTGTGAATTGAACGCGCACATCACAAAGTAGTTTCTGAGAATGATTCTGTCTAGATTTTATAAGAAGATGTTTCCTTTTCTACCGTAGGCCTCAAAGCGCTTGAAATCTCCAGCTGCAAATTCCACAAAAAGGGTGTTTAACATCTGCTCTTCTAAAGGAAAGTTCAACTCTATGAGTTGAATACACACAGCACAAAGAAGTTACTGAGACTTCTCCTATCAAACATTATATGAAGAAATCCCGTTTCCAACGAAGGCCTCAAAGAGGTCCAAATATCTGCTTGCAGACTTTACAGACAGAGTGTTTCCAAACTGCTCCATCAAAAGAAAGGTTAAACTCCTTGAGTTGAACACACACATCACAAAGTAGTTTCTGTGAATGATTCTGTCTAGTTTTTATACGAAGATGTTTCCTTTTCTACCTTTGGTCTCAAAGCGATTGAAATCTCCACATGGAAACTCCACAAAAAGAGTGTTTCAAATCTGCTCTTTCTGAAGGAAGGTTCACCTCTGTGAGTTGAATAAACACACCACAAATAAGTTACTGAGAATTCTCCTATCAAACATTATATGAAGAAAACCCGTTTCCAACGAAGGCCTCAAAGAGGTCCAAATATCTGCTTGCAGACTTTACAAAGACAGTGTCTCCAAACTCCTCCATCAAAAGAAAGGTTATACTCTGTGAATTGAACGCACACATCACAAAGTAGTTTCTGAGAATGATTCTGTCTAGTTTTTATACGAAGATATTTCCTTTTCTACATTTGGCCTAAAAGCGCTTGAAATCTCCACCTGCAAATATCACAAAAAGAGGGTTTCACATCTGCTCTGTCTAAAGGACAGTTCACTTTTGTGAGTTGAATAGAGGCAACACAAAGAACTTACTCAGTATTCTTCTTTCTAGCTTTCTATGAAGAAATCCCGTTTCCAACGAAGGCCTCAAAGAGGTCCAAATATCTGCTTGCAGACTTTACAGACAGAGTGTTTCCAAACTACTCTATGAAAAGAAAGCTTAAACTCCTTAAGTTGAACGCACACATCACAAAGTAGTTTCTGAGAATGATTCTGTCTTGTTTTTATACAAATGTATTTCCGTTTCTATGATTGGCCTCAAAGCGATTGAATTCTCCAACTGGAAACTGCACAAATAGGGTGTTTCAAATCTGCTCTGTCTAAAGTAAGTTTCAACTCTGTGAGTTGAATACACACACCACAAATAAGTTACTGAGAATTCTTCTGTGTAACATTATATGAGGAAATCCCGTTTCCAACGAAGGCCTCAAAGAGGTCCATATATCCACTTGCAGACTTTACAAAGACAGGGTCTCCAAACTCCTCCATCAAAAGAAAGGTTATACTCTGTGAATTGAACGCACACATCACAAAGTAGTTTCTGAGAATGATTCTGTCTAGTTTTTATACGAAGATATTTCCTTTTCTACATTTGGCCTAAAAGTGCTTGAAATCTCCACCTGCAAATATCACAAAAAGAGGGTTTCACATCTGCTCTGTCTAAAGGACAGTTCACCTCTGTGAGTTGAATAGAGGCAACACAAAGAACTTACTCAGTATTCTTCTTTCTAGCGTTCTATGAAGAAATCCCGTTTCCAACGAAGGCCCCAAAGAGGTCCAAATATCTGCTTGCAGACTTTACAGACAGAGTGTTTCCAAACTACTCTATGAAAAGAAAGCTTAAACTCCTTGAGTTGAACGCACACATCACAAAGTAGTTTCTGAGAATGATTCTGTCTAGTTTTTATACGAAGATATTTCCTTTTCTACATTTGTCTCAAAGCGATTGAAATCTCCACATGGAAACTGCACAAATAGGCTGTTTCAAATCTGCTCTGTCTAAAGGAAGGTTCAACTCTGTGACTTGAATACACACACCACAAATAAGTTACTGAGAATTCTTCTGTCGACCATTACTTGATGAAATCCCGTTTCCAACGAAGGCCTCAAAGAGGTCCAAATATCCACTTGCAGACATTACAAACAGAGTGTTTCCAAACTGCTCCATCAAAAGAAAGGTTAAACTCTGTGAGCTGAATACACACATCGAAAAGAAGTTTCTGTGAATGATTCTGTCCAGATTTTATAAGAAGATGTTTCCTTTTCTACTGTAGTCCTCAAAGCGCTTGAAATCTCCAACTGCAAATTCCACAAAAAGGGTGTTTAACATCTGCTCTTCTAAAGGAAAGTTCAACTCTATGAGTTGAATACACACAGCACAAAGAAGTTACTGAGACTTCTCCTATCAAACATTATATGAAGAAATCCCGTTTCCAACGAAGGCCTCAAAGAGGTCCAAATATCTGCTTGCAGACTTTACAGACAGAGTTTTTCCAAACTGCTCCATCAAAAGAAAGGTTAAACTCCTTGAGTTGAACACACACATCACAAAGTAGTTTCTGTGAATGATTCTGTCTAGTTGCTATACGAAGATGTTTCCTTTTCTACCTTTGGTCTCAAAGCGATTGAAATCTCCACATGGAAACTCCACAAAAAGAGTGTTTCAAATCTGCTCTTTCTGAAGGAAGGTTCATCTCTGTGAGTTGAATACACACACCACAAATAAGTTACTGAGAATTCTTCTGTGTAACATTATATGAGGAAATCCCGTTTCCAACGAAGGCCTCAAAGAGGTCCAAATATCCACTTGCAGACTTTACAAAGACAGTGTCTCCAAACTCCTCCATCAAAAGAAAGGTTATACTCTGTGAATTGAACGCACACATCACAAAGTAGTTTCTGAGAATGATTCTGTCTAGTTTTTATACGAAGATATTTCCTTTTCTACATTTGGCCTAAAAGCGCTTGAAATCTCCACCTGCAAATATCACAAAAAGAGGGTTTCACATCTGCTCTGTCTAAAGGACAGTTCACCTCTGTGAGTTGAATAGAGGCAACACAAAGAACTTACTCAGTATTCTTCTTTCTAGCGTTCTATGAAGAAATCCCGTTTCCAACGAAGGCCTCGAAGAGGTCCAAATATCTGCTTGCAGACTTTACAGACAGAGTGTTTCCAAACTACTCTATGAAAAGAAAGCTTAAACTCCTTGAGTTGAACGCACACATCACAAAGTAGTTTCTGAGAATGATTTCTGTCTAGTTTTTATACGAAGATGTTTCCTTTTCTACATTTGGTCTCAAAGCGATTGAAATCTCCAACTGGAAACTGCACAAATAGGGTGTTTCAAATCTGCTCTGTCTAAAGGAAGGTTCAACTCTGTGAGTTGAATACACACACCACAAATAAGTTACTGAGAATTCTTCTGTCGAACATTACAGGAAGAAATCCCGTTTCCAACGAAGGCCTCAAAGAGGTCCAAATATCCACTTGCAGACATTACAAACAGAGTGTTTCCAAACTGCTACATCAAAAGAAAGGTTAAACTCTGTGAGCTGAACACACACATCAAAAAGAAGTTTCTGTGAATGATTCTGTCTAGATTTTCTAAGAAGATGTTTCCTTTTCTACCGTAGGCCTCAAAGCGCTTGAAATCTCCAGCTGCAAATTCCACAAAAAGGGTGTTTAACATCTGCTCTTCTAAAGGAAAGTTCGACTCTATGAGTTGAATACACACAGCACAAAGAAGTTACTGAGACTTCTCCTATCAAACATTATATGAAGAAATCCCGTTTCCAACGAAGGCCTCAAAGAGGTCCAAATATCTGCTTGCAGACTTTACAGACAGAGTGTTTCCAAACTGCTCCATCAAAAGAAAGGTTAAACTCCTTGAGTTGAACACACACATCACAAAGTAGTTTCGGTGAATGATTCTGTCTAGTTTTTATACGAAGATGTTTCCTTTTCTACCTTTGGTCTCAAAGCGATTGAAATCTCCACATGGAAACTCCACAAAAAGAGTGTTTCAAATCTGCTCTTTGTGAAGGAAGGTTCAACTCTGTGAGTTGAATACACACACCACAAATAAGTTACTGAGAATTCTTCTGTGTAACATTATATGAGGAAATCCCGTTTCCAACGAAGGCCTCAAAGAGGTCCAAATATCCACGTGCAGACTTTACAAAGACAGTGTCTCCAAACTCCTCCATCAAAAGAAAGGTTATACTCTGTGAATTGAACGCACACATCACAAAGTAGTTTCTGAGAATGATTCTGTCTAGTTTTTATACGAAGATATTTCCTTTTCTACATTTGGCCTAAAAGCGCTTCAAATCTCCACCTGCAAATATCACAAAAAGAGGGTTTCACATCTGCTCTGTCTAAAGGACAGTTCACCTCTGTGAGTTGAATAGAGGCAACACAAAGAACTTACTCAGTATTCTTCTTTCTAGCGTTCTATGAAGAAATCCCGTTTCCAACGAAGGCCCCAAAGAGGTCAAATATCTGCTTGCAGACTTTACAGACAGAGTGTTTCCAAACTACTCTATGAAAAGAAAGCTTAAACTCCTTGAGTTGAACGCACACATCACAAAGTAGTTTCTGAGAATGATTCTGTCTAGTTTTTATACGAAGATGTTTCCTTTTCTACATTTGGTCTCAAAGCGATTGAAATCTCCAACTGGAAACTGCACAAATAGGGTGTTTCAAATCTGCTCTGTCTAAAGGAAGGTTCAACTCTGTGAGTTGAATACACACACCACAAATAAGTTACTGAGAATTCTTCTGTCGAACATTACATGAAGAAATCCCGTTTCCAACGAAGACCTCAAAGAGGTCCAAATATCCACTTGCAGACATTACAAACAGTGTGTTTCCAAACTGCTCCAACAAAAGAAAGGTTAAACACTGTGAGCTGAACACACACATCAAAAAGAAGTTTCTGTGAATGATTCTGTCTAGATTTTATAAGAAGATGTTTCCTTTTCTACCGTAGGCCTCAAAGCGCTTGAAATCTCCAGCTGCAAATTCCACAAAAAGGGTGTTTAACATCTGCTCTTCTAAAGGAAAGTTCAACTCTATGAGTTAAATACACACAGCACAAAGAAGTTACTGAGACTTCTCCTATCAAACATTATATGAAGAAATCCCGTTTCCAACGAAGGCCTCAAAGAGGTCCAAATATCTGCTTGCAGACTTTACAGACAGAGTGTTTCCAAACTGCTCCATCAAAAGAAAGGTTAAACTCCTTGAGTTGAACACACACATCACAAAGTAGTTTCTGTGAATGATTCTGTCTAGTTTTTATAAGAAGATGTTTCCTTTTCTACCTTTGGTCTCAAAGCGATTGAAATCTCCACATGGAAACTCCTCAAAAAGAGTGTTTCAAATCTGCTCTTTCTGAAGGAAGGTTCAACTCTGTGAGTTGAATACACACACCACAAATAAGTTACTGAGAATTCTTCTGTGTAACATTATATGAGGAAATCCCGTTTCCAACGAAGGCCTCAAAGAGGTCCAAATATCCACTTGCAGACTTTACAAAGACAGTGTCTCCAAACTCCTCCATCAAAAGAAAGGTTATACTCTGTGAATTGAACGCACACATCACAAAGTAGTTTCTGAGAATGATTCTGTCTAGTTTTTATACGAAGATATTTCCTTTTCTACATTTGGCCTAAAAGCGCTTGAAATCTCCACCTGCAAATATCACAAAAAGAGGGTTTCACATCTGCTCTGTCTAAAGGACAGTTCACCTCTGTGAGTTGAATAGAGGCAACACAAAGAACTTACTCAGTATTCTTCTTTCTAGCGTTCTATGAAGAAATCCCGTTTCCAACGAAGGCCCCAAAGAGGTCCAAATATCTGCTTGCAGACTTTACAGACAGAGTGTTTCCAAACTACTCTATGAAAAGAAAGCTTAAACTCCTTGAGTTGAACGCACACATCACAAAGTAGTTTCTGAGAATGATTCTGTCTAGTTTTTATACGAAGATGTTTCCTTTTCTACATTTGGTCTCAAAGCGATTGAAATCTCCAACTGGAAACTGCACAAATAGGGTGTTTCAAATCTGCTCTGTCTAAAGGAAGGTTCAACTCTGTGAGTTGAATACACACACCACAAATAAGTTACTGAGTATTCTTCTGTCGAACATTACAGGAAGAAATCCCGTTTCCAACGAAGGCCTCAAAGAGGTCCAAATATCCACTTGCAGACATTACAAACAGTGTGTTTCCCACCTGCTCCATCAAAAGAAAGGTTAAACTCTGTGAGCTGAACACACACATCAAAAAGAAGTTTGTGTGAATGATTCTGTCTAGATTTAATAAGAAGATGTTTCCTTTTCTACCGTAGGCCTCAAAGCGCTTGAAATCTCCAGCTGCAAATTCCACAAAAAGGGTGTTTAACATCTGCTCTTCTAAAGGAAAGTTCAACTCTATGAGTTGAATACACACAGCACAAAGAAGTTACTGAGACTTCTCCTATCAAACATTATATGAAGAAATCCCGTTTCCAACGAAGGCCTCAAAGAGGTCCAAATATCTGCTTGCAGACTTTACAGACAGAGTGTTTCCAAACTGCTCCATCAAAAGAAAGGTTAAACTCCTTGAGTTGAACACACACATCACAAAGTAGTTTCTGTGAATGATTCTGTCTAGTTTTTATACGAAGATGTTTCCTTTTCTACCTTTGGTCTCAATGCGATTGAAATCTCCACATGGAAACTCCACAAAAAGAGTGTTTCAAATCTGCTCTTTCTGAAGGAAGGTTCAACTCTGTGAGTTGAATACACACACCACAAATAAGTTACTGAGAATTCTTCTGTGTAACATTATATGAGGAAATCCCGTTTCCAACGAAGGCCTCAAAGAGGTCCAAATATCCACTTGCAGACTTTACAAAGACAGTGTCTCCAAACTCCTCCATCAAAAGAAAGGTTATACTCTGTGAATTGAACGCACACATCACAAAGTAGTTTCTGAGAATGATTCTGTCTAGTTTTTATACGAAGATATTTCCTTTTCTACATTTGGCCTAAAAGCGCTTGAAATCTCCACCTGCAAATATCACAAAAAGACGGTTTCACATCTGCTCTGTCTAAAGGACAGTTCACCTCTGTGAGTTGAATAGAGGCAACACAAAGAACTTACTGAGTATTCTTCTTTCTAGCGTTCTATGAAGAAATCCCGTTTCCAACGAAGGCCCCAATGAGGTCCAAATATCTGCTTGCAGACTTTACAGACAGAGTGTTTCCAAACTACTCTATGAAAAGAAAGCTTAAACTCCTTGAGTTGAACGCACACATCACAAAGTAGTTTCTGAGAATGATTCTGTCTAGTTTTTATACGAAGATATTTCCGTTTCTATGATTGGCCTCCAAGCGATTGAAATCTCCAACTGGAAACTGCACAAATAGGGTGTTTCAAATCTGCTCTGTCTAAAGGAAGGTTCAACTCTGTGAGTTGAATACACACACCACAAATAACTTACTGAGAATTCTTCTGTCGAACATTACATGAAGAAATCCCGTTTCCAACGAAGGCCTCAAAGAGGTCCAAATATCCACTTGCAGACATTACAAACAGAGTGTTTCCAAACTGCTCCATCAAAAGAAAGGTTAAACTCTGTGAGCTGAACACACACATCAAAAAGAAGTTTCTGTGAATGATTCTGTCTAGATTTTATAAGAAGATGTTTCCTTTTCTACCGTAGGCCTCAAAGCGCTTGAAATCTCCAGCTGCAAATTCCACAAAAAGGGTGTTTAACATCTGCTCTTCTAAAGGAAAGTTCAACTCTATGAGTTGAATACACACAGCACAAAGAAGTTACTGAGACTTCTCCTATCAAACATTATATGAAGAAATCCCGTTTCCAACGAAGGCCTCAAAGAGGTCCAAATATCTGCTTGCAGACTTTACAGACAGAGTGTTTCCAAACTGCTCCATCAAAAGAAAGGTTAAACTCCTTGAGTTGAACACACACATCACAAAGTAGTTTCTGTGAATGATTCTGTCTAGTTTTTATACGAAGATGTTTCCTTTTCTACCTTTGGTCTCAAAGCGATTGAAATCTCCACATGGAAACTCCACAAAAAGAGTGTTTCAAATCTGCTCTTTCTGAAGGAAGGTTCAACTCTGTGAGTTGAATACACACACCACAAATAAGTTACTGAGAATTCTTCTGTGTAACATTATATGAGGAAATCCCGTTTCCAACGAAGGCCTCAAAGAGGTCCAAATATCCACTTGCAGACTTTACAGAGACAGTGTCTCCAAACTCCTCCATCAAAAGAAAGGTTATACTCTGTGAATTGAACGCACACATCACAAAGTAGTTTCTGAGAATGATTCTGTCTAGTTTTTATACGAAGATATTTCCTTTTCTACATTTGGCCTAAAAGCGCTTGAAATCTCCACCTGCAAATATCACAAAAAGAGGGTTTCACATCTGCTCTGTCTAAAGGACAGTTCACCTCTGTGAGTTGAATAGAGGCAACACAAAGAACTTACTCAGTATTCTTCTTTCTAGCGTTATATGAAGAAATCCCGTTTCCAAAGAAGGCCTCAAAGAGGTCCAAATATCTGCTTGCAGACTTTACAGACAGAGTGTTTCCAAACTACTCTATGAAAAGAAAGCTTAAACTCCTTGAGTTGAACGCACACATCACAAAGTAGTTTCTGAGAATGATTCTGTCTAGTTTTTATACGAAGATGTTTCCTTTTCTACATTTGGTCTCAAAGCGATTGAAATCTCCAACTGGAAACTGCACAAATAGGGTGTTTCAAATCTGCTCTGTCTAAAGGAAGGTTCAACTCTGTGAGTTGAATACACACACCACAAATAAGTTACTGAGAATTCTTCTGTCGAACATTACATGAAGAAATCCCGTTTCCAACGAAGGCCTCAAAGAGGTCCAAATGTCCACTTGCAGACATTACAAACAGTGTGTTTCCAAACTGCTCCATCAAAAGAAAGGTTAAACTCTGTGAGCTGAACACACACATCAAAAAGAAGTTTCTGTGAATGATTCTGTCTAGATTTTATAAGAAGATGTTTCCTTTTCTACCGTAGGCCTCAAAGCGCTTGAAATCTCCAGCTGCAAATTCCACAAAAAGGGTGTTTAACATCTGCTCTTCTAAAGGAAAGTTCAACTCTATGAGTTGAATACACACAGCACAAAGAAGTTACTGAGACTTCTCCTATCAAACATTATATGAAGAAATCCCGTTTCCAACGAAGGCCTCAAAGAGGTCCAAATATCTGCTTGCAGACTTTACAGACAGAGTGTTTCCAAACTGCTCCATCAAAAGAAAGATTAAACTCCTTGAGTTGAACACACACATCACAAAGTAGTTTCTGTGAATGATTCTGTCTAGTTTTTATACGAACATGTTTCCTTTTCTACCTTTGGTCTCAAAGCGATTGAAATCTCCACATGGAAACTCCACAAAAAGTGTGTTTCAAATCTGCTCTTTCTGAAGGAAGGTTCAACTCTGTGAGTTGAATACACACACCACAAATAAGTTACTGAGAATTCTTCTGTGTAACATTATATGAGGAAATCCCGTTTCCAACGAAGGCCTCAAAGAGGTCCAAATATCCACTTGCAGACTTTACAAAGACAGTGTCTCCAAACACCTCCATCAAAAGAAAGGTTATACTCTGTGAATTGAACGCACACATCACAAAGTAGTTTCTGAGAGTGATTCTGTCCAGTTTTTATACGAAGATATTTCCTTTTCTACATTTGGCCTAAAAGCGCTTGAAATCTCCACCAGCAAATATCACAAAAAGAGGGTTTCACATCTGCTCTGTCTAAAGGACAGTTCACCTCTGTGAGTTGAATAGACGCAACACAAAGAACTTACTCAGTATTCTTCTTTCTAGCGTTCTATGAAGAAATCCCGTTTCCAACGAAGGCCTCAAAGAGGTCCAAATATCTGCTTGCAGACTTTACAGACAGAGTGTTTCCAAACTACTCTATGAAAAGAAAGCTTAAACTCCTTGAGTTGAACGCACACATCACAAACTAGTTTCTGAGAATGATTCTGTCTAGTTTTTATACGAAGATGTTTCCTTTTCAACATTTGGTCTCAAAGCGATTGAAATCTCCAACTGGAAACTGCACAAATAGGGTGTTTCAAATCTGCTCTGTCTAAAGGAAGGTTCAACTCTGTGAGTTGAATACACACACCACAAATAAGTTACTGAGAATTCTTCTGTCGAACATTACATGAAGAGATCCCGTTTCCAACGAAGGCCTCAAAGAGGTCCAAATATCCACTTGCAGACATTACAAAGAGAGTGTTTCCAAACTGCTCCATCAAAAGAAAGGTTAAACTCTGTGAGCTGAACACACACATCAAAAAGAATTTTTTGTGAATGATTCTGTCTAGATTTTATAAGAAGATGTTTCCTTTTCTACCGTAGGCCTCATAGTGCTTGAAATCTCCAGCTGCAAATTCCACAAAAAGGGTGTTTAACACCTGATCTTCTAAAGGAAAGTTCAACTCAATGAGTTGAATACACACAGCACAAAGAAGTTACTGAGACCTCTCCTATCAAACATTATATGAAGAAATCCCGTTTCCAACGAAGGCCTCAAAGAGGTCCAAATATCTGTTTGCAGACTTTGCAGACAGAGTGTTTCCAAACTGCTAAATCAAAAGAAAGGTTAAACTCCTTGAGTTGAACACACACATCACAAAGTAGTTTCTGAGAATGATTCTGTCTAGTTTTTATACGAAGATGTTTCCTTTTCTACCTTTGGTCTCAAAGCGATTG
The DNA here is from genome assembly GCF_000001405.40 of Homo sapiens. NCBI lineage: Eukaryota > Metazoa > Chordata > Mammalia > Primates > Hominidae > Homo > Homo sapiens. The sequence continues at coordinate 36,390,121 of NC_000012.12, read as the reverse complement.
AAATCTCCACATGGAAACTCCACAAAAAGAGTGTTTCAAATCTGCTCTTTCTGAAGGAAGGTTCAACTCTGTGAGTTGAATACACACACCACAAATAAGTTGCTGAGAATTCTTCTGTGTAACATTATATGAGGAAATCCCGTTTCCAACGAAGGCCTCAAAGAGGTCCAAATATTCACATGCAGACTTTACAAAGACAGTGTCTCCAAACTCCTCCATCAAAAGAAGGGTTATACTCTGTGAATTGAACGCACACATCACAAAGTAGTTTCTGAGAATGATTCTGTCTTGTTTTTATACGAGGATATTTCCTTTTCTACATTTGGCCTAAAAGCGCTTGAAATCTCCACCTGCAAATATCACAAAAAGAGGGTTTCACATCTGCTCTGTCTAAAGGACAGTTCACCTCTGTGAGTTGAATAGAGGCAACACAAAGAACTTACTCAGTATTCTTCTTTCTAGCGTTCTATGAAGAAATCCCGTTTCCAACGAAGGCCTCAAAGAGGTCCAAATATCTGCTTGCAGACTTTACAGACAGAGTGTTTCCAAACTACTCTATGAAAAGAAAGCTTAAACTCCTTGAGTTGAACGCACACATCACAAAGTAGTTTCTGAGAATGATTCTGTCTAGTTTTTATACGAAGATGTTTCCTTTTCTACATTTGGTCTCAAAGCGATTGAAATCTCCAACTGGAAACTGCAGAAATAGGCTGTTTCAAATCTGCTCTGTCTAAAGGAAGGTTCAGCTCTGTGAGTTGAATACACACACCACAAATAAGTTACTGAGAATTCTTCTGTCGAACATTACATGAAGAAATCCCGTTTCCAACGAAGGCCTCCAAGAGGTCCAAATATCCACATGCAGACATTACAAACAGAGTGTTTCCAAACTGCTCCATCAAAAGAAAGGTTAAACTCTGTGAGCTGAACACACACATCAAAAAGATGTTTCTGTGAATGATTTTGTCTAGATTTTATAAGAAGATGTTTCCTTTTCTACCGTAGGCCTCAAAGCGCTTGAAATCTCCAGCTGCAAATTCCACAAAAAGGGTGTTTAACATCTGCTCTTCTAAAGGAAAGTTCAACTCTATGATTTGAATACACACAGCACAAAGAAGTTACTGAGACTTCTCCTATCAAACATTATATGAAGAAATCCCGTTTCCAACGAAGGCCTCAAAGAGGTCCAAATATCTGCTTGCAGACTTTACAGACAGAGTGTTTCCAAACTGCTGCATCAAAAGAAAGGTTAACCTCCTTGAGTTGAACACACACATCACAAAGTAGTTTCTGTGAATGATTCTGTCTAGTTTTTATACGAAGATGTTTCCTTTTCTACCTTTGGTCTCAAAGCGATTGAAATCTCCACATGGAAACTCCACAAAAAGAGTGTTACAAATCTGCTCTTTCTGAAGGAAGGTTCAACTCTGTGAGTTGAATACACACACCACAAATAAGTTACTGAGAATTCTTCTGTGTAACATTATATGAGGAAATCCCTTTTCCAACGAAGGCCTCAAAGAGGTCCAAATATCCACTTGCAGACTTTACAAAGACAGTGTCTCCAAACTCCTCCATCAAAAGAAAGGTTATACTCTGTGAATTGAACGCACACATCACAAAGTAGTTTCTGAGAATGATTCTGTCTAGTTTTTATACGAAGATATTTCCTTTTCTACATTTGGCCTAAAAGCGCTTGAAATCTCCACCTGCAAATATCACAAAAAGAGGGTTTCACATCTGCTCTGTCTAAAGGACAGTTCACCTCTGTGAGTTGAATAGAGGCAACACAAAGAACTTACTCAGTATTCTTCTTTCTAGCGTTCTATGAAGAAATCCCGTTTCCAACGAAGGCCTCAAAGAGGTCAAATATCTGCTTGCAGACTTTACAGACAGAGTGTTTCCAAACTACTCTATGAAAAGAAAGCTTAAACTCCTTGAGTTGAACGCACACATCACAAAGTAGTTTCTGAGAATGATTCTGTCTAGTTTTTATACGAAGATGTTTCCTTTTCTACATTTGGTCTCAAAGCGATTGAAATCTCCAACTGGAAACTGCACAAATAGGGTGTTTCAAATCTGCTCTGTCTAAAGGAAGGTTCAACTCTTTGAGTTGAATACACACACCACAAATAAGTTACTGAGAATTCTTCTGTCGAACATTACATGAAGAGATCCCGTTTCCAACGACGGCCTCAAAGAGGTCCAAATATCCACTTGCAGACATTACAAACAGAGTGTTTCCAAACTGCTCCATCAAAAGAAAGGTTAAACTCTGTGAGCTGAACACACACATCAAAAAGAAGTTTCTGTGAATGATTCTGTCTAGATTTTATAAGAAGATGTTTCCTTTTCTACCGTAGGCCTCAAAGCGCTTGAAATCTCCAGCTGCAAATTCCACAAAAAGGGTGTTTAACATCTGCTCTTCTAAAGGAAAGTTCAACTCTATGAGTTGAATACACACAGCACAAAGAAGTTACTGAGACTTCTCCTATCAAACATTATATGAAGAAATCCCGTTTCCAACGAAGGCCTCAAAGAGGTCCAAATATCTGCTTGCAGACTTTACAGACAGAGTGTTTCCAAACTGCTCCATCAAAAGAAAGGTTAAACTCCTTGAGTTGAACACACACATCACAAAGTAGTTTGCTGTGAATGATTCTGTCTAGTTTTTATACGAAGATGTTTCCTTTTCTACCTTTGGTCTCAAAGCGATTGAAATCTCCACATGGAAACTCCACAAAAAGAGTGTTTCAAATCTGCTCTTTCTGAAGGAAGGTTCAACTCTGTGAGTTGAATACACACACCACAAATAAGTTACTGAGAATTCTTCTGTGTAACATTATATGAGGAAATCCCGTTTCCAACGAAGGCCTCAAAGAGGTCCAAATATCCACTTGCAGACTTTACAAAGACAGTGTCTCCAAACTCCTCCATCAAAAGAAAGGTTATACTCTGTGAATTGAACGCACACATCACAAAGTAGTTTCTGAGAATGATTCTGTCTAGTTTTTATACGAAGATATTTCCTTTTCTACATTTGGCCTGAAAACGCTTGAAATCTCCACCTGCAAATACCACAAAAAGAGGGTTTCACATCTGCTCTGTCTAAAGGACAGTTCACCTCTGTGAGTTGAATAGAGGCAACACAAAGAACTTACTCAGTATTCTTCTTTCTAGCGTTCTATGAAGAAATCCCGTTTCCAACGAAGGCCTCAAAGAGGTCCAAATATCTGCTTGCAGACTTTACAGACAGAGTGCTTCCAAACTGCTCTATGAAAAGAAAGCTTAAACTCCGTGAGTTGAACGCACACATCACAAAGTAGTTTCTGAGAATGATTCTGTCTTGTTTTTATACGAAGATATTTCCGTTTCTACGATAGGCCTCAAAGCGATTGAAATCTCCAACTGGAAACTACACAAATAGTGTGTTTCAAATCTGCTCTGTCTAAAGGAAGGTTCAACTCTGTGAGTTGAATACACACACCACAAATAAGTTACTGAGAATTCTTCTGTCGACCATTACTTGAAGAAATCCCGTTTCCAACGAAGGCCTCAAAGAGGTCCAAATATCCACTTGCAGACATTACAAACAGAGTGTTTCCAAACTGCTCCATCAAAAGAAAGGTTAAACTCTGTGAGCTGAACACACACATCGAAAAGAAGTTTCTGTGAATGATTCTGTCTAGATTTTATAAGAAGATGTTTCCTTTTCTACCGTAGGCCTCAAAGCGCTTGAAATCTCCAGCTGCAAATTCCACAAAAAGGGTGTTTAACATCTGCTCTTCTAAAGGAAAGTTCAACTCTATGCGTTGAATACACACAGCACAAAGAAGTTACTGAGACTTCTCCTATCAAACATTATATGAAGAAATCCCGTTTCCAACGAAGGCCTCAAAGAGGTCCAAATATCTGCTTGCAGACTTTACAGACAGAGTGTTTCCAAACTGCTCCATCAAAAGAAAGGTTAAACTCCTTGAGTTGAACACACACATCACAAAGTAGTTTCTGTGAATGATTCTGTCTAGTTTTTATACGAAGATATTTCCTTTTCTACCTTTGGTCTCAAAGCGATTGAAATCTCCACATGGAAACTCCACAAAAAGAGTGTTTCAAATCTGCTCTTTCTGAAGGAAGGTTCAACTCTGTGAGTTGAATACACACACCACAAATAAGTTACTGAGAATTCTTCTGTGTAACATTATATGAGGAAATCCCGTTTCCAACGAAGGCCTCAAAGAGGTCCAAATATCCACTTGCAGACTTTACAAAGACAGTGTCTTGAAACTCCTCCATCAAAAGAAAGGTTATACTCTGTGAATTGAACGCACACATCACAAAGTAGTTTCTGAGAATGACTCTGTCTAGTTTTTATACAAAGATATTTCCTTTTCTACATTTGGCCTAAAAGCGCTTGAAATCTCCACCTGCAAATATCACAAAAAGAGGGTTTCACATCTGCTCTGTCTAAAGGACAGTTCACCTCTGTGAGTTGAATAGAGGCAACACAAAGAACTTACTCAGTATTCTTCTTTCTAGCGTTCTATGAAGAAATCCCGTTTCCAACGAAGGCCTCAAAGAGGTCAAATATCTGCTTGCAGACTTTACAGACAGAGTGTTTCCAAACTACTCTATGAAAAGAAAGCTTAAACTCCTTGAGTTGAACGCACACATCACAAAGTAGTTTCTGAGAATGATTCTGTCTAGTTTTTATACGAAGATGTTTCCTTTTCTACATTTGGTCTCAAAGCGATTGAAATCTCCAACTGGAAACTGCACAAATAGGGTGTTTCAAATCTGCTCTGTCTAAAGGAAGGTTCAACTCTGTGAGTTGAATACACACACCACAAATAAGTTACTGAGAATTCTTCTGTCGACCATTACTTGAAGAAATCCCGTTTCCAACGAAGGCCTCAAAGAGGTCCAAATATCCACTTGCAGACATTACAAACAGAGTGTTTCCAAACTGCTCCATCAAAAGAAAGGTTAAACTCTGTGAGCTGAACACACACATCGAAAAGAAGTTTCTGTGAATGATTCTGTCTAGATTTTATAAGAAGATGTTTCCTTTTCTACCGTAGGCCTCAAAGCGCTTGAAATCTCCAGCTGCAAATTCCACAAAAAGGGTGTTTAACATCTGCTCTTCTAAAGGAAAGTTCAACTCTATGAGTTGAATACACACAGCACAAAGAAGTTACTGAGACTTCTCCTATCAAACATTATATGAAGAAATCCCGTTTCCAACGAAGGCCTCAAAGAGGTCCAAATATCTGCTTGCAGACTTTACAGACAGAGTGTTTCCAAACTGCTCCATCAAAAGAAAGGTTAAACTCCTTGAGTTGAACACACACATCACAAAGTAGTTTCTGTGAATGATTCTGTCTAGTTGCTATACGAAGATGTTTCCTTTTCTACCTTTGGTCTCAAAGCGATTGAAATCTCCACATGGAAACTCCACAAAAAGAGTGTTTCAAATCTGCTCTTTCTGAAGGAAGGTTCATCTCTGTGAGTTGAATACACACACCACAAATAAGTTACTGAGAATTCTTCTGTGTAACATTATATGAGGAAATCCCGTTTCCAACGAAGGCTTCAAAGAGGTCCAAATATCCACTTGCAGACTTTACAAAGACAGTGTCTCCAAACTCCTCCATCAAAAGAAAGGTTATACTCTGTGAATTGAACGCACACATCACAAAGTAGTTTCTGAGAATGATTCTGTCTAGATTTTATAAGATGATGTTTCCTTTTCTACCATAGGCCTCAAAGCGCTAGAAATCTCCAGCTGCAAATTCCACAAAAAGTGTGTTGAACATCTGCTCTGTCTAAAGTAAAGTTCAGCTCTGTGAGTTGAATACACACAGCACAAAGAAGTTACTGAGACTTCTTCTGTTCTTAAGCATTTATATGAAGAAATCCCGTTTCCAACGAAAGCCTCAAAGAGGTCCAAATATCTGCTTGCAGACTTTACAGACAGAGTGTTTCCAAACTACTCTATGAAAAGAAAGCTTAAACTCCGTGAGTTGAACGCACACATCACAAAGTAGTTTCTGACAATGATTCTGTCTTGTATTTATACGAAGATATTTCCGTTTCTACGATTGGCCTCAAAGCGACTGAAATCTCCAACTGGAAACTGCACAGATAGGGTGTTTCAAATGTGCTCCGTCTAAAGGAAGGTTGGACTCTGGAGTTGAATACACACACCACAAATAAGTTACTGAGAATTCTTCTGTCGAACATTACATGAAGAAATCCCGTTTCCAACGAAGGCCTCAAAGAGGTCCAAATATCCACTTGCAGACATTACAAACAGTGTGTTTCCAAACTGCTCCATCAAAAGAAAGGTTAAACTCTGTGAGCTGAACACACATCAAAAAGAAGTTTCTGTGAATGATTCTGTCTAGATTTTATAAGAAGATGTTTCCTTTTCTACCATAGGCCTCAAAGCGCTTGAAATCTCCAGCTGCAAATTCCACAAAAAGGGTGTTTAACATCTGCTCTTCTAAAGGAAAGTTCAAATCTATGAGTTGAATACACACAGCACAAAGAAGTTACTGAGACTTCTCCTATCAAACATTATATGAAGAAATCCCATTTCCAACGAAGGCCTCAAAGAGGTCCAAATATCTGCTTGCAGACTTTACAGACAGAGTGTTTCCAAACTGCTCCATCAAAAGAAAGGTTAAACTCCTTGAGTTGAACACACACATCACAAAGTAGTTTACATGAATGATCTGTCTAGTTTTTATACGAAGATGTTTCCTTTTCTACCTTTGGTCTCAAAGCAATTGAAATCTCCACATGGAAACTCCACAAAAAGAGTGTTTCAAATCTGCTCTTTCTGAAGGAAGGTTCAACTCTGTGAGTTGAATACACACACCACAAATAAGTACTGAGAATCCTGTCTGTGTAACATTATATGAGGAAATCCCGTTTCCAACGAAGGCCTCAAAGAGGTCCAAATATCCACTTGCAGACTTTACAAAGACAGTGTCTCCAAACTCCTCCATCAAAAGAAAGGTTATACTACTGTGAATTGAACGCACACATCACAACGTGGTTTCTGAGAATGATTCTGTCTAGTTTTTATACGAAGAATATCCTTTTCTACATTTGGCCTAAAGCGCTTGAAATCTCCACCTGCAAATATCACAAAAAGAGGGTTTCACATCTGCTCTGTCTAAAGGACAGTTCACCTCTGTGAGTTGAATAGAGGCAACACAAAGAACTTACTCAGTATTCTTCTTTCTAGCGTTCTATGAAGAAATCCCGTTTCCAACGAAGGCCCCAAAGAGGTCCAAATATCTGCTTGCAGACTTTACAGACAGAGTGTTTCCAAACTACTCTATGAAAAGAAAGCTTAAACTCCTTGAGTTGAACGCACACATCACAAAGTAGTTTCTGAGAATGATTCTGTCTAGTTTTTATACGAAGATGTTTCCTTTTCTACATTTGGTCTCAAATCGATTGAAATCTCCAACTGGAAACTGCACAAATAGGGTGTTTCAAATCTGCTCTGTCTAAAGGAAGGTTCAACTCTGTGAGTTGAATACACACACCACAAATAAGTTACTGAGAATTCTTCTGTCGAACATTACAGGAAGAAATCCCGTTTCCAACGAAGGCCTCAAAGAGGTCCAAATATCCACTTGCAGACATTACAAACAGTGTGTTTCCCAACTGCTCCATCAAAAGAAAGGTTAAACTCTGTGAGCTGAACACACACATCAAAAAGAAGTTTCTGTGAATGATTCTGTCTAGATTTTATAAGAAGATGTTTCCTTTTCTACCGTAGGCCTCAAAGCGCTTGAAATCTCCAGCTGCAAATTCCACAAAAAGGGTGTTTAACATCTGCTCTTCTAAAGGAAAGTTCAACTCTATGAGTTGAATACACACAGCACAAAGAAGTTTCTGAGACTTCTTCTTTCTAGCATTATATGAAGAAATCCCGTTTCCAATGAAGGCCTCAAAGAGGTCCAAATATCTGCTTGCAGACTTTACAGACAGAGTGTTTCCAAACTGCTCCATCAAAACAAAGGTTAACCTCCTTGAGTTGAACACACACATCACAAAGTAGTTTCTGTGAATGATTCTGTCTAGTTTTTATACGAAGATGTTTCCTTTTCTACCTTTGGTCTGAAAGCGATTGAAATCTCCACATGGAAACTCCACAAAAGGAGTGTTTCAAATCTGCTCTTTCTGAAGGAAGGTTCAACTCTGTGAGTTGAATACACACACCACAAATAAGTTACTGAGAATTCTTCTGTGTAACATTATATGAGGAAATCCCGTTTCCAACGAAGGCCTCAAAGAGGTCCAAATATCCACTTGCAGACTTTACAAAGACAGTGTCTCCAAACTCCTCCATCAAAAGAAAGGTTATACTCTGTGAATTGAACGCACACATCACAAAGTAGTTTCTGAGAATGATTCTGTCTAGTTTTTATACGAAGATATTTCCTTTTCTACATTTGGCCTAAAAGCGCTTGAAATCTCCACCTGCAAATATCCCAAAAAGAGGGTTTCACATCTGCTCTGTCTAAAGGACAGTTCACCTCTGTGAGTTGAATAGAGGCAACACAAAGAACTTACTCAGTATTCTTCTTTCTAGCGTTCTATGAAGAAATCCCGTTTCCAACGAAGGCCTCAAAGAGGTTCAAATATCTGCTTGCAGACTTTACAGACAGAGTGTTTCCAAACTACTCTATGAAAAGAAAGCTTAAACTCCTTGAGTTGAACGCACACATCACAAAGTAGTTTCTGAGAATGATTCTGTCTAGTTTTTATACGAAGATATTTCCGTTTCTATGATTGGCCTCAAAGCGATTGAAATCTCCAACTGGAAACTGCACAAATAGGGTGTTTCAAATCTGCTCTGTCTAAAGGAAGGTTCAACTCTGTGAGTTGAATACACACACCACAAATAAGTTACTGAGAATTCTTCTGTCGAACATTACATGAAGAAATCCCGTTTCCAACGAAGGCCTCAAAGAGGTCCAAATATCCACTTGCAGACGTGACAAACAGAGTGTTTCCAAACTGCTCCATCAAAAGAAAGGTTAAACTCTGTGAGTTGAACACACACATCTCAAAGTAGTTTCTGTGAATGATTCTGTCTAGTTTTTATACGAAGACGTTTCCTTTTCTACCTCTGGTCTCAAAACGATTGAAATCTCCACATGGAACCTCCACAAAAAGAGTGTTTCAAATCTCCTCTTTCTAAAGGAAGGTTCATCTCTGTGAGTTGAATAGACACACCACAAATAAGTAACTGAGAATTCTCCTATCAAACATTATATGAAGAAATCCCGTTTCCAACGAAGGCCTCAAAGAGGTCCAAATATCTGCTTTCAGACTTTACAGACAGGGTGTTTCCAAACTGCTCCATCAAAAGAAAGGTTAAACTCCTTGAGTTGAACACACAGATCACAAAGTAGTTTCTGTGAATGATTCTGTCTAGTTTTTATACGAAGATGTTTCCTTTTCTACCTTTGGTCTCAAAGCGATTGAAATCTCCACATGGAAACTCCACAAAAAGAGTGTTTCAAATCTGCTCTTTCTGAAGGAAGGTTCAACTCTTGTGAGTTGAATACACACACCACAAATAAGTTACTGAGAATTCTTCTGTGTAACATTATATGAGGAAATCCCGTTTCCAACGAAGGCCTCAAAGAGGTCCAAATATCCACTTGCAGACTTTACAAAGACAGTGTCTCCAAACTCCTCCATCAAAAGAAAGGTTATACTCTGTGAATTGAACGCACACATCACAAAGTAGTTTCTGAGAATGATTCTGTCTAGTTTTTATACGAAGATATTTCCTTTTCTACATTTGGCCTAAAAGCGCTTGAAATCTCCACCTGCAAATATCACAAAAAGAGGTTTTCACATCTGCTCTGTCTAAAGGACAGTTCACCTCTGTGAGTTGAATAGAGGCAACACAAAGAACTTACTCAGTATTCTTCTTTCTAGCGTTCTATGAAGAAATCCCGTTTCCAACGAAGGCCTCAAAGAGGTCCAAATATCTGCTTCCAGACTTTACAGACAGAGTGTTTCCAAACTACTCTATGAAAAGAAACCTTAAACTCCTTGAGTTGAACGCACACATCACAAAGTAGTTTCTGAGAATGATTCTGTCTAGTTTTTATACGAAGATGTTTCCTTTTCTACATTTGGTCTCAAAGCGATTGAAATCTCCAACTGGAAACTGCACAAATAGGGTGTTTCAAATCTGCTCTGTCTAAAGGAAGGTTCAACTCTGTGAGTTGAATACACACACCACAAATAAGTTACTGAGAATTCTTCTGTCGAACATTACTTAAAGAAATCCCGTTTCCAACGAAGGCCTCAAAGAGGTCCAAATATCCACTTGCAGACATTACAAACAGAGTGTTTCCAAACTGCTCCATCAAAAGAAAGGTTAAACTCTGTGAGCTGAACACACACATCGAAAAGAAGTTTCTGTGAATGATTCTGTCTAGATTTTATAAGAAGATGTTTCCTTTTCTACCGTAGGCCTCAAAGCGCTTGAAATCTCCAGCTGCAAATTCCACAAAAAGGGTGTTTAACATCTGCTCTTCTAAAGGAAAGTTCAACTCTATGAGTTGAATACACACAGCACAAAGAAGTTACTGAGACTTCTCCTATCAAACATTATATGAAGAAATCCCGTTTCCAACGAAGGCCTCAAAGAGGTCCAAATATCTGCTTGCAGACTTTACAGACAGAGTGTTTCCAAACTGCTCCATCAAAAGAAAGGTTAACCTCCTTGAGTTGAACACACACATCACAAAGTAGTTTCTGTGAATGATTCTGTCTAGTTTTTATACGAAGATGTTTCCTTTTCTACCTTTGGTCTCAAAGCGATTGAAATCTCCACATGGAAACTCCACAAAAAGAGTGTTTCAAATCTGCTCTTTCTGAAGGAAGGTTCAACTCTGTGAGTTGAATACACACACCACAAATAAGTTACTGAGAATTCTTCTGTGTAACATTATATGAGGAAATCCCGTTTCCAACGAAGGCCTCAAAGAGGTCCAAATATCCACTTGCAGACTTTACAAAGACAGTGTCTCCAAACTCCTCCATCGAAAGAATGGTTATACTCTGTGAATTGAACGCACACATCACAAAGTAGTTTCTGAGAATGATTCTGTCTAGTTTTTATACGAAGATATTTCCTTTTCTACATTTGGCCTAAAAGCGCTTGAAATCTCCACCTGCAAATATCACAAAAAGAGGGTTTCACATCTGCTCTGTCTAAAGGACAGTTCACCTCTGTGAGTTGAATAGAGGCAACACAAAGAACGTACTCAGTATTCTTCTTTCTAGCGTTCTATGAAGAAATCCCGTTTCCAACGAAGGCCCCAATGAGGTCCAAATATCTGCTTGCAGACTTTACAGACAGAGTGTTTCCAAACTACTCTATGAAAAGAAAGCTTAAACTCCTTGAGTTGAACGCACACATCATAAAGTAGTTTCTGAGAATGATTCTGTCTAGTTTTTATACGAAGATGTTTCCTTTTCTACATTTGGTCTCAAAGCGATTGAAATCTCCAACTGGAAACTGCACAAATAGGGTGTTTCAAATCTGCTCTGTCTAAAGGAAGGTTCAACTCTGTGAGTTGAATTCACACACCACAAATAAGTTACTGAGAATTCTTCTGTCGAACATTACTTGAAGAAATCCCGTTTCCAACGAAGGCCTCAAAGAGGTCCAAATATCCACTTGCAGACATTACAAACAGAGTGTTTCCAAACTGCTCCATCAAAAGAAAGGTTAAACTCTGTGAGCTGAACACACACATCAAAAAGAAGTTTCTGTGAATGATTCTGTCTAGATTTTATAAGAAGATGTTTCCTTTTCTACCGTAGGCCTCAAAGCGCTTGAAATCTCCAGCTGCAAATTCCACAAAAAGGGTGTTTAACATCTGCTCTTCTAAAGGAAAGTTCAACTCTATGAGTTGAATACACACAGCACAAAGAAGTTACTGAGACTTCTCCTATCAAACATTATATGAAGAAATCCCGTTTCCAACGAAGGCCTCAAAGAGGTCCAAATATCTGCTTGCAGACTTTACAGACAGAGTTTTTCCAAACTGCTCCATCAAAAGAAAGGTTAAACTCCTTGAGTTGAACACACACATCACAAAGTAGTTTCTGTGAATGATTCTGTCTAGTTTTTATACGAAGATGTTTCCTTTTCTACCTTTGGTCTCAAAGCGATTGAAATCTCCACATGGAAACTCCACAAAAAGAGTGTTTCAAATCTGCTCTTTCTGAAGGAAGGTTCAACTCTGTGAGTTGAATACACACACCACAAATAAGTTACTGAGAATTCTTCTGTGTAACATTATAGGAGGAAATCCCGTTTCCAACGAAGGCCTCAAAGAGGTCCAAATATCCACTTGCAGACTTTACAAAGACAGTGTCTCCAAACTCCTCCATCAAAAGAAAGCTTATCCTCTGTGAATTGAACGCACACATCACAAAGTAGTTTCTGAGAATGATTCTGTCTAGTTTTTATACGAAGATATTTCCTTTTCTACATTTGGCCTAAAAGCGCTTGAAATCTCCACCTGCAAATATCACAAAAAGAGGGTTTCACATCTGCTCTGTCTAAAGGACAGTTCACCTCTGTGAGTTGAATAGAGGCAGCACAAAGAAGTTACTGAGTATTCTTCTTTCTAGCGTTCTATGAAGAAATCCCGTTTCCAACGAAGGCCTCAAAGAGGTCCAAATATCTGCTTCCAGACTTTACAGACAGAGTGTTTCCAAACTACTCTATGAAAAGAAACCTTAAACTCCTTGAGTTGAATGCACACATCACAAAGTAGTTTCTGAGAATGATTCTGTCTAGTTTTTATACGAAGATGTTTCCTTTTCTACATTTGGTCTCAAAGCGATTGAAATCTCCAACTGGAAACTGCACAAATGGGGTGTTTCAAATCTGCTCTGTCTAAAGGAAGGTTCAACTCTGTGAGTTGAATACACACACCACAAATAAGTTACTGAGAATTCTTCTGTCGAACATTACTTGAAAGAAATCCCGTTTCCAACGAAGGCCTCAAAGAGGTCCAAATATCCACTTGCAGACATTACAAACAGAGTGTTTCCAAACTGCTCCATCAAAAGAAAGGTTAAACTCTGTGAGCTGAACACACACATCAAAAAGAAGTTTCTGTGAATGATTCTGTCTAGATTTTATAAGAAGATGTTTCCTTTTCTACCGTAGGCCTCAAAGCGCTTGAAATCTCCAGCTGCAAATTCCACAAAAAGGGTGTTTAACATCTGCTCTTCTAAAGGAAAGTTCAACTCTATGAGTTGAATACACACAGCACAAAGAAGTTACTGAGACTTCTCCTATCAAACATTATATGAAGAAATCCCGTTTCCAACGAAGGCCTCAAAGAGGTCCAAATATCTGCTTGCAGACTTTACAGACAGAGTGTTTCCAAACTGCTCCATCAAAAGAAAGGTTAAACTCCTTGAGTTGAACACACACATCACAAAGTAGTTTCTGTGAATGATTCTGTCTAGTTTTTATACGAAGATGTTTCCTTTTCTACCTTTGGTCTCAAAGCGATTGAAATCTCCACATGGAAACTCCACAAAAAGAGTGTTTCAAATCTGCTCTTTCTGAAGGAAGGTTCAACTCTGTGAGTTGAATACACACACCACAAATAAGTTACTGAGAATTCTTCTGTGTAATATTATATGAGGAAATCCCGTTTCCAACGAAGGCCTCAAAGAGGTCCAAATATCCACTTGCAGACTTTACAAAGACAGTGTCTCCAAACTCCTCCATCAAAAGAAAGGTTATACTCTGTGAATTGAACACACACATCACAAAGTAGTTTCTGAGAATGATTCTGTCTAGTTTTTATACGAAGATATTTCCTTTTCTACATTTGGCCTAAAAGCGCTTGAAATCTCCACCTGCAAATATCACAAAAAGAGGGTTTCACATCTGCTCTGTCTAAAGGACAGTTCACCTCTGTGAGTTGAATAGAGGCAACACAAAGAACTTACTCAGTATTCTTCTTTCTAGCGCTCTATGAAGAAATCCCGTTTCCAACGAAGGCCTCAAAGAGGTCCAAATATCTGCTTGCAGACATTACAGACAGAGTGTTTCCAAACTACTCTATGAAAAGAAAGCTTAAACTCCTTGAGTTGAACGCACACATCACAAAGTAGTTTCTGAGAATGATTCTGTCTAGTTTTTATACGAAGATGTTTCCTTTTCTACATTTGGTCTCAAAGCGATTGAAATCTCCAACTGGAAACTGCACAAATAGGGTGTTTCAAATCTGCTCTGTCTAAAGGAAGGTTCAACTCTGTGAGTTGAATACACACACCACAAATAAGTTACTGAGAATTCTTCTGTCGAACATTACTTGAAGAAATCCCGTTTCCAACGAAGGCCTCAAAGAGGTCCAAATATCCACTTGCAGACATTACAAACAGATTGTTTCCAACCTGCTCCATCAAAAGAAAGGTTAAACTCTGTGAGCTGAACACACACATCAAAAAGAAGTTTCTGTGAATGATTCTGTCTAGATTTTATAAGAAGATGTTTCCTTTTCTACCGTAGGCCTCAAAGCGCTTGAAATCTCCGGCTGCAAATTCCACAAAAAGGGTGTTTAACATGTGCTCTTCTAAAGGAAAGTTCAACTCTATGAGTTGAATACACACAGCACAAAGAAGTTACTGAGACTTCTCCAATCAAACATTATATGAAGAAATCCCTTTTCCAACGAAGGCCTCAAAGAGGTCCAAATATCTGCTTGCAGACTTTACAGACAGAGTGTTTCCAAACTGCTCCATCAAAAGAAAGGTTAAACTCCTTGAGTTGAACACACACATCACAAAGTAGTTTCTGTGAATGATTCTGTCTAGTTTTTATACGAAGATGTTTCCTTTTCTACCTTTGGTCTCAATGCGATTGAAATCTCCACATGGAAACTCCACAAAAAGAGTGTTTCAAATCTGCTCTTTCTGAAGGAAGGTTCAACTCTGTGAGTTGAATACACACACCACAAATAAGTTACTGAGAATTCTTCTGTGTAACATTATATGAGGAAATCCCGTTTCCAACGAAGGCCTCAAAGAGGTCCAAATATCCACTTGCAGACTTTACAAAGACAGTGTCTCCAAACTCCTCCATCAAAAGAAAGGTTATACTCTGTGAATTGAACGCACACATCACAAAGTAGTTTCTGAGAATGATTCTGTCTAGTTTGTTATACGAAGATATTTCCTTTTCTACATTTGGCCTAAAAGCGCTTGAAATCTCCACCTGCAAATATCACAAAAAGAGGGTTTCACATCTGCTCTGTCTAAAGGACAGTTCACCTCTGCGAGTTGAATAGAGGCAACACAAAGAACTTACTCAGTATTGCTTCTTTCTAGCGTTCTATGAAGAAATCCCGTTTCCAACGAAGGCCCCAAAGAGGTCCAAATATCTGCTTGCAGACTTTACAGACAGAGTGTTTCCAAACTACTCTATGAAAAGAAAGCTTAAATTCCTTGAGTTGAACGCACACATCACAAAGTAGTTTCTGAGAATGATTCTGTCTAGTTTTTATACGAAGATGTTTCCTTTTCTACATTTGGTCTCAAAGCGATTGAAATCTCCAACTGGAAACTGCACAAATAGGGTGTTTCAAATCTGCTCTGTCTAAAGGAAGGTTCAACTCTGTGAGTTGAATACACACACCACAAATAAGTTACTGAGAATTCTTCTGTCGAACATTACTTGAAGAAATCCCGTTTCCAACGAAGGCCTCAAAGAGGTCCAAATATTCACTTGCAGATATTACAAACAGAGTGTTTCCAAACTGCTCCATCAAAAGAAAGGTTAAACTCTGTGAGCTGAACACACACATCAAAAACAAGTTTCTGTGAATGATTCTGTCTAGATTTTATAAGAAGATGTTTCCTTTTCTACCGTAGGCCTCAAAGCGCTTGAAATCTCCAGCTGCAAATTCCACAAAAAGGGTGTTTAACATCTGCTCTTCTAAAGGAAAGTTCGACTCTATGAGATGAATACACACAGCACAAAGAAGTTACTGAGACTTCTCCTATCAAACATTATATGAAGAAATCCCGTTTCCAACGAAGGCCTCAAAGAGGTCCAAATATCTGCTTGCAGACTTTACAGACAGAGTGTTTCCAAACTGCTCCATCAAAAGAAAGGTTAAACTCCTTGAGTTGAACACACACATCACAAAGTAGTTTCTGTGAATGATTCTGTCTAGTTTTTATACGAAGATGTTTCCTTTTCTACCTTTGGTCTCAAAGCGATTGAAATCTCCACATGGAAACTCCACAAAAAGAGTGTTTCAAATCTGCTCTTTCTGAAGGAAGGTTCAACTCTGTGAGTTGAATACACACACCACAAATAAGTTACTGAGAATTCTTCTGTGTAACATTATATGAGGAAATCCCGTTTCCAACGAAGGCCTCAAAGAGGTCCAAATATCCACTTGCAGACTTTACAAAGACAGTGTCTCCAAACTCCTCCATCAAAAGAAAGGTTATACTCTGTGAATTGAACGCACACATCACAAAGTAGTTTCTGAGAATGATTCTGTCTAGTTTTTATACGAAGATATTTCCTTTTCTACATTTGGCCTAAAAGCGCTTGAAATCTCCACCTGCAAATATCACAAAAAGAGGGTTTCACATCTGCTCTGTCTAAAGGACAGTTCACCTCTGTGAGTTGAATAGAGGCAACACAAAGAACTTACTCAGTATTCTTCTTTCTAGCGTTCTATGAAGAAATCCCGTTTCCAACGAAGGCCTCAAAGAGGTCAAATATCTGCTTGCAGACTTTACAGACAGAGTGTTTCCAAACTACTCTATGAAAAGAAAGCTTAAACTCCTTGAGTTGAACGCACACATCACAAAGTAGTTTCTGAGAATGATTCTGTCTAGTTTTTATACGAAGATGTTCCCTTTTCTACATTTGGTCTCAAAGCGATTGAAATCTCCAACTGGAAACTCCACAAATAGGCTGTTTCAAATCTGCTCTGTCTAAAGGAAGGTTCAACTCTGTGAGTTGAATACACACACCACAAATAAGTTACTGAGAATTCTTCTGTCGAACATTACATGAAGAAATCCCGTTTCCAAAGAAGGCCTCAAGGGGTCCAAATATCTACTTGCAGACATTACAAACAGAGTGTTTCCAAACTGCTCCATCAAAAGAAAGGTTAAACTCTGTGAGCTGAACACACACATCAAAGAGAAGTTTCTGTGAATGATTCTGTCTAGATTTTATAAGAAGATGTTTCCTTTTCTACCGTAGGCCTCAAAGCGCTTGAAATCTCCAGCTGCAAATTCCACAAAAAGGGTGTTTAACATCTGCTCTTCTAAAGGAAAGTTCAAGTCTATGAGTTGAATTCACACAGCACAAAGAAGTTACTGAGACTTCTCCTATCAAACATTATATGAAGAAATCCCGTTTCCAACGAAGGCCTCAAAGAGGTCCAAATATCTGCTTGCAGACTTTACAGACAGAGTGTTTCCAAACTACTCTATGAAAAGAAAGCTTAAACTCCTTGAGTTGAACGCACACATCACAAAGTAGTTTCTGAGAATGATTCTGTCTAGTTGTTATACGAAGATGTTTCCTTTTCTACCTTTGGTCTCAAAGCGATTGAAATCTCCACATGGAAACTCCACAAAAAGAGTGTTTCAAATCTGCTCTTTCTGAAGGAAGGTTCATCTCTGTGAGTTGAATACACACACCACAAATAAGTTAGTGAGAATTCTTCTGTGTAACATTATATGAGGAAATCCCGTTTCCAACGAAGGCCTCAAAGAGGTCCAAATATCCACATGCAGACTTTACAAAGACAGTGTCTCCAAACTCCTCCATCAAAAGAAAGGTTATACTCTGTGAATTGAACGCACACATCACAAAGTAGTTTCTGAGAATGATTCTGTCTAGTTTTTATACGAAGATATTTCCTTTTCTACATTTGGCCTAAAAGGGCTTGAAATCTCCACCTGCAAATATCACAAAAAGAGGGTTTCACATCTGCTCTGTCTAAAGGACAGTTCACCTCTGTGAGTTGAATAGAGGCAACACAATGAACTTACTCAGTATTCTTCTTTCTAGCGTTCTATGAAGAAATCCCGTTTCCAACGAAGGCCTCAATGAGGTCCAAATATCTGCTTGCACACTTTACAGACAGAGTGTTTCCAAACTACTCTATGAAAAGAAAGCTTAAACTCCTTGAGTTGAACGCACACATCACAAAGTAGTTTCTGAGAATGATTCTGTCTAGTTTTTATACGAAGATGTTTCCTTTTCTACATTTGGTCTCAAAGCGATTGAAATCTCCAACTGGAAACTGCACAAATAGGGTGTTTCAAATCTGCTCTGTCTAAAGGAAGGTTCAACTCTGTGAGTTGAATACACACACCACACATAAGTTACTGAGAATTCTTCTGTCGAACATTACAGGAAGAAATCCCGTTTCCAGCGAAGGCCTCAAAGAGGTCCAAATATCCACTTGCAGACATTACAAACAGAGTGTTTCCAAACTGCTCCATCAAAAGAAAGGTTAAACTCTGTGAGCTGAACACACACATCAAAAAGAAGTTTCTGTGAATGATTCTGTCTAGATTTTATAAGAAGATGTTTCCTTTTCTACCGTAGGCCTCAAAGCGCTTGAAATCTCCAGCTGCAAATTCCACAAAAAGGGTCATTAACATCTGCTCTTCTAAAGGAAAGTTCAACTCTGTGAGTTGAATACACACAGCACAAAGAAGTTACTGAGACTTCTCCTATCAAACATTATATGAAGAAATCCCGTTTCCAACGAAGGCCTCAAAGAGGTCCAAATATCTGCTTGCAGACTTTACAGACAGAGTGTTTCCAAACTGCTCCATCAAAAGAAAGGTTAAACTCCTTGAGTTGAACACACACATCACAAAGTAGTTTCTGTGAATGATTCTGTCTAGTTTTTATACGAAGATGTTTCCTTTTCTACCTTTGGTCTCAAAGCGATTGAAATCTCCACATGGAAACTCCACAAAAAGAGTGTTTCAAATCTGCTCTTTCTGAAGGAAGGTTCATCTCTGTGAGTTGAATACACACACCACAAATAAGTTACTGAGAATTCTTCTGTGTAACATTATATGAGGAAATCCCGTTTCCAACGAAGGCCTCAAAGAGGTCCAAATATCCACTTGCAGACTTTACAAAGACAGTGTCTCCAAACTCCTCCATCAAAAGAAAGGTTATACTGCTGTGAATTGAACGCACACATCACAAAGTAGTTTGCTGAGAATGATTCTGTCTAGTTTTTATACGAAGATATTTCCTTTTCTACATTTGGCCCAAAAGCGCTTGAAATCTCCACCTGCAAATATCACAAAAAGAGGGTTTCACATCTGCTCTGTCTAAAGGACAGTTCACCTCTGTGAGTTGAATAGAGGCAACACCAAGAACTTACTCAGTATTCTTCTTTCTAGCGTTATATGAAGAAATCCCGTTTCCAACGAAGGCCTCAAAGAGGTCCAAATATCTGCTTGCAGACATTACAGACAGAGTGGTTCCAAACTACTCTATGAAAAGAAAGCTTAAACTCCTTGAGTTGAACGCACACATCACAAAGTAGTTTCTGAGAATGATTCTGTCTTGTATTTATACGAAGATATTTCCGTTTCTATGATTGGCCTCAAAGCCATTGAAATCTCCAACTGGAAACTGCACAAACAGGGTGTTTCAAATCTGCTCTGTCTAAAGGAAGGTTCAACTCTGTGAGTTGAATACACACACCACAAATAAGTTACTGAGAATTCTTCTGTCGAACATTACATGAAGAATTCCCGTTTCCAACGAAGGCCTCAAAGAGGTCCAAATATCCACTTGCAGGCATTACAAACAGAGTGTTTCCAAACTGCTCCATCAAAAGAAAGGTTAAACTCTGTGAGCTGAACACACACATCAAAAAGAAGTTTCTGTGAATGATTCTGTCTAGATTTTATAAGAAGATGTTTCCTTTTCTACCGTAGGCCTCAAAGCGCTAGAAATCTCCACCTGCAAATTCCACAAAAAGTGTGTTTAACATCTGCTCTGTCTAAAGTAAAGATCAGCTCTGTGAGTTAAATACACACAGCACAAAGAAGTTACTGAGACTTCTCCTATCAAACATTATATGAAGAAATCCCGTTTCCAACGAAGGCCTCAAAGAGGTCCAAATATCTGCTTGCAGACTTTACAGACAGAGTGTTTCCAAACTGCTCCATCAAAAGAAAGGTTAAACTCCTTGAGTTGAACACACACATCACAAAGTAGTTTCTGTGAATGATTCTGTCTAGTTTTTATACGAAGATGTTTCCTTTTCTACCTTTGGTCTCAAAGCGATTGAAATCTCCACATGGAAACTCCACAAAAAGAGTGTTTCAAATCTGCTCTTTCTGAAGGAAGGTTCAACTCTGTGAGTTGAATACACACACCACAAATAAGTTACTGAGAATTCTTCTGGGTAACATTATATGAGGAAATCCCGTTTCCAACGAAGGCCTCAAAGAGGTCCAAATATCCACTTGCAGACTTTACAAAGACAGTGTCTCCAAACTCCTCCATCAAAAGAAAGGTTATACTCTGTGAATTGAACGCACACATCACAAAGTAGTTTCTGAGAATGATTCTGTCTAGTTTTTATACGAAGATATTTCCTTTTCTACATTTGGCCTAAAAGCGCTTGAAATCTCCACCTGCAAATATCACAAAAAGAGGGTTTCACATCTGCTCTGTCTAAAGGACAGTTCACCTCTGTGAGTTGAATAGAGGCAACACAAAGAACTTACTCAGTATTCTTCTTTCTAGCGTTCTATGAAGAAATCCCGTTTCCAACGAAGGCCCCAAAGAGGTCCAAATATCTGCTTGCAGACTTTACAGACAGAGTGTTTCCAAACTACTCTATGAAAAGAAAGCTTAAACTCCTTGAGTTGAACGCACACATCACAAAGTAGTTTGCTGAGAATGATTCTGTCTTGTTTTTATACGAAGATAATTCCGTTTCTACGATTGGCCTCAAACGATTGAAATCTCCAACTGGAAACTGCACAAATAGGGTATTTCAAATCTGCTCTGTCTAAAGGAAGGTTCAACTCTGTGAGTTGAATACACACACCACAAATAAGTTACTGAGAATTCTTCTGTCGAACATTACATGAAGAAATCCCGTTTCTAACGAAGGCCTCAAAGAGGTCCAAATATCCACTTGCAGACATTACAAACAGAGTGTTTCTAAACTGCTCCATCAAAGGAAAGGTTAAACTCTGTGAGCTGAACACACACATCAAAAAGAAGTTTCTGTGAATGATTCTGTCTAGATTATATAAGAAGATGTTTCCTTTTCTACAGTAGGCCTCAAAGCGCTTGAAATCTCCAGCTGCAAATTCCACAAAAAGGGTGTTTAACATCTGCTCTTCTAAAGGAAAGTTCAACTCTATGAGTTGAACACACACAGCACAAAGAAGTTACTGAGACTTCTCCTATCAAACATTATATGAAGATATCCCGTTTTCAACGAAGGCCTCAAAGAGGTCCAAATATCTGCTTGCAGACTTTACAGACAGAGTTTTTCCAAACTGCTCCATCAAAAGAAAGGTTAAACTCCTTGAGTTGAACACACACATCACAAAGTAGTTTCTGTGAATGATTCTGTCTAGTTTTTATACGAAGATGTTTCCTTTTCTACCTTTGGTCTCAAAGCGATTGAAATCTCCACATGGAAACTCCACAAAAAGAGTGTTTCAAATCTGCTCTTTCTGAAGGAAGGTTCAACTCTGTGAGTTGAATACACACACCACAAATAAGTTACTGAGAATTCTTCTGTGTAACATTATATGAGGAAATCCCGTTTCCAACGAAGGCCTCAAAGAGGTCCAAATATCCACTTGCAGACTTTACGAAGACAGTGTCTCCAAACGCCTCCATCAAAAGAAAGGTTATACTCTGTGAATTGAACGCACACATCACAAAGCAGTTTCTGAGAATGATTCTGTCTAGTTTTTATACGAAGGTATTTCCTTTTCTACATTTGGCCTAAAAGCGCTTGAAATCTCCACCTGCAAATATCACAAAAAGAGGGTTTCACATCTGCTCTGTCTGAAGGACAGTTCACCTCTGTGAGTTGTATAGAGGCAACAGAAAGAACTTACTCAGTATTATTCTTTCTAGCGTTCTATGAAGAAATCCCGTTTCCAACGAAGGCCTCAAAGAGGTCAAATATCTGCTTGCAGACTTTACAGACAGAGTGTTTCCAAACTACTCTATGAAAAGAAAGCTTAAACTCCTTGAGTTGAACGCACACATCACAAAGTAGTTTCTGAGAATGATTCTGTCTAGTTTTTATACGAAGATGTTTCCTTTTCTACATTTGGTCTCAAAGCGATTGAAATCTCCAACTGGAAACTGCACAAATAGGGTGTTTCAAATCTGCTCTGTCTAAAGGAAGGTTCAACTCTTTGAGTTGAATACACACACCACAAATAAGTTACTGAGAATTCTTCTGTCGACCATTACTTGAAGAAATCCCGTTTCCAACGAAGGCCTCAAAGAGGTCCAAATATCCACTTGCAGACATTACAAACAGAGTGTTTCCAAACTGCTCCATCAAAAGAAAGGTTAAACTCTGTGAGCTGAACACACACATCAAAAAGAAGTTTCTGTGAATGATTCTGTCTAGATTTTATAAGAAGATGTTTCCTTTTCTACCGTAGGCCTCAAAGCGCTTGAAATCTCCAGCTGCAAATTCCACAAAAAGGGTGTTTAACATCTGCTCTTCTAAAGGAAAGTTCAACTCTATGAGTTGAATACACACAGCACAAAGAAGTTACTGAGACTTCTCCTATCAAACATTATATGAAGAAATCCCGTTTTCAACGAAGGCCTCAAAGAGGTCCAAATATCTGCTTGCAGACTTTACAGACAGAGTGTTTCCAAACTGCTCCATCAAAAGAAAGGTTAAACTCCTTGAGTTGAACACACACATCACAAAGTAGTTTCTGTGAATGATTCTGTCTAGTTTTTATACGAAGATGTTTCCTTTTCTACCTTTGGTCTCAAAGCGATTGAAATCTCCACATGGAAACTCCACAAAAAGAGTGTTTCAAATCTGCTCTGTCTAAAGGAAGGTTCAACTCTGTGAGTTGAATACACACACCACAAATAAGTTACTGAGAATTCTTCTGTGTAACATTATATGAGGAAATCCCGTTTCCAACGAAGGCCTCAAAGAGGTCCAAATATCCACTTGCAGACTTTACACACACAGTGTCTCCAAACTTCTCCATCAAAAGAAAGGTTATACTCTGTGAATTGAACGCACACATCACAAAGTAGTTTCTGAGAATGATTATCTGTCTAGTTTTTATACGAAGATATTTCCTTTTCTACATTTTGCCTAAAAGCGCTTGAAATCTCCACCTGCAAATATCACAAAAAGAGGGTTTCACATCTGCTCTGTCTAAAGGACAGTTCACCTCTGTGAGTTGAATAGAGGCAACACAAAGAACGTACTCAGGATTCTTCTTTCTAGCGTTCTATGAAGAAATCCCGTTTCCAACGAAGGCCTCAAAGCAGGTCCAAATATCTGCTTGCAGACTTTACAGACAAAGTGTTTCCAAACTACTCTATGAAAAGAAAGCTTAAACTCCTTGAGTTGAACGCACACATCACAAAGCAGTTTCTGAGAATGATTCTGTCTAGTTTTTATACGAAGATGTTTCCTTTTCTACATTTGGTCTCAAAGCAATTGAAATCTCCAACTGGAAACTGCACAAATAGGGTGTTTCAAATTTGCTCTGTCTAAAGGAAGGTTCAACTCTGTGAGTTGAATACACACACCACAAATAAGTTACTGAGAATTCTTCTCCCGAACATTACTTGAAGAAATCCCGTTTCCAACGAAGGCCTCAAAGAGGTCCAAATATCCACTTGCAGACATTACAAACAGAGTGTTTCCAAACTGCTCCATCAAAAGAAAGGTTAAACTCTGTGAGCTGAACACACACATCAAAAAGAAGTTTCTGTGAATGATTCTGTCTAGATTTTATAAGAAGATGTTTCCTTTTCTACCCGTAGGCCTCAAAGCGCTTGAAATCTCCAGCTGCAAATTCCACAAAAAGGGTGTTTAACATCTGCTCTTCTAAAGGAAAGTTCAACTCTATGAGTTGAATACACACAGCACAAAGAAGTTACTGAGACTTCTCCTATCAAACATTATATGAAGAAATCCCGTTTCCAACGAAGGCCTCAAAGAGGTCCAAATATCTGCTTGCAGACTTTAAAGACAGAGTTTTTCCAAACTGCTCCATCAAAAGAAAGGTTAAACTCCTTGAGTTGAACACACACATCACAAAGTAGTTTCTGTGAATGATTCTGTCTAGTTTTTATACGAAGATATTTCCTTTTCTACCTTTGGTCTCAATGCGATTGAAATCTCCACATGGAAACTCCACAAAAAGAGTGTTTCAAATCTGCTCTTTCTGAAGGAAGGTTCAACTCTGTGAGTTGAATACACACACCACAAATAAGTTACTGAGAATTCTTCTGTGTAACATTATATGAGGAAATCCCGTTTCCAACGAAGGCCTCAAAGAGGTCCAAATATCCACTTGCAGACTTTACAAAGACAGTGTCTCCAAACTCCTCCATCAAAAGAAAGGTTATACTCTGTGAATTGAACGCACACATCACAAAGTAGTTTCTGAGAATGATCTGTCTAGTTTTTATACGAAGATATTTCCTTTTCTACATTTGGCCTAAAAGCGCTTGAAATCTCCACCTGCAAATACCACAAAAAGAGGGTTTCACATCTGCTCTGTCTAAAGGACAGTTCACCTCTGTGAGTTGAATAGAGGCAACACAAAGAACTTACTGAGTATTCTTTCTTTCTAGCGTTATATGAAGAAATCCCGTTTCCAACGAAGGCCTCAAAGAGGTCCAAATATCTGCTTGCAGACTTTACAGACAGAGCGTTTCCAAGCTACTCTATGAAAAGAAAGCTTTAACTCCGTGAGTTGAATGCACACATCACAAATTAGTTTCTGAGAATGATTCTGTCTTGTTTTTATACAAAGTTATTTCCGTTTCTATGATTGGCCTCAAAGCGATTGAAATCTCCAACTGGAAACTGCACAAATAGGGTGTTTCAAATCTGCTCTGTCTAAAGGAAGGTTCAACTCTGTGAGTTGAATACACACACCACAAATAAGTTACTGAGAATTCTTCTGTCGAACATTACTTGAAGAAATCCCGTTTCCAACGAAGGCCTCAAAGAGGTCCAAATATCCACTTGCAGACATTACAAACAGAGTGTTTCCAAACTGCTCCATCAAAAGAAAGGTTTAACTCTGTGAGCTGAACACACACATCAAAAAGAAGTTTCTGTGAATGATTCTGTCTAGATTTTATAAGAAGATGTTTCCTTTTCTACAGTAGGCCTCAAAGCGCTTGAAACCTCCAGCTGCAAATTCCCCAAAAAGGGTGTTTAACATCTGCTCTTCTAAAGGAAAGTTCAACTACTATGAGTTGAATACACACAGCACAAAGAAGTTACTGAGACTTCTTCTTTCTAGCATTCTATGAAGAAATCCCGTTTCCAACGAAGGCCTCAAAGAGGTCCAAATATCTGCTTGCAGACTTTACAGACAGAGTTTTTCCAAACTGCTCCATCAAAAGAAAGGTTAAACTCCTTGAGTTGAACACACACATCACAAAGTAGTTTCTGTGAATGATTCTGTCTAGTTGTTATACGAAGATGTTTCCTTTTCTACCTTTGGTCTCAAAGCGATTGAAATCTCCACATGGAAACTCCACAAAAAGAGTGTTTCAAATCTGCTCTTTCTGAAGGAAGGTTCATCTCTGTGAGTTGAATACACACACCACAAATAAGTTAGTGAGAATTCTTCTGTGTAACATTATATGAGGAAATCCCGTTTCCAACGAAGGCCTCAAAGAGGTCCAAATATCCACTTGCAGACTTTACAAAGACAGTGTCTCCAAACTCCTCCATCAAAAGAAAGGTTATACTCTGTGAATTGAACGCACACATCACAAAGTAGTTTCTGAGAATGATTCTGTCTAGTTTTTATACGAAGATATTTCCTTTTCTACATTTGGCCTAAAAGCGCTTGAAATCTCCACGTGCAAATATCACAAAAAGAGGGTTTCACATCTGCTCTGTCTAAAGGACAGTTCACCTCTGTGAGTTGAATAGAGGCAACACAAAGAACTTACTCAGTATTCTTCTTTCTAGCGTTCTATGAAGAAATCCCTTTTCCAACGAAGGCCCCAAAGAGGTCCAAATATCTGCTTGCAGACTTTACAGACAGAGTGTTTCCAAAGTACTCTATGAAAAGAAAGCTTAAACTCCTTGAGTTGAACGCACACATCACAAAGTAGTTTCTGAGAATGATTCTGTCTAGTTTTTATACGAAGATGTTTCCTTTTCTACATTTGGTCCCAAAGCGATTGAAATCTCCAACTGGAAACTGCACAAATAGGGTGTTTCAAATCTGCTCTGTCTAAAGGAAGGTTCAACTCTTTGAGTTGAATACACACACCACAAATAAGTTACTGAGAATTCTTCTGTCGAACATTACTTGAAGAAATCCCGTTTGCAACGAAGGCCTCAAAGAGGTCCAAATATCCACTTGCAGACATTACAACAGAGTGTTTCCAAACTGCTCCATCAAAAGAAAGGTTAAACTCTGTGAGCTGAACACACACATCAAAAAGAAGTTTCTGTGAATGATTCTGTCTAGATTTTATAAGAAGATGTTTCCTTTTCTACCGTAGGCCTCAAAGCGCTTGAAATCTCCAGCTGCAAATTCCACAAAAAGGGTGTTTAACATCTGCTCTTCTAAAGGAAAGTTCAACTCTATGAGTTGAATACACACAGCACTAAGAAGTTACTGAGACTTCTCCTATCAAACATTATATGAAGAAATCCCGTTTCCAACGATGGCCTCAAAGAGGTCCAAATATCTGCTTGCAGACTTTACAAAGACAGTGTCTCCAAACTCCTCCATCAAAACAAAGGTTATACTCTGTGAATTGAACGCACACATCACAAAGTAGTTTCTGAGAGTGATTCTGTCTAGTTTTTATACGAAGATATTTCCTTTTCTACATTTGGCCAAAAAGCGCTTGAAATCTCCACCTGCAAATATCACAAAAAGAGGGTTTCACATCTGCTCTGTCTAAAGGACAGTTCACCTCTGTGAGTTGAATAGAGGCAACACAAAGAACTTACTCAGTATTCTTCTTTCTAGCGTTCTATGAAGAAATCCCGTTTCCAATGAAGGCCCCAAAGAGGTCCAAATATCTGCTTGCAGACTTTACAGACAGAGTGTTTCCAAACTACTCTATGAAAAGAAAGCTTAAACTCCTTGAGTTGAACGCACACATCACAAAGTAGTTTCGGAGAATGATTCTGTCTTGTTTTTATACAAATGTATTTCCGTTTCTATGATTGGCCTCAAAGCGATTGAATTCTCCAACTGGAAACAGCACAAATAGGGTGTTTCAAATATGCTCTGTCTAAAGTAAGTTTCAACTCTGTGAGTTGAATACACACACCACAAATAAGTTACTGAGAATTCTTCTGTCGAACATTACTTGAAGAAATCCCGTTTCCAACGAAGGCCTCAAAGAGGTCCAAATATCCACTTGCAGACATTACAAACAGAGTGTTTCCAAACTGCTCCATCAAAAGAAAGGTTAAACTCTGTGAGCTGAACACACACATCAAAAAGAAGTTTCTGTGAATGATTCTGTCTAGCATTTTATAAGAAGATGTTTCCTTTTCTACCGTAGGCCTCAAAGCGCTTGAAATCTCCAGCTGCAAATTCCACAAAAAGGGTGTTTAACATCTGCTCTTCTAAAGGAAAGTTCAACTCTATGACTTGAATACACACAGCACAAAGAAGTTACTGAGACTTCTCCTATCAAACATTATAGGAAGAAATCCCGTTTCCAACGAAGGCCTCAACGAGGTCCAAATATCCACTTGCAGATGTGACAAACAGAGTGTTTCCAAACTGCTCCATCAAAAGAAAGGTTAAACTCTGTGAGTTGAACACACACATCACAAAGTAGTTTCTGTGAATGATTCTGTCTAGTTTTTATACGAAGTATGTTTCCTTTTCTACCTTTGGTCTCAATGCGATTGAAATCTCCACATGGAAACTCCACAAAAAGAGTGTTTCAAATCTGCTCTTTCTGAAGGAAGGTTCAACTCTGTGAGTTGAATACACACACCACAAATAAGTTACTGAGAATTCTTCTGTGTAACATTATATGAGGAAATCCCGTTTCCAACGAAGGCCTCAAAGAGGTCCAAATATCCACTTGCAGACTTTACAAAGACAGTGTCTCCAAACTCCTCCATCAAAAGAAAGGTTATACTCTGTGAATTGAACGCACACATCACAAAGTAGTTTCTGAGAATGATTCTGTCTAGTTTTTATACGAAGATATTTCCTTTTCTACATTTGGCCTAAAAGCGCTTGAAATCTCCACCTGCAAATATCACAAAAAGAGGGTTTCACATCTGCTCTGTCTAAAGGACAGTTCACCTCTGTGAGTTGAATAGAGGCAACACAAAGAACTTACTCAGTATTCTTCTTTCTAGCATTCTATGAAGAAATCCCGTTTCCAACGAAGGCCCCTAAGAGGTCCAAATATCTGCTTGCAGACTTTACAGACAGAGTGTTTCCAAACTACTCTATGAAAAGAAAGCTTAAACTCCTTGAGTTGAACGCACACATCACAAAGTAGTTTCTGAGAATGATTCTGTCTAGTTTTTATACGAAGATGTTTCCTTTTCTACATTTGGTCTCAAAGCGATTGAAATCTCCAACTGGAAACTGCACAAATAGGGTGTTTCAAATCTGCTCTGTCTAAAGGAAGGTTCAACTCTGTGAGTTGAATACACACACCACAAATAAGTTACTGAGAATTCTTCTGTCGAACATTACATGAAGAAATCCCGTTTCCAACGAAGGCCTCAAAGAGGTCCAAATATCCACTTGCAGACATTACAAACAGAGTGTTTCCAAACTGCTCCATCAAAAGAAAGGTTAAACTCTGTGAGCTGAACACACACATCAAAAAGAAGTTTCTGTGAATGATTCTGTCTAGATTTTATAAGAAGATGTTTCCTTTTCTACCGTAGGCCTCAAAGCGCTTGAAATCTCCAGCTGCAAATTCCACAAAAAGGGTGTTTAACATCTGCTCTTCTAAAGGAAAGTTCAACTCTATGAGTTGAATACACACAGCACAAAGAAGTTACTGAGACTTCTCCTATCAAACATTATATGAAGAAATCCCGTTTCCAACGAAGGCCTCAAAGAGGTCCAAATATCTGCTTGCAGACTTTACAGACACAGTGTTTCCAAACTGCTCCATCAAAAGAAAGGTTAAACTCCTTGAGTTGAACACACACATCACAAAGTAGTTTCTGTGAATGATTCTGTCTAGTTTTTATACGAAGATGTTTCCTTTTCTACCTTTGGTCTCAATGCGATTGAAATCTCCACATGGAAACTCCACAAAAAGAGTGTTTCAAATCTGCTCTTTCTGAAGGAAGGTTCAACTCTGTGAGTTGAATACACACACCACAAATAAGTTACTGAGAATTCTTCTGTGTAACATTATATGAGGAAATCCCGTTTCCAACGAAGGCCTCAAAGAGGTCCAAATATCCACTTGCAGACTTTACAAAGACAGTGTCTCCAAACTCCTCCATCAAAAGAAAGGTTATACTCTGTGAATTGAACGCACACATCACAAAGTAGTTTCTGAGAATGATTCTGTCTAGTTTTTATACGAAGATATTTCCTTTTCTACATTTGGCCTAAAAGCGCTTGAAATCTCCACCTGCAAATATCACAAAAAGAGGGTTTCACATCTGCTCTGTCTAAAGGACAGTTCACCTCTGTGAGTTGAATAGAGGCAACACAAAGAACTTACTCAGTATTCTTCTTTCTAGCGCTCTATGAAGAAATCCCGTTTCCAACGAAGGCCTCAAAGAGGTCCAAATATCTGCTTGCAGACTTCACAGACAGAGTGTTTCCAAAGTACTCTATGAAAAGAAAGCTTAAACTCCTTGAGTTGAACGCGCACATCACAAAGTAGTTTCTGAGAATGATTCTGTCTAGTTTTTATACGAAGATGTTTCCTTTTCTACATTTGGTCTCAAAGCGATTGAAATCTCCAACTGGAAACTGCACAAATAGGGTGTTTCAAATCTGCTCTGTCTAAAGGAAGGTTCAACTCTGTGAGTTGAATACACACACCACAAATAAGTTACTGAGAATTCTTCTGTCGAACATTACTTGAAGAAATCCCGTTTCCAACGAAGGCCTCAAAGAGGTCCAAATATCCACTTGCAGACGTTACAAACAGAGTGTTTCCAAACTGCTCCATCAAAAGAAAGGTTAAACTCTGTGAGCTGAACACACACATCAAAAAGAAGTTTCTGTGAATGATTCTGTCTAGATTTTATAAGAAGATGTTTCCTTTTCTACCGTAGGCCTCAAAGCGCTTGAAATCTCCAGCTGCAAATTCCACAAAAAGGGTGTTTAACATCTGCTCTTCTAAAGGAAAGTTCAACTCTATGAGTTGAATACACACAGCACAAAGAAGTTACTGAGACTTCTCCTATCAAACATTATATGAAGAAATCCCGTTTCCAACGAAGGCCTCAAAGAGGTCCAAATATCTGCTTGCAGACTTTACAGACAGAGTGTTTCCAAACTGCTCCATCAAAAGAAAGGTTAAACTCCTTGAGTTGAACACACACATCACAAAGTAGTTTCTGTGAATGATTCTGTCTAGTTTTTATACGAAGATGTTTCCTTTTCTACCTTTGGTCTCAAAGCGATTGAAATCTCCACATGGAAACTCCACAAAAAAGAGTGTTTCAAATCTGCTCTTTCTGAAGGAAGGTTCAACTCTGTGAGTTGAATACACACACCACAAATAAGTTACTGAGAATTCTTCTGGGTAACATTATATGAGGAAATCCCGTTTCCAACGAAGGCCTCAAAGAGGTCCAAATATCCACTTGCAGACTTTACAAAGACAGTGTCTCCAAACTCCTCCATCAAAAGAAAGGTTATACTCTGTGAATTGAACGCACACATCACAAAGTAGTTTCTGAGAATGATTGTGTCTAGTTTTTATACGAAGATATTTCCTTTTCTACATTTGGCCTCAAAGCGCTTGAAATCTCCACCTGCAAATATCACAAAAAGAGGGTTTCACATCTGCTCTGTCTAAAGGACAGTTCACCTCTGTGAGTTGAATAGAGGCAACACAAAGAACTTACTCAGTATTCTTCTTTCTAGCGTTATATGAAGAAATCCCGTTTCCAACGAAGGCCTCAAAGAGGTCCAAATATCTGCTTGCAGACTTTACAGACAGAGTGTTTCCAAACTACTCTATGAAAAGAAAGCTTAAACTCCTTGAGTTGAACGCACACATCACAAAGTAGTTTCTGAGAATGATTCTGTCTAGTTTTTATACGAAGATGTTTCCTTTTCTACATTTGGTCTCAAAGCGATTGAAATCTCCAACTGGAAACTGCACAAATAGGGTGTTTCAAATCTGCTCTGTCTAAAGGAAGGTTCAACTCTGTGAGTTGAATACACACACCACAAATAAGTTACTGAGAATTCTTCTGTCGAACATTACAGGAAGAAATCCCGTTTCCAGCGAAGGCCTCAAAGAGGTCCAAATATCCACTTGCAGACATTACAAACAGAGTGTTTCCAAACTGCTCCATCAAAAGAAAGGTTAAACTCTGTGAGCTGAACACACACATCAAAAAGAAGTTTCTGTGAATGATTCTGTCTAGATTTTATAAGAAGATGTTTCCTTTTCTACCGTAGGCCTCAAAGCGCTTGAAATCTCCAGCTGCAAATTCCACAAAAAGGGTGTTTAACATCTGCTCTTCTAAAGGAAAGTTCAACTCTATGAGTTGAATACACACAGCACAAAGAAGTTACTGAGACTTCTCCTATCAAACATTATATGAAGAAATCCCGTTTCCAACGAAGGCCTCAAAGAGGTCCAAATATCTACTTGCAGACTTTACAGACAGAGTGTTTCCAAACTGCTCCATCAAAAGAAAGGTTAAACTCCTTGAGTTGAACACACACATCACAAAGTAGTTTCTGTGAATGATTCTGTCTAGTTGTTATACGAAGATGTTTCCTTTTCTACCTTTGGTCTCAAAGCGATTGAAATCTCCACATGGAAACTCCACAAAAAGAGTGTTTCAAATCTGCTCTTTCTGAAGGAAGGTTCATCTCTGTGAGTTGAATACACACACCACAAATAAGTTAGTGAGAATTCTTCTGTGTAACATTATATGAGGAAATCCCGTTTCCAACGAAGGCCTCAAAGAGGTCCAAATATCCACTTGCAGACTTTACAAAGACAGTGTCTCCAAACTCCTCCATCAAAAGAAAGGTTATACTCTGTGAATTGAACGCACACATCACAAAGTAGTTTCTGAGAATGATCTGTCTAGTTTTCATACGAAGATATTTCCTTTTCTACATTTGGCCTAAAAGCGCTTGAAATCTCCACCTGCAAATATCACAAAAAGAGGGTTTCACATCTGCTCTGTCTAAAGGACAGTTCACCTCTGTGAGTTGAATAGAGGCAACACAAAGAACTTACTCAGTATTCTTTCTTTCCAGCGTTCTATGAAGAAATCCCGTTTCCAACGAAGGCCTCAAAGAGGTCCAAATATCTGCTTGCAGACTTTACAGACAGAGTGTTTCCAAACTACTCTATGAAAAGAAAGCTTAAACTCCGTGAGTTGAATGCACACATCACAAAGTAGTTTCTGAGAATGCTTCTGTCTAGTTTTTATACGAAGATGTTTCCTTTTCTACATTTGGTCTCAAAGCGATTGAAATCTCCAACTGGAAACTGCACAAATAGGGTGTTTCAAATCTGCTCTGTCTAAAGGAAGGTTCAACTCTGTGAGTTGAATACACACACCACAAATAAGTTACTGAGAATTCTTCTGTGTAACATTATATGAGGAAATCCCGTTTCCAACGAAGGCCTCAAAGAGGTCCAAATATCCACTTGGAGACATTACAAACAGTGTGTTTCCAAACTGCTCCATCAAAAGAAAGGTTAAACTCTGTGAGCTGAACACACACATCAAAAAGAAGTTTCTGTGAATGATTCTGTCTAGATTTTATAAGAAGATGTTTCCTTTTCTACCGTAGGCCTCAAAGCGCTTGAAATCTCCAGCTGCAAATTCACCAAAAAGGGTGTTTAACATCTGCTCTTCTAAAGCAAAGTTCAACTCTATGAGTTGAATACACACAGCACAAAGAAGTTACTGAGACTTCTCCTATCAAACATTATATGAAGAAATCCCGTTTCCAACGAAGGCCTCAAAGAGGTCCAAATATCTACTTGCAGACTTTACAGACAGAGTGTTTCCAAACTGCTCCATCAAAAGAAAGGTTAAACTCCTTGAGTTGAACACACACATCACAAAGTAGTTTCTGTGAATGATTCTGTCTAGTTTTTATACGAAGATGTTTCCTTTTCTACCTTTGGTCTCAAAGCGATTGAAATCTCCACATGGAAACTCCACAAAAAGAGTGTTTCAAATCTGCTCTTTCTGAAGGAAGGTTCAACTCTGTGAGTTGAATACACACACCACAAATAAGTTACTGAGAATTCTTCTGTGTAACATTATATGAGGAAATCCCGTTTCCAACGAAGGCCTCAAAGAGGTCCAAATATCCACTTGCAGACTTTACAAAGACAGTGTCTCCAAACTCCTCCATCTAAAGAAAGGTTATACTCTGTGAATTGAACGCACACATCACAAAGTAGTTTCTGAGAATGATTCTGTCTAGTTTTTATACGAAGATATTTCCTTTTCTACATTTGGCCTAAAAGCGCTTGAAATCTCCACCTGCAAATATCACAAAAAGAGGGTTTCACATCTGCTCTGTCTAAAGGACAGTTCACCTCTGTGAGTTGAATAGAGGCAACACAAAGAACTTACTCAGTATTCTTCTTTCTAGCGTTCTATGAAGAAATCCCGTTTCCAACGAAGGCCCCAAAGACGTCCAAATATCTGCTTGCAGACTTTACAGACAGAGTGTTTCCAAACTACTCTATGAAAAGAAAGCTTAAACTCCTTGAGTTGAACGCACACATCACAAAGTAGTTTCTGAGAATGATTCTGTCTAGTTTTTATACGAAGATGTTTCCTTTTCTACATTTGGTCTCAAAGCGATTGAAATCTCCAACTGGAAACTGCACAAATAGGGTGTTTCAAATCTGCTCTGTCTAAAGGAAGGTTCAACTCTGTGAGTTGAATACACACACCACAAATAAGTTACTGAGAATTCTTCTGTCGAACATTACATGAAGAAATCCCGTTTCCAACGAAGGCCTCAAAGAGGTCCAAATATCCACTTGCAGACATTACAAACAGTGTGTTTCCAAACTGCTCCATCAAAAGAAAGGTTAAACTCTGTGAGCTGAACACACACATCAAAAAGAAGTTTCTGTGAATGATTCTGTCTAGATTTTATAAGAAGATGTTTCCTTTTCTACCGTAGGCCTCAAAGCGCTTGAAATCTCCAGCTGCAAATTCCACAAAAAGGGTGTTTAACATCTGCTCTTCTAAAGGAAAGTTCAACTCTATGAGTTGAATACACACAGCACAAAGACGTTACTGAGATTTCTGCTCTCAAACATTATATGAAGAAATCCCGTTTCCAACGAAGGCCTCAAAGAGGTCCAAATATCTGCTTGCAGACTTTACAGACAGAGTTTTTCCACACTGCTCCATCAAAAGAAAGGTTAAACTCCTTGAGTTGAACACACACATCACAAAGTAGTTTCTGTGAATGATTCTGTCTAGTTTTTATACGAAGATGTTTCCTTTTCTACCTTTGGTCTCAAAGCGATTGAAATCTCCACATGGAAACTCCACAAAAAGAATGTTTCAAATCTGCTCTTTCTGAAGGAAGGTTCAACTCTGTGAGTTGAATACACACACCACAAATAAGTTACTGAGAATTCTTCTGTGTAACGTTATATGAGGAAATCCCTTTTCCAAAGAAGGCCTCAAAGAGGTCCAAATATCCACTTGCAGACTTTACAAAGACAGTGTCTCCAAACTCCTCCATCAAAAGAAAGGTTATACTCTGTGAATTGAACGCACACATCACAAAGTAGTTTCTGAGAATGATTCTGTCTAGTTTTTATACGAAGATATTTCCTTTTCTACATTTGGCATAAAAGCGCTTGAAATCTCCACCTGCAAATATCACAAAAAGAGGGTTTCACATCTGCTCTGTCTAAAGGACACTTTACCTCTGTGAGTTGAATAGAGGCAACACAAAGAACTTACTCAGTATTCTTCTTTCTGGCGTTCTATGAAGAAATCCCGTTTCCAACGAAGGCCCCAAAGAGGTCCAAATATCTGCCTGCAGACTTTACAGACAGAATGTTTCCAAACTACTCTATGAAAAGAAAGCTTAAACTCCTTGAGTTGAACGCACACATCACAAAGTAGTTTCTGAGAATGATTCTGTCTAGTTTTTATACGAAGATGTTTCCTTTTCTACATTTGGTCTCAAAGCGATTGAAATCTCCAACTAGATACTGCACAAATAGGGTGTTTCAAATCTGCTCTGTCTAAAGGAAGGTTCAACTCTGTGAGTTGAATACACACACCACAAATAAGTTACTGAGAATTCTTCTGTCGAACATTACTTGAAGAAATCCCGTTTCCAACGAAGACCTCAAAGAGGTCCAAATATCCACTTGCAGATATTACAAGCTGAGTGTTTCCAAACTGCTCCATCAAAAGAAAGGTTAAACTCGGTGAGCTGAACACACACATCAAAAAGAAGTTTCTGTGAATGATTCTGTCTAGATTTTATAAGAAGATATTTCCTTTTCTACCGTAGGCCTCAAAGCGCTTGAAATCTCCAGCTGCAAATTCCACAAAAAGGGTGTTTAACATCTGCTCTTCTAAAGGAAAGTTCAACTCTATGAGTTGAATACACACAGCACAAAGAAGTTACTGAGACTTCTCCTATCAAACATTATATGAAGAAATCCCGTTTCCAACGAAGGCCTCAAAGAGGTCCAAATGTCTGCTTGCAGACTTTACAGACAGAGTGTTTCCAAACTGCTCCATCAAAAGAAAGGTTAAACTCCTTGAGTTGGACACACACATCACAAAGTAGTTTCTGTGAATGATTCTGTCTAGTTTTTATACGAAGATGTTTCCTTTTCTACCTTTGGTCTCAAAGCGATTGAAATCTCCACATGGAAACTCCACAAAAAGAGTGTTTCAAATCTGCTCTTTCTGAAGGAAGGTTCATCTCTGTGAGTTGAATACACACACCACAAATAAGTTACTGAGAATTCTTCTGTGTAACATTATATGAGGAAATCCCGTTTCCAACGAAGGCCTCAAAGAGGTCCAAATATCCACTTGCAGACTTTAGAAACACAGTGTCTCCAAACTCCTCCATCAAAAGAAAGGTTATACTCTGTGAAATGAGCGCACACATCACAAAGTAGTTTCTGAGAATGATTCTGTCTAGTTTTTCTACGAAGATATTTCCTTTTCTACATTTGGCCTAAAAGCGCTTGAAATCTCCACCTGCAAATATCACAAAAAGAGGGTTTCACATCTGCTCTGTCTAAAGGACAGTTCACCTCTGTGAGTTGAATAAAGTCAACACAAAGAACTTACTCAGTATTCTTCTTTCTAGCGTTATATGAAGAAATCCCGTTTCCAACGAAGGCCTCAAAGAGGTCCAAATATCTGCTTGCAGACTTTACAGACAGAGTGTTTCCAAACTACTCTATGAAAAGAAAGCTTAAACTCCGTGAGTTGAACGCACACATCACAAAGTAGTTTCTGAGAATGATTCTGTCTTGTTTTTATACGAAGATATTTCCGTTTCTACGATTGGCCTCAAAGCGGTTGAAATCTCCAACTGGAAACTGCACAAACAGGGTGTTTCAAATCTGCTCTGTCTAAAGGAAGGTTCAACTCTGTGAGTTGAATACACACACCACAAATAAGTTACTGAGAATTCTTCTGTCGAACATTACATGAAGAAATCCCGTTTCCAACGAAGGCCTCAAAGAGGTCCAAATATCCACTTGCAGACATTACAGAGTGTTTCCAAACTGCTCCATCAAAAGAAAGGTTAAAGTCTGTGAGCTGAACACACACATCAAAAAGAAGTTTCTGTGAGTGATTCTGTCTAGATTTTATAAGAAGATGTTTCCTTTTCTACCATAGGCCTCAAAGCGCTTGAAATCTCCAGCTGCAAATTCCACAAAAAGGGTGTTTAACATCTGCTCTTTTAAAGGAAAGTTCAACTCTATGAGTTGAATACACACAGCAGAAAGAAGTTACCGAGATTTCTCCTATCAAACATTATATGAAGAAATCCCGTTTCCAATGAAGGCCTCAAAGAGGTCCAAATATCTGCTTGCAGACTTTACAGACAGAGTGTTTCCAAACTGCTCCATCAAAAGAAAGGTTAAACTCCTTGAGTTGAACACACACATCACAAAGTAGTTTCTGTGAATGATTCTGTCTAGTTGTTATACGAAGATGTTTCCTTTTCTACCTTTGGTCTCAAAGCGATTGAAATCTCCACATGGAAACTCCACAAAAAGAGTGTTTCAAATCTGCTCTTTCTGAAGGAAGGTTCATCTCTGTGAGTTGAATACACACACCACAAATAAGTTACTGAGAATTCTTCTGTGTAACATTATATGAGGAAATCCCGTTTCCAACGAAGGCCTCAAAGAGGTCCAAATATCCACTTGCAGACTTTACAAAGACAGTGTCTCCAAACTCCTCCATCAAAAGAAAGGTTATACTCTGTGAATTGAACGCACACATCACAAAGTAGTTTCTGAGAATGATTCTGTCTAGTTTTTATACGAAGATATTTCCTTTTCTACATTTGGCCTAAAAGCGCTTGAAATCTCCACCTGCAAATATCACAAAAAGAGGGTTTCACACCTGCTCTGTCTAAAGGACAGTTCACCTCTGTGAGTTGAATAGAGGCAACACAAAGAACTTACTCAGTATTCTTCTTTCTAGCGTTATATGAAGAAATCCCGTTTCCAAAGAAGGCCTCAAAGAGGTCCAAATATCTGCTTGCAGACTTTACAGACAGAGTGTTTCCAAACTACTCTATGAAAAGAAAGCTTAAACTCCTTGAGTTAAACGCACGCATCACAAAGTAGTTTCTGAGAATGATTCTGTCTAGTTTTTATACGAAGATGTTTCCTTTTCTACATTTGGTCTCAAAGCGATTGAAATCTCCAACTGGAAACTGCACAAATAGGGTGTTTCAAATCTGCTCTGTCTAAAGGAAGGTTCAACTCTGTGAGTTGAATACACACACCACAAATAAGTTACTGAGAATTCTTCTGTCGAACATTACATGAAGAAATCCCTTTCCCAACGAAGGCCTCAAAGAGGTCCAAATATCCACTTGCAGACATTACAAACAGAGTGTTTCCAAACTGCTCCATCAAAAGAAAGGTTAAACTCTGTGAGCTGAACACACACATCAAAAAGAAGTTTGCTGTGAATGATTCTGTCTAGATTTTATAAGAAGATGTTTCCTTTTCTACCGTAGGCCTCAAAGCGCTTGAAATCTCCAGCTGCAAATTCCACAAAAAGGGTATTTAACATGTGCTCTTCTAAAGGAAAGTTCAACTCTATGCGTTGAATACACACAGCACAAAGAAGTTACTGAGACTTCTCCTATCAAACATTATATGAAGAAATCCCGTTTCCAACGAAGGCCTCAAAGAGGTCCAAATATCTGCTTGCAGACTTTACAGACAGAGTGTTTCCAAACTGCTCCATCAAAAGAAAGGTTAACCTCCTTGAGTTGAACACACACATCACAAAGTAGTTTCTGTGAATGATTCTGTCTAGTTTTTATACGAAGATGTTTCCTTTTCTACCTTTGGTCTCAAAGCGATTGAAATCTCCACATGGAAACTCCACAAAAAGTGTGTTTCAAATCTGCTCTCTCTGAAGGAAGGTTCAACTCTGTGAGTTGAATACACACACCACAAATAAGTTACTGAGAATTCTTCTGTGTAACATTATATGAGGAAATCCCGTTTCCAACGAAGGCCTCAAAGAGGTCCAAATATCCACTTGCAGACTTTACAAAGACAGTGTCTCCAAACTCCTCCATCAAAAGAAAGGTTATACTCTGTGAATTGAACGCACACATCACAAAGTAGTTTCTGAGAATGATTCTGTCTAGTTTTTATACGAAGATATTTCCTTTTCTAAATTTGGCCTAAAAGCGCTTGAAATCTCCACGTGCAAATATCACAAAAAGAGGGTTTCAGATCTGCTCTGTCAAAAGGACAGTTCACCTCTGTGAGTTGAATAGAGGCAACACAAAGAACTTACTCAGTATTCTTCTTTCTAGCGTTCTATGAAGAAATCCCGTTTCCAACGAAGGCCTCAAAGAGGTCCAAATATCTGCTTGCAGACTTTACAGACAGAGTGTTTTTAAACTGCTCCATCAATAGAAAGGTTAAACTCCTTGAGTTGAACACACACATCACAAAGTAGTTTCTGTGAATGATTCTGTCTAGTTTTTATACGAAGATGTTTCCTTTTCTACCTTTGGTCTCAAAGCTATTGAAATCTCCACATGGAAACTCCACAAAAAGAGTGTTTCAAATCTGCTCTCTCTGAAGGAAGGTTCAACTCTGTGAGTTGAATACACACACCACAAATAAGTTACTGAGAATTCTTCTGTGTAACATTATATGAGGAAATCCCGTTTCCAACGAAGGCCTCAAAGAGGTCCAAATATCCACTTGCAGACTTTACAAAGACAGTGTCTCCAAACTCCTCCATCAAAAGAAAGGTTATACTCTGTGAATTGAACGCACACATCACAAAGTAGTTTCTGAGAATGATTCTGTCTAGTTTTTATACGAAGATATTTCCTTTTCTACATTTGGCCTAAAAGTGCTTGAAATCTCCACCTGCAAATATCACAAAAAGAGGGTTTCACATCTGCTCTGTCTAAAGGACAGTTCACCTCTGTGAGTTGAATAGAGGCAACACAAAGAACTTACTCAGTATTCTTCTTTCTAGCGTTCTATGAAGAAATCCCGTTTCCAACGAAGGCCTCAAAGAGGTCCAAATATCTGCTTGCAGACTTTACAGACAGAGTGTTTCCAAACTACTCTATGAAAAGAAAGCTTAAACTCCTTGAGTTGAACGCACACATCACAAAGTAGTTTCTGTGAATGATTCTGTCTAGTTTTTATACGAAGATGTTTCCTTTTCTACCTTTGGTCTCAAAGCAATTGAAATCTCCAACTGGAAACTGCACAAATAGGGAGTTTCAAATCTGATCTGTCTAAAGGAAGGTTCAACACTGTGAGTTGAATACACACACCACAAATAAGTTACTGAGAATTCTTCTGTCGAAAATTACTTGAAGAAATCCCGTTTCCAACTAAGGCCTCAAAGAGGTCCAAATATCCTCTTGCAGACATTACAAACAGAGTGTTTCCCAACTGCTCCATCAAAAGAAAGGTTAAACTCTGTGAGCTGAACACACACATCAAAAAGAAGTTTCTGTGAATGATTCTGTCTAGATTTTAGAAGAAGATGTTTCCTTTTCTACCGTAGGCCTCAAGGCGCTTGAAATCTCCAGCTGCAAATTCCACAAAAAGGGTGTTTAACATCTGCTCTTCTAAAGGAAAGTTCAACTCCATGAGTTGAATACACACAGCACAAAGAAGTTACTGAGACTTCTCCTATCAAACATTATATGAAGAAATCCTGTTTCCAACGAAGGCCTCAAAGAGGTCCAAATATCTGCTTGCAGACTTTACAGACAGAGTTTTTCCAAACTGCTCCATCAAAAGAAAGGTTAAACTCCTTGAGTTGAACACACACATCACAAAGTAGTTTCTGTGAATGATTTCTGTCTAGTTTTTATACGAAGATGTTTCCTTTTCTACCTTTGGTCTCAAAGCGATTGAAATCTCCACATGGAAACTCCACAAAAAGAGTGTTTCAAATCTGCTCTTTCTGAAGGAAGGTTCAACTCTGTGAGTTGAATACACACACCACAAATAAGTTACTGAGAATTCTTCTGTGTAACATTATATGAGGAAATCCCGTTTCCAACGAAGGCCTCAAAGAGGTCCAAATATCCACTTGCAGACTTTACAAAGACAGTGTCTCCAAACTCCTCCATCAAAAGAAAGGTTATACTCTGTGAATTGAACGCACACATCACAAAGTAGTTTCTGAGAATGATTCTGTCTAGTTTTTATACGAAGATATTTCCTTTTCTACATTTGGCCTAAAAGCGCTTGAAATCTCCACCTGCAAATATCACAAAAAGAGGGTTTCACATCTGCTCTGTCTAAAGGACAGTTCACCTCTGTGAGTTGAATAGAGGCAACACAAAGAACTTACTCAGTATTCTTCTTTCTAGCGTTCTATGAAGAAATCCCGTTTCCAACGAAGGCCCCAAAGAGGTCCAAATATCTGCTTGCAGACTTTACAGACAGAGTGTTTCCAAACTACTCTATGAAAAGAATGCTTAAACTCCTTGAGTTGAACGCACACATCACAAAGTAGTTTCTGAGAATGATTCTGTCAAGTTTTTATACGAAGATGTTTCCTTTTCTACATTTGGTCTCAAAGCGATTGAAATCTCCAACTGGAAACTGCACAAATAGGGTGTTTCAAACCTGCTCTGTCTAAAGGAAGGTTCAACTCTGTGAGTTGAATACACACACCACAAATAAGTTACTGAGAATTCTTCTGTCGAACATTACAGGAAGAAATCCCGTTTCCAACGAAGGCCTCAAAGAGGTCCAAATATCCACTTGCAGACATTACAAACAGTGTGTTTCCCACCTGCTCCATCAAAAGAAAGGTTAAACTCTGTGAGCTGAACACACACATCAAAAAGAAGTTTCTGTGAATGATTCTGTCTAGATTTTATAAGAAGATGTTTCCTTTTCTACCGTAGGCCTCAAAGCGCTTGAAATCTCCAGCTGCAAATTCCACAAAAAGGGTGTTTAACATCTGCTCTTCTAAAGGAAAGTTCAACTCTATGAGTTGAATACACACAGCACAAAGAAGTTACTGAGACTTCTCCTATCAAACATTATATGAAGAAATCCCGTTTCCAACGAAGGCCTCAAAGAGGTCCAAATATCTGCTTGCAGACTTTACAGACAGAGTGTTTCCAAACTGCTCCATCAAAAGAAAGGTTAAACTCCTTGAGTTGAACACACACATCACAAAGTAGTTTCTGTGAATGATTCTGTCTAGTTTTTATACGAAGATGTTTCCTTTTCTACCTTTGGTCTCAAAGCGATTGAAATCTCCACATGGAAACTCCACAAAAAGAGTGTTTCAAATCTGCTCTTTCTGAAAGAAGGTTCAACTCTGTGAGTTGAATACACACACCACAAATAAGTTACTGAGAATTCTTCTGTGTAACATTATATGAGGAAATCCCGTTTCCAACGAAGGCCTCAAAGAGGTCCAAATATCCACTTGCAGACTTTACAAAGACAGTGTCTCCAAACTCCTCCATCAAAAGAAAGGTTATACTCTGTGAATTGAACGCACACATCACAAAGTAGTTTCTGAGAATGATTCTGTCTAGTTTTTATACGAAGATATTTCCTTTTCTACATTTGGCCTAAAAGCGCTTGAAATCTCCACCTGCAAATATCACAAAAAGAGGGTTTCACATCTGCTCTGTCTAAAGGACAGTTCACCTCTGTGAGTTGAATAGAGGCAACACAAAGAACTTACTCAGTATTCTTCTTTCTAGCGTTCTATGAAGAAATCCCGTTTCCAACGAAGGCCCCAAAGAGGTCCAAATATCTGCTTGCAGACTTTACAGACAGTTTCCAAACTACTCTATGAAAAGAAAGCTTAAACTCCTTGAGTTGAACGCACACATCACAAAGTAGTTTCTGAGAATGATTCTGTCTAGTTTTTATACGAAGATGTTTCCTTTTCTACATTTGGTCTCAAAGCGATTGAAATCTCCAACTGGAAACTGCACAAATAGGCTGTTTCAAATCTGCTCTGTCTAAAGGAAGGTTCAACTCTGTGAGTTGAATACACACACCACAAATAAGTTACTGAGAATTCTTCTGTCGAACATTACAGGAAGAAATCCCGTTTCCAACGAAGGCCTCAAAGAGGTCCAAATATCCACCTGCAGACATTACAAACAGAGTGTTTCCAAACTGCTCCATCAAAAGAAAGGTTAAACTCTGTGAGCTGAACACACACATCAAAAAGAAGTTTCTGTGAATGATTCCGTCTAGA
Organism: Homo sapiens; assembly: GCF_000001405.40. Classification (NCBI taxonomy): domain Eukaryota; kingdom Metazoa; phylum Chordata; class Mammalia; order Primates; family Hominidae; genus Homo; species Homo sapiens. The sequence continues at coordinate 36,346,676 of NC_000012.12, read as the reverse complement.
TTTTCTAAGAAGATGTTTCCTTTTCTACCGTAGGCCTCAAAGCGCTTGAAATCTCCAGCTGCAAATTCCACAAAAAGGGTGTTTAACATCTGCTCTTCTAAAGGAAAGTTCAACTCTATGAGTTGAATACACACAGCACAAAGAAGTTACTGAGACTTCTCCTATCTAACATTATATGAAGAAATCCCGTTTCCAACGAAGGCCTCAAAGAGGTCCAAATATCTGCTTGCAGACTTTACAGACAGAGTGTTTCCAAACTGCTCCATCAAAAGAAAGGTTAAACTCCTTGAGTTGAACACACACATCACAAAGTAGTTTCTGTGAATGATTCTGTCTAGTTGTTATACGAAGATGTTTCCTTTTCTACCTTTGGTCTCAAAGCGATTGAAATCTCCACATGGAAACTCCACAAAAAGAGTGTTTCAAATCTGCTCTTTCTGAAGGAACGTTCATCTCTGTGAGTTGAATACACACACCACAAATAAGTTACTGAGAATTCTTCTGGGTAACATTATATGAGGAAATCCCGTTTCCAACGAAGGCCTCAAAGAGGTCCAAATATCCACTTGCAGACTTTACAAAGACAGTGTCTCCAAACTCCTCCATCAAAAGAAAGGTTATACTCTGTGAATTGAACGCACACATCACAAAGTAGTTTCTGAGAATGATTCTGTCTAGTTTTTATACGAAGATATTTCCTTTTCTACATTTGGCCTAAAAGCGCTTGAAATCTCCACCTGCAAATATCACAAAAAGAGGGTTTCACATCTGCTCTGTCTAAAGGACAGTTCACCTCTGTGAGTTGAATAGAGGCAACACAAAGAACGTACTCAGTATTCTTCTTTCTAGCGTTCTATGAAGAAATCCCGTTTCCAACGAAGGCCCCAAAGAGGTCAAATATCTGCTTGCAGACTTTACAGACAGAGTGTTTCCAAACTACTCTACGAAAAGAAAGCTTAAACTCCTTGAGTTGAACGCACACATCTCAAAGTAGTTTCTGAGAATGATTCTGTCTAGTTTTTATACGAAGATGTTTCCTTTTCTACATTTGGTCTCAAAGCGATTGAAATCTCCAACTGGAAACTGCACAAATAGGCTGTTTCAAATCTGCTCTGTCTAAAGGAAGGTTCAACTCTGTGAGTTGAATACACACACCACAAATAAGTTACTGAGAATTCTTCTGTCGAACATTACATGAAGAAATCCCGTTTCCAACGAAGGCCTCAAAGAGGTCCAAATATCCACTTGCAGACATTACAGAGTGTTTCCAAACTGCTCCATCAAAAGAAAGGTTAAAGTCTGTGAGCTGAACACACACATCAAAAAGAAGTTTCTGTGAGTGATTCTGTCTAGATTTTATAAGAAGATGTTTCCTTTTCTACCATAGGCCTCAAAGCGCTTGAAATCTCCAGCTGCAAATTCCACAAAAAGGGGGTTTAACATCTGCTCTTCTAAAGGAAAGTTCAACTCTATGAGTTGAATACACACAGCACAAAGAAGTTACTGAGACTTCTCCTATCAAACATTATATGAAGAAATCCCGTTTCCAACGAAGGCCTCAAAGACGTCCAAATATCCACTTGCAGACATTATAAACAGTGTGTTTCCAAACTGCTCCATCAAAAGAAAGGTTAAACTCTGTGAGCTGAACACACACATCAAAAAGAAGTTTCTGTGAATGATTCTGTCTAGATTTTATAAGAAGATGTTTCCTTTTCTACCATAGGCCTCAAAGCGCTTGAAATCTCCAGCTGCAAATTCCACAAAAAGGGTGTTTAACATCTGCTCTTCTAAAGGAAAGTTCAAATCTATGAGTTGAATACACACAGCACAAAGAAGGTACTGAGACTTCTCCTATCAAACATTATATGAAGAAATCCCGTTTCCAACGAAGGCCTCAAAGAGGTCCAAATATCTGCTTGCAGACTTTACAGACAGTGTGTTTCCAAACTGCTCCATCAAAAGAAAGGTTAAACTCCTTGAGTTGAACACACACATCACAAAGTAGTTTCTGTGAATGATTCTGTCTAGTTTTTATACGAAGAATGTTTCCTTTTCTACCTTTGGTCTCAAAGCGATTGAAATCTCCACATGGAAACTCCACAAAAAGAGTGTTTCAAATCTGCTCTTTCTGAAGGAAGTTTCAACTCTGTGAGTTGAATACACACACCACAAATAAGTTACTGAGAATTCTTCTGTGTAACATTATATGAGGAAATCCCGTTTCCAACGAAGGCCTCAAAGAGGTCCAAATATCCACTTGCAGACTTTACAAAGACAGTGTCTCCAAACTCCTCCATCAAAAGAAAGGTTATACTCTGTGAATTGAACGCACACATCACAAAGTAGTTTCTGAGAATGATTCTGTCTAGTTTTTATACGAAGATATTTCCTTTTCTACATTTGGCCTAAAAGCGCTTGAAGTCTCCACCTGCAAATATCACAAAAAGAGGGTTTCACATCTGCTCTGTCTAAAGGACAGTTCACCTTTGTGAGTTGAATAGAGGCAACACAAAGAACTTACTCAGTATTCTTCTTTCTAGCGTTCTATGAAGAAATCCCGTTTCCAACGAAGGCCTCAAAGAGGTCAAATATCTGCTTGCAGACTTTACAGACAGAGTGTTTCCAAACTACTCTATGAAAAGAAAGCTTAAACTCCTTGAGTTGAACGCACACATCACAAAGTAGTTTCTGAGAATGATTCTGTCTAGTTTTTATACGAAGATGTTTCCTTTTCTACATTTGGTCTCAAAGCGATTGAAATCTCCAACTGGAAACTGCACAAATAGGGTGTTTCAAATCTGCTCTGTCTAAAGGAAGGTTCAACTCTGTGAGTTGAATACACACACCACAAATAAGTTACTGAGAATTCTTCTGTCGAACATTACTTGAAGAAATCCCGTTTCCAACGAAGGCCTCAAAGAGGTCCAAATATCCACTTGCAGACATTACAAACAGAGTGTTTCCAAACTGCTCCATCAAAAGAAAGGTTAAACTCTGTGAGCTGAACACACACATCGAAAAGAAGTTTCTGTGAATGATTCTGTCTAGATTTTATAAGAAGATGTTTCCTTTTCTACCGTAGGCCTCAAAGCGCTTGAAATCTCCAGCTGCAAATTCCACAAAAAGGGTGTTTAACATCTGCTCTTCTAAAGGAAAGTTCAACTCTATGAGTTGAATACACACAGCACAAAGAAGTTACTGAGACTTCCCTATCAAACATTATATGAAAAAATCCCATTTCCAACGAAGGCCTCAAAGAGGTCCAAATATCTGCTTGCAGACTTTACAGACAGAGTGTTTCCAAACTGCTCCATCAAAAGAAAGGTTAACCTCCTGAGTTGAACACACACATCACAAAGTAGTTTCTGTGAATGATTCTGTCTAGTTTTTATACGAAGATGTTTCCTTTTCTACCTTTGGTCTCAATGCGATTGAAATCTCCACATGGAAACTCCACAAAAAGAGTGTTTCAAATCTGCTCTTTCTGAAGGAAGGTTCATCTCTGTGAGATGAATACACACACCACAAATAAGTTACTGAGAATTCTTCTGTGTAACATTATATGAGGAAATCCCGTTTCCAACGAAGGCCTCAAAGAGGTCCAAATATCCACTTGCAGACTTTACAAAGACAGTGTCTCCAAACTCCTCCATCAAAAGAAAGGTTATACTCTGTGAATTGAACGCACACATCACAAAGTAGTTTCTGAGAATGATTCTGTCTAGTTTTTATACGAAGATATTTCCTTTTCTACATTTGGCCTAAAAGCGCTTGAAATCTCCACCTGCAAATATCACAAAAAGAGGGTTTCACATCTGCTCTGTCTAAAGGACAGTTCACCTCTGTGAGTTGAATAGAGGCAACACAAAGAACTTACTCAGTATTCTTCTTTCTAGCGTTCTATGAAGAAATCCCGTTTCCAACGAAGGCCCCAAAGAGGTCCAAATATCTGCTTGCAGACTTTACAGACAGAGTGTTTCCAAACTACTCTATGAAAAGAAAGCTTAAACTCCTTGAGTTGAACGCACACATCACAAAGTAGTTTCTGAGAATGATTCTGTCCAGTTTTTATACGAAGATGTTTCCTTTTCTACATTTGGTCTCAAAGCGATTGAAATCTCCAACTGGAAACTGCACAAATAGGGTGTTTCAAATCTGCTCTGTCTAAAGGAAGGTTCAACTCTGTGAGTTGAATACACACACCACAAATAAGTTACTGAGAATTCTTCTGTCGAACATTACTTGAAGAAATCCCGTTTCCAACGAAGGCCTCAAAGAGGTCCAAATATCCACTTGCAGACATTACAAACAGAGTGTTTCCAAACTGCTCCATCAAAAGAAAGGTTAAACTCTGTGAGCTGAACACACACATCGAAAAGAAGTTTCTGTGAATGATTCTGTCTAGATTTTATAAGAAGATGTTTCCTTTTCTACCGTAGGCCTCAAAGCGCTTGAAATCTCCAGCTGCAAATTCCACAAAAAGGGTGTTTAACATCTGCTCTTCTAAAGGAAAGTTCAACTCTATGAGTTGAATACACACAGCACAAAGAAGTTACTGAGACTTCTCCTATCAAACATTATATGAAGAAATCCCGTTTCCAACGAAGGCCCCAAAGAGGTCCAAATATCTGCTTGCAGACTTTACAGACAGAGTTTTTCCAAACAGCTCCATCAAAAGAAAGGTTAAACTCCTTGAGTTGAACACACACATCACAAAGTAGTTTCTGTGAATGATTCTGTCTAGTTTTTATACGAAGATGTTTCCTTTTCTACCTTTGGTCTCAAAGCGATTGAAATCTCCACATGGAAACTCCACAAAAAGAGTGTTTCAAATCTGCTCTTTCTGAAGGAAGGTTCAACTCTGTGAGTTGAATACACACACCACAAATAAGTTACTGAGAATTCTTCTGTGTAACATTATATGAGGAAATCCCGTTTCCAACGAAGGCCTCAAAGAGGTCCAAATATCCACTTGCAGACTTTACAAAGACAGTGTCTCCAAACTCCTCCATCAAAAGAAAGGTTATACTCTGTGAATTGAACGCACACATCACAAAGTAGTTTCTGAGAATGATTCTGTCTAGTTTTTATACGAAGATATTTCCTTTTCTACATTTGGCCTAAAAGCGCTTGAAATCTCCACCTGCAAATATCACAAAAAGAGGGTTTCACATCTGCTCTGTCTGAAGGACAGTTCACCTCTGTGAGTTGAATAGAGGCAACACAAAGAACTTACTCAGTATTCTTCTTTCTAGCGTTCTATGAAGAAATCCCGTTTCCAACGAAGGCCCCAAAGAGGTCCAAATATCTGCTTGCAGACTTTACAGACAGAGTGTTTCCAAACTACTCTATGAAAAGAAAGCTTAAACTCCTTGAGTTGAACGCACACATCACAAAGTAGTTTCTGAGAATGATTCTGTCTAGTTTTTATACGAAGATGTTTCCTTTTCTACATTTGGTCTCAAAGCGATTGAAATCTCCAACTGGAAACTGCACAAATAGGGTGTTTCAAATCTGCTCTGTCTAAAGGAAGGTTCAACTCTGTGAGTTGAATACACACACCACAAATAAGTTACTGAGAATTCTTCTGTCGAACATTACTTGAAGAAATCCCGTTTCCAACGAAGGCCTCAAAGACGTCCAAATATCCACTTGCAGACATTACAAACAGAGTGTTTCCAAACTGCTCCATCAAAAGAAAGGTTAAACTCTGTGAGCTGAACACACACATCAAAAAGAAGTTTCTGTGAATGATTCTGTCTAGATTTTATAAGAAGATGTTTCCTTTTCTACCGTAGGCCACAAAGCGCTTGAAATCTCCAGCTGCAAATTCCACAAAAAGGGTGTTTAACATCTGCTCTTCTAAAGGAAAGTTCAACTCTATGCGTTGAATACACACAGCACAAAGAAGTTACTGAGACTTCTCCTATCAAACATTATATGAAGAAATCCCGTTTCCAACGAAGGCCTCAAAGAGGTCCAAATATCTGCTTGCAGACTTTACAGACAGAGTGTTTCCAAACTGCTCCATCAAAAGAAAGGTTAAACTCCTTGAGTTGAACACACACATCACAAAGTAGTTTCTGTGAATGATTCTGTCTAGTTTTTATACGAAGATGTTTCCTTTTCTACCTTTGGTCTCACAGCCATTGAAATATCCACATGGAAACTCCGCAAAAAGAGTGTTTCAAATCTGCTCTTTCTGAAGGAAAGTTCAACTCTGTGAGTTGAATACACACACCACAAATAAGTTACCGAGAATTCTTCTGTGTAACATTATAGGAGGAAATCCCGTTTCCAACGAAGGCCTCAAAGAGGTCCAAATATCCACTTGCAGACGTGACAAACAGAGTGTTTCCAAACTGCTCCATCCAAAGAAAGGTTAAACTCTGTGAGTTGAACACACACATCACAAAGTAGTGTCTGTGAATGATTCTGTCTAGTTTTTATACGAAGATGTTTCCTTTTCTACCTTTGGTCTCAAAGCGATTGAAATCTCCACATGGAAACTCCACAAAAAGAGTGTTTCAAATCTGCTCTTTCTGAAGGAAGGTTCAACTCTGTGAGTTGAATACACACACCACAAATAAGTTACTGAGAATTCTTCTGGGTAACATTATATGAGGAAATCCCGTTTCCAACGAAGGCCTCAAAGAGGTCCAAATATCCACTTGCAGACTTTACAAAGACAGTGTCTCCAAACTCCTCCATCAAAAGAAAGGTTATACTCTGTGAATTGAACGCACACATCACAAAGTAGTTTCTGAGAATGATTCTGTCTAGTTTTTATACAGAAGATATTTCCTTTTCTACATTTGGCCTAAAAGCGCTTGAAATCTCCACCTGCAAATATCACAAAAAGAGGGTTTCACATCTGCTCTGTCTAAAGGACAGTTCACCTCTGTGAGTTGAATAGAGGCAACACAAAGAACTTACTCAGTATTCTTCTTTCTAGCGTTCTATGAAGAAATCCCGTTTCCAACGAAGGCCCCAAAGAGGTCCAAATATCTGCTTGCAGACTTTACAGACAGAGTGTTTCCAAACTACTCTATGAAAAGAAAGCTTAAACTCCTTGAGTTGAACGCACACATCACAAAGTAGTTTCTGAGAATGATTCTGTCTAGTTTTTATACGAAGATGTTTCCTTTTCTACATTTGGTCTCAAAGCGATTGAAATCTCCAACTGGAAACTGCACAAATAGGGTGTTTCAAATCTGCTCTGTCTAAAGGAAGGTTCAACTCTGTGAGTTGAATACACACACCACAAATAAGTTACTGAGAATTCTTCTGTCGAACATTACATGAAGAAATCCCGTTTCCAACGAAGGCCTCAAAGAGGTCCAAATATCCACTTGCAGACATTACAAACAGAGTGTTTCCAAACTGCTCCATCAAAAGAAAGGTTAAACTCTGTGAGCTGAACACACACATCAAAAAGAAGTTTCTGTGAATGATTCTGTCTAGATTTTATAAGAAGATGTTTGCTTTTCTACCGTAGGCCTCAAAGCGCTTGAAATCTCCAGCTGCAAATTCCACAAAAAGGGTGTTTAACATCTGCTCTTCTAAAGGAAAGTTCAACTCTATGCGTTGAACACACACAGCACAAAGAAGTTACTGAGACTTCTCCTATCAAACATTATATGAAGAAATCCCGTTTCCAACGAAGGCCTCAAAGAGGTCCAAATATCTGCTTGCAGACTTTACAGACAGAGTGTTTCCAAACTGCTCCATCAAGAGAAAGGTTAAACTCCTTGAGTTGAACACACACATCACAAAATAGTTTCTGTGAATGATTCTGTCTAGTTTTTATACGAAGATGTTTCCTTTTCTACCTTTGGTCTCAAAGCGATTGAAATCTCCACATGGAAACTCCACAAAAAGAGTGTTTCAAATCTGCTCTTTCTGAAGGAAGGTTCAACTCTGTGAGTTGAATACACACACCACAAATAAGTTACTGAGAATTCTTCTGTGTAACATTATATGAGGAAATCCCGTTTCCAACGAAGGCCTCAAAGAGGTCCAAATATCCACTTGCAGACTTTACAAAGACAGTGTCTCCAAACTCCTCCATCAAAAGAAAGGTTATACTCTGTGAATTGAACGCACACATCACAAAGTAGTTTCTGAGAATGATTCTGTCTAGTTTTTATACGAAGATATTTCCTTTTCTACATTTGGCCTAAAAGCGCTTGAAATCTCCACCTGCAAATATCACAAAAAGAGGGTTTCACATCTGCTCTGTCTAAAGGACAGTTCACCTCTGTGAGTTGAATAGAGGCAACACAAAGAACTTATTCTGTATTCTTCTTTCTAGCATTCTATGAAGAAATCCCGTTTCCAACAAAGGCCCCAAAGAGGTCCAAATATCTGCTTGCAGACTTTACAGACAGAGTTTTTCCAAACTGCTCCATCAAAAGAAAGGTTAAACTCCTTGAGTTGAACACACACATCACAAAGTAGTTTCTGAGAATGATTCTGTCTAGTTTTTATACGAAGATGTTTCCTTTTCTACATTTGGTCTCAAAGCGATTGAAATCTCCAACTGGAAACTGCACAAATAGGGTGTTTCAAATCTGCTCTGTCTAAAGGAAGGTTCAACTCTGTGAGTTGAATACACACACCACAAATAAGTTACTGAGAATTCTTCTGTCGAACATTACATGAAGAAATTCCGTTTCCAACGAAGGCCTCAAAGAGGTCCAACTATCCACTTGCAGACATTACAAACAGAGTGTTTCCAAACTGCTCCATCAAAAGAAAGGTTAAACTCTGTGAGCTGAACACACACATCAAAAAGAAGTTTCTGTGAATGATTCAGTCTAGACTTTAGAAGAAGATGTTTCCTTTTCTAACGTAGGCCTCAAAGCGCTTGAAATCTCCAGCTGCAAATTCCACAGAAAGGGTGTTTAACATCTGCTCTTCTAAAGGAAAGTTCAACTCCATGAGTTGAATACACACAGCACAAAGAAGTTACTGAGACTTCTCCTATCAAACATTATATGAAGAAATCCCGTTTCCAACGAAGGCCTCAAAGAGGTCCAAATATCCACTTGCAGACGTGACAAACAGAGTGTTTCCAAACTGCCCCATCGAAAGAAAGGTTAAACTCTGTGAGTTGAACACACACATCACAAAGTAGTTTCTGTGAATGATTCTGTCTAGTTTTTATACGAAGATGTTTCCTTTTCTACCTTTGGTCTCAAAGCTATTGAAATCTCCAAATGGAAACTCCACAAAAAGAGTGTTTCAAATCTGCTCTTTCTGAAGGAAGGTTCAACTCTGTGAGTTGAATACACACACCACAAAGAAGTTACTGAGAATTCTTCTGTGTAACATTATAGGAGGAAATCCCGTTTCCAACGAAGGCCTCAAAGAGGTCCAATTATCCACTTGCAGACTTTACAAAGACAGTGTCTCCAAACTCCTCCATCAAAAGAAAGCTTATCCACTGTGAATTGAACGCACAAATCACAAAGTAGTTTCTGAGAATGATTCTGTCTAGTTTTTATACGAAGATATTTCCTTTTCTACATTTGGCCTAAAAGCGCTTGAAATCTCCACCTGCAAATATCACAAAAAGAGGGTTTCACATCTGCTCTGTCTAAAGGACAGTTCACCTCTGTGAGTTGAATAGAGGCAACACAAAGAACTTACTCAGTATTCTTCTTTCTAGCGTTATATGAAGAAATCCCGTTTCCAACGAAGGCCTCAAAGAGGTCCAAATATCTGCTTGCAGACTTTACAGACAGAGTGTTTCCAAGCTACTGTATGAAAAGAAAGCTTTAACTCCGTGAGTTGAACGCACACATCACAAAGTAGTTTCTGAGAATGATTCTGTCTTGTTTTTATACGAAGATATTTCCGTTTCTATGATTGGCCTCAAAGCGATTGAAATCTCTAAGTGGAAACTGCACAAACAGGGTGTTTCAAATCTGCTCTGTCTAAAGGAAGGTTCAACTCTGTGAGTTGAATACACACACCACAAATAAGTTACTGAGAATTCTTCTGTCGAACATTACATGAAGAAATCCCGTTTCCAACGAAGGCCTCAAAGAGGTCCAAATATCCACTTGCAGACATTACAAACAGAGTGTTTCCAAACTGCTCCATCAAAAGAAAGGTTAAACTCTGTGAGCTGAACACACACATCAAAAAGAAGTTTCTGTGAATGATTCTGTCTAGATTTTATAAGAAGATGTTTCCTTTTCTACCGTAGGCCTCAAAGCGCTTGAAATCTCCAGCTGCAAATTCCACAAAAAGGGTGTTTAACATCTGCTCTTCTAAAGGAAAGTTCAACTCTATGAGTTGAATACACACAGCACAAAGAAGTTACTGAGATTTCTTCTTTCTAGCATTCTATGAAGAAATCCCGTTTCCAACGAAGGCCTCAAAGAGGTCCAAATATCTGCTTGCAGACTTTACAGACAGAGTTTTTCCAAACTGCTCCATCAAAAGAAAGGTTAAACTCCTTGAGTTGAACACACACATCACAAAGTAGTTTCTGTGAATGATTCTGTCTTGTTGTTATACGAAGATGTTTCCTTTTCTACCTTTGGTCTCAAAGCGATTGAAATCTCCACATGGAAACTCCACAAAAAGAGTGTTTCAAATCTGCTCTTTCTGAAGGAAGGTTCATCTCTGTGAGTTGAATACACACACCACAAATAAGTTACTGAGAATTCTTGTGTGTAACATTATATGAGGAAATCCCGTTTCCAACGAAGGCCTCAAAGAGGTCCAAATATCCACTTGCAGACTTTACAAAGACAGTGTCTCCAAACTCCTCCATCAAAAGAAAGGTTATACTCTGTGAATTGAACGCACACATCACAAAGTAGTTTCTGAGAATGATTTCTGTCTAGTTTTTATACGAAGATATTTCCTTTTCTACATTTGGCCTAAAAGCGCTTGAAATCTCCACCTGCAAATATCACAAAAAGAGGGTTTCACATCTGCTCTGTCTAAAGGACAGTTCACCTCTGTGAGTTGAATAGAGGCAACACAAAGAACTTACTCAGTATTCTTCTTTCTAGCGTTCTATGAAGAAATCCCGTTTCCAACGAAGGCCTCAAAGAGGTCCAAATATCTGCTTGCAGACTTTACAGACAGAGTGTTTCCAAACTACTCTATGAAAAGAAAGCTTAAACTCCTTGAGTTGAACGCACACATCACAAAGTAGTTTCTGAGAATGATTCTGTCTAGTTTTTATACGAAGATGTTTCCTTTTCTACATTTGGTCTCAAAGCGATTGAAATCTCCAACTGGAAACTGCACAAATAGGGAGTTTCAAATCTGATCTGTCTAAAGGAAGGGTCAACTCTGTGAGTTGAATACACACACCACAAATAAGTTACTGAGAATTCTTCTGTCGAACACTACATGAAGAAATCCCTTTTCCAACAAAGGCCTCAAAGAGGTCCAAATATCCACTTGCAGACATTACAGAGTGTTTCCAAACTGCTCCATCAAAAGAAAGGTTAAACTCTGTGAGCTGAACACACACATCAAAAAGAAGTTTCTGTGAATGATTCTGTCTAGATTTTATAAGATGTTGCCTTTTCTACTGTAGGCCTCAAAGCGCTTGAAATCTCCAGCTGCAAATTCCAAAAAAAGGGTGTTTAACATCTGCTCTTCTAAAGGAAAGTTCAACTCTATGAGTTGAATACACACAGCACAAAGAAGTTACTGAGACTTCTCCTATCAAACATTATATGAAGAAATCCCGTTTCCAACGAAGGCCTCAAAGAGGTCCAAATATCTGCTTGCAGACTTTACAGACAGAGTTTTTCCAAACTGCTCCATCAAAAGAAAGGTTAAACTCCTTGAGTTGAACACACACATCACAAAGTAGTTTCTGTGAATGATTCTGTCTAGTTGTTATACGAAGATGTTTCCTTTTCTACCTTTGGTCTCAAAGCGATTGAAATCTCCACATGGAAACTCCACAAAAAGAGTGTTTCAAATCTGCTCTTTCTGAAGGAAGGTTCATCTCTGTGAGTTGAATATACACACCACAAATAAGTTACTGAGAATTCTTCTGTGTAACATTATATGAGGAAATCCCGTTTCCAACGAAAGCCTCAAAGAGGTCCAAATATCCACTTGCAGACTTTACAAAGACAGTGTCTCCAAACTCCTCCATCAAAAGAAAGGTTATACTCTGTGAATTGAACGCACACATCACAAAGTAGTTTCTGAAGAATGACTTCTCTCTAGTTTTTATACGAAGATATTTCCTTTTCTACATTTGGCCTAAAAGCGCTTGAAATCTCCACCTGCAAATATCACAAAAAGAGGGTTTCACATCTGCTCTGTCTAAAGGACAGTTCACGTCTGTGAGTTGAATAGAGGCAACACAAAGAACTTACTCAGTATTCTTCTTTCTAGCATTCTGTGAAGAAATCCCGTTTCCAACGAAGGCCCCAAAGAGGTCCAAATATCTGCTTGCAGACTTTACAGACAGAGTTTTTCGAAACTGCTCCATCAAAAGAAAGGTTAAACTCCTTGAGTTGAACACACACATCACAAAGTAGTTTCTGAGAATGATTCTGTCTAGTTTTTATACGAAGATGTTTCCTTTTGTACATTTGGTCTCAAAGCGATTGAAATCTCCAACAGGAAACTGCACAAATAGGGTGTTTCAAATCTGCTCTGTCTAAAGGAAGGTTCAACTCTGTGAGTTGAATACACACACCACAAATAAGTTACTGAGAATTCTTCTTTCGAACACTACTTGAAGAAATCCCGTTTCCAACGAAGGCCTCAAAGAGGTCCAAATATCCACTTGCAGACATTACAAACAGAGTGTTTCCAAACTGCTCCATCAAAAGAAAGGTTATACTCTGTGAATTGAACGCACACATCACAAAGTAGTTTCTGAGAATGATTCTGTCTAGATTTTATAAGATGTTTCCTTTTCTACCGTAGGCCTCAAAGCGCTTGAAATCTCCAGTTGCAAATTCCACAAAAACGGTGTTTAACATCTGCTCTTCTAAAGGAAAGTTCAACTCTATGAGTTGAATACACACAGCACAAAGAAGTTACTGAGACTTCTCCTATCAAACATTATATGAAGAAATCCCGTTTCCAACGAAGGCCTCAAAGAGGTCCAAATATCTGCTTGCAGACTTTACAGACAGAGTATTTCCAAACTGCTCCATCAAAAGAAAGGTTAAACTCCTTGAGTTGAACACACACATCACAAAGTAGTTTCTGTGAATGATTCTGTCTAGTTTTTATACGAAGATGTTTCCTTTTCTACCTTTGGTCTCAAAGCGATTGAAATCTCCACATGGAAACTCCACAAAAAGAGTGTTTCAAATCTGCTCTTTCTGAAGGAAGGTTCACCTCTGTGAGTTGAATAAACACACCACAAATAAGTTACTGAGAATTCTACTGTGTAACATTATATGAGGAAATCCCGTTTCCAACGAAGGCCTCAAAGAGGTCCAAATATCCACTTGCAGACTTTACAAAGACAGTGTCTCCAAACTCCTCCATCAAAAGAAAGGTTATACTCTGTGAATTGAACGCACACATCACAAAGTAGTTTCTGAGAATGATTCTGTCTAGTTTTTATACGAAGATATTTCCTTTTTTATATTTGGCCTAAAAGCGCTTGAAATCTCCACCTGCAAATATCACAAAAAGAGGGTTTCACATCTGCTCTGTCTAAAGGACAGTTCACCTCTGTGAGTTGGATAGAGGCAACACAAAGAACTTACTCAGTATTCTTCTTTCTAGCGTTCTATGAAGAAATCCCGTTTCCAACGAAGACCCCAATGCGGTCCAAATATCTGCTTGCAGACTTTACAGACAGAGTGTTTCCAAACTACTCTATGAAAAGAAAGCTTAAACTCCTTGAGTTGAACGCACACATCACAAAGTAGTTTCTGAGAATGATTCTGTCTAGTTTTTATACGAAGATGTTTCCTTTTCTACATTTGGTCTCAAAGCGATTGAAATCTCCAACTGGAAACTGCACAAATAGGCTGTTTCAAATCTGCTCTGTCTAAAGGAAGGTTCAGCTCTGTGAGTTGAATACACACACCACAAATAAGTTACTGAGAATTCTTCTGTCGAACATTACATGAAGAAATCCCGTTTCCAACGTAGGCCTCAAAGAGGACCAAATATCCACTTGCAGACATTACAGAGTGTTTCCAAACTGCTCCATCAAAAGAAAGGTTAAACTCTGTGAGCTGAACACACACATCAAAAAGAAGTTTCTGTGAATGATTCTGTCTAGATTTTTTAAGAAGATGTTTCCTTTTCTACCGTAGGCCTCAAAGCGCTTGAAATCTCCAGCTGCAAATTCCACAAAAAGGGTGTTTAACATCTGCTCTTCTAAAGGAAAGTTCAACTCTGTGAGTTGAATACACACAGCACAAAGAAGTTACTGAGACTTCTCCTATCAAACATTATATGAAGAAATCCCGTTTCCAAAGAAGGCCTCAAAGAGGTCCAAATATCTGCTTGCAGACTTTACAGACAGAGTTTTTCCAAACTGCTCCATCAAAAGAAAGGTTAAACTCCTTGAGTTGAACACACACATCACAAAGTAGTTTACTGTGAATGATTCTGTCTAGTTTTTATACGAAGATGTTTCCTTTTCTACCTTTGGTCTCAAAGCGATTGAAATCTCCACATGGAAACTCCACAAAAGGAGTGTTTCAAATCTGCTCTTTCTGAAGGAAGGTTCAACTCTGTGAGTTGAATACACACACCACAAATAAGTTACTGAGAATTCTTCTGTGTAACATTATATGAGGAAATCCCGTTTCCAACGAAGGCCTCAAAGAAGTCCAAATATCCACTTGCAGACTTTACAAAGACAGTGTCTCCAAACTCCTCCATCAAAAGAAAGGTTATACTCTGCGAATTGAACGCACACATCACAAAGTAGTTTCTGAGAATGATTCTGTCTAGTTTTTATACGAAGATATTTCCTTTTCTACATTTGGCCTAAAAGCGCTTGAAATCTCCACCTGCAAATATCACAAAAAGAGGGTTTCACATCTGTTCTGTCTAAAGGACAGTTCACCTCTGTGAGTTGGGTAGAGGCAACACAAAGAACTTACTCAGTATTCTTCTTTCTAGCGTTCTATGAAGAAATCACGTTTCCAACGAAGGCGCCAAAGAGGTCCAAATATCTGCTTGCAGACTTTACAGACAGAGTGTTTCCAAACTACTCTATGAAAAGAAAGCTTAAACTTCTTGAGTTGAACGCACACATCACAAAGTAGTTTCTGAGAATGATTCTGTCTAGTTTTTATACGAAGATGTTTCCTTTTCTACGTTTGGTCTCAAAGCGATTGAAATCTCCAACTGGAAACTGCACAAATAGGCTGTTTCAAATCTGCTCTGTCTAAAGGAAGGTTCAACTCTGTGAGTTGAATACACACACCACAAATAAGTTACTGAGAATTCTTCTGTCGAACATTACTTGAAGAAATCCCGTTTCCAACGAAGGCCTCAAAGAGGTCCAAATATCCACTTGCAGACATTACAAACAGATTGTTTCCAACCTGCTCCATCAAAAGAAAGGTTAAACTCTGTGAGCTGAACACACACATCAAAAAGAAGTTTCTGTGAATGATTCTGTCTAGATTTTGTAAGAAGATGTTTCCTTTTCTACCGTAGGCCTCAAAGCGCTTGAAATCTCCACCTGCAAATTCCACAAAAAGGGTGTTTTACATCTGCTCTTCTAAAGGAAAGTTCAACTCTATGTGTTGAATACACACAGGACAAAGAAGTTACTGAGACTTCTCCTATCAAACATTATATGAAGAAATCCCGTTTCCAACGAAGGCCTCAAAGAGGTCCAAATATCTGCTTGCAGACTTTACAGACAGAGTTTTTCCAAACTGCTCCATCAAAAGAAAGGTTAAACTCCTTGAGTTGAACACACACATCACAAAGTAGTTTCTGTGAATGATTCTGTCTAGTTTTTATACGAAGATGTTTCCTTTTCTACCTTTGGTCTCAAAGCGATTGAAATCTCCACATGGAAACTCCACAAAAAGAGTGTTTCAAATCTGCTCTTTCTGAAGGAAGGTTCATCTCTGTGAGTTGAATACACACACCACAAATAAGTTACTGAGAATTCTTCTGTGTAACATATATGAGGAAATCCCGTTTCCAACGAAGGCCTCAAAGAGTTCCAAATATCCACTTGCAGACTTTAGAAAGACAGTGTCTCCAAACTCCTCCATCAAAAGAAAGGTTATACTCTGTGAATTGAACGCACACATCACAAAGTAGTTTCTGAGAATGATTCTGTCTAGTTTTTATACGAAGATATTTCCTTTTCTACATTTGGCCTAAAAGCGCTTGAAATCTCCACCTGCAAATATCACAAAAAGGTTGTTTCACATCTGCTCTGTCTAAAGGACAGTTCACCTCTGTGAGTTGAATAGAGGCAACACAAAGAACTTACTCAGTATTCTTCTTTCTAGGGTTCTATGAAGAAACGCCGTTTCCAACGAAGGCCCCAAAGAGGTCCAAATATCTGCTTGCAGACTTTACAGACAGAGTGTTTCCAAACTACTCTATGAAAAGAAAGCTTAAACTCCTTGAGTTGAACGCACACATCACAAAGTAGTTTCTGAGAATGATTCTGTCTAGTTTTTATACGAAGATGTTTCCTTTTCTACATTTGGTCTCAAAGCGATTGAAATCTCCAACTGGAAACTGCACAAATAGGGTGTTTCAAATCTGCTCTGTCTAAAGGAAGGTTCAGCTCTGTGAGTTGAATACACACACCACAAATAAGTTACTGAGAATTCTTCTGTCGAACATTACATGAAGAAATCCCGTTTCCAACGAAGGCCTCAAAGAGGTCCAAATATCCACTTGCAGACATTACAGAGTGTTTCCAAACTGCTCCATCAAAAGAAAGGTTAAACTCTGTGAGCTGAACACACACATCAAAAAGAAGTTTCTGTGAGTGATTCTGTCTAGATTTTATAAGAAGATGTTTCCTTTTCTACCGTAGGCCTCAAAGCGCTTGAAATCTCCAGCTGCAAATTCCACAAAAAGGGTGTTTATCATCTGCTCTTCTAAAGGAAAGTTCAACTCTATGAGTTGAATACACACAGCACAAAGAAGTTACTGAGACTTCTCCTATCAAACATTATATGAAGAAATCCCGTTTCCAACGAAGGCCTCAAAGAGGTCCAAATATCTGCTTGCAGACTTTACAGACAGAGTGTTTCCAAACTGCTCCATCAAAAGAAAGGTTAAACTCCTTGAGTTGAACACACACATCACAAAGTAGTTTCTGTGAATGATTCTGTCTAGTTTTTATACGAAGATGTTTCCTTTTCTACCTTTGGTCTCAAAGCGATTGAAATCTCCACATGGAAACTCCACAAAAAGAGTGTTTCAAATCTGCTCTTTCTGAAGGAAGGTTCAACTCTGTGAGTTGAATACACACACCACAAATAAGTTACTGAGAATTCTTCTGTGTAACATTATATGAGGAAATCCCGTTTCCAACGAAGGCCTCATAGAGGTCCAAATATCCACTTGCAGACTTTACAAAGACAGTGTCTCCAAACTCCTCCATCGAAAGAATGGTTATACTCTGTGAATTGAACGCACACATCACAAAGTAGTTTCTGAGAATGATTCTGCCTAGTTTTTATACGAAGATATTTCCTTTTCTACATTTGGCCTAAAAGCGCTTGAAATCTCCACCTGCAAATATCACAAAAAGAGGGTTTCACATCTGCTCTGTCTAAAGGACAGTTCACCTCTGTGAGTTGAATAGAGGCAACACAAAGAACTTACTCAGTATTCTTCTTTCTAGCGTTCTATGAAGAAATCCCGTTTCCAACGAAGGCCCCAAAGAGGTCCAAATATCTGCTTGCAGACTTTACAGACAGAGTGTTTCCAAACTACTCTATGAAAAGAAAGCTTAAACTCCTTGAGTTGAACGCACACATCACAAAGTAGTTTCGGAGAATGATTCTGTCTAGTTTTTATACGAAGATGTTTCCTTTTCTACATTTGGTCTAAAAGCGATTGAAATCTCCAACTGGAAACTCACAAATAGGGTGTTTCAAATCTGCTCTGTCTAAAGGAAGGTTCAACTCTGTGATTTGAATACACACACCACAAAGAAGTTACTGAGAATTCTTCTGTCGAACATTACATGATGAAATCCCGTTTCCAACGAAGGCCTGAAAGAGGTCCAAATATCCACTTGCAGACATTACAAACATAGTGTTTCCAAACTGCTCCATCAAAAGAAAGGTTAAACTCTGTGAGCTGAACACACACATCAAAAAGAAGTTTCTGTGAATGATTCTGTCTAGATTTTATAAGAAGATGTTTCCTTTTCTACCGTAGGCCTCAAAGCGCATGAAATCTCCAGCTGCAAATTCCACAAAAAGGGTGTTTAACATCTGCTCTTCTAAAGGAAAGTTCAACTCTATGAGTTGAATACACACAGCACAAAGAAGTTACTGAGACTTCTCCTATCAAACATTATATGAAGAATTCCCGTTTCCAACGAAGGCCTCAAAGAGGTCCAAATATCCACTTGCAGACGTGAAAAACAGAGTGTTTCCAAACTGCTCCATCAAAAGAAAGGTTAAACTCTGTGAGCTGAACACACACATCACAAAGTAGTTTCTGTGAATGATTCTGTCTAGTTTTTATACGAAGATGTTTCCTTTTCTACCTTTGGTCTCAAAGCGATTGAAATCTCCACATGGAAACTCCACCAAAAGAGTGTTTCAAATCTGCTCTTTCTGAAGGAAGGTTCAACTCTGTGAGTTGAATACACACACCACAAATAAGTTACTGAGAATTCTTCTGTGTAACATTATACGAGGAAATCCCGTTTCCAATGAAGGCCCCAAAGAGGTCCAAATATCCACTTGCAGACTTTACAAAGACAGTGTCTCCAAACTCCTCCATCAAAAGAAAGGTTATAGTCTGTGAATTGAACGCACACATCACAAAGTAGTTTCTGAGAATGATTCTATCTAGTTTTTATACGAAGATATTTCCTTTTCTACATTTGGCCTAAAAGCGCTTGAAATCTCCACCTGCAAATATCCCAAAAAGAGGGTTTCACATCTGCTCTGTCTAAAGGACAGTTCACCTCTGTGAGTTGAATAGAGGCAACACAAAGAACTTACTCAGTATTCTTCTTTCTAGCGTTCTATGAAGAAATCCCGTTTCCAACGAAGGCCTCAAAGAGGTCCAAATATCTGCTTGCAGACTTTACAGACAGAGTGTTTCCAAACTACTCTATGAAAAGAAAGCTTAAACTCCTTGAATTGAACGCACACATCACAAAGTAGTTTCTGAGAATGATTCTGTCTAGTTTTTATACGAAGATGTTTCCTTTTCTACATTTGGTCTCAAAGCGATTGAAATCTCCAACTGGAAACTGCACAAATAGGGTGTTTCAAATCTGCTCTGTCTAAAGGAAGGTTCAACTCTGTGAGTTGAATACACACACCACAAATAAGTTACTGAGAATTCTTCTGTCGAACATTACTTGAAGAAATCCCGTTTCCAACGAAGGCCCCAAAGAGGTCCAAATATCCACTTGCAGATATTACAAACAGAGTGTTTCCAAACTGCTCCATCAAAAGAAAGGTTAAACTCGGTGAGCTGAACACACACATCAAAAAGAAGTTTCTGTGAATTATTCTGTCTAGATTTTATAAGAAGATGTTTCCTTTTCTACCGTAGGCCTCAAAGCGCTTGAAATCTCCAGCTGCAAATTCCACAAAAAGGGTGTTTAACATCTGCTCTTCTAAAGGAAAGTTCAACTCTATGAGTTGAATACACACAGCACAAAGAAGTTACTGAGACTTCTTCTGTCGAACATTACTTGAAGAAATCCCGTTTCCAACGAAGGCCTCAAAGAGGTCCAAATATCTGCTTGCAGACTTTACAGACAGAGTGTTTCCAAACTGCTCCATCAAAAGAAAGGTTAAACTCCTTGAGTTGAACACACACATCACAAAGTAGTTTCTGTGAATGATTCTGTCTAGTTTTTATACGAAGATGTTTCCTTTTCTACCTTTGGTCTCAAAGCGATTGAAATCTCCACATGGAAACTCCACAAAAAGAGTGTTTCAAATCTGCTCTTTCTGAAGGAAGGTTCAACTCTTGTGAGTTGAATACACACACCACAAATAAGTTACTGAGAATTCTTCTGTGTAACATTATATGAGGAAATCCCGTTTCCAACGAAGGCCTCAAAGAGGTCCAAATATCCACTTGCAGACTTTACAAAGACAGTGTCTCCAAACTCCTCCATCAAAAGAAAGGTTATACTCTGTGAATTGAACGCACACATCACAAAGTAGTTTCTGAGAATGATTCTGTCTAGTTTTTATACGAAGATATTTCCTTTTCTACATTTGGCCTAAAAGCGCTTGAAATCTCCACCTGCAAATATCACAAAAAGAGGGTTTCACATCTGCTCTGTCTAAAGGACAGTTCACCTCTGTGAGTTGAATAGAGGCAACACAAAGAACGTACTCAGTATTCTTCTTTCTAGCGTTCTATGAAGAAATCCCGTTTCCAACGAAGGCCTCAAAGAGGTCCAAATATCTGCTTGCAGACTTTACAGACAGAGTGTTTCCAAACTACTCTATGAAAAGAAAGCTTAAACTCCTTGAGTTGAACGCACACATCACAAAGTAGTTTCTGAGAATGATTTCTGTCCAGTTTTTATACGAAGATGTTTCCTTTTCTACATTTGGTCTCAAAGCGATTGAAATCTCCAACTGGAAACTGCACAAATACGGTGTTTCAAATCTGCTCTGTCTAAAGGAAGTTTCAACTCTGTGAGTTGAATACACACACCACAAATAAGTTACTGAGAATTCTTCTGTCGAACATTACAGGAAGAAATCCCGTTTCCAACGAAGGCCTCAAAGAGGTCCAAATATCCACTTGCAGACATTACAAACAGTGTGTTTCCAAACTGCTCCATCAAAAGAAAGGTTAAACTCTGTGAGCTGAACACACACATCAAAAAGAAGTTTCTGTGAATGATTCTGTCTAGATTTTCTAAGAAGATGTTTCCTTTTCTACCGTAGGCCTCAAAGCGCTTGAAATCTCCAGCTGCAAATTCCACAAAAAGGGTGCTTAACATCTGCACTTCTAAAGGAGAGTTCAACTCTATGAGTTGAATACACACAGCACAAAGAAGTTACTGAGACTTCTCCTATCAAACATTATATGAAGAAATCCCGTTTCCAACGAAGGCCTCAAAGAGGTCCAAATATCTGCTTGCAGACTTTACAGACAGAGTGTTTCCAAACTGCTCCATCAAAAGAAAGGTTAAACTCCTTGAGTTGAACACACACATCACAAAGTAGTTTCTGTGAATGATTCTGTCTAGTTTTTATACGAAGATGTTTCCTTTTCTACCTTTGGTCTCAAAGCGATTGAAATCTCCACAGGGAAACTCCACAAAAAGAGTGTTTCAAATCTGCTCTTTCTGAAGGAAGGTTCAACTCTGTGAGTTGAATACACACACCACAAATAAGTTACTGAGAATTCTTCTGTGTAACATTATATGAGGAAATCCCGTTTCCAACGAAGGCCTCAAAGAGGTCCAAATATCCACTTGCAGACTTTACAAAGACAGTGTCTCCAAACTCCTCCATCAAAAGAAAGGTTATACTCTGTGAATTGAACGCACACATCACAAAGTAGTTTCTGAGAATGATTCTGTCTAGTTTTTATACGAAGATATTTCCTTTTCTACATTTGGCCTAAAAGCGCTTGAAGTCTCCACCTGCAAATATCACAAAAAGAGGGTTTCACATCTGCTCTGTCTAAAGGACAGTTCACCTTTGTGAGTTGAATAGAGGCAACACAAAGAACTTACTCAGTATTCTTCTTTCTAGCGTTATATGAAGAAATCCCGTTTCCAACGAAGGCCTCAAAGAGGTCCAAATATCTGCTTGCAGACTTTACAGACAGAGTGTTTCCAAACTACTCTATGAAAAGAAAGCTTAAACTCCTTGAGTTGAACGCACACATCACAAAGTAGTTTCTGAGAATGATTCTGTCTAGTTTTTATACGAAGATGTTTCCTTTTCTACATTTGGTCTCAAAGCGATTGAAATCTCCAACTGGAAACTGCACAAATAGGGTGTTTCAAATCTGCTCTGTCTAAAGGAAGGTTCAACTCTGTGAGTTGAATACACACACCACAAATAAGTTACTGAGAATTCTTCTGTGGAACATTACTTGAAGAAATCCCGTTTCCAACGAAGGCCTCAAAGAGGTCCAAATATCCACTTGCAGACATTACAAACAGAGTGTTTCCAAACTGCTCCATCAAAAGAAAGGTTAAACTCTGTGAGCTGAACACACACATCAAAAAGAAGTTTCTGTGAATGATTCTGTCTAGATTTTATAAGAAGATGTTTCCTTTTCTACCGTAGGCCTCAAAGCGCTTGAAATCTCCAGCTGCAAATTCCACAAAAAGGGTGTTTAACATCTGCTCTTCTAAAGGAAAGTTCAACTCTATGAGTTGAATACACACAGCACAAAGAAGTTACTGAGACTTCTCCTATCAAACATTATATGAAGAAATCCCGGTTTCCAACGAAGGCCTCAAAGAGGTCAAAATATCTACTTGCAGACTTTACAGACAGAGTGTTTCCAAACTGCTCCATCAAAAGAAAAGTTAAACTCCTTGAGTTGAACACACACATCACAAAGTAGTTTCTGTGAATGATTCTGTCTAGTTTTTATACGAAGATGTTTCCTTTTCTACCTTTGGTTTCAAAGCGATTTAAATCTCCACATGGAAACTCCACAAAAAGAGTGTTTCAAATCTGCTCTTTCTGAAGGAAGGTTCAACTCTGTGAGTTGAATACACACACCACAAATAAGTTACTGAGAATTCTTCTGGGTAACATTATATGAGGAAATCCCGTTTCCAACGAAGGCCTCAAAGAGGTCCAAATATCCACTTGCAGACTTTACAAAGACAGTGTCTCCAAACTCCTCCATCAAAAGAAAGGTTATACTCTGTGAATTGAACGCACACATCACAAAGTAGTTTCTGAGAATGATTCTGTCTAGTTTTTATACGAAGATATTTCCTTTTCTACATTTGGCCTAAAAGCGCTTGAAATCTCCACCAGCAAATATCACAAAAAGAGGGTTTCACATCTGCTCTGTCTAAAGGACAGTTCACCTCTGTGAGTTGAATAGAGGCAACACAAAGAACTTACTCAGTATTCTTCTTTCTAGCGTTCTATGAAGAAATCCCGTTTCCAACGAAGGCCCCAAAGAGGTCCAAATATCTGCTTGCAGACTTTACAGACAGAGTGTTTCCAAACTACTCTATGAAAAGAAAGCTTAAACTCCTTGAGTTGAACGCACACATCACAAAGTAGTTTCTGAGAATGATGCTGTCTAGTTTTTATACGAAGATGTTTCCTTTTCTACATTTGGTCTCAAAGCGATTGAAATCTCCAACTGGAAACTGCACAAATAGGGTGTTTCAAATCTGCTCTGTCTAAAGGAAGGTTCAACTCTGTGAGTTGAATACACACACCACAAATAAGTTACTGAGTATTCTTCTGTCGACCATTACTTGAAGAAATCCCGTTTCCAACGAAGGCCTCAAAGAGGTCCAAATATCCACTTGCAGACATTACAAACAGAGTGT
The DNA here is from genome assembly GCF_000001405.40 of Homo sapiens. Lineage (NCBI taxonomy): Eukaryota > Metazoa > Chordata > Mammalia > Primates > Hominidae > Homo > Homo sapiens. Next base: position 36,323,002 of record NC_000012.12, on the reverse strand, counting down.
TTCCAAACTGCTCCATCAAAAGAAAGGTTAAACTCTGTGAGCTGAACACACACATCGAAAAGATGTTTCTGTGAATGATTCTGTCTAGATTTTATAAGAAGATGTTTCCTTTTCTACCGTAGGCCTCAAAGCGCTTGAAATCTCCAGCTGCAAATTCCACAAAAAGGGTGTTTAACATCTGCTCTTCTAAAGGAAAGTTCAACTCTATGAGTTGAATACACACAGCACAAAGAAGTTACTGAGACTTCTCCTATCAAACATTATATGAAGAAATCCCGTTTCCAACGAAGGCCTCAAAGAGGTCCAAATATCTGCTTGCAGACTTTACAGACAGAGTGTTTCCAAACTGCTCCATCAAAAGAAAGGTTAAACTCCTTGAGTTGAACACACACATCACAAAGTAGTTTCTGTGAATGATTCTGTCTAGTTTTTATACGAAGATGTTTCCTTTTCTACCTTTGGTCTCAAAGCGATTGAAATCTCCACATGGAAACTCCACAAAAAGAATGTTTCAAATCTGCTCTTTCTGAAGGAAGGTTCAACTCTGTGAGTTGAATACACACACCACAAATAAGTTACTGAGAATTCTTCTGTGTAACATTATATGAGGAAATCCCGTTTCCAACGAAGGCCTCAAAGAGGTCCAAATATCCACTTGCAGACTTTACAAAGACAGTGTCTCCAAACTCCTCCATCAAAAGAAAGGTTATACTCTGTGAATTGAACGCACACATCACAAAGTAGTTTCTGAGAATGATTCTGTCTAGTTTTTATACGAAGATATTTCCTTTTCTACATTTGGCCTAAAAGCGCTTGAAATCTCCACGTGCAAATATCACAAAAAGAGGGTTTCACATCTGCTCTGTCTAAAGGACAGTTCACCTCTGTGAGTTGAATAGAGGCAACACAAAGAACTTACTCAGTATTCTTCTTTCTAGCGTTCTATGAAGAAATCCCGTTTCCAACGAAGGCCTCAAAGAGGTCCAAATATCTGCTTGCAGACTTTACAGACAGAGTGTTTCTAAACTACTCTATGAAAAGAAAGCTTAAACTCCTTGAGTTGAACGAACACATCAGAAAGTAGTTTCTGAGAATGATTCTGTCTAGTTTTTATACGAAGATGTTTCCTTTTCTACATTTCTTCTCAAAGCGTTTGAAATCTCCAAATGGAAACTGCACAAATAGGGTGTTTCAAATCTGCTCTGTCTAAAGGAAGGTTCAACTCTGTGAGTTGAATACACACACCACAAATAAGTTGCTGAGAATTCTTCTGTCGAACATTACTTGAAGAAATCCCGTTTCCAATGAAGGCCTCAAAGAGGTCCAAATATCCACTTGCAGACATTACAAACAGAGTGTTTCCAAACTGCTCCATCAAAAGAAAGGTTAAACTCTGTGAGCTGAACACACACATCAAAAAGAAGTTTCTGTGAATGATTCTGTCTAGATTTTATAAGAAGATGTTTCCTTTTCTACCGTAGGCCTCAAAGCGCTTGAAATCTCCAGCTGCAAATTCCACAAAAAGGGTGTTTAATATCTGCTCTTCTAAAGGAAAGTTCAACTCTATGAGTTGAATACACACAGCACAAAGAAGTTACTGAGACTTCTCCTATCAAACATTACATGAAGAAATCCCGTTTCCAACGAAGGCCTCAAAGAGGTCCAAATATCTGCTTGCAGACTTTACAGACAGAGTGTTTCCAAACTGCTCCATCAAAAGAAAGGATAAACTCCTTGAGTTGAACACACACATCACAAAGTAGTTTCTGTGAATGATTCTGTCTAGTTTTTATACGAAGATGTTTCCTTTTCTACCTTTGGTCACAAAGCGATTGAAATCTCCACATGGAAACTCCACAAAAAGAGTGTTTCAAATCTGCTCTTTCTGAAGGAAGGTTCAACTCTGTGAGTTGAATACACACACCACAAATAAGTTACTGAGAATTCTTCTGGGTAACATTATATGAGGAAATCCCGTTTCCAACGAAGGCCTCAAAGAGGTCCAAATATCCACTTGCAGACTTTACAAAGACAGTGTCTCCAAACTCCTCCATCAAAAGAAAGGTTATACTCTGTGAATTGAACGCACACATCACAAAGTAGTTTCTGAGAATGATTCTGTCTAGTTTTTATACGAAGATATTTCCTTTTCTACATTTGGCCTAAAAGCGCTTGAAATCTCCACCTGCAAATATCACAAAAAGAGGGTTTCACATCTGCTCTGTCTAAAGGACAGTTCACCTCTGTGAGTTGAATAGAGGCAACACAAAGAACTTACTCAGTATTCTTCTTTCTAGCGTTCTATGAAGAAATCCCGTTTCCAACGAAGGCCTCAAAGAGGTCAAATATCTGCTTGCAGACTTTACAGACAGAGTGTTTCCAAACTACTCTATGAAAAGAAAGCTTAAACTCCTTGAGTTGAACGCACACATCACAAAGTAGTTTCGGAGAATGATTCTGTCTAGTTTTTATACGAAGATGTTTCCTTTTCTACATTTGGTCTCAAAGCGATTGAAATCTCCAACTGGAAACTGCACAAATAGGGTGTTTCAAATCTGCTCTGTCTAAAGGAAGGTTCAACTCTGTGAGTTGAATACACACACCACAAATAAGTTACTGAGAATTCTTCTGTCGAACATTACATGAAGAAATCCCGTTTCCAACGAAGGCCTCAAAGAGGTCCAAATATCCACTTGCAGACATTACAAACAGAGTGTTTCCAAACTGCTCCATCAAAAGAAAGGTTAAACTCTGTGAGCTGAACACACACATCAAAAAGAAGTTTCTGTGAATGATTCTGTCTAGATTTTATAAGAAGATGTTTCCTTTTCTACCGTAGGCCTCAAAGCGCTTGAAATCTCCAGCTGCAAATTCCACAAAAAGGGTGTTTAACATCTGCTCTTCTAAAGGAAAGTTCAACTCCTATGAGTTGAATACACACAGCACAAAGAAGTTACTGAGACTTCTCCTATCAAACATTATATGAAGCAATCCCGTTTCCAACGAAGGCCTCAAAGAGGTCCAAATATCCACTTGCAGACGTGAAAAACAGAGTGGTTCCAAACTGCTCCATCAAAAGAAAGGTTAACCTCCTTGAGTTGAACACACACATCACAAAGTAGTTTCTGTGAATGATTCTGTCTAGTTTTTATATGAAGATGTTTCCTTTTCTACCTTTGGTCTCAATGCGATTGAAATCTCCACATGGAAACTCCACAAAAAGAGTGTTTCAAATCTGCTCTTTCTGAAGGAAGTTTCAACTCTGTGAGTTGAATACACACACCACAAATAAGTTACTGAGAATTCTCCCTGTGTAACATTATATGAGGAAATCCCGTTTCCAACAAAGGCCTCAAAGAGGTCCAAATATCCACTTGCAGACTTTACAAAGACAGTGTCTCCAAACTCCTCCATCAAAAGAAAGGTTATACTCTGTGAATTGAACGCACACATCACAAAGTAGTTTCTGAGAATGATTCTGTCTAGTTTTTATACGAAGATATTTCCTTTTCTACATTTGGCCTAAAAGCGCTTGAAATCTCCACGTGCAAATATCACAAAAAGAGGGTTTCACATCTGCTCTGTCTAAAGGACAGTTCACCTCTGTGAGTTGAATAGAGGCAACACAAAGAACTTACTCAGTATTCTTCTTTCTAGCGTTCTATGAAGAAATCCCGTTTCCAACCGAAGGCCCTAAAGAGGTCCAAATATCTGCTTGCAGACTTTACAGACAGAGTGTTTCCAAACTACTCTATGAAAAGAAAGCTTAAACTCCTTGAGTTGAACGCACACATCACAAAGTAGTTTCTGAGAATGATTCTGTCTAGTTTCTATACGAAGATGTTTCCTTTTCTACATTTGGTCTCAAAGCGATTGAAATCTCCAACTGGAAACTGCACAAATAGGGTGTTTCAAATCTGCTCTGTCTAAAGGAAGGTTCAAATCTGTGAGTTGAATACACACACCACAAATAAGTTACTGAGAATTCTTCTGTCGAACATTACAGGAAGAAATCCCGTTTCCAACGAAGGCCTCAAAGAGGTCCAAATATCAACTTGCAGATATTACAAACAGAGAGTTTCCAAACTGCTCCATCAAAAGAAAGGTTAAACTCTGTGAGCTGAACACACACATCAAAAAGAAGTTTCTGTGAATGATTCTGTCTAGATTTTATAAGAAGATGTTTCCTTTTCTACCGTAGGCCTCAAAGCGCTTGAAATCTCCAACTGCAAATTCCACAAAAAGGGTGTTTAACATCTGCTCTTCTAAAGGAAAGTTCAACTCTATGAGTTGAATACACACAGCACAAAGAAGTTACTGAGACTTCTCCTATCAAACATTATATGAAGAAATCCCGTTTCCAACGAAGGCCTCAAAGAGGTCCAAATATCTGCTTGCAGACTTTACAGACAGAGTGTTTCCAAACTGCTCCATCAAAAGAAAGGTTAAACTCCTTGAGTTGAACACACACATCACAAAGTAGTTTCTGTGAATGATTCTGTCTAGTTTTTATACGAAGATGTTTCCTTTTCTACCTTTGGTCTGAAAGCGATTGAAATCTCCACATGGAAACTCCACAAAAAGAGTGCTTCAAATCTGCTCTTTCTGAAGGAAGGTTCAACTCTGTGAGTTGAATACACACACCACAAATAAGTTACTGAGAATTCTTCTGTGTAACATTATATGAGGAAATCCCGTTTCCAACGAAGGCCTCAAAGAGGTCCAAATATCCACTTGCAGACTTTACAAAGACAGTGTCTCCAAACTCCTCCATCAAAAGAAAGGTTATACTCTGTGAATTGAAGGCACACATCACAAAGTAGTTTCTGAGAATGATTCTGTCTAGTTTTTATACGAAGATATTTCCTTTTCTACATTTGGCCTAAAAGCGCTTGAAATCTCCACCTGCAAATATCACAAAAAGAGGGTTTCACATCTGCTCTGTCTAAAGGACAGTTCACCTGTGGGAGTTGAATAGAGGCAACACAAAGAACTTACTCAGTATTCTTCTTTCCAGCGTTCTATGAAGAAATTCCGTTTCCAACGAAGGCCTCAAACAGGTCCAAATATCTGCTTGCAGACTTCACAGACAGAGTGTTTCCAAACTACTCTATGAAAAGAAAGCTTAAACTCCTTGAGTTGAAGGCACACATCACAAAGTAGTTTCTGAGAATGATGCTGTCTAGTTTTTATACGAAGATGTTTCCTTTTCTACATTTGGTCTCAAAGCGATTGAAATCTCCAACTGGAAACTGCACAAATAGGGTGTTTCAAATCTGCTCTGTCTAAAGGAAGGTTCAACTTCTGTGAGTTGAATACACACACCACAAATAAGTTACTGAGTATTCTCCTATCAAACATTATATGAAGAAATCCCGTTTCCAACTAAGGCCTCAAAGACGTCCAAATAACCACTTGCAGACATTACAAACAGTGTGTTTCCAAACTGCTCCATCAAAAGAAAGGTTAAACTCTGTGAGCTGAACACACACATCAAAAAGAAGTTTCTGTGAATGATTCTGTCTAGATTTTATAAGAAGATGTTTCCTTTTCTACCGTAGGCCTCAAAGTGCTTGAAATCTCCAGCTGCAAATTCCACAAAAAGGGTGTTTAACATCTGCTCTTCTAAAGGAAAGTTCAACTCAATGAGTTGAATACACACAGCCCAAAGAAGTTACTGAGACTTCTCCTATCAAACATTATATGAAGAAATCCCGTTTCCAACGAAGGCCTCAAAGAGGTCCAAATATCTGCTTGCAGACTTTACAAAGACAGTGTCTCCAAACTCCTCCATCAAAAGAAAGGTTATACTCTGTGAATTGAACGCACACATCACAAAGTAGTTTCTGAGAATGATTCTGTCTAGTTTTTATACGAAGATATTTCCTTTTCTACATTTGGCCTAAAAGTGCTTGAAATCTCCACCTGCAAATATCACAAAAAGAGGGTTTCACATCTGCTCTGTCTAAAGGACAGTTCACCTCTGTGAGTTGAATAGAGGCAACACAAAGAACTTACTCAGTATTCTTCTTTCTAGCGTTATATGAAGAAATCCCGTTTCCAACGAAGGCCTCAAAGAGGTCCAAATATCTGCTTGCAGACTTTACAGACAGAGTGTTTCCAAACTACTCTATGAAAAGAAAGCTTAAACTCCGTGAGTTGAACGCACACATCACAAAGTAGTTTCTGAGAATGATTCTGTCTTGTATTTATACGAAGATATTTCCGTTTCTACGATTGGCCTCAAAGCGACTGAAATCTCCAACTGGAAACTGCACAAATAGGGTGTTTCAAATCTGCTCTGTCTAAAGGAAGGTTCAACTCTGTGAGTTGAATACACACACCACAAATAAGTTACTGAGAATTCTTCTGTCGAACATTACATGAAGAAATCCCATTTCCAACGAAGGCCTCAAAGAGGTCCAAATATCCAGTTGCCGACAATGCAAACACAGTTTTTCCAAACTGCTACGTCAAAAGAAAGGTTAAACTCTGTGAGATAAACACACATATCAAAAAGAAGTTTCTGTGAATGATTCTGTCTAGATTTTATAAGAAGATGATTCCTTTTCTACCGTAGGCCTCAAAGTGCTTGAAATCTCCAGCTGCAAATTCCACAAAAAGGGTGTTTAACATCTGCTCTTCTAAAGGAAAGTTCAACTCTGTGAGTTGAATACACACAGCACAAAGACGTTACTGAGACTTCTTCTGTCTAACATTATATGAAGAAATCCCGATTCCAACGAAGGCCTCAAAGAGGTCCAAATATCTGCCTGCAGACTTTACAGACAGAGTGTTTCCAAACTGCTCCATCAAAAGAAAGGTTAAACTCCTTGAGTTGAACACACACATCACAAAGTAGTTTCTGTGAATGATTCTGTCTAGTTGTTATACGAAGATGTTTCCTTTTCTACCTTTGGTCTCAAAGCGATTGAAATCTCCACATGGAAACTCCACAAAAAGAGTGTTTCAAATCTGCTCTTTCTGAAGGAAGGTTCATCTCTGTGAGTTGAATATACACACCACAAATAAGTTACTGAGAATTCTTCTGTGTAACATTATATGAGGAAATCCCGTTTCCAACGAAGGCCTCAAAGAGGTCCAAATATCCACTTGCAGACTTTACAAAGACAGTGTCTCCAAACTCCTCCATCAAAAGAAAGGTTATACTCTGTGAATTGAACGCACACATCACAAAGTAGTTTCTGAGAATGATTCTGTCTAGTTTTTATACGAAGATATTTCCTTTTCTACATTTGGCCTAAAAGCGCTTGAAATCTCCACCTGCAAATATCACAAAAAGAGGGTTTCACATCTGCTCTGTCTAAAGGACAGTTCACCTCTGTGAGTTGAATAGAGGCAACACAAGGAACTTACTCAGTATTCTTCTTTCTAGCATTCTATGAAGAAATCCCGTTTCCAACGATGGCCCCAAAGAGATCCAAATATCTGCTTGCAGACTTTACAGACAGAGTTTTTCCAAACTGCTCCATCAAAAGAAAGGTTAAACTCCTTGAGTTGAACACACACATCACAAAGTAGTTTCTGTGAATGATTCTGTCTAGTTTTTATAAGAAGATGTTTCCTTTTCTACCTTTGGTCTCAAAGCGATTGAAATCTCCACATGGAAACTCCACAAAAAGAGTGTTTCAAATCTGCTCTTTCTGAAGGAAGGTTCAACTCTGTGAGTTGAATACACACACCACAAATAAGTTACTGAGAATTCTTCTGTGTAACATTATATGAGGAAATCCCATTTCCAACGAAGGCCTCAAAGAGGTCCCAATATCCACATGCAGACTTTACAAAGACAGTGTCTCCAAACTCCTCCATCAAAAGAAAGGTTATACTCTGTGAATTGAACTCACACATCACAAAGTAGTTTCTGAGAAGGATTCTGTCTAGTTTTTATACGAAGATATTTCCTTTTCTACATTTGGCCTAAAAGCGCTTGAAATCTCCACCTGCAAATATCACAAAAAGAGGGTTTCACATCTGCTCTGTCTAAAGGACAGTTCACCTCTGTGAGTTGAATAGAGGCAACACAAAGAACTTACTCAGTATTCTTCTTTCTTGCATTCTATGAAGAAAACCCGTTTCCAACGAAGGCCCCAAAGAGGTCCAAATATCTGCTTGCAGACTTTACAGACAGAGTGTTTCCAAACTGCTCCATCAAAAGAAAGGTTAAACTCCTTGAGTTGAACGCACACATCACAAAGTAGTTTCTGAGAATGATTCTGTCTTGTTTTTATACGAAGATATTTCCGTTTCTACGATTGGCCTCAAAGCGATTGAAATCTCGCAACTGGAAACTGCACAAACTAGGGTGTTTCAAATCTGCTCTGTCTAAAGGAAGGTTCAAATCTGTGAGTTGAATACACACACCACAAATAAGTTACTGAGAATTCTTCTGTCGAACATTACATGAAGAAATCCCGTTTCCAACGAAGGCCTCAAAGAGGTCCAAATATCCACTTGCCGACATGTCAAACACAGTGTTTGCAAACTGCTCCATCAAAAGAAAGGTTAAAGTCTGTGAGATAAACACACACATCAAAAAGAAGTTTCTGTGAATGATTCTGTCTAGATTTTATAAGAAGATGTTTCCTTTTCTACCGTAGGCCTCAAAGCGCTTGAAATCTCCAGCTGCAAATTCCACAAAAAGGGTGTTTAACATCTGCTCTTCTAAAGGAAAGTTCAACTCTATGAGTTGAATACACACAGCACAAAGAAGTTACTGAGACTTCTCCTATCAAACTTTATATGAAGAAATCCCGTTTCCAACGAAGGCCTCAAAGAGGTCCAAATATCCACTTGCAGACGTGAAAAACAGAGTGTTTCCAAACTGCTCCATCAAAAGAAAGGTTCAACTCTGTGAGTTGAAAACACACATCACAAAGTAGTCTCTGTGAATGATTCTGTCTAGTTTTTATACGAAGATGTTTCCTTTTCTACCTTTGGTCTCAATGCGATTGAAATCTCCACATGGAAACTCCACAAAAAGAGTGTTTCAAATCTGCTCTTTCTGAAGGAAGGTTCATCTCTGTGAGTTGAATACACACACCACAAATAAGTTACTGAGAATTCTTCTGTGTAACATTATATGAGGAAATCCCGTTTCCAACGAAGGCCTCAAAGAGGTCCAAATATATACTTGCAGACTTTACAAAAACAGTGTCTCCAAACTCCTCCATCAAAAGAAAGGTTATACTCTGTGAATTGAACGCACACATCACAATGTAGTTTCTGAGAATGATTCTGTCTAGTTTTTATACGAAGATATTTCCTTTTCTACATTTGGCCTAAAAGCGCTTGAAATATCCACCTGCAAATATCACAAAAAGAGGGTTTCACATCTGCTCTGTGTAAAGGACAGTTCACCTCTGTGAGTTGAATAGAGGCAACACCAAGAACTTACTCAGTATTCTTCTTTCTAGCGTTCTATGAAGAAATCCCGTTTCCAACGAAGGCCCCAAAGAGGTCCAAATATCTGCTTGCAGACTTTACAGACAGAGTGTTTCCAAACTACTCTATGAAAAGAAAGCTTAAACTCCTTGAGTTGAACGCACACATCACAAAGTAGTTTCTGAGAATGATTCTGTCTAGTTTTTATACGAAGATGTTTCCTTTTCTACATTTGGTCTCAAAGCGATTGAAATCTCCAACTGGAAACTGCACAAATAGGGTGTTTCAAATCTGCTCTGTCTAAAGGAAGGTTCAACTCTGTGAGTTGAATACACACACCACAAATAAGTTACTGAGAATTCTTCTCCCGAACATTACTTGAAGAAATCCCGTTTCCAACGAAGGCCTCAAAGAGGTCCAAATATCCACTTGCAGACATTACAAACAGAGTGTTTCCAAACTGCTCCATCAAAAGAAAGGTTAAACTCTGTGAGCTGAACACACACATCAAAAAGAAGTTTCTGTGAATGATGCTGTCTAGATGTTATACGAAGATGTTTCCTTTTCTACCATTGGCCTCAAATCGCTTTAAATCTCCAGCTTCAAATTCCACAAAAAGGGTGTTTCACATCTGCTCTGTCTAAAGGAAAGTTCAATTCTGTTAGTTGAATGCACACAGCACAAACAAGTTACAGAGACTTCGTCTGTCTAACATTATATAAAGAAATCCCGTTTCCAATGAAGGCCTCAAAGAAGTCCAAATAACCACTTACAGGTTTGACAAACCGAGTGTTTCCAAACTGCTCCATCAAAAGAAATGTTTAACTTTGTGAGTTGAACACACACATCAAAAAGTAGTTTCTGTGAATGATTCTGTCTAGTTGTTATACGAAGATGTTTCCTTTTCTACCTTTGGTCTCAAAGCGATTGAAATCTCCACATGGAAACTCCACAAAAAGAGTGTTTCAAATCTGCTCTTTCTGAAGGAAGGTTCATCTCTGTGAGTTGAATACACACACCACAAATAAGTTACTGAGAATTCTTCTGTGTAACATTATATGAGGAAATCCCATTTCCAACGAAGGCCTCAAAGAGGTCCAAATATCCACTTGCAGACTTTTCAAAGACAGTGTCTCCAAACTCCTCCATCAAAAGAAAGGTTATACTCTGTGAATTGAACGCACACATCACAAAGTAGTTTCTGAGAATGATTCTGTCTAGTTTTTATACGAAGATGTTTCCTTTTCTACATTTGGCCTAAAAGTGCTTGAAATCTCCACCTGCAAATATCACAAAAAGAGGGTTTCACATCTGCTCTGTCTAAAGGACAGTTCACCTCTGTTAGTTGAATAGAGGCAACACAAAGAACTTACTCAGTATTCTTCTTTCTGGCATTCTATGAAGAAATCCCGTTTCCAACGAAGGCCCCAAAGAGGTCCAAATATCTGCCTGCAGACTTTACAGACAGAATGTTTCCAAACTACTCTATGAAAAGAAAGCTTAAACTCCTTGAGTTGAACGCACACATCACAAAGTAGTTTCTGAGAATGATTCTGTCTAGTTTTTATACGAAGATGTTTCCTTTTCTACATTTGGTCTCAAAGCGATTGAAATCTCCAACTGGAAACTGCACAAATAGGGTGTTTCAAATCTGCTCTGTCTAAAGGAAGGTTCAACTCTGTGAGTTGAATACACACACCACAAATAAGTTACTGAGAATTCTTCTGTCGAACATTACATGAAGAAATCCCGTTTCCAACGAAGGCCTCAAAGAGGTCAAAATATCCACTTGCAGGCATTACAAACAGAGGGTTTCCAAACTGCTCCATCAAAAGAAAGGTTAAACTCTGTGAGCTGAACACACACATCAAAAAGAAGTTTCTGTGAATGATTCTGTCTAGATTTTATAAGAAGATGTTTTCTTTTCTACCGTAGGCCTCAAAGTGCTTGAAATCTCCAGCTGCAAATTCCACAAAAAGGGTGTTTAACATCTGCTCTTCTAAAGGAAAGTTCAACTCTATGAGTTGAATACACACAGCACAAAGAAGTTACTGAGACTTCTCCTATCAAACATTATATGAAGAAATCCCGTTTCCAACGAAGGCCTCAAAGAGGTCCAAATATCTGCTTGCAGACTTTAAAGACAGAGTTTTTCCAAACTGCTCCATCAAAAGAAAGGTTAAACTCCTTGAGTTGAACACACACATCACAAAGTAGTTTCTGTGAATGATTCTGTCTAGTTTTTATACGAAGATGTTTCCTTTTCTACCTTTGGTCTCAAAGCGATTGAAATCTCCACATGGAAACTCCACAAAAAAGAGTGTTTCAAATCTGCTCTTTCTGAAGGAAGGTTCAACTCTGTGAGTTGAATACACACACCACAAATAAGTTACTGAGAATTCTTCTGTGTAACATTATATGAGGAAATCCCGTTTCCAACGAAGGCCTCAAAGAGGTCCAAATATCCACTTGCAGACTTTACAAAGACAGTGTCTCCAAACTCCTCCATCAAAAGAAAGGTTATACTCTGTGAATTGAACGCACACATCACAAAGTAGTTTCTGAGAATGATTCTGTCTAGTTTTTATACGAAGATATTTCCTTTTCTACATTTGGCCTAAAAGCGCTTGAAATCTCCACGTGCAAATATCACAAAAAGAGGGTTTCACATCTGCTCTGTCTAAAGGACAGTTCACCTCTGTGAGTTGAATAGAGGCAACACAAAGAACTTACTCAGTATTCTTCTTTCTAGGGTTCTATGAAGAAACCCCGTTTCCAACGAAGGCCCCAAAGAGGTCCAAATATCTGCTTGCAGACTTTACAGACAGAGTGTTTCCAAACTACTCTATGAAAAGAAAGCTTAAACTCCTTGAGTTGAACGCACACATCACAAAGTAGTTTCTGAGAATGATTCTGTCTAGTTTTTATACGAAGATGTTTCCTTTACTACATTTGGTCTCAAAGCGATTGAAATCTCCAACTGGAAACTGCACAAATAGGGTGTTTCAAATCTGCTCTGTCTAAAGGAAGGTTCAAGTCTGTGAGTTGAATACACACACCACAAATAAGTTACTGAGAATTCTTCTGTCGAACATTACTTGAAGAAATCCCGTTTCCAACGAAGGCCTCAAAGAGGTCCAAATATCCACTTGCAGACATTACAAACAGAGTGTTTCCAAACTGCTCCATCAAAAGAAAGGTTAAACTGCTGTGAGCTGAACACACACATCAAAAAGAAGTTTCTGTGAATGATTCTGTCTAGATTTTATAAGAAGATGTTTCCTTTTCTACCGTAGGCCTCAAAGCGCTTGAAATCTCCAGCTGCAAATTCCACAAAAAGGGTGTTTAACATCTGCTCTTCTAAAGGAAAGTTCAACTCTATGAGTTGAATACACACAGCACAAAGAAGTTACTGAGACTTCTCCTATCAAACATTATATGAAGAAATCCCATTTCCAACGAAGGCCTCAAAGAGGTCCAAATATCTGCTTGCAGACTTTACAGACAGAGTGTTTCCAAACTGCTCCATCAAAAGAAAGGTTAAACTCCTTGAGTTGAACACACACATCACAAAGTAGTTTCTGTGAATGATTCTGTCTAGTTTTTATACGAAGATGCTTCCTTTTCTACCTTTGGTCTCAAAGCGATTGAAATCTCCACATGGAAACTCCATAAAAATAGTGTTTCAAATCTGCTCTTTCTGAAGGAAGGTTCAACTCTGTGAGTTGAATACACACACCACAAATAAGTTACTGAGAATTCTTCTGTGTAACATTATATGAGGAAATCCCGTTTCCAACGAAGGCCTCAAAGAGGTCCAAATATCCACTTGCAGACTTTACAAAGACAGTGTCTTCAAACTCCTCCATCAAAAGAAAGGTTATACTCTGTGAATTGAACGCACACATCACAAAGTAGTTTCTGAGAATGATTCTGTCTAGTTTTTATACGAAGATATTTCCTTTTCTACATTTGGCCTAAAAGCGCTTGAAATCTCCACCTGCAAATATCACAAAAAGAGGGTTTCACATCTGCTCTGTCTAAAGGACAGTTCACCTCTGTGAGTTGAATAGAGGCAACACAAAGAACTTACTCAGTATTCTTCTTTCTAGCGTTCTATGAAGAAATCCCGTTTCCAACGAAGGCCCCAAAGAGGTCCAAATATCTGCTTGCAGACTTTACAGACAGAGTGTTTCCAAACTACTCTATGAAAAGAAAGCTTAAACTCCTTGAGTTGAACGCACACATCACAAAGTAGTTTCTGAGAATGATTCTGTCTAGTTTTTATACGAAGATGTTTCCTTTTCTACATTTGGACTCAAAGCGATTGAAATCTCCAACTGGAAACTGCACAAATAGGGTGTTTCAAATCTGCTCTGTCTAAAGGAAGGTTCAACTCTGTGAGTTGAATACACACACCACAAATAAGTTACTGAGAATTCTTCTGTTTAACATTATATGAAGAAATCCCGTTTCCAACGAAGGCCTCAAAGAGGTCCAAATATCCACTTGCAGACTTGTCAGAGTGTTTCCAAACTGCACCATCAAAAGAAAGGTTAAACTCTGTGAGCTGAACACACACATCACAAAGTAATTTCTGTGAATGATTCTGTCTCGTTTTTATACGAAGATGTTTCCTTTTCTACCTTTGGTCTCAAAGCGATTGAAATCTCCACATGGAAACTCCACAAAAAGAGTGTTTCAAATCTGCTCTTTCTGAAGGAAGGTTCAACTCTGTGAGTTGAATACACACACCACAAATAAGTTACTGAGAATTCTTCTGTGTAACATTATATGAGGAAATCCCGTTTCCAACGAAGGCCTCAAAGAGATCCAAATATCCACTTGCAGACTTTACAAAGACAGTGTCTCCAAACTCCTCCATCAAAAGAAAGGTTATACTCTGTGAATTGAACGCACACATCACAAAGTAGTTTACTGAGAATGATTCTGTCTAGTTTTTATACGAAGATATTTCCTTTTCTACATTTGGCCTAAAAGCGCTTGAAATCTCCACCTGCAAATATCACAAAAAGAGGGTTTCACATCTGCTCTGTCTAAAGGACAGTTCACCTCTGTGAGTTGAATAGAGGCAACACAAAGAACTTACCCAGTATTCTTCTTTCTAGCGTTCTATGAAGAAATCCCGTTTCCAACGAAGGCCCCAAAGAGGTCCAAATATCTGCTTGCAGACTTTACAGACAGAGTGTTTCCAAACTACTCTATGAAAAGAAAGCTTAAACTCCTTGAGTTGAACGCACACATCACAAAGTAGTTTCTGAGAATGATTCTGTCTAGTTTTTATACGAAGATGTTTCCTTTTCTACATTTGGTCTCAAAGCGATTGAAATCTCCAACTGGAAACTGCACAAATAGGGTGTTTCAAATCTGCTCTGTCTAAAGGAAGGTTCAACTCTGTGAGTTGAATACACACACCACAAATAAGTTACTGAGAATTCTTCTGTCGAACATTACTTGAAGAAATCCCGTTTCCAACGAAGGCCTCAAAGAGGTCCAAATATCCACTTGCAGACATTACAAACAGAGTGTTTCCAAACTGCTCCATCAAAAGAAAGGTTAAACTCTGTGAGCTGAACACACACATCAAAAAGAAGTTTCTGTGAATGATTCTGTCTAGATTTTATAAGAAGATGTTTCCTTTTCTACCGTAGGCCTCAAAGCGCTTGAAATCTCCAGCTGCAAATTCCACAAAAAGGGTGTTTAACATCTGCTCTTCTAAAGGAAAGTTCAACTCTATGAGTTGAATACACACAGCACAAAGAAGTTACTGAGACTTCTCCTATCAAACATTATATGAAGAAATCCCGTTTCCAACGAAGGCCTCAAAGAGGTCCAAATATCTGCTTGCAGACTTTACAGACAGAGTATTTCCAAACTGCTCCATCAAAAGAAAGGTTAAACTCCTTGAGTTGAACACACACATCACAAAGTAGTTTCTGTGAATGATTCTGTCTAGTTTTTATACGAAGATGTTTCCTTTTCTACCTTTGGTCTCAAAGCGATTGAAATCTCCACTTGGAAACTCCACAAAAAGAGAGTTTCAAATCTGCTCTTTCTGAAGGAAGGTTCAACTCTGTGAGTTGAATACACACACCACAAATAAGTTACTGAGAATTCTTCTGTGTAACATTATATGAGGAAATCCCGTTTCCAACGAAGGCCTCAAAGAGGTCCCAAATATCCACTTGCAGACTTTACAAAGACAGTGTCTCCAAACTCCTCCATCAAAAGAAAGGTTATACTCTGTGAATTGAACGCACACATCACAAAGTAGTTTCTGAGAATGATTCTGTCTAGTTTTTATACGAAGATATTAGCTTTTCTACATTTGGCCTAAAAGCGCTTGAAATCTCCACCTGCAAATATCACAAAAAGAGGGTTTCACATCTGCTCTGTCTAAAGGACAGTTCACCTCTGTGAGTTGAATAGAGGCAACACCAAGAACTTACTCACTATTCTTCTTTCTAGCGTTATATGAAGAAATCCCGTTTCCAACGAAGGCCTCAAAGAGGTCCAAATATCTGCTTGCAGACTTTACAGACAGAGTGTTTCCAAACTACTCTATGAAAAGAAAGCTTAAACTCCTTGAGTTGAACGCACACATCACAAAGTAGTTTCTGAGAATGATTCTGTCTAGTTTTTATACGAAGATGTTTCCTTTTCTACATTTGGTCTCAAAGCGATTGAAATCTCCAACTGGAAACTGCACAAATAGGGTGTTTCAAATCTGCTCTGTCTAAAGGAAGGTTCAACTCTGTGAGTTGAATACACACACCACAAATAAGTTACTGAGAATTCTTCTGTCGAACATTACATGAAGAAATCCCGTTTCCAACGAAGGCCTCAAAGAGGTCCAAATATCCACTTGCAGACATTACAAACAGAGTGTTTCCAAGCTGCTCCATCAAAAGAAAGGTTAAACTCTGTGAGCTGAACTCACACATCAAAAAGAAGTTTCTGTGAATGATTCTGTCTAGATTTTATAAGAAGATGTTTCCTTTTCTACCGTAGGCCTCAAAGCGCTTGAAATCTCCACCTGCAAAATCCACAAAAAGGGTGTTTAACATCTGCTCTTCTAAAGGAAAGTTCAACTCTATGAGTTGAATACACAAAGCACAAAGAAGTTACTGAGAATTCTCCTATCAAACATTATATGAAGAAATCCCGTTTCCAACGAAGGCCTCAAAGAGGTCCAAATATCTGCTTGCAGACTTTACAGACAGAGTGTTTCCAAACTGCTCCATCAAAAGAAAGGTTAAACTCCTTGAGTTGAACACACACATCACAAAGTAGTTTCTGTGAATGATTCTGTCTAGTTTTTATACGAAGATGTTTCCTTTTCTACCTTTGGTCTCAAAGCGATTGAAATGTCCACATGGAAACTCCACAAAAAGAGTGTTTCAAATCTGCTCTTTCTGAAGGAAGGTTCAACTCTGTGAGTTGAATACACACACCACAAATAAGTTACTGAGAATTCTTCTGTGTAACATTATACGAGGAAATCCCGTTTCCAACGAAGGCCTCAAAAAGGTCCAAATATCCACTTGCAGACTTTACAAAGACAGTGTCTCCAAACTCCTCCATCAAAAGAAAAGTTATACTCTGTGAATTGAACGCACACATCACAAAGTAGTTTCTGAGAATGATTCTGTCTAGTTTTTATACGAAGATATTTCCTTTTCTACATTTGGCCTAAAAGCGCTTGAAATCTCCACCTGCAAATATCCCAAAAAGAGGGTTTCACATCTGCTCTGTCTAAAGGACAGTTCACCTCTGTGAGTTGAATAGAGGCAACACAAAGAACTTACTCAGTATTCTTCTTTCTAGCGTTCTATGAAGAAATCCCGTTTCCAACGAAGGCCCCAAAGAGGTCCAAATATCTGCTTGCAGACTTTACAGACAGAGTGTTTCCAAACTACTCTATGAAAAGAAAGCTTAAACTCCTTGAGTTGAACGCACACATCACAAAATAGTTTCTGAGAATGATTCTGTCTAGTTTTTATACGAAGATGTTTCCTTTTCTACATTTGGTCTCAAAGCGATTGAAATCTCCAACTGGAAACTGCACAAATAGGGTGTTTCAAATCTGCTCTGTCTAAAGGAAGGTTCAACTGTGTGAGTTGAATACACACACCACAAATAAGTTACTGAGAATTCTTCTGTCGAACATTACTTGAAGAAATCCCGTTTCCAACGAAGGCCTCAAAGAGGTCCAAATATCCACTTGCAGACATTACAAACAGTGTGTTTCCCAACTGCTCCATCAAAAGAAAGGTTAAACTCTGTGAGCTGGACACACACATCAAAAAGAAGTTTCTGTGAATGATTCTGTCTAGATTTTATAAGAAGATGTTTCCTTTTCTACCGTAGGCCTCAAAGCGCTTGAAATCTCCAGCTGCAAATTCCACAAAAAGGGTGTTTAACATCTGCTCTTCTAAAGGAAAGTTCAACTCTATGAGTTGAATACACACAGCACAAAGAAGTTACTGAGACTTCTCCTATCAAACATTATATGAAGAAATCCCGTTTCCAACGAAGGCCTCAAAGAGGTCCAAATATCCACTTGCAGACGTGACAAACAGAGTGTTTCCAAACTGCTCCATCAAAAGAAAGGTTAAACTCTGTGAGTTGAACACACACATCACAAAGTAGTTTCTGTGAATGATTCTGTCTAGTTTTTATACGAAGATGTTTCCTTTTCTACCTTTGGTCTCAATGCGATTGAAATCTCCACATGGAAACTCCACAAAAAGAGTGTTTCAAATCTGCTCTTTCTGAAGGAAGGTTCATCTCTGTGAGTTGAATACACACACCACAAATAAGTTACTGAGAATTCTTCTGTGTAACATTATATGAGGAAATCCCGTTTCCAACGAAGGCCTCAAAGAGGTCCAAATATCCACTTGCAGACTTTACAAAGACAGTGTCTCCAAACTCCTCCATCAAAAGAAAGGTTATACTCTGTGAATTGAACGCACACGTCACAAAGTAGTTTCTGAGAATGATTCTGTCTAGTTTTTATACGAAGATATTTCCTTTTCTACATTTGGCCTAAAAGTGCTTGAAATCTCCACCTGCAAATATCACAAAAAGAGGGTTTCACATCTGCTCTGTCTAAAGGACAGTTCACCTCTGTGAGTTGAATAGAGGCAACACAAAGAACTTACTCAGTATTCTTCTTTCTAGCGTTCTATGAAGAAATCCCGTTTCCAACGAAGGCCCCAAAGAGGTCCAAATATCTGCTTGCACACTTTACAGACAGAGTGTTTCCAAACTACTCTATGAAAAGAAAGCTTAAACTCCTTGAGTTGAACGCACACATCACAAAGAGTTTCTGAGAATGATTCTGTCTAGTTTTTATACGAAGATGTTTCCTTTTCTACATTTGGTCTCAAAGCGATTGAAATCTCCAACTGGAAACTGCACAAATAGGGTGTTTCAAATTTGCTCTGTCTAAAGGAAGGTTCAACTCTGTGAGTTGAATACACACACCACAAATAAGTTACTGAGAATTCTTCTCCCGAACATTACTTGAAGAAATCCCGTTTCCAACGAGGGCCTCAAAGAGGTCCAAATATCCACTTGCAGACATTACAAACAGAGTGTTTCCAAACTGCTCCATCAAAAGAAAGGTTAAACTCTGTGAGCTGAACACACACATCAAAAAGAAGTTTCTGTGAATGATTCTGTCTAGATTTTATAAGATGTTTCCTTTTCTACCGTAGGCCTCAAAGCGCTTGAAATCTCCAGCTGCAAATTCCACAAAAAGGGTGTTTAACATCTGCTCTTCTAAAGGAAAGTTCAACTCTATGCGTTGAATACACACAGCACAAAGAAGTTACTGAGACTTCTCCTATCAAACATTATATGAAGAAATCCCGTTTCCAACGAAGGCCTCAAAGAGGTCCAAATATCTACTTGCAGACTTTACAGACAGAGTGTTTCCAAACTGCTCCATCAAAAGAAAGGTTAAACTCCTTGAGTTGAACACACACATCACAAAGTAGTTTCTGTGAATGATTCTGTCTAGTTGTTATACGAAGATGTTTCCTTTTCTACCTTTGGTCTCAAAGCGATTGAAATCTCCACATGGAAACTCCACAAAAAGAGTGTTTCAAATCTGCTCTTTCTGAAGGAAGGTTCATCTCTGTGAGTTGAATACACACACCACAAATAAGTTACTGAGAATTCTTCTGTGTAACATTATATGAGGAAATCCCGTTTCCAACGAAGGCCTCAAAGAGGTCCAAATATCCACTTGCAGACTTTACAAAGACAGTGTCTCCAAACTCCTCCATCAAAAGAAAGGTTATACTCTGTGAATTGAACGCACACATCACAAAGTAGTTTCTGAGAATGATTCTGTCTAGTTTTTATACGAAGATATTTCCTTTTCTACATTTGGCCTAAAAGCGCTTGAAATCTCCACCTGCAAATATCACAAAAAGAGGGTTTCACATCTGCTCTGTCTAAAGGACAGTTCACCTCTGTGAGTTGAATAGAGGCAACACAAAGAACGTACTCAGTATTCTTCTTTCTAGCGTTCTATGAAGAAATCCCGTTTCCAACGAAGGCCTCAAAGACGTCCAAATATCTGCTTGCAGACTTTACCGACAGAGTGTTTCCAAACTACTCTATGAAAAGAAAGCTTAAACTCCTTGAGTTGAACGCACACATCACAAAGTAGTTTCTGAGAATGATTCTGTCTAGTTTTTATACGAAGATGTTTCCTTTTCTACATTTGGTCTCAAAGCGATTGAAATCTCCAACTGGAAACTGCACAAATAGGGTGTTTCAAATCTGCTCTGTCTAAAGGAAGGTTCAACTCTGTGAGTTGAATACACACACCACAAATAAGTTACTGAGAATTCTTCTGTCGAACATTACATGAAGAAATCCCGTTTCCAACGAAGGCCTCAAAGACGTCCAAATATCCACTTGCAGACATTACAAACAGAGTGTTTCCAAACTGCTCCATCAAAAGAAAGGTTAAACTCTGTGAGCTGAACACACACATCAAAAAGAAGTTTCTGTGAATGATTCTGTCTAGATTTTATAAGAAGATGTTTCCTTTTCTACCGTAGGCCTCAAAGTGCTTGTAATCTCCAGCTGCAAATTCCACAAAAAGGGTGTTTAACATCTGCTCTTCTAAAGGAAAGTTCAACTCTATGCGTTGAATACACACATCACAAAGAAGTTACTGAGACTTCTCCTATCAAACATTATATGAAGAAATCCCGTTTCCAACGAAGGCCTCAAAGAGGTCCAAATATCTGCTTGCAGACTTTACAGACAGAGTATTTCCAAACTGCTCCATCAAAAGAAAGGTTAAACTCCTTGAGTTGAACACACACATCACAAAGTAGTTTCTGTGAATGATTCTGTCTAGTTTTTATACGAAGATGTTTCCTTTTCTACCTTTGGTCTCAAAGCGATTGAAATCTCCACATGGAAACTCCACAAAAAGAGTGTTTCAAATCTGCTCTTTCTGAAGGAAGGTTCAACTCTGTGAGTTGAATACACACACCACAAATAAGTTACTGAGAATTCTTCTGTGTAACATTATATGAGGAAATCCCGTTTCCAACGAAGGCCTCAAAGAGGTCCAAATATCCACTTGCAGACTTTACAAAGACAGTGTCTCCAAACTCCTCCATCAAAAGAAAGGTTATACTCTGTGAATTGAACGCACACATCACAAAGTAGTTTCTCAGAATGATTCTGTCTAGTTTTTATACGAAGATGTTTCCTTTTCTACATTTGGCCTAAAAGTGCTTGAAATCTCCACCTGCAAATATCACAAAAAGAGGGTTTCACATCTGCTCTGTCTAAAGGACAGTTCACCTCTGTGAGTTGAATAGAGGCAACACAAAGAACTTACTTAGTATTCTTCTTTCTAGCGTTCTATGAAGAAATCCCGTTTCCAACGAAGGCCTCAAAGAGGTCCAAATATCTGCTTGCAGACTTCACAGACAGAGTGTTTCCAAACTACTCTATGAAAAGAAAGCTTAAACTCCTTGTGTTGAACGCATACATCACAAAGTAGTTTCTGAGAATGATTCTGTCTAGTTTTTATACGAAGATGTTTCCTTTTCTACATTTGGTCTCAAAGCGATTGAAATCTCCAACTGGAAACTGCACAAATAGGGTGTTTCAAATCTGCTCTGTCTAAAGGAAGGTTCAACTCTGTGAGTTGAATACACACACCACAAATAAGTTACTGAGAATTCTTCTGTCGAACATTACATGAAGAAATCCCGTTTCCAACGAAGGCCTCAAAGAGGTCCAAATATCCACTTGCAGACATTACAGAGTGTTTCCAAACTGCTCCATCAAAAGAAAGGTTAAAGTCTGTGAGCTGAACACACACATCAAAAAGAAGTTTCTGTGAGTGATTCTGTCTAGATTTTATAAGAAGATGTTTCCTTTTCTACCGTAGGCCTCAAAGCGCTTGAAATCTCCAGCTGCAAATTCCACAAAAAGGGTGTTTAACATCTGCTCTTCTAAAGGAAAGTTCAACTCTATGAGTTGAATACACACAGCACAAAGAAGTTACTGAGACTTCTCGTATCAAACATTATATGAAGAAATCCCGTTTCCAACGAAGGCCTCAAAGAGGTCCAAATATCTGCTTGCAGACTTTACAGACAGAGTCTTTCCAAACTGCTCCATCAAAAGAAAGCTTAAACTCCTTGAGTTGAACGCACACATCACAAAGTAGTTTCTGAGAATGATTCTGTCTAGTTTTTATACGAAGATGTTTCCTTTTCTACATTTGGTCTCAAAGCCATTGAAATCTCCACATGGAAACTCCACAAAAAGAGTGTTACAAATCTGCTCTTTCTGAAGGAAGGTTCAACCCTGTGAGTTGAATACACACACCACAAATAAGTTACTGAGAATTCTTCTGTGTAACATTATAGGAGGAAATCCCGTTTCCAACGAAGGCCTCAAAGAGGTCCAAATATCTGCTTGCAGACTTTACAGACAGAGTGTTTCCAAACTACTCTATGAAAAGAAAGCTTAAACTCCTTGAGTTGAACGCACACATCACAAAGTAGTTTCTGAGAATGATTCTGTCTAGTTTTTATACGAAGATGTTTCCTTTTCTACATTTGGTCTCAAAGCGATTGAAATCTCCAACTGGAAACTGCACAAATAGGGTGTTTCAAATCTGCTCTGTCTAAAGGAAGGTTCAACTCTTTGAGTTGAATACACACACCACAAATAAGTTACTGAGAATTCTTCTGTCGAACATTACAGGAAGAAATCCCGTTTCCAACGAAGGCCTCAAAGAGGTCCAAATATCCACTTGCAGACATTACAAACAGTGTGTTTCCCAACTGCTCCATCAAAAGAAAGGTTAAACTCTGTGAGCTGAACACACACATCAAAAAGAAGTTTCTGTGAATGATTCTGTCTAGATTTTATAAGAAGATGTTTCCTTTTCTACCGTAGGCCTCAAAGCGCTTGAAATCTCCAGCTGCAAATTACACAAAAAGGGTGTTTAACATCTGCTCTTCTAAAGGAAAGTTCAACTCTATGAGTTGATTACACACAGCACAAAGAAGTTACTGAGACTTCTTCTTTCTAGCATTCTATGAAGAAATCCCGTTTCCAACGAAGGCCCCAAAGAGGTCCAAATATCTGCTTGCAGACTTTACAGACAGAGTTTTTCCAAACTGCTCCATCAAAAGAATGGTTAAACTCCTTGAATTGAACACACACATCACAAAGTAGTTTCTGTGAATGATTCTGTCTAGTTTTTATACGAAGATGTTTCCTTTTCTATCTTTGGTCTCAAAGCGATTGAAATCTCCACATGGAAACTCCACAAAAAGAGTGTTTCAAATCTGCTCTTTCTGAAGGAAGGTTCAACTCTGTGAGTTGAATACACACACCCCAAATAAGTTACTGAGAATTCTTCTGTGTAACATTATATGAGGAAATCCCGTTTCCAACGAAGGCCTCAAAGAGGTCCAAATATCCACTTGCAGACTTTACAAAGACAGTGTCTCCAAACTGCTCCATCAAAAGAAAGGTTATACTCTGTGAATTGAACGCACACATCACAAAGTAGTTTCTGAGAATGATTCTGTCTAGTTTTTATAAGAAGATATTTCCTTTTCTACATTTGGCCTAAAAGCGCTTGAAATCTCCACGTGCAAATATCACAAAAAGAGGGTTTCACACCTGCTCTGTCTAATGGACTGTTCACCTCTGTGAGTTGAATAGAGGCAACACAAAGAACTTACTCAGTATTCTTCTTTCTAGCGTTATATGAAGAAATCCCTTTTCCAACGAAGGACTCAAAGAGGTCCAAATATCTGCTTGCAGACTTTACAGACAGAGTGTTTCCAAACTACTCTATGAAAAGAGAGCTTAAACTCCGTGAGTTGAACGCACACATCACAAAGTAGTTTCTGAGAATGATTCTGTCTAGTTTTTATACGAAGATGTTTCCTTTTCTACATTTGGTCTCAAAGCGATTGAAATCTCCAACTGGAAACTGCACAAATAGGGTGTTTCAAATCTGCTCTGTCTAAAGGAAGGTTCAACTCTGTGAGTTGAATACACACACCACAAATAAGTTACTGAGAATTCTTCTGTCGAACATTACATGAAGAAATCCCGTTTCCAAAGAAGGCCTCAAAGACGTCCAAATATCCACTTGCAGACATTACAAACAGAGTGTTTCCAAACTGCTCCATCAAAAGAAAGGTTAAACTCTGTGAGCTGAACACACACATCAAAAAGAAGTTTCTGTGAATGATTCTGTCTAGATTTTATAAGAAGATGTTTCCTTTTCTACCGTAGGCCTCAAAGCGCTTGAAATCTCCAGCTGCAAATTCCACAAAAAGGGTGTTTAACATCTGCTCTTCTAAAGGAAAGTTCAACTCTATGAGTTGAATACACACAGCACAAAGAAGTTACTGAGACTTCTCCTATCAAACATTATATGAAGAAATCCCGTTTCCAACGAAGGCCTCAAAGAGGTCCAAATATCTGCTTGCAGACTTTACAGACAGAGTGTTTCCAAACTGCTCCATCAAAAGAAAGGTTAAACTCCTTGAGTTGAACACACACATCACAAAGTAGTTTCTGTGAATGATTCTGTCTAGTTTTTATACGAAGATGTTTCCTTTTCTACCTTTGGTCTCAAAGCGATTGAAATCTCCACATGGAAACTCCACAAAAAGAGTGTTTCAAATCTGCTCTTTCTGAAGGAAGGTTCAACTCTGTGAGTTGAATACACACACCACAAATAAGTTACTGAGAATTCTTCTGTGTAACATTATATGAGGAAATCCCGTTTCCAACGAAGGCCTCAAAGAGGTCCAAATATCCACTTGCAGACTTTACAAAGACAGTGTCTCCAAACTCCTCCATCAAAAGAAAGGTTATACTCTGTGAATTGAACGCACACATCACAAAGTAGTTTCTGAGAATGATTTCTGTCTGGTTTTTATACGAAGATATTTCCTTTTCTACATTTGGCCTAAAAGCGCTTGAAATCTCCACCTGCAAATATCACAAAAAGAGGGTTTCACATCTGCTCTGTCTAAAGGACAGTTCACCTCTGTGAGTTGAATAGAGGCAACCCAGAGAACTTACTCAGTATTCTTCTTTCTAGCGTTATATGAAGAAATCCCGTTTCCAACGAAGGCCTCAAAGAGGTCCAAATATCTGCTTGCAGACTTTACAGACAGAGTGTTTCCAAACTGCTCCATCAAAAGAAAGGTTAAACTCTGTGAGTTGAACACACACATCACAAAGTAGTTTCTGTGAATGATTCTGTCTAGTTTTTATACGAAGATGTTTCCTTTTCTACATTTGGTCTCAAAGCGATTGAAATCTCCAACTGGAAACTGCACAAATAGGGTGTTTCAAATCTGCTCTGTCTAAAGGAAGGTTCAACTCTGTGAGTTGAATACACACACCACAAATAAGTTACTGAGAATTCTTCTGTCTAACATTACTTGAAGAAATCCCGTTTCCAACGAAGGCCTCAAAGAGGTCCAAATAACCACTTGCAGACATTACAAACAGAGTGTTTCCAAACTGCTCCATCAAAAGAAAGGTTAAACTCTGTGAGCTGCACACACACATCAAAAAGAAGTTTCTGTGAATGATTCTGTCTAGATTTTATAAGAAGATGTTTCCTTTTCTACCGTAGGCCTCAAAGCGCTTGAAATCTCCAGCTGCAAATTCCACAAAAAGGGTGTTTAACATCTGCTCTTCTAAAGGAAAGTTCAACTCTATGAGTTGAATACACACAGCACAAAGAAGTTACTGAGACTTCTCCTATCAAACATTATATGAAGAAATCCCGTTTCCAACGAAGGCCTCAAAGAGGTCCAAATATCTGCTTGCAGACTTTACAGACAGAGTGTTTCCAAACTGCTCCATCAAAAGAAAGGTTAAACTCCTTGAGTTGAACACACACATCACAAAGTAGTTTCTGTGAATGATTCTGTCTAGTTTTTATACGAAGATGTTTCCTTTTCTACCTTTGGTCTCAAAGCGATTGAAATCTCCACATGGAAACTCCACAAAAAGAGTGTTTCAAATCTGCTCTTTCGGAAGGAAGGTTCAACTCTGTGAGTTGAATACACACACCACAAATAAGTTACTGAGAATTCTTCTGTGTAACATTATATGAGGAAATCCCGTTTCCAACGAAGGCCTCAAAGAGGTCCAAATATCCACTTGCAGACTTTACAAAGACAGTGTCTCCAAACTCCTCCATCAAAAGAAAGGTTATACTCTGTGAATTGAACGCACACATCACAAAATAGTTTCTGAGAATGATTCAGTCTAGTTTTTATACGAAGATATTTCCTTTTCTACATTTGGCCTAAAAGCGCTTGAAATCTCCACCTGCAAATATCACAAAAAGAGGGTTTCACATCTGCTCTGTCTAAAGGACAGTTCACCTCTGTGAGTTGAATAGAGGCAACACAAAGAACTTACTCAGTATTCTTCTTTCTAGCATTCTGTGAAGAAATCCCGTTTCCAACGAAGGCCCCAAAGAGGTCCAAATATCTGCTTGCAGACTTTACAGACAGAGTTTTTCGAAACTGCTCCATCAAAAGAAAGGTTAAACTCCTTGAGTTGAACACACACATCACAGAGTAGTTTCTGAGAATGATTCTGTCTAGTTTTTATACGAAGATGTTTCCTTTTCTACATTTGGTCTCAAAGCGATTGAAATCTCCAACTGGAAACTGCACAAATAGGGTGTTTCAAATCTGCTCTGTCTAAAGGAAGGTTCAACTCTGTGAGTTGAATACACACAGCACAAATAAGTTACTGAGAATTCTTCTGTCGAACATTACATGAAGAAATCCCGTTTCCAACGAATGCCTCAAAGAGGTCCAAATATCCACTTGCAGACATTACAAACAGAGTGTTTCCAAACTGCTCCATCAAAGGAAAGGTTAAACTCTGTGAGCTGAACACACCCATCAAAAAGAAGTTTCTGTGAATGATTCTGTCTAGATTTTATAAGAAGATGTTTCCTTTTCTACCATAGGCCTCAAAGCGCTTGAAATCTCCAGCTGCAAATTCCACAAAATGGGTGTTTAACATCTGCTCTTCTAAAGGAAAGTTCAACTCTATGAGTTGAATACACACAGCACAAAGAAGTTACTGAGACTTCTCCTATCAAACATTATATGAAGAAATCCCGTTTCCAACGAAGGCCTCAAAGAGGTCCAAATATCTGCTTGCAGACTTTACAGACAGAGTATTTCCAAACTGCTCCATCAAAAGAAAGGTTAAACTCCTTGAGTTGAACACACACATCACAAAGTAGTTTCTGTGAATGATTCTGTCTAGTTTTTATACGAAGATGTTTCCTTTTCTACCTTTGGTCTCAAAGCGATTGAAATCTCCACATGGAAACTCCACAAAAAGAGTGTTTCAAATCTGCTCTTTCTGAAGGAAGGTTCAACTCTGTGAGTTGAATACACACACCACAAATAAGTTACTGAGAATTCTTCTGTGTAACATTATATGAGGAAATCCCGTTTCCAACGAAGGCCTCAAAGAGGTCCAAATATCCACTTGCAGACTTTACAAACACAGTGTCTCCAAACTCCTCCATCAAAAGAAAGGTTATACTCTGTGAATTGAACGCACACATCACAAAGTAGTTTCTGAGAATGATTCTGTCTAGTTTTTATACGAAGATATTTCCTTTTCTACATTTGGCCTAAAAGTGCTTGAAATCTCCACCTGCAAATATCACAAAAAGAGGGTTTCACATCTGCTCTGTCTAAAGGACAGTTCACCTCTGTGAGTGGAATAGAGGCAACACAAAGAACTTACTCAGTATTCTTCTTTCTAGCGTTATATGAAGAAATCCCGTTTCCAACGAAGGCCTCAAAGAGGTCCAAATATCTGCTTGCAGACTTTACAGACAGAGTGTTTCCAAACTACTCTTTGAAAAGAAAGCTTAAACTCCTTGAGTTGAACGCACACATCACAATGTAGTTTCTGAGAATGATTCTGTCTAGTTTTTATACGAAGATGTTTCCTTTTCTACATTTGGCCTAAAAGTGCTTGAAATCTCCACCTGCAAATATCACAAAAAGAGGGTTTCACATCTGCTCTGTCTAAAGGACAGTTCACCTCTGCGAGTTGAATAGAGGCAACACAAAGAACTTAGTATTCTTCTTTCTACCGTTCTATGAAGAAATCCCGTTTCCAACGAAGGCCTCAAAGAGGTCCAAATATCTGCTTGCAGACTTTACAGACAGAGTGTTTCCAAACTACTCTATGAAAAGAAAGCTTAAACTCCTTGAGTTGAACGCACACATCACAAAGTAGTTTCTGAGAATGATTCTGTCTTGTTTTTATACGAAGATATTTCCGTTTCTATGATTGGCCTCCAAGCGATTGAAATCTCCAACTGGAAACTGCACAAATAGGCTGTTTCAAATCTGCTCTGTCTAAAGGAAGGTTCAACTCTGTGAGTTGAATACACACACCACAAATAAGTTACTGAGAATTCTTCTGTCGAACATTACATGAAGAAATCCCGTTTCCAACGAAGGCCTCAAAGAGGTCCAAATATCCACTTGCAGACATTTCAAACAGAGTGTTTCCAAACTGCTCCATCAAAAGAAAGGTTAAACTCTGTGAGCTGAACACACACATCAGAAAGAAGTTTCTGTGAATGATTCTGTCTAGATTTTATAAGAAGATGTTTCCTTTTCTACCGTAGGCCTCAAAGCGCTTGAAATCTCCAGCTGCAAATTCCACAAAAAGGGTGTTTAACATCTGCTCTTCTAAAGGAAAGTTCAACTCTATGAGTTGAATACACACAGCACAAAGAAGTTACTGAGACTTCTCCTATCAAACATTATATGAAGAAATCCCGTTTCCAATGAAGGCCTCAAAGAGGTCCAAATATCTGCTTGCAGACTTTACAGACAGAGTGTTTCCAGACTGCTCCATCAAAAGAAAGGTTAAACTCCTTGAGTTGAACACACACATCACAAAGTAGTTTCTGTGAATGATTCTGTCTAGTTTTTACACGAAGATGTTTCCTTTTCTACCTTTGGTCTCAAAGCGATTGAAATCTCCACATGGAAACTCCACAAAAAGAGTGTTTCAAATCTGCTCTTTCTGAAGGAAGGTTCAACTCTGTGAGTTGAATACACACACCACAAATAAGTTACTGAGAATTCTTCTGTCGAACATTACAGGAAGAAATCCCGTGTCCAACGAAGGCCTCAAAGAGGTCCAAATATCCACTTGCAGACTTTACAAAGACAGTGTCTCCAAACTCTTCCATCAAAAGAAAGGTTATACTCTGTGAATTGAACGCACACATCACAAAGTAGTTTCTGAGAATGATTCTGTCTAGTTTTTATACGAAGATGTTTCCTTTTCTACATTTGGCCTAAAAGTGCTTGAAATCTCCACCTGCAAATATCACAAAAAGAGGGTTTCACATCTGCTCTGTCTAAAGGACAGTTCACCTCTGTGAGTTGAATAGAGGCAACACAAAGAACTTACTCAGTATTCTTCTTTCTAGCGTTCTATGAAGAAATCCCGTTTCCAACGAAGGCCTCAAAGAGGTCCAAATATCTGCTTGCAGACTTTACAGACAGAGTGTTTCCAAACTACTCTATGAAAAGAAAGCTTAAACCCCTTGAGTTGAACGCACACATCACAAAGTAGTTTCTGAGAATGATTCTGTCTAGTTTTTATACGAAGATGTTTCCTTTTCTACATTTGGTCTCAAAGCGATTGAAATCTCCAACTGGAAACTGCACAAATAGGGTGTTTCAAATCTGCTCTGTCTAAAGGAAGGTTCAACTCTGTGAGTTGAATACACACACCACAAATAAGTTACTGAGAATTCTTCTGTCGAACATTACAGGAAGAAATCCCGTTTCCAACGAAGGCCTCAAAGAGGTCCAAATATCCACTTGCAGACATTACAAACAGTGTGTTTCCAAACTTCTCCATCAAAAGAAAGGTTAAACTCTGTGAGCTGAACACACACATCAAAAAGAAGTTTCTGTGAATGATTCTGTCTAGATTTTATAAGAAGATGTTTCCTTTTCTACCGTAGGCCTCAAAGCGCTTGAAATCTCCAGCTGCAAATTCCACAAAAAGGGTGTTTAACATCTGCTCTTCTAAAGGAAAGTTCAACTCTATGAGTTGAATACACACAGCACAAAGAAGTTACTGAGACTTCTTCTTTCTAGCATTCTATGAAGAAATCCCATTTCCAACGAAGGCCCCAAAGAGGTCCAAATATCTGCCTGCAGACTTTACAGACAGAGTTTTTCCAAACTGCTCCATCAAAAGAAAGGTTAAACTCCTTGAGTTGAACACACACATCACAAAGTAGTTTCTGTGAATGATTCTGTCTAGTTTTTATACGAAGATGTTTCCTTTTCTACCTTTGGTCTCAAAGCGATTGAAATCTCCACATGGAAACACCACAAAAAGAGTGTTTCAAATCTGCTCTTTCTGAAGGAAGGTTCAACTCTGTGAGTTGAATACACACAGCACAAATAAGTTACTGAGAATTCTTCTGTGTAACATTATATGAGGAAATCCCGTTTCCAACGAAGGCCTCAAAGAGGTCCAAATATCCACTTGCAGACTTTACAAAGACAGTGTCTCCAAACTCCTCCATCAAAAGAAAGGTTATACTCTGTGAATTGAACGCACACATCACAAAGTAGTTTCTGAGAATGATTCTGTCTAGTTTTTATACGAAGATATTTCCTTTTCTACATTTGGCCTAAAAGCGCTTGAAATCTCCACCTGCAAATATCACAAAAAGAGGGTTTCACATCTGCTCTGTCTAAAGGACAGTTCACCTCTGTGAGTTGAATAGAGGCAACACAAAGAACTTACTCAGTATTCTTCTTTCTAGCGTTATATGAAGAAATCCCGTTTCCAACGATGTCCTCAAAGAGGTACAAATATCTGCTTGCAGACTTTACAGACAGAGTGTTTCCAAACTACTCTATGAAAAGAAAGCTTAAACTCCGTGACGTGAATGCACACATCACAAAGAAGTTTCTGAGAATGATTCTGTCTTGTTTTTATACGAAGATATTTCCGTTTCTATGATTGGCCTCAAACCATTGAAATCTCCAACTGGAAACTGTACAAATAGGGTGTTTCAAATCTGCTCTGTCTAAAGGAAGGTTCAACTCTGTGAGTTGAATACACACACCACAAATAAGTTACTGAGAATTCTTCTGTCGACCATTACTTGAAGAAATCCCGTTTCCAACGAAGGCCTCAAAGAGGTCCAAATATCCACTTGCAGACATTACAAACAGAGTGTTTCCAAACTGCTCCATCAAAAGAAAGGTTAAACTCTGTGAGCTGAACACACACATCGAAAAGATGTTTCTGTGAATGATTTCTGTCAAGATTTTATAAGATGTTTCCATTTCTACCGTAGGACTCAAAGCGCTTGAAATCTCCAGCTGCAAATTCCACAAAAAGGGTGTTTAACATCTGCTCTTCTAAAGGAAAGTTCAACTCTATGAGTTGAATACACACAGCACAAAGAAGTTACTGAGACTTCTCCTATCAAACATTATATGAAGAAATCCCGTTTCCAACGAAGGCCTCAAAGAGGTCCAAATATCTGCTTGCAGACTTTAAAGACAGAGTTTTTCCAAACTGCTCCATCAAAAGAAAGGTTAAACTCCTTGAGTTGAATACACACATCACAAAGTAGTTTCTGTGAATGATTCTGTCTAGTTTTTATACGAAGATGTTTCCTTTTCTACCTTTGGTCTCAAAGCGATTGAAATCTCCACATGGAAACTCCACAAAAAGAGTGTTTCAAATCTGCTCTTTCTGAAGGAAGGTTCAACTCTGTGAGTTGAATACACACACCACAAATAAGTTACTGAGAATTCTTCTGTGTAACATTATATGAGGAAATCCCGTTTCCAACGAAGGCCTCAAAGAGGTCCAAATACCCACTTGCAGACTTTACAAAGACAATGTCTCCAAACTCCTCCATCAAAAGAAAGGTTATACTCTGTGAATTGAACGCACACATCACAAAGTAGATTCTGAGAATGATTCTGTCTAGTTTTTATACGAAGATATTTCCTTTTCTACATTTGGCCTAAAAGCGCTTGAAATCTCCACCTGCAAATATCACAAAAAGAGGGTTTCACATCTGCTCTGTCTAAAGGACAGTTCACCTCTGTGAGTTGAATAGAGGCAACACAAAGAACTTACTCAGTATTCTTCTTTCTAGCGTTCTATGAAGAAATCCCGTTTCCAACGAAGGCCCCAAAGAGGTCCAAATATCTGCTTGCAGACTTTACAGACAGAGTGTTTCCAAACTACTCTATGAAAAGAAAGCTTAAACTCCTTGAGTTGAACGCACACATCACAAAGTAGTTTCTGAGAATGATTCTGTCTAGTTTTTATACGAAGATGTTTCCTTTTCTACATTTGGTCTCAAAGCGATTGAAATCTCCAACTGGAAACTGCACAAATAGGGTGTTTCAAATCTGCTCTGTCTAAAGGAAGGTTCAACTCTGTGAGTTGAATACACACACCACAAATAAGTTACTGAGAATTCTTCTGTTGAACATTACATGAAGAAATCCCGTTTCCAACGAAGGCCTCAAAGAGGTCCAAATATCCACTTGCAGACATTACAAACAGAGTGTTTCCAAACTGCTCCCTCAAAGGAAAGGTTAAACTCTGTGAGCTGAACACACACATCGAAAAGAAGTTTCTGTGAATGATTCTGTCTAGATTTTATAAGAAGATGTTTCCTTTTCTACCGTAGGCCTCAAAGCGCTTGAAATCTCCAGCTGCAAATTCCACAAAAAGGGTGTTTAACATCTGCTCTTCTAAAGGAAAGTTCAACTCTATGAGTTGAATACACACAGCACAAAGAAGTTACTGAGACTTCTCCTATCAAACATTATATGAAGAAATCCCGTTTCCAACGAAGGCCTCAAAGAGGTCCAAATATCTGCTTGCAGACTTTACAGACAGAGTGTTTCCAAACTGCTCCATCAAAAGAAAGGTTAAACTCCTTGAGTTGAACACACACATCACAAAGTAGTTTCTGTGAATGATTCTGTCTAGTTTTTATACGAAGATGTTTCCTTTTCTACCTTTGGTCTCAAAGCGATTGAAATCTCCACATGGAAACTCCACAAAAAGAGTGTTTCAAATCTGCTCTTTCTGAAGGAAGGTTCAACTCTGTGAGTTGAATACACACACCACAAATAAGTTACTGAGAATTCTTCTGTGTAACATTATATGAGGAAATCCCGTTTCCAACGAAGGCCTCAAAGAGGTCCAAATATCCACTTGCAGACTTTACAAAGACAGTGTCTCCAAACTCCTCCATCAAAAGAAAGGTTATACTCTGTGAATTGAACCCACACATCACAAAGTAGTTTCTGAGAATGATTCTGTCTAGTTTTTATACGAAGATATTTCCTTTTCTACATTTGGCCTAAAAGCGCTTGAAATCTCCAACTGCAAATATCACAAAAAGAGGGTTTCACATCTGCTCTGTCTAAAGGACAGTTCACCTCTGTGAGTTGAATACAGGCAACACCAAGAACTTACTGAGTATTCTTCTTTCTAGCGTTATATGAAGAAATCCCGTTTCCAACGAAGGCCTCAAAGAGGTCCAAATATCTGCTTGCAGACATTACAGACAGAGTGGTTCCAAACTACTCTATGAAAAGAAAGCTTAAACTCCTTGAGTTGAACGCACACATCACAAAGTAGTTTCTGAGAATGATTCTGTCTTGTTTTTATACGAAGATATTTCCGTTTCTATGATTGGCCTCAAAGCCATTGAAATCTCCACCTGGAAACTGCACAAATAGTGTGTTTCAAATCGGCTCTGTCTAAAGGAAGGTTCAACTCTGTGAGTTGAATACACACACCACAAATAAGTTACTGAGAATTCTTCTGTCGAACATTACTTGAAGAAATACCGTTTCCAAAGAAGGCCTCAAAGAGGTCAAAATATCCACTTGCAGACATTACAAACAGAGTGTTTCAAAACTGCTCCATCAAAAGAAAGGTTAAACTCTGTGAGCTGAACAAACACATGAAAAAGAAGTTTCTGTGAATGATTCTGTCTAGATTTTATAAGAAGATGTTTCCTTTTCTACCGTAGGCCTCAAAGCGCTTGAAATCTCCAGCTGCAAATTCTACAAAAAGGGTGTTTAACATCTGCTCTTCTAAAGGAAAGTTCAACTCTATGCGCTGAATAAACACAGCAGAAAGAAGTTACTGAGACTTCTCCTATCAAACATTATATGAAGAAATCCCGTTTCCAACGAAGGCCTCAAAGAGGTCCAAATATCTGCTTGCAGACTTTACAGACAGAGTGTTTCCAAACTGCTCCATCAAAAGAAAGGTTAAACTCCTTGAGTTGAACACACACATCACAAAGTAGTTTCTGTGAATGATTCTGTCTAGTTTTTATACGAAGATGTTTCCTTTTCTACCTTTGGTCTCAAAGCGATTGAAATCTCCACATGGAAACTCCACAAAAAGAGTGTTTCAAATCTGCTCTTTCTGAAGGAAGGTTCATCTCTGTGAGTTGAATACACACACCACAAATAAGTTACTGAGAATTCTTCTGTGTAACATTATATGAGGAAATCCCGTTTCCAACGAAGGCCTCAAAGAGGTCCAAATATCCACTTGCAGACTTTACAAAGACAGTGTCTCCAAACTCCTCCATCAAAAGAAAGGTTATACTCTGTGAATTGAACGCACACATCACAAAGTAGTTTCTGAGAATGATTCTGTCTAGTTTTTATACGAAGATATTTCCTTTTCTACATTTGGCCTAAAAGTGCTTGAAATCTCCACCTGCAAATATCACAAAAAGAGGGTTTCACATCTGCTCTGTCTAAAGGACAGTTCACCTCTGTGAGTTGAATAGAGGCAACACAAAGAACTTACTCAGTATTCTTCTTTCTAGCGTTCTATGAAGAAATCCCGTTTCCAACGAAGGCCTCAAAGAGGTCCAAATATCTGCTTGCAGACTTTACAGACAGAGTGTTTCCAAACTACTCTATGAAAAGAAAGCTTAAACTCCTTGAGTTGAACGCACACATCACAAAGTAGTTTCTGAGAATGATTCTGTCTTGTTTTTATACGAAGATATTTCCGTTTCTACGATTGGCCTCAAAGCGATTGAAATCTCCAACTGGAAACTGCACAAATAGGGTGTTTCAAATCTGCTCTGTCTAAAGGAAGGTTCAACTCTGTGAGTTGAATACACACACCACAAATAAGTTACTGAGAATTCTTCTGTCGAACATTACATGAAGAAATCCCGTTTCCAAGGAAGGCCTCAAAAAGGTCCAAATATCCACTTGCAGACATTACAAACAGAGTGTTTCCAAACTACTCCATCAAAAGAAAGGTTAAACTCGGTGAGCTGAACACACACATCAAAAAGAAGTTTCTGTGAATGATTCTGTCTAGATTTTGTAAGAAGATGTTTCCTTTTCTACCGTAGGCCTCAATGCGCTTGAAATCTCCACCTGCAAATTCCACAAAAAGGGTGTTTTACATCTGCTCTTCTAAAGGAAAGTTCAACTCTATGCGTTGAATACACACAGGACAAAGAAGTTACTGAGACTTCTCCTATCAAACATTATATGAAGAAATCCCGTTTCCAACGAAGGCCTCAAAGAGGTCCAAATATCTGCTTGCAGACTTTACAGACAGAGTGTTTCCAAACTGCTCCATCAAAAGAAAGGTTAACCTCCTTGAGTTGAACACACACATCACAAAGTAGTTTCTGTGAATGATTCTGTCTAGTTTTTATAAGAAGATGTTTCCTTTTCTACCTTTGGTCTCAAAGCGATTGAAATCTCCACATGGAAACTCCTCAAAAAGAGTGTTTCAAATCTGCTCTTTCTGAAGGAAGGTTCAACTCTGTGAGTTGAATACACACACCACAAATAAGTTACTGAGAATTCTTGTCTCGAACATTACATGAAGAAATCCCGTTTCCAACGAAGGCCTCAAAGAGGTCCAAATATCCACTTGCCGACATGGCAAACACAGTGTTTGAAACTGCTCCGTCAAAAGAAAGGTTAAACTCTGTGAGATGAACACACACATCAAAAAGAAGTTTCTGTGAATGATTCTGTCTAGATTTTATAAGAAGATGTTTCCTTTTCTACCATCGGCCTCAAAGCGCTAGAAATCTCCAGCTGCAAATTCCACAAAAAGTGTGTTTAACATCTGCTCGGTGTAAAGTAAAGTTCAGCTCTGTGAGTTGAATACACACAGCACAAAGAAGTTACTGACACTTCTTCTGTCTAACATTATAAGAAGAAATCCCGTTTCCAACGAAGGCCTCAAAGAGGTCCAAATATCCACTTGCAGACGTGAAAAACAGAGTGCTTCCAAACTGCTCCATCAAAAGAAAGGTTAAACTCTGTGAGTTGAACACACACATCACAAAGTAGTTTCTGTGAATGATTCTGTCTAGTTTTTATACGAAGATGTTTCCTTTTCTACCTTTGGTCTCAAAGCGATTGAAATCTCCACATGGAAACTCCACAAAAAGAGTGTTTCAAATCTGCTCTTTCTGAAGGAAGGTTCAACTCTGTGAGTTGAATACACACACCACAAATCAGTTACTGGGAATTCTTCTGTGTAACATTATATGAGGAAATCCCGTTTCCAACGAAGGCCTCAAAGAGGTCCAAATATCCACTTGCAGACTTTACAAAGACAGTGTCTCCAAACTCCTCCATCAAAAGAAAGGTTATACTCTGTGAATTGAACGCACACATCACAAAGTAGTTTCTGAGAATGATTCTGTCTAGTTTTTATACGAAGATATTTCCTTTTCTACATTTGGCCTAAAAGCGCTTGAAATCTCCACCTGCAAATATCACAAAAAGAGGGTTTCACATCTGCTCTGTCTAAAGGACAGTTCACCTCTGTGAGTTGAATAGAGGCAACACAAAGAACTTACTCAGTATTCTTCTTTCTAGCGCTCTATGAAGAAATCCCGTTTCCAACGAAGGCCTCAAAGAGGTCCAAATATCTGCTTGCAGACTTCAGAGACAGAGTGTTTCCAAAGTACTCTATGAAAAGAAAGCTTAAACTCCTTGAGTTGAACGCACACATCACAAAGTAGTTTCTGAGAATGATTCTGTCTTGTATTTATACGAAGATATTTCCGTTTCTACGATTGGCCTCAAAGCGATTGAAATCTCCAACTGGAAACTGCCAAATAGGGTGTTTCAAATCTGCTCTGTCTAAAGGAAGGTTCAACTCTGTGAGTTGAATACACACACCACAAATAAGTTACTGAGAATTCTTCTGTCGAACATTACATGAAGAAATCCCGTTTCCAACGAAGGCCTCAAAGAGGTCAAAATATCCACTTGCAAACATTACAAACAGTGTGTTTCCAAACTGCTCCATCAAAAGAAAGGTTAAACTCTGTGAGCTGAACACACACATCAAAAAGAAGTTTCTGTGAATGATTATGTCTAGATTTTATAAGAAGATATTTCCTTTTCTACCGTAGGCCTCAAAGCGCTTGAAATCTCCAGCTGCAAATTCCACAAAAAGGGTGTTTAACATCTGGTCTTCTAAAGGAAAGTTCAACTCTATGAGTTGAATACACACAGCACAAAGAAGTTACTGAGACTTCTTCTGTCGAACATTACTTGAAGAAATCCCGTTTCCAACGAAGGCCTCAAAGAGGTCCAAATATCTGCTTGCAGACTTTACAGACAGAGTGTTTCCAAACTGCTCCATCAAAAGAAAGGTTAAACTCCTTGAGTTGAACACACACATCACAAAGTAGTTTCTGTGAATGATTCTGTCTAATTTTTATACGAAGATGTTTCCTTTTCTACCTTTGGTCTCAATGCGATTGAAATCTCCACATGGAAACCCCACAAAAAGAGTGTTTCAAATCTGCTCTTTCTGAAGGAAGGTTCAACTCTGTGAGTTGAATACACACACCACAAATAAGTTACTGAGAATTCTTCTGTGTAACATTATATGAGGAAATCCCGTTTCCAACGAAGGCCTCAAAGAGGTCCAAATATCCACTTGCAGACTTTACAAAGACAGTGTCTCCAAACTCCTCCATCAAAAGAAAGGTTATACTCTGTGAATTGAACGCACACATCACAAAGTAGTTTCTGAGAATGATTCTGTCTAGTTTTTATACGAAGATATTTCCTTTTCTACATTTGGCCTAAAAGCGCTTGAAATCTCCACCTGCAAATATCACAAAAAGAGGGTTTCACATCTGCTCTGTCTAAAGGACAGTTCACCTCTGTGAGTTGAATAGAGGCAACACAAAGAACTTACTCAGTATTCTTCTTTCTAGCGTTCAATGAAGAAATCCCGTTTCCAACTAAGGCCCCAATGAGGTCCAAATATCTGCTTGCAGACTTTACAGACAGAGTGTTTCCAAACTACTCTATGAAAAGAAAGCTTAAACTCCTTGAGTTGAACGCACACATCACAAAGTAGTTTCTGAGAATGATTCTGTCTAATTTTTATACGAAGATGTTTCCTTTTCTACATTTGGTCTCAAAGCCATTGAAATCTCCAACTGGAAACTGCACAAATAGGGTGTTTCAAATCTGCTCTGTCTAAAGGAAGGTTCAACTCTGTGAGTTGAATACACACAGCACAAATAAGTTACTGAGAATTCTTCTGTCGAACATTACTTGAAGAAATCCCGTTTCCAACGAAGGCCTCAAAGAGGTCCAAATATCCACTTGCAGACATTACAAACAGAGTGTTTCCAAACTGCTCCATCAAAAGAAAGGTTAAACTCTGTGAGCTGAACACACACATCAAAAAGAAGTTTCTGTGAATGATTCTGTCTAGATTTTATAAGAAGATGTTTCCTTTTCTACCGTAGGCCTCAAAGCGCTTGAAATCTCCAGCTGCAAATTCCACAAAAAGGGTGTTTAACATCTGCTCTTCTAAAGGAAAGTTCAACTCTATGAGTTGAATACACACAGCACAAAGAAGTTACTGAGACTTCTCCTATCAAACATTATATGAAGAAATCCCGTTTCCAACGAAGGCCTCAAAGAGGTCCAAATATCTGCTTGCAGACTTTACAGACAGAGTGTTTCCAAACTGCTCCATCAAAAGAAAGGTTAAACTCCTTGAGTTGAACACACACATCACAAAGTAGTTTCTGTGAATGATTCTGTCTAGTTTTTATACGAAGATGTTTCCTTTTCTACCTTTGGTCTCAAAGCGATTGAAATCTCCACATGGAAACTCCACAAAAAGAGTGTTTCAAATCTGCTCTTTCTGAACGAAGGTTCAACTCTGTGAGTTGAATACACACACCACAAATAAGTTACTGAGAATTCTTCTGTGTAACATTATATGAGGAAATCCCGTTTCCAACGAAGGCCTCAAAGAGGTCCAAATATCCACTTGCAGACTTTACAAAGACAGTGTCTCCAAACTCCTCCATCAAAAGAAAGGTTATACTCTGTGAATTGAACGCACACATCACAAAGTAGTTTCTGAGAATGATTTCTGTCTAGTTTTCATACGAAGATATTTCCTTTTCTACATTTGGCCTAAAAGCGCTTGAAATCTCCACCTGCAAATATCACAAAAAGAGGGTTTCACATCTGCTCTGTCTAAAGGACAGTTCACCTCTGTGAGTTGAATAGAGGCAACACAAAGAACTTACTCAGTATTCTTCTTTCTAGCGTTCTATGAAGAAATCCCGTTTCCCACGAAGGCCTCAAAGAGGTCCAAATATCTGCTTGCAGACATTACAGACAGAGTGTTTCCAAACTACTCTATGAAAAGAAAGCTTAAACTCCTTGAGTTGAACGCACACATCACAAAGTAGTTTCTGAGAATGATTCTGTCTAGTTTTTATACGAAGATGTTTCCTTTTCTACATTTGGTCTCAAAGCGATTGATATCTCCAACTGGAAACTGCACAAATAGGGTGTTTCAAATCTACTCTGTCTAAAGGAAGGTTCAACTCTGTGAGTTGAATACACACACCACAAATAAGTTGCTGAGAATTCTTCTGTCGAACATTACAGGAAGAAATCCCGTTTCCAACGAAGGCCTCAAAGAGGTCCAAATATCCACTTGCAGACATTACAAACAGAGTGTTTCCAAACTGCTCCATCAAAAGAAAGGTTAAACTCTGTGAGCTGAACACACACATCAAAAAGAAGTTTCTGTGAATGATTCTGTCTAGATTTTATAAGAAGATGTTTCCTTTTCTACCGTAGGCCTCAAAGCGCTTGAAATCTCCAGCTGCAAATTCCACAAAAAGGGTGTTTAACATCTGCTCTTCTAAAGGAAAGTTCAACTCTATGAGTTGAATACACACAGCACAAAGAAGTTACTGAGACTTCTCCTATCAAACATCATATGAAGAAATCCCGTTTCCAACGAAGGCCTCAAAGAGGTCCAAATATCTGCTTGCAGACTTTACAGACAGAGTGTTTCCAAACTGCTCCATCAAAAGAAAGGTTAAACTCCTTGAGTTGAACACACACATCACAAAGTAGTTTCTGTGAATGATTCTGTCTAGTTTTTATACGAAGATGTTTCCTTTTCTACCTTTGGTCTCAAAGCGATTGAAATCTCCACATGGAAACTCCACAAAAAGAGTGTTTCAAATCTGCTCTTTCTGAAGGAAGGTTCAACTCTGTGAGTTGAATACACACACCACAAATAAGTTACTGAGAATTCTTCTGTGTAACATTATATGAGGAAATCCCGTTTCCAACGAAGGCCTCAAAGAGGTCCAAATATCCACTTGCAGACTTTACAAAGACAGTGTCTCCAAACTCCTTCATCTAAAGAAAGGTTATACTCTGTGAATTGAACGCACACATCACAAAGTAGTTTCTGAGAATGATTCTGTCTAGTTTTTATACAAAGATATTTCCTTTTCTACATTTGGCCTAAAAGCGCTTGAAATCTCTACCTGCAAATATCACAAAAAGAGGGTTTCACATCTGCTCTGTCTAAAGGACAGTTCACCTCTGTGAGTTGAATAGAGGCAACACAAAGAACTTACTCAGTATTCTTCTTTCTAGCGTTCTATGAAGAAATCCCGTTTCCAACGAAGGCCCCAAAGAGGTCCAAATATCTGCTTGCAGACTTTACAGACAGAGTGTTTCCAAACTACTCTATGAAAAGAAAGCTTAAACTCCTTGAGTTGAACGCACACATCACAAAGTAGTTTCTGAGAATGATTCTGTCTAGTTGTTATACGAAGATGTTTCCTTTTCTACATTTGGTCTCAAAGCGATTGAAATCTCCAACTGGAAACTGCACAAATAGGGTGTTTCAAATCTGCTCTGTCTAAAGGAAGGTTCAACTCTGTGAGTTGAATACACACACCACAAATAAGTTACTGAGAATTCTTCTGTCGAACATTACATGAAGAAATCCCGTTTCCAACGAAGGCCTCAAAGAGGTCCAAATATCCACTTGCAAACATTACAAACAGAGTGTTTCCAAACTGCTCCATCAAAAGAAAGGTTAAACTCGGTGAGCTGAACACACACATCAAAAAGAAGTTTCTGTGAATGATTCTGTCTAGATTTTATAAGAAGATGTTTCCTTTTCTACCGTAGGCCTCAAAGCGCTTGAAATCTCCAGCTGCAAATTCCACAAAAAGGGTGTTTAACATCTGCTCTTCTAAAGGAAAGTTCAACTCTATGAGTTGAATACACACAGCACAAAGAAGTTACTGAGACTTCTCCTATCAAACATTATATGAAGAAATCCCGTTTCCAACGAAGGCCTCAAAGAGGTCCAAATATCTGCTTGCAGACTTTACAGACAGAGTGTTTCCAAACTGCTCCATCAAAAGGAAGGTTAAACTCCTTGAGTTGAACACACACATCACAAAGTAGTTTCTGTGAATGATTCTGTCTAGTTGTTATACGAAGATGTTTCCTTTTCTACCTTTGGTCTCAAAGCGATTGAAATCTCCACATGGAAACTCCACAAAAAGAGTGTTTGAAATCTGCTCTTTCTGAAGGAAGGTTCATCTCTGTGAGTTGAATACACACACCACAAATAAGTTACTGAGAATTCTTCTGTGTAACATTTTATGAGGAAATCCCGTTTCCAACGAAGGCCTCAAAGAGATCCAAATATCCACTTGCAGACTTTACAAAGACAGTGTCTCCAAACTCCTCCATCAAAAGAAAGGTTATACTCTGTGAATTGAACGCACACATCACAAAGTAGTTTCTGAGAATGATTCTGTCTAGTTTTTATACGAAGATATTTCCTTTTCTACATTTGGCCTAAAAGCGCTTGAAATCTCCACCTGCAAATATCACAAAAAGAGGGTTTCACATCTGCTCTGTCTAAAGGACAGTTCACCTCTGTGAGTTGAATAGAGGCAACACAAAGAACTTACTCAGTATTCTTCTTTCTAGCCTTCTATGAAGAAATCCTGTTTCCAACGAAGGCCCCAAAGAGGTCCAAATATCTGCTTGCAGACTTTACAGACAGAGTGTTTCCAAACTACTCTATGAAAAGAAAGCTGAAACTCCTTGAGTTGAACGCACACATCACAAAGTAGTTTCTGAGAATGATTCTGTCTAGTTTTTATACGAAGATGTTTCCTTTTCTACATTTGGTCTCAAAGCAATTGAAATCTCCAACTGGAAACTGCACAAATAGGGGGTTTCAAATCTGCTCTGTCTAAAGGAAGGTTCAACTCTGTGAGTTGAATACACACACCACAAATAAGTTACTGAGAATTCTTCTGTCGAACATTACTTGAAGAAATCCCGTTTCCAACGAAGGCCTCAAAGAGGTCCAAATATCCACTTGCAGACATTACAAACAGAGTGTTTCCAAACTGCTCCATCAAAAGAAAGGTTAAACTCTGTGAGCTGAACACACACATCAAAAAGAAGTTTCTGTGAATGATTCTGTCTGGATTTTATAAGAAGATGTTTCCTTTTCTACCGTAGGCCTCAAAGCGCTTGAAATCTCCAGCTGCAAATTCCACAAAAAGGGTGTTTAACATCTGCTCTTCTAAAGGAAAGTTCAACTCTATGCGTTGAATACACACAGCACAAAGAAGTTACTGAGACTTCTCCTATCAAACATTATATGAAGAAATCCCGTTTCCAACGAAGGCCTCAAAGAGGTCCAAATATCTGCTTGCAGACTTTACAGACAGAGTGTTTCCAAACTGCTCCATCAAAAGAAAGGTTAAACTCCTTGAGTTGAACACACACATCACAAAGTAGTTTCTGTGAATGATTCTGTCTAGTTTTTATACGAAGATGTTTCCTTTTCGACCTTTGGTCTCAAAGCGATTGAAATCTCCACATGGAAACACCACAAAAAGAGTGTTTCAAATCTGCTCTTTCTGAAGGAAGGTTCAACTCTGTGAGTTGAATACACACACCACAAATAAGTTACTGAGAATTCTCCTATCAAACATTATATGAAGAAATCCCGTTTCCAACGAAGGCCTCAAAGAGGTCCAAATATCTGCTTGCAGACTTTACAAAGACAGTGTCTCCAAACTCCTCCATCAAAAGAAAGGTTATACTCTGTGAATTGAACGCACACATCACAAAGTAGTTTCTGAGAATGATTCTGTCTAGTTTTTATACGAGGATATTTATTTTTCTACATTTGGCCTAAAAGTGCTTGAAATCTCCACCTGCAAATATCACAAAAAGAGGGTTTCACATCTGCTCTGTCTAAAGGACAGTTCACCTCTGTGAGTTGAATAGAGGCAACACAAAGAACTTACTCAGTATTCTTCTTTCTAGCGTTATATGAAGAAATCCCGTTTCCAACGAAGGCCTCAAAGAGGTCCAAATATCTGCTTGCAGACTTTACAGACAGAGTGTTTCCAAACTACTCTATGAAAAGAAAGCTTAAACTCCTTGAGTTGAACGCACACATCACAAAGTAGTTTGCTGAGAATGATTCTGTCTAGTTTTTATACGAAGATGTTTCCTTTTCTACATTTGGTCTCAAAGTGATTGAAATCTCCAACTGGAAACTCCACAAAAAGAGTGTTTCAAATCTGCTCTGTCTAAAGGAAGGCTCAACTCTGTGAGTTGAATACACACACCACAAATAAGTTACTGAGAATTCTTCTGTCGAACATTACAGGAAGAAATCCCGTTTCCAACGAAGGCCTCAAAGAGGTCCAAATATCCACTTGCAGACATTACAAACAGTGTGTTTCCAAACTGCTCCATCAAAAGAAAGGTTAAACTCTGTGAGCTGAACACACACATCAAAAAGAAGTTTCTGTGAATGATTTCTGTCTAGATTTTATAAGAAGATGTTTCCTTTTCTACCGTAGGCCTCAAAGCGCTTGAAATCTCCAGCTGCAAATTCCACAAAAAGGGTGTTTAACATCTGCTCTTCTAAAGGAAAGTTCAACTCTATGAGTTGAATACACACAGCACAAAGAAGTTACTGAGACTTCTCCTATCAAACATTATATGAAGAAATCCCGTTTCCAACGAAGGCCTCAAAGAGGTCCAAATATCCACTTGCAGACTTTACAGACAGAGTGTTTCCAAACTGCTCCATCAAAAGAAAGGTTAAACTCCTTGAGTTGAACACACACATCACAAAGTAGTTTCTGTGAAAGATTCTGTCTAGTTTTTATACGAAGATGTTTCCTTTTCTACCTTTGGTCTCAAAGAGATTGAAATCTCCTTATGGAAACTCCACAAAAAGAGTGTTTCAAATCTGCTCTTTCTGAAGGAAGGTTCAACTCTGTGAGTTGAATACACACACCACAAATAAGTTACTGAGAATTCTTCTGTGTAACATTATATGAGGAAATCCCGTTTCCAACGAAGGCCTCAAAGAGGTCCAAATATCCACTTGCAGA
This sequence comes from Homo sapiens, assembly GCF_000001405.40. Taxonomy (NCBI): domain Eukaryota; kingdom Metazoa; phylum Chordata; class Mammalia; order Primates; family Hominidae; genus Homo; species Homo sapiens. The sequence goes on along the minus strand of NC_000012.12, from coordinate 36,278,178 downwards.
CTTTACAAAGACAGTGTCTCCAAACTCCTCCATCAAAAGAAAGGTTATACTCTGTGAATTGAACGCACACATCACAAAGTAGTTTCTGAGAATGATTCTGTCTGGTTTTTATACGAAGATATTTCCTTTTATACATTTGGCCTGAAAGTGCTTGAAATCTCCACCTGCAAATATCACAAAAAGAGGGTTTCACATCTGCTCTGTCTAAAGGACAGTTCACCTCTGTGAGTTGAATAGAGGCAACACAAAGAACTTACTCAGTATTCTTCTTTCTAGCGTTATATGAAGAAATCCCGTTTCCAACGAAGGCCTCAAAGAGGTCCAAATATCTGCTTGCAGACTTTGCAGACAGAGTGTTTCCAAACTACTCTATGAAAAGAAAGCTTAAACTCCTTGAGTTGAACGCACACATCACAAAGTAGTTTCTGAGAATGATTCTGTCTTATTTTTATACGAAGATATTTCCGTTTCTATCATTGGCCTCAAAGCGATTGAAATCTCCAACTGGAAACTGCACAAATAGGGTGTTTCAAATCTGCTCTGTCTAAAGGAAGGTTCAACTCTGTGAGTTGAATACACACACCACAAATAAGTTACTGAGAATTCTTCTGTCGAACATTACATGAAGAAATTCCGTTTCCAACGAAGGCCTCAAAGAGGTCCAAATATCCACTTGCAGACATTACAAACAGAGTGTTTCCAAACTGCTCCATCAAAGGAATGGTTAAACTCTGTGAGCTGAACACACACATCAAAAAGAAGTTTCTGTGAATGATTCTGTCTAGATTTTATAAGAAGATGTTTCCTTTTCTACCGTAGGCCTCAAAGCGCTTGAAATCTCCAGCTGCAAATTCCACAAAAAGGGTGTTTAACATCTGGTCTTCTAAAGGAAATTTCAACTCTATGAGTTGAATACACACAGCACAAAGAAGTTACTGAGATTTCTTCTTTCTAGCATTCTATGAAGAAATCCCGTTTCCAACGAAGGCCCCAAAGAGGTCCAAATATCTGCTTGCAGACTTTACAGACAGAGTTTTTCCAAACTGCTCCATCAAAAGAAAGGTTAAACTCCTTGAGTTGAACACACACATCACAAAGTAGTTTCTGTGAATGATTCTGTCTAGTTTTTATACGAAGATGTTTCCTTTTCTACCTTTGGTCTCAAAGCGATTGAAATCTCCACATGGAAACTCCACCAAAAGAGTGTTTCAAATCTGCTCTTTCTGAAGGAAGGTTCAACTCTGTGAGTTGAATACACACACCACAAATAAGTTACTGAGAATTCTTCTGTGTAACATTATATGAGGAAATCCCGTTTCCAACGAAGGCCTCAAAGAGGTCCAAATATCCACTTGCAGACTTTACAAAGACAGTGTCTCCAAACTCCTCCATCAAAAGAAAGGTTATACTCTGTGAATTGAACGCACACATCACAAAGTAGTTTCTGAGAATGATTCTGTCTAGTTTTTTTACGAAGATATTTCCTTTTCTACATTTGGCCTAAAAGCGCTTGAAATCTCCACCTGCAAATATCACAAAAATAGGGTTTCACATCTGCTCTGTCTAAAGGACAGTTCACCTCTGTGAGTTGAATAGAGGCAACACAAAGAACTTACTCAGTATTCTTCTTTCTAGCGTTCTATGAAGAAATCCCGTTTCCAACGAAGGCCCCAAAGAGGTCCAAATATCTGCTTGCAGACTTTACAGACAGAGTGTTTCCAAACTACTCTATGAAAAGAAAGCTTAAACTCCTTGAGTTGAACGCACACATCACAAAGTAGTTTCTGAGAATGATTCTGTCTAGTTTTTATACGAAGATGTTTCCTTTTCTACATTTGGTCTCAAAGCTCTTGAAATCTCCAACTGGAAACTGCACAAATAGGCTGTTTCAAATCTGCTCTGTCTAAAGGAAGGTTCAACTCTGTGAGTTGAATACACACACCACAAATAAGTTACTGAGAATTCTTCTGTCGACCATTACTTGATGAAATCCCGTTTCCAACGAAGGCCTCAAAGAGGTCCAAATATCCACTTGCAGACATTACAAACAGAGTGTTTCCAAACTGCTCCATCAAAAGAAAGGTTAAACTTCTGTGAGCTGAACACACACATCGAAAAGAAGTTTCTGTGAATGATTCTGTCTAGTTTTTATACGAAGATGTTTCCTTTTCTACCTTTGGTCTCAAAGCGATTGAAATCTCCACATGGAAACTCCACAAAAAGAGCGTTTCAAATCTGCTCCTTCTGAAGGAATGTTCAGCTCTGTGAGTTGAATACACACACCACAAATAAGTTACTGAGAATTCTCCTATCAAACATTATATGAAGAAATCCCATTTCCAACGAAGGCCTCAAAGAGGTCCAAATATCTGCTTGCAGACTTTACAGACAGAGTGTTTCCAAACTGCTCCATCAAAAGAAAGGTTAAACTCCTTGAGTTGAACACACACATCACAAAGTAGTTTACATGAATGATTCTGTCTAGTTTTTATACGAAGATGTTTCCTTTTCTACCTTTGGTCTCAAAGCGATTGAAATCTCCACATGGAAACTCCACAAAAAGAGTGTTTCAAATCTGCTCTTTCTGAAGGAAGGTTCAACTCTGTGAGTTGAATACACACACCACAAATAAGTTACTGAGAATTCTTCTGTGTAACATTATATGAGGAAATCCCGTTTCCAACGAAGGCCTCAAAGAGGTCCAAATATCCACTTGCAGACTTTACAAAGACAGTGTCTCCTAACTCCTCGATCAAAAGAAAGGTTATACTCTGTGAATTGAACGCACACATCACAAAGTAGTTTCTGAGAATGATTCTGTCTAGTTTTTATACGAAGATATTTCCTTTTCTACATTTGGCCTAAAAGCGCTTGAAATCTCCACCTGCAAATATCACAAAAAGAGGGTTTCACATCTGCTCTGTCTAAAGGACAGTTCACCTCTGTGATTTGAATAGAGGCAACACAAAGAACTTACTCAGTATTCTTCTTTCTTGCATTCTATGAAGAAATCCCGTTTCCAACGAAGGCCCCAAAGAGGTCCAAATATCTGCTTGCAGACTTTACAGACAGAGTGTTTCCAAATTGCTCCATCAAAAGAAAGGTTAAACTCCTTGAGTTGAACGCACACATCACAAAGTAGTTTCTGAGAATGATTCTGTCTAGTTTTTATACGAAGATGTTTACCTTTCTACATTTGGTCTCAAAGCGAATGAAATCTCCAACTGGAAACTGCACAAATAGGCTGTTTCAAATCTGCTCTGTCTAAAGGAAGGTTCAACTCTGTGAGTTGAATACACACACCACAAATAAGTTACTGAGAATTCTTCTGTCGAACATTACTTGAAGAAATCCCGTTTCCAACGAAGGCCTCAAAGTGGTCCAAATATCCACTTGCGGACATTACAAACAGTGTGTTTCCCAACTGCTCCATCAAAAGAAAGGTTAAACTCTGTGAGCTGAACACACACATCAAAAAGAAGTTTCTGTGAATGATTCTGTCTAGATTTTATAAGAAGATGTTTCCTTTTCTACCGTAGGCCTCAAAGCGCTTGAAATCTCCAGCTGCAAATTCCACAAAAAGGGTGTTTAACATCTGCTCTTCTAAAGGAAAGTTCAACTCTATGAGTTGAATACACACAGCACAAAGAAGTTACTGAGACTTCTCCTATCAAACATTATATGAAGAAATCCCGTTTCCAACGAAGGCCTCAAAGAGGTCCAAATATCTGCTTGCAGACTTTACAGACAGTGTGTTTCCAAACTGCTCCATCAAAAGAAAGGTTAAACTCCTTGAGTTGAACACACACATCACAAAGTAGTTTCTGTGAATGATTCTGTCTAGTTTTTATACGAAGATGTTTCCTTTTCTAGCTTTGGTCTCAAAGCGATTGAAATCTCCACATGGAAACTCCACAAAAAGAGTGTTTCAAATCTGCTGTTTCTGAAGGAAGGTTCAACTCTGTGAGTTGAATACACGCACCACAAATAAGTTACTGGGAATTCTTCTGTGTAACATTATATGAGGAAATCCCGTTTCCAACGAAGGCCTCAAAGAGGTCCAAATATCCACTTGCAGACTTTACAAAGACAGTGTCTCCAAACTCCTCCATCAAAAGAAAGGTTATACTCTGGGAATTGAACGCACACATCAAAAAGTAGTTTCTGAGAATGATTCTGTCCAGTTTTTATACGAAGATATTTCCTTTTCTACATTTGGCCTAAAAGCGCTTGAAATCTCCACCTGCAAATATCACAAAAAGAGGGTTTCACATCTGCTCTGTCTAAAGGGCAGTTCACCTCTGTGAGTTGAATAGAGGCAACACAAAGAACTTAGTCAGTATTCTTCTTTCTACCGTTCTATGAAGAAATCCCGTTTCCAACGAAGGCCTCAAAGAGGTCCAAATATCTGCTTGCAGACTTTACAGACAGAGTGTTTCCAAACTACTCTATGAAAAGAAAGCTTAAACTCCTTGAGTTGAACGCACACATCACAAAGTAGTTTCTGAGAATGATTCTGTCTAGTTTTTATACGAAGATGTTTCCTTTTCTACATTTGGTCTCAAAGCGATTGAAATCTCCAACTGGAAACTGCACAAATAGGGTGTTTCAAATCTGCTCTGTCTAAAGGAAGGTTCAACTCTTTGAGTTGAATACACACACCACAAATAAGTTACTGAGAATTCTTCTGTCGAACATTACATGAAGAAATCCCGTTTCCAACGAAGGCCTCAAAGAGGTCCAAATATCCACTTGCAGACATTACAGAGTGTTTCCAAACTGCTCCATCAAAAGAAAGGTTAAAGTCTGTGAGCTGAACACACACATCAAAAAGAAGTTTCTGTGAGTGATTCTGTCTAGATTTTATAAGAAGATGTTTCCTTTTCTACCGTAGGCCTCAAAGCGCTTGAAATCTCCAGCTGCAAATTCCACAAAAAGGGTGTTTAACATCTGCTCTTCTAAAGGAAAGTTCAACTCTATGCATTGAATACACACAGCACAAAGAAGTTACTGAGACTTCTCCTATCAAACATTATATGAAGAAATCCCGTTTCCAACGAAGACCTCAAAGAGGTCCAAATATCTGCTTGCAGACTTTACAGACAGAGTGTTTCCAAACTGCTCCATCAAAAGAAAGGTTATACTCTGTGAATTGAACGCACACATCACAAAGTAGTTTCTGAGAATGATTCTGTCTAGTTTTTATACGAAGATGTTTCCTTTTCTACCTTTGGTCTCAAAGCGATTGAAATCTCCACATGGAAACTCCACAAAAAGAGTGTTTCAAATCTGCTCTTTCTGAAGGAAGGTTCAACTCTGTGAGTTGAATACACACACCACAAATAAGTTACTGAGAATTCTTCTGTGTAACATTATATGAGGAAATCCCGTTTCCAACGAAGGCCTCAAAGAGGTCCAAATATCCACTTGCAGACTTTACAAAGACAGTGTCTACAAACTCCTCCATCAAAAGAAAGGTTATACTCTGTGAATTGAACGCACACATCACAAAGTAGTTTCTGAGAATGATTCTGTCTAGTTTTTATACGAAGATATTTCCTTTTCTACATTTGGCCTAAAAGCGCTTGAAATCTCCACCTGCAAATATCACAAAAAGAGGGTTTCACATCTGCTCTGTCTAAAGGACAGTTCACCTCTGTGAGTTGAATAGAGGCAACACAAAGAACTTACTCAGTATTCTTCTTTCTAGCGTTCTATGAAGAAATCCCGTTTCCAACGAAGGCCCCAAAGAGGTCCAAATATCTGCTTGCAGACTTTACAGACAGAGTGTTTCCAAACTACTCTATGAAAAGAAAGCTTAAACTCCTTGAGTTGAACACACACATCACAAAGTAGTTTCGGAGAATGATTCTGTCTAGTTTTTATACGAAGATGTTTCCTTTTCTACATTTGGTCTCAAAGCGATTGAAATCTCCAACTGGAAACTGCACAAATAGGGTGTTTCAAATCTGCTCTGTCTAAAGGAAGGTTCAACTCTTTGAGTTGAATACACACACCACAAATAAGTTACTGAGAATTCTTCTGTCGAACATTACTTGTAGAAATCCCGTTTCCAAAGAAGGCCTCAAAGAGGTCCAAATATCCACTTGCAGACATTACAAACAGTTTGTTTCCAAACTGCTCCATCAAAAGAAAGGTTAAACTCTGTGAGCTGAACACACACATCAAAAAGAAGTTTCTGTGAATGATTCTGTCTAGATTTTATAAGAAGATGTTTCCTTTTCTACCGTAGGCCTCAAAGCGCTTGAAATCTCCAGCTGCAAATTCCACAAAAAGGGTGTTTAACATCTGCTCTTCTAAAGGAAAGTTCAACTCAATGAGTTGAATACACACAGCACAAAGAAGTTACTGAGACTTCTTCTGTGTAACATTATATGAGGAAATCCCGTTTCCAACGAAGGCCTCAAAGCAGGTCCAAATATCCACTTGCAGACTTTACAAAGACAGTGTCTCCAAACTCGTCCATCAAAAGAAAGGTTATACTCTGTGAATTGAATGCACACATCACAAAGTACTTTCTGAGAATGATTCTGTCTAGTTTTTATACGAAGATATATCCTTTTCTACATTTGGCCTAAAAGCGCTTGAAATCTCCACCTGCAAATATCACAAAAAGAGGGTTTCACATCTGCTCTGTCTAAAGGACAGTTCACCTCTGTGTGTTGAATAGAGGCAACAGAAAGAACTTACTGAGTATTCCTCTTTCTAGCGTTCTATGAAGAAATCCCGTTTCCAACGAAGGCCTCAAAGAGGTCCAAATATCTGCTTGCAGACTTCACAGACAGAGTGTTTCCAAACTACTCTATGAAAAGAAAGCTTAAACTCCTTGAGTTGAACGCATACATCACAAAGTAGTTTCTCAGAATGATTCTGTCTAGTTTTTATACGAAGATGTTTCCTTTTCTACATTTGGTCTCAAAGCGATTGAAATCTCCAATTGGAAACTGCACAAATAGGGTGTTTCAAATCTGCTCTGTCTAAAGGAAGGTTCAACTCTGTGAGTTGAATACACACACCACAAATAAGTTACTGAGAATTCTTCTGTCGAACATTACTTGAAGAAATCCCGTTTCCAACGAAGGCCTCAAAGAGGTCCAAATATCCACTTGCAGACATTACAAACAGAGTGTTTCCAAACTGCTCCATCAAAAGAAAGTTTAAACTCTGTGAGCTGAACACACACATCGAGAAGAAGTTTCTGTGAATGATTCTGTCTAGATTTTATAAGAAGATGTTTCCTTTTCTACCGTAGGCCTCAAAGCGCTTGAAATCTCCAGCTGCAAATTCCACAAAAAGGGTGTTTAACATCTGTTCTTCTAAAGGAAAGTTCAACTCTATGAGTTGAATACACACAGCACAAAGAAGTTACTGAGACTTCTCCTATCAAACATTATATGAAGAAATCCCGTTTCCAACGAAGGCCTCAAAGAGGTCCAAATATCTGCTTGCAGACTTTACAGACAGAGTGTTTCCAAACTGCTCCATCAAAAGAAAGGTTAAACTCCTTGAGTTGAACACACACATCACAAAGTAGTTTCTGTGAATGATTCTGTCTAGTTTTTATACGAAGATGTTTCCTTTTCTACCTTTGGTCTCAATGCGATTGAAATCTCCACATGGAAACTCCACAAAAAGAGTGTTTCAAATCTGCTCTTTCTGAAGGAAGGTTCAACTCTGTGAGTTGAATACACACACCACAAATAAGTTACTGAGAATTCTTCTGTGTAACATTATATGAGGAAATCCCGTTTCCAACGAAGGCCTCAAAGAGGTCCAAATATCCACTTGCAGACTTTACAAAGACAGTGTCTCCAAACTCCTCCATCAAAAGAAAGGTTATACTCTGTGAATTGAACGCACACATCACAAAGTAGTTTCTGAGAAGGATTCTGTCTAGTTTTTATACGAAGATATTTCCTTTTCTACATTTGGCCTAAAAGCGCTTGAAATCTCCACCTGCAAATATCACAAAAAGAGGGTTTCACATCTGCTCTGTCTAAAGGACAGTTCACCTCTCTGAGTTGAATAGAGGCAACACAAAGAACTTACTCAGTATTCTTCTTTCTAGCGTTCTATGAAGAAATCCCGTTTCCAACGAAGGCCCCAAAGAGGTCCAAATATCTGCTTGCAGACTTTACAGACAGAGTGTTTCCAAACTACTCTATGAAAAGAAAGCTTAAACTCCTTGAGTTGAACGCACACATCACAAAGTAGTTTCTGAGAATGATTCTGTCTTGTTTTTATACGAAGATATTTCCGTTTCTACGATTGGCCTCAAAGCGATTCAAATCTCCAACTGGAAACTGCACAAATAGGGTGTTTCAAATCTGCTCTGTCTAAAGGAAGGTTCCACTCTGTGAGTTGAATACACACACCACAAATAAGTTACTGAGAATTCTTCTGTCGAACATTACATGAAGAAATCCCGTTTCCAACGAAGGCCTGAAAGAGATCCAAATATCCACTTGCCGACATGGCAAACACAGTGTTTGCAAACTGCTCCATCAAAAGAAAGGTTAAAGTCTGTGAGATAAACACACACATCAAAAAGAAGTTTCTGTGAATGATTCTGTCTAGATTTTATAAGAAGATGTTTCCTTTTCTACCGTAGGCCTCAAAGCGCTTGAAATCTCCAGCTGCAAATTCCACAAAAAGGGTGTTTAACATCTGCTCTTCTAAAGGAAAGTTCAACTCTATGAGTTGAATACACACAGCACAAAGAAGTTACTGAGACTTCCACTATCAAATATTATATGAAGAAATCCCGTTTCCAACGAAGGCCTCAAAGAGGTCCAAATATCCACTTGCAGACGTGACAAACAGAGTTTTTCCAAACTGCTCCATCCAAAGAAAGGTTAAACTCTGTGAGTTGAACACACACATCACAAAGTAGTTTCTGTGAATGATTCTGTCTAGTTTTTATACGAAGATGTTTCCTTTTCTACCTTTGGTCTCACAGCCATTGAAATATCCACATGGAAACTCCGCAAAAAGAGTGTTTCAAATCTGCTCTTTCTGAAGGAAAGTTCAACTCTGTGAGTTGAATACACACACCACAAATAAGTTACCGAGAATTCTTCTGTGTAACATTATAGGAGGAAATCCCGTTTCCAACGAAGGCCTCAAAGAGGTCCAAATATCCACTTGCAGACGTGACAAACAGAGTGTTTCCAAACTGCTCCATCCAAAGAAAGGTTAAACTCTGTGAGTTGAACACACACATCACAAAGTAGTGTCTGTGAATGATTTTGTCTAGTTTTTATACGAAGATGTTTCCTTTTCTACCTTTGGTCTCAAAGCGATTGAAATCTCCACATGGAAACTCCACAAAAAGAGCGTTTCAAATCTGCTATTTCTGAAGGAAGGTTCAACTCTGTGAGTTGAATACACACACCACAAATATGTTACTGAGAATTCTCCCTGTGTAACATTATATGAGGAAATCCCGTTTCCAACAAAGGCCTCAAAGAGGTCCAAATATCCACTTGCAGACTTTACAAAGACAGTGTCTCCAAACTCCTCCATCAAAAGAAAGGTTATACTCTGTGAATTGAACGCACACATCACAAAGTAGTTTCTGAGAATGATTCTGTCTAGTTTTTATACGAAGATATTTCCTTTTCTACATTTGGCCTAAAAGCGCTTGAAATCTCCACGTGCAAATATCACAAAAAGAGGGTTTCACATCTGCTCTGTCTAAAGGACAGTTCACCTCTGTGAGTTGAATAGAGGCAACACAAAGAACTTACTCAGTATTCTTCTTTCTAGCGTTCTATGAAGAAATCCCATTTCCAACGAAGGCCTCAAAGAGGTCCAAATATCTGCTTGCAGACTTTACAGACAGAGTGTTTCCAAACTACTCTATGAAAAGAAAGCTTAAACTCCTTGAGTTGAACGCACACATCACAAAGTAGTTTCTGAGAATGATTCTGTCTAGTTTTTATACGAAGATGTTTCCTTTTCTACATTTGGTCTCAAAGCGATTGAAATCTCCAACTGGAAACTGCACAAATAGGGTGTTTCAAATCTGCTCTGTCTAAAGGAAGGTTCAACTCTGTGAGTTGAATACACACACCACAAATAAGTTACTGAGAATTCTTCTGTCGAACATTACATGAAGAAATCCCGTTTCCAACGAAGGCCTCAAAGAGGTCCAAATATCCACTTGCAGACATTACAAACAGAGTGTTTCCAAACTGCTCCATCAAAAGAAAGGTTAAACTCTGTGAGCTGAACACACACATCAAAAAGAAGTTTCTGTGAATGATTCTGTCTAGATTTTATAAGAAGATGTTTCCTTTTCTACCGTAGGCCTCAAAGCGCTTGAAATCTCCAGCTGCAAATTCCACAAAAAGGGTGTTTAACATCTGCTCTTTTAAAGGAAAGTTCAACTCTATGCGTTGGATACACACAGCACAAAGAAGTTACTGAGACTTCTCCTATCAAACATTATATGAAGAAATCCCGTTTCCAACGAAGGCCTCAAAGAGGTCCAAATATCTGCTTGCAGACTTTACAGACAGAGTGTTTCCAAACTGCTCCATCAAAAGAAAGGTTAAACTCCTTGAGTTGAACACACACATCACAAAGTAGTTTCTGTGAATGATTCTGTCTAGTTTTTATACGAAGATGTTTCCTTTTCTACCTTTGGTCTCAATGCGATTGAAATCTCCACATGGAAACTCCACAAAAAGAGTGTTTCAAATCTGCTCTTTCTGAAGGAAGGTTCAACTCTGTGAGTTGAATACACACACCACAAATAAGTTACTGAGAATTCTTCTGGGTAACATTATATGAGGAAATCCCGTTTCCAACGAAGGCCTCAAAGAGGTCCAAATATCCACTTGCAGACTTTACAAAGACAGTGTCTCCAAACTCCTCCATCAAAAGAAAGGTTATACTCTGTGAATTGAACGCACACATCACAAAGTAGTTTCTGAGAATGATTCTGTCTAGTTTTTATACGAAGATATTTCCTTTTCTACATTTGGCCTAAAAGCGCTTGAAATCTCCACCTGCAAATATCACAAAAAGAGGGTTTCACATCTGCTCTGTCTAAAGGACAGTTCACCTCTGTGAGTTGAATAGAGGCAACACAAAGAACTTACTCAGTATTCTTCTTTCTAGCGTTCTATGAAGAAATCCCGTTTCCAACGAAGGCCCCAATGAGGTCCAAATATCTGCTTGCAGACTTTACAGACAGAGTGTTTCCAAACTACTCTATGAAAAGAAAGCTTAAACTCCTTGAGTTGAACGCACACATCACAAAGTAGTTTCTGAGAATGATTCTGTCTAGTTTTTATACGAAGATGTTTCCTTTTCTACATTTGGTCTCAAAGCGATTGAAATCTCCAACTGGAAACTGCACAAATAGGGTGTTTCAAATCTGCTCTGTCTAAAGGAAGGTTCAACTCTGTGAGTTGAATACACACACCACAAATAAGTTACTGAGAATTCTTCTGTCGAACATTACAGGAAGAAATCCCGTTTCCAACGAAGGCCTCAAACAGGTCCAAATATCCACTTGCAGACATTACAAACAGAGTGTTTCCAAACTACTCCATCAAAAGAAAGGTTAAACTCTGTGAGCTGAACACACACATCAAAAAGAAGTTTCTGTGAATGATTCTGTCTAGATTTTATAAGAAGATGTTTCCTTTTCTACCGTAGGCCTCAAAGCGCTTGAAATCTCTAGGTGCAAATTCCACAAAAAGGGTGTTTAACATCTGCTCTTCTAAAGGAAAGTTCAACTCTATGAGTTGAATACACACAGCACAAAGAAGTTACTGAGACTTCTCCTATCAAACATTATATGAAGAAATCCCGTTTCCAACGAAGGCCTCAAAGAGGTCCAAATATCTACTTGCAGACTTTACAGACAGAGTGTTTCCAAACTGCTCCATCAAAAGAAAGGTTAAACTCCTTGAGTTGAACACACACATCACAAAGTAGTTTCTGTGAATGATTCTGTCTAGTTTTTATACGAAGATGTTTCCTTTTCTACCTATGGTCTCAAAGCGATTGAAATCTCCACATGGAAACTCCACAAAAAGAGTGTTTCAAATCTGCTCTTTCTGAAGGAAGGTTCAACTCTGTGAGTTGAATACACACACCACAAATAAGTTACTGAGAATTCTTCTGGGTAACATTATATGAGGAAATCCCGTTTCCAACGAAGGCCTCAAAGAGGTCCAAATATCCACTTGCAGACTTTACAAAGACAGTGTCTCCAAACTCCTCCATCAAAAGAAAGGTTATACTCTGTGAATTGAACGCACACATCACAAAGTAGTTTCTGAGAATGATTCTGTCTAGTTTTTATACGAAGATATTTCCTTTTCTACATTTGGCCTAAAAGCGCTTGAAATCTCCACGTGCAAATATCACAAAAAGAGGGTTTCACATCTGCTCTGTCTAAAGGACAGTTCACCTCTGTGAGTTGAATAGAGGCAACACAAAGAACTTACTCAGTATTCTTCTTTCTAGCGTTCTATGAAGAAATCCCGTTTCCAACGAAGGCCCCAAAGAAGGTCCAAATATCTGCTTGCAGACTTTACAGACAGAGTGTTTCCAAACTACTCTATGAAAAGAAAGCTTAAACTCCTTGAGTTGAACGCACACATCACAAAGTAGTTTCGGAGAATGATTCTGCCTAGTTTTTATACGAAGATGTTTCCTTTTCTACATTTGGTCTCAAAGCGATTGAAATCTCCAACTGGAAACTGCACAAATAGGGTGTTTCAAATCTGCTCTGTCTAAAGGAAGGTTCAACTCTGTGAGTTGAATACACACACCACAAATAAGTTACTGAGAATTCTTCTGTCGACCATTACTTGATGAAATCCCGTTTCCAACGAAGGCCTCAAAGAGGTCCAAATATCCACTTGCAGACATTACAAACAGAGTGTTTCCAAACTGCTCCATCAAAAGAAAGGTTAAACTCTGTGAGCTGAACACACACATCGAAAAGAAGTTTCTGTGAATGATTCTGTCTAGATTTTATAAGAAGATGTTTCCTTTTCTACCGTAGGCCTCAAAGCGCTTGAAATCTCCAGCTGCAAATTCCACAAAAAGGGTGTTTATCATCTGCTCTTCTAAAGGAAAGTTCAACTCTATGAGTTGAATACACACAGCACAAAGAAGTTACTGAGACTTCTCCTATCAAACATTATATGAAGAAATCCCGTTTCCAACGAAGGCCTCAAAGAGGTCCAAATATCTGCTTGCAGACTTTACAGACAGAGTATTTCCAAACTGCTCCATCAAAAGAAAGGTTAAACTCCTTGAGTTGAACACACACATCACAAAGTAGTTTCTGTGAATGATTCTGTCTAGTTTTTATACGAAGATGTTTCCTTTTCTACCTTTGGTCTCAATGCGATTGAAATCTCCACATGGAAACTCCACAAAAAGAGTGTTTCAAATCTGCTCTTTCTGAAGGAAGGTTCAACTCTGTGAGTTGAATACACACACCACAAATAAGTTACTGAGAATTCTTCTGGGTAACATTATATGAGGAAATCCCGTTTCCAACGAAGGCCTCAAAGAGGTCCAAATATCCACTTGCAGACTTTACAAAGACAGTGTCTCCAAACTCCTCCATCAAAAGAAAGGTTATACTCTGTGAATTGAACGCACACATCACAAAGTAGTTTCTGAGAATGATTCTGTCTAGTTTTTATACGAAGATATTTCCTTTTCTACATTTGGCCTAAAAGCGCTTGAAATCTCCACCTGCAAATATCACAAAAAGAGGGTTTCACATCTGCTCTGTCTAAAGGACAGTTCACCTCTGTGAGTTGAATAGAGGCAACACAAAGAACTTACTCAGTATTCTTCTTTCTAGCGTTCTATGAAGAAATCCCGTTTTCAACGAAGGCCTCAAAGAGGTCAAATATCTGCTTGCAGACTTTACAGACAGAGTGTTTCCAAACTACTCTATGAAAAGAAAGCTTAAACTCCTTGAGTTGAACGCACACATCACAAAGTAGTTTCTGAGAATGATTCTGTCTAGTTTTTATACGAAGATGTTTCCTTTTCTACATTTGGTCTCAAAGCGATTGAAATCTCCAACTGGAAACTGCACAAATAGGCTGTTTCAAATCTGCTCTGTCTAAAGGAAGGTTCAGCTCTGTGTGTTGAATACACACACCACAAATAAGTTACTGAGAATTCTTCTGTCGAACATTACTTGAAGAAATACCGTTTCCAAAGAAGGCCTCAAAGAGGTCAAAATATCCACTTGCAGACATTACAAACAGAGTGTTTCAAAACTGCTCCATCAAAAGAAAGGTTAAACTCTGTGAGCTGAACACACACATGAAAAAGAAGTTTCTGTGAATGATTCTGTCTAGATTTTATAAGAAGATGTTTCCTTTTCTACCGTAGGCCTCAAAGCGCTTGAAATCTCCAGCTGCAAATTCCACAAAAAGGGTGTTTATCATCTGCTCTTCTAAAGGAAAGTTCAACTCTATGAGTTGAATACACACAGCACAAAGAAGTTACTGAGACTTCTCCTATCAAACATTATATGAAGAAATCCCGTTTCCAACGAAGGCCTCAAAGAGGTCCAAATATCTGCTTGCAGACTTTACAGACAGAGTGTTTCCAAACTGCTCCATCAAAAGAAAGGTTAAACTCCTTGAGTTGAACACACACATCACAAAGTAGTTTCTGTGAATGATTCTGTCTAGTTGTTATACGAAGATGTTTCCTTTTCTACCTTTGGTCTCAAAGCGATTGAAATCTCCACATGGAAACTCCACAAAAAGAGTGTTTCAAATCTGCTCTTTCTGAAGGAAGTTTCATCTCTGTGAGTTGAATACACACACCACAAATAAGTTACTGAGAATTCTTCTGTGTAACATTATATGAGGAAATCCCGTTTCCAACGAAGGCCTCAAAGAGGTCCAAATATCCACTTGCAGACTTTACAAAGACAGTGTCTCCAAACTCCTCCATCAAAAGAAAGGTTATACTCTGTGAATTGAACGCACACATCACAAAGTAGTTTCTGAGAATGATTCTGTCTAGTTTTTATACGAAGATATTTCCTTTTCTACATTTGGCCTAAAAGCGCTTGAAATCTCCACCTGCAAATATCCCAAAAAGAGGGTTTCACATCTGCTCTGTCTAAAGGACAGTTCACCTCTGTGAGTTGAATAGAGGCAACACAAAGAACTTACTCAGTATTCTTCTTTCTACCGTTCTATGAAGAAATCCCTTTTCCAACGAAGGCCTCAAAGAGGTCCAAATATCTGCTTGCAGACTTTACAGACAGAGTGTTTCCAAACTACTCTATGAAAAGAAAGCTTAAACTCCTTGAGTTGAATGCACACATCACAAAGTAGTTTCTGAGAATGATTCTGTCTAGTTTTTATACGAAGTATGTTTCCTTTTCTACATTTGGTCTCAAAGCGATTGAAATCTCTAACTGGAAACTGCACAAATAGGGTGTTTCAAATCTGCTCTTTCTGAAGGAAGGTTCAACTCTGTGAGTTGAATACACACACCACAAATAAGTTACTGAGAATTCTTCTGTCGAACATTACATGAAGAAATCCCGTTTCCAACGAAGGCCTCAAAGACGTCCAAATATCCACTTGCAGACATTACAAACAGAGTGTTTCCAAACTGCTCCATCAAAAGAAAGGTTAAACTCTGTGAGCTGAACACACACATCAAAAAGAAGTTTCTGTGAATGATTCTGTCTAGATTTTATAAGAAGATGTTTCCTTTTCTACCGTAGGCCTCAAAGCGCTTGAAATCTCCAGCTGCAAATTCCACAAAAAGGGTGTTTAACATCTGCTCTTCTAAAGGAAAGTTCAACTCTATGAGTTGAATACACACAGCACAAAGAAGTTACTGAGACTTCTCCTATCAAACATTATATGAAGAAATCCCGTTTCCAACGAAGGCCTCAAAGAGGTCCAAATATCCACTTGCAGACGTGACAAACAGAGTGTTTCCAAACTGCTCCATCAAAAGAAAGGTTAAACTCTGTGAGTTGAACACACACATCACAAAGTAGTTTCTGTGAATGATTCTGTCTAGTTTTTATACGAAGATGTTTCCTTTTCTACCTTTGGTCTCAAAGCGATTGAAATCTCCACATGGAAACTCCACAAAAAGAGTGTTTCAAATCTGCTCTTTCTGAAGGAAGGTTCAACTCTGTGAGTTGAATACACACACCACAAATAAGTTACTGAGAATTCTTCTGTGTAACATTATATGAGGAAATCCCGTTTCCAACCAAGGCCTCAAAGAGGTCCAAATATCCACTTGCAGACTTTACAAAGACAGTGTCTCCAAACTCCTCCATCAAAAGAAAGGTTATACTCTGTGAATTGAACGCACACATCACAAAGTAGTTTCTGAGAATGATTCTGTCTAGTTTTTATACGAAGATATTTCCTTTTCTACATTGGGCCTAAAAGCGCTTGAAATCTCCACCTGCAAATATCACAAAAAGAGGGTTTCACATCTGCTCTGTCTAAAGGACAGTTCACCTCTGTGAGTTGAATAGAGGCAACACAAAGAACTTACTCAGTATTCTTCTTTCTAGCGTTAAATGAAGAAATCCCGTTTCCAACGAAGGCCTCAAAGAGGTCCAAATATCTGCTTGCAGACTTTACAGACAGAGTGTTTCCAAACTACTCTATGAAAAGAAAGCTTAAACTCCTTGAGTTGAACGCACACATCACAAAGTAGTTTCTGAGAATGATTCTGTCTTGTTTTTATACGAAGATATTTCCGTTTCTATGATTGGCCTCAAAGCCATTGAAATCTCCAACTGGAAACTGCACAAATAGGGTGTTTCAAATCTGCTCTGTCTAAAGGAAGGTTCAACTCTGTGAGTTGAATACACACACCAAAAATAAGTTACTGAGAATTCTTCTGTCAAACATTACATGAAGAAATCCCGTTTCCAAAGAAGGCCTCAAAGAGGTCCAAATATCCACTTGCAGACATTACAAACAGAGTGTTTCCAAACTGCTCCATCAAAAGAAAGGTTAAACTCTGTGAGCTGAACACACACATCAAAAAGAAGTTTCTGTGAATGATTCTGTCTAGATTTTATAAGAAGATGTTTCCTTTTCTACCGTAGGCCTCAAAGCGCTTGAAATCTCCAGCTGCAAATTCCACAAAAAGGGTGTTTAACATCTGCTCTTCTAAAGGAAAGTTCAACTCTATGAGTTGAATACACACAGCACAAAGAAGTTACTGAGACTTCTTCTTTCTAGCATTCTATGAAGAAATCCCGTTTCCAACGAAGGCCTCAAAGAGGTCCAAATATCTGCTTGCAGACTTTACAGACAGAGTTTTTCCAAACTGCTCCATCAAAAGAAAGGTTAAACTCCTTGAGTTGAACACACACATCACAAAGTAGTTTCTGTGAATGATTCTGTCTAGTTTTTATACGAAGATGTTTCCTTTTCTACCTTTGGTCTCAAAGCGATTGAAATCTCCACATGGAAACTCCACAAAAAGAGGGTTTCAAATCTGCTCTTTCTGAAGGAAGGTTCACCTCTGTGAGTTGAATAAACACACCACAAATAAGTTACTGAGAATTCTTCTGTGTAACATTATATGAGGAAATCCCGTTTCCAACGAAGGCCTCAAAGAGGTCCAAATATCCACTTGCAGACTTTAGAAACACAGTGTCTCCAAACTCCTCCATCAAAAGAAAGGTTATACTCTGTGAAATGAACGCACACATCAGAAAGTAGTTTCTGAGAATGATTTCTGTCTAGTTTTTATACGAAGATATTTCCTTTTCTACATTTGGCCTAAAAGTGCTTGAAATCTCCACCTGCAAATATCACAAAAAGAGGGTTTCACATCTGCTCTGTCTAAAGGACAGTTCACCTCTGTGAGTTGAATAGAGGCAACACAAAGAACTTACTCAGTATTCTTCTTTCTAGCGTTCTATGAAGAAATCCCGTTTCCAACGAAGGCCCCAAAGAGGTCCAAATATCTGCTTGCACACTTTACAGACAGAGTGTTTCCAAACTACTCTATGAAAAGAAAGCTTAAACTCCTTGAGTTGAACGCACACATCACAAAGAGTTTCTGAGAATGATTCTGTCTTGTTTTTATACGAAGATATTTCCGTTTCTATGATTGGCCTCAAAGCCATTGAAATCTCCAACTGGAAACTGCACAAATAGGGTGTTTCAAATCTGCTCTGTCTAAAGGAAGGTTCAAATCTGTGAGTTGAATACACACACCAAAAATAAGTTACTGAGAATTCTTCTGTCAAACATTACATGAAGAAATCCCGTTTCCAACGAAGGCCTCAAAGAGGTCCAAATATCCACTTGCAGACATTACAAACAGAGTGTTTCCAAACTGCTCCATCAAAAGAAAGGTTAAACTCTGTGAGCTGAACACACACATCAAAAAGAAGTTTCTGTGAATGATTCTGTCTAGATTTTATAAGAAGATGTTTCCTTTTCTACCGTAGGCCTCAAAGCGCTTGAAATCTCCAGCTGCAAATTCCACAAAAAGGGTGTTTAACATCTGCTCTTCTAAAGGAAAGTTCAACTCTATGAGTTGAATACACACAGCACAAAGAAGTTACTGAGACTTCTCCTATCAAACATTATATGAAGAAATCCCGTTTCCAACGAAGGCCTCAAAGAGGTCCAAATATCTGCTTGCAGACTTTACAGACAGAATGTTTCCAAACTGCTCCATCAAAAGAAAGGTTAAACTCCTTGAGTTGAACACACACATCACAAAGTAGTTTCTGTGAATGATTCTGTCTAGTTTTTATACGAAGATGTTTCCTTTTCTACCTTTGGTCTCAAAGCGATTGAAATCTCCACATGGAAACTCCACAAAAAGAGTGTTTCAAATCTGCTCTTTCTGAAGGAAGGTTCAACTCTGTGAGTTGAATACACACACCACAAATAAGTTACTGAGAATTCTTGTGTGTAACATTATATGAGGAAATCCCGTTTCCAACGAAGGCCTCAAAGAGGTCCAAATATCCACTTGCAGACTTTACAAAGACAGTGTCTCCAAACTCCTCCATCAAAAGAAAGGTTATACTCTGTGAATTGAACGCACACATCACAAAGTAGTTTCTGAGAATGATTCTGTCTAGTTTTTATACGAAGATATTTCCTTTTCTACATTTGGCCTAAAAGCGCTTGAAATCTCCACCTGCAAATATCACAAAAAGAGGGTTTCACATCTGCTCTGTCTAAAGGACAGTTCACCTCTGTGAGTTGAATAGAGGCAACACAAAGAACTTACTCAGTATTCTTCTTTCTAGCGTTCTATGAAGAAATCCCGCTTCCAACGAAGGCCCCAAAGAGGTCCAAATATCTGCTTGCAGACTTTACAGACAGAGTGTTTCCAAACTACTCTATGAAAAGAAAGCTTAAACTCCTTGAGTTGAACGCACACATCACAAAGTAGTTTCTGAGAATGATTCTGTCTAGTTTTTATACGAAGATGTTTCCTTTTCTACATTTGGTCTCAAAGCGATTGAAATCTCCAACCGGAAACTGCACAAATAGGGTGTTTCATATCTGCTCTGTCTAAAGGAAGGTTCAAATCTGTGAGTTGAATACTCACACCACAAATAAGTTACTGAGAATTCTTCCGTCGAACATTACTTGAAGAAATCCCGTTTCCAACGAAGGCCTCAAAGAGGTCCAAATATCCACTTGCAGACATTACAAACAGAGTGTTTCCAAAACTGCTCCATCAAAAGAAAGGTTAAACTCTGTGAGCTGAACACACACATCAAAAAGAAGTTTCTGTGAATGATTCTGTCTAGATTTTATAAGAAGATGTTTCCTTTTCTACCGTAGGCCTCAAAGCGCTTGAAATCTCCAGCTGCAAATTCCACAAAAAGGGTGTTTAACATCTGCTCTTCTAAAGGAAAGTTCAACTCTATGAGTTGAATACACACAGCACAAAGAAGTTACTGAGACTTCTCCTATCAAACATTATATGAAGAAATCCCGTTTCCAACGAAGGCCTCAAAGAGGTCCAAATATCTGCTTGCAGACTTTACAGACAGAGTTTTTCCAAACTGCTCCATCAAAAGAAAGGTTAAACTCCTTGAGTTGAACACACACATCACAAAGTAGTTTCTGTGAATGATTATCTGTCTAGTTGTTATACGAAGATGTTTCCTTTTCTAACTTTGGTCTCAAAGCGATTGAAATCTCCACATGGAAACTCCACAAAAAGAGTGTTTCAAATCTGCTCTTTCTGAAGGAAGGTTCATCTCTGTGAGTTGAATACACACACCACAAATAAGCTACTGAGAATTCTTCTGTGTAACATTATATGAGGAAATCCCGTTTCCAACGAAGGCCTTAAAGAGGTCCAAATATCCACTTGCAGACTTTACAAAGACAGTGTCTCCAAACTCCTCCATCAAAAGAAAGGTTATACTCTGTGAATTGAACGCACACATCACAAAGTAGTTTCTGAGAATGATTCTGTCTAGTTTTTATACGAAGATATTTCCTTTTCTACATTTGGCCTAAAAGCGCTTGAAATCTCCACCTGCAAATATCACAAAAAGAGGGTTTCACATCTGCTCTGTCTAAAGGACAGTTCACCTCTGTGAGTTGAATAGAGGCAACACAAAGAACTTACTCAGTATTCTTCTTTCTAGCGTTCTATGAAGAAATCCCGTTTCCAACGAAGGCCCCAAAGAGGTCCAAATATCTGCTTGCAGACTTTACAGACAGAGTGTTTCCAAACTACTCTATGAAAAGAAAGCTTAAACTCCTTGAGTTGAACGCACACATCACAAAGTAGTTTCTGAGAATGATTCTGTCTAGTTTTTATACGAAGATGTTTCCTTTTCTACATTTGGTCTCAAAGCGATTGAAATCTCCAACTGGAAACTGCACAAATAGGGTGTTTCAAATCTGCTCTGTCTAAAGGAAGGTTCAACTCTGTGAGTTGAATACACACACCACAAATAAGTTACTGAGAATTCTCCTATCAAACATTATATGAAGAAATCCCGTTTCCAACGAAGGCCTCAAAGAGGTCCAAATATCCACTTGCAGACATTACAAACAGAGTGTTTCCAAACTGTTCCATCAAAAGAAAGATTAAACTCTGTGAGCTGAACACACACATGAAAAAGAAGTTTCTGTGAATGATTCTGTCTAGATTTTATAAGAAGATGTTTCCTTTTCTACCGTAGGCCTCAAAGCGCTTGAAATCTCCAGCTGCAAATTCCACAAAAAGGGTGTTTAACATCTGCTCTTCTAAAGGAAAGTTCAACTCTATGAGTTGAATACACACAGCACAAAGAAGTTACTGAGACTTCTCCTATCAAACATTATATGAAGAAATCCCGTTTCCAACGAAGGCCTCAAAGAGGTCCAAATATCTGCTTGCAGACTTTACAGACAGAGTGTTTCCAAACTGCTCCATCAAAAGGAAGGTTAACCTCCTTGAGTTGAACACACACATCACAAAGTAGTTTCTGTGAATGATTCTGTCTAGTTTTTATACGAAGATGTTTCCTTTTCTACCTTTGGTCTCAATGCGATTGAAATCTCCACATGGAAACTCCAGAAAAAGAGTGTTTCAAATCTGCTCTTTCTGAAGGAAGGTTCAACTCTGTGAGTTGAATACACACACCACAAATAAGTTACTGAGAATTCTTCTGTGTAACATTATATGAGGAAATCCCGTTTCCAACGAAGGCCTCAAAGAGGTCCAAATATCCACTTGCAGACTTTACAAAGACAGTGTCTCCAAACTCCTCCATCAAAAGAAAGGTTATACTCTGTGAATTGAACGCACACATCACAAAGTAGTTTCTGAGAATGATTCTGTCTAGTTTTTATACGAAGATATTTCCTTTTCTACATTTGGCCTAAAAGCGCTTGAAATCTCCACGTGCAAATATCACAAATAGAGGGTTTCACATCTGCTCTGTCTAAAGGACAGTTCACCTCTGTGAGTTGAATAGAGGCAACACAAAGAACTTACTCAGTATTCTTCTTTCTAGCGTTCTATGAAGAAATCCCGTTTCCAACGAAGGCCTCAAAGAGGTCCAAATATCTGCTTGCAGACTTTACAGACAGAGTGTTTCCAAACTACTCTATGAAAAGAAAGCTTAAACTCCTTGAGTTGAACGCACACATCACAAAGTAGTTTCTGAGAATGATTCTGTCTAGTTTTTATACGAAGATGTTTCCTTTTCTACATTTGGTCTCAAAGCGATTGAAATCTCCAACTGGAAACTGCACAAATAGGGTGTTTCAAATCTGCTCTGTCTAAAGGAAGGTTCAACTCTGTGAGTTGAATACACACACCACAAATAAGTTACTGAGAATTCTTCTGTTGAACATTACATGAAGAAATCCCGTTTCCAACGAAGGCCTCAAAGAGGTCCAAATATCCACTTGCAGACATTACAGACAGAGTGTTTCCAAACTGCTCCATCAAAGGAAAGGTTAAACTCTGTGAGCTGAACACACACATCAAAAAGAAGTTTCTGTGAATGATTCTGTCTAGATTTTATAAGAAGATGTTTCCTTTTCTACCGTAGGCCTCAAAGCGCTTGAAATCTCCAGCTGCAAATTCCACAAAAAGGGTGTTTAACATCTGCTCTTCTAAAGGAAAGTTCAACTCTATGAGTTGAATACACACAGCACAAAGAAGTTTCTGAGACTTCTCCTATCAAACATTATATGAAGAAATCCCGTTTCCAACGAAGGCCTCAAAGAGGTCCAAATATCTACTTGCAGACTTTACAGACAGAGTGTTTCCAAACTGCTCCATCAAAAGAAAGGTTAAACTCCTTGAGTTGAACACACACATCACAAAGTAGTTTCTGTGAATGATTCTGTCTAGTTGTTATACGAAGATGTTTCCTTTTCTACCTTTGGTCTCAAAGCGATTGAAATCTCCACATGGAAACTCCACAAAAAGAGTGTTTCAAATCTGCTCTTTCTGAAGGAAGGTTCATCTCTGTGAGTTGAATACACACACCACAAATAAGTTACTGAGAATTCTTCTGTGTAACATTATATGAGGAAATCCCGTTTCCAACGAAGGCCTCAAAGAGGTCCAAATATCCACTTGCAGACTTTACAAAGACAGTGTCTCCAAACTCCTCCATCAAAAGAAAGGTTATACTCTGTGAATTGAACGCACACATCACAAAGTTGTTTCTGAGAATGATTCTGTCTAGTTTTTATACGAAGATATTTCCTTTTCTACATTTGGCCTAAAAGCGCTTGAAATCTCCACCTGCAAATATCACAAAAAGAGGGTTTCACATCTGCTCTGTCTAAAGGACAGTTCACCTCTGTGAGTTGAATAGAGGCAACACAAAGAACTTACTCAGTATTCTTCTTTCTAGCGTTCTATGAAGAAATCCCGTTTCCAACGAAGGCCTCAAAGAGGTCAAATATCTGCTTGCAGACTTTACAGACAGAGTGTTTCCAAACTACTCTATGAAAAGAAAGCTTAAACTCCTTGAGTTGAACGCACACATCACAAAGTAGTTTCTGAGAATGATTCTGTCTAGTTTTTATACGAAGATGTTTCCTTTTCTACATTTGGTCTCAAAGCGATTGAAATCTCCAACTGGAAACTGCACAAATAGGGTGTTTCAAATCTGCTCTGTCTAAAGGAAGGTTCAACTCTGTGAGTTGAATACACACACCACAAATAAGTTACTGAGAATTCTTCTGTCGAACATTACTTGAAGAAATCCCGTTTCCAAAGAAGGCCTCAAAGAGGTCCAAATATCCACTTGCAGACATTACAAACAGAGTGTTTCCAAACTGCTCCATCAAAAGAAAGGTTAAACTCTGTGAGCTGAACACACACATCAAAAAGAAGTTTCTGTGAATGATTCTGTCTAGATTTTATAAGAAGATGTTTCCTTTTCTACCGTAGGCCTCAAAGCGCTTGAAATCTCCAGCTGCAAATTCCACAAAAAGGGTGTTTAACATCTGCTCTTCTAAAGGAAAGTTCAACTCTATGAGTTGAATACACACAGCACAAAGAAGTTACTGAGACTTCTCCTATCAAACATTATATGAAGAAATCCCGTTTCCAACGAAGGCCTTAAAGAGGTCCAAATATCTGCTTGCAGACTTTACAGACAGAGTTTTTCCAAACTGCTCCATCAAAAGAAATGTTAAACTCCTTGAGTTGAACACACACATCACAAAGCAGTTTCTGTGATTGATTCTGTCTAGTTTTTATACGAAGATGTTTCCTTTTCTACCTTTGGTCTCAAAGCGATTGAAATCTCCACATGGAAACTCCACAAAAAGAGTGTTTCAAATCTGCTCTTTCTGAAGGAAGGTTCAACTCTGTGAGTTGAATACACACACCACAAATAAGTTACTGAGAATTCTTCTGTGTAAAATTATATGAGGAAATCCCGTTTCCAACGAAGGCCTCAAAGAGGTCCAAATATCCACCTGCAGACTTTACAAAGACAGTGTCTCCAAACTCCTCCATCAAAAGAAAGGTTATACTCTGTGAATTGAACGCACACATCACAAAGTAGTTTCTGAGAATGATTCTGTCTAGTTTTTATACGAAGATATTTCCTTTTCTACATTTGACCTAAAAGCGCTTGAAATCTCCACCTGCAAATATCACAAAAAGAGGGTTTCACATCTGCTCTGTCTAAAGGACAGTTCACCTCTGTGAGTTGAATAGAGGCAACACAAAGAACTTACTCAGTATTCTTCTTTCTAGCGTTCAATGAAGAAATCCCGTTTCCAACTAAGGCCCCAATGAGGTCCAAATATCTGCTTGCAGACTTTACAGACAGAGTGTTTCCAAACTACTCTATGAAAAGAAAGCTTAAACTCCTTGAGTTGAACGCACACATCACAAAGTAGTTTCTGAGAATGATTCTGTCTAGTTTTTATACGAAGATGTTTCCTTTTCTACTTTTGGTCTCAAAGCGATTGAAATCTCCAACTGGAAACTGCACAAATAGGGTGTTTCAAATCTGCTCTGTCTAAAGGAAGGTTCAACTCTGTGAGTTGAATACACACACCACAAATAAGTTACAGAGAATTCTTCTGTCGAACATTACTTGAAGAAATCCCGTTTGCAACGAAGGCCTCAAAGAGGTCCAAATATCCACTTGCAGACATTACAACAGAGTGTTTCCAAACTGCTCCATCAAAAGAAAGGTTAAACTCTGTGAGCTGAACACACACATCAAAAAGAAGTTTCTGTGAATGATTCTGTCTAGATTTTATAAGAAGATGTTTCCTTTTCTACCGTAGGCCTCAAAGCGCTTGAAATCTCCAGCTGCAAATTCCACAAAAAGGGTGTTTAACATCTGCTCTTCTAAAGGAAAGTTCAACTCTATGAGTTGAATACACACAGCACAAAGAAGTTACTGAGACTTCTCCTATCAAACATTATATGAAGAAATCCCATTTCCAACGATGGCCTCAGAGAGGTCCAAATATCTGCTTGCAGACTTTACAAAGACAGTGTCTCCAAACTCCTCCATCAAAAGAAAGGTTATACTCTGTGAATTGAACGCACACATCACAAAGTAGTTTCTGAGAATGATTCTGTCTAGTTTTTATACGAAGATATTTCGTTTTCTACATTTGGCCTAAAAGCGCTTGAAATCTCCACGTGCAAATATCACAAAAAGAGGATTTCACATCTGCTCTGTCTAAAGGACAGTTCACTTCTGTGAGTTGAATAGAGGCAACACGAAGAACTTACTCAGTATTCTTCTTTCTAGCGTTCTATGAAGAAATCCCGTTTCCAACGAAGGCCACAAAGAGGTCCAAATATCTGCTTGCAGACTTTACAGACAGAGTGTTTCCAAACTACTCTATGAAAAGAAAGCTTAAACTCCTTGAGTTGAACGCACACATCACAAAGTAGTTTCTGAGAATGATTCTGTCTAGTTTTTATACGAAGATGTTTCCTTTTCTACATTTGGTCTCAAAGCGATTGAAATCTCCAACTGGAAACTGCACAAATAGGGTGTTTCAAATCTGCTCTGTCTAAAGGAAGGTTCAACTCTGTGAGTTGAATACACACACCACAAATAAGTTACTGAGAATTCTTCTGTCGAACATTACTTGAAGAAATCCCGTTTCCAAAGAAGGCCTCAAAGAGGTCCAAATATCCACTTGCAGACATTACAAACAGAGTGTTTCCAAACTGCTCCATCAAAAGAAAGGTTAAACTCTGTGAGCTGAACACACACATCAAAAAGAAGTTTCTGTGAATGATTCTGTCTAGATTTTATAAGAAGATGTTTCCTTTTCTACCGTAGGCCTCAAAGCGCTTGAAATCTCCAGCTGCAAATTCCACAAAAAGGGTGTTTAACATCTGCTCTTCTAAAGGAAAGTTCAACTCAATGAGTTGAATACACACAGCACAAAGAAGTTACTGAGACTTCTCCTATCAAACATTATATGAAGAAATCCCGTTTCCAACGAAGGCCTCAAAGAGGTCCAAATATCTGCTTGCAGACTTTAAAGACAGAGTTTTTCCAAACTGCTCCATCAAAAGAAAGGTTAAACTCCTTGAGTTGAACACACACATCACAATGTAGTTTCTGTGAATGATTCTGTCTAGTTTTTATAAGAAGATGTTTCCTTTTCTACCTTTGGTCTCAAAGCGATTGAAATCTCCACATGGAAACTCCACAAAAAGAGTGTTTCAAATCTGCTCTTTCTGAAGGAAGGTTCAACTCTGTGAGTTGAATACACACACCACAAATAAGTTACTTAGAATTCTTCTGTGTAACATATATGAGGAAATCCCGTTTCCAACGAAGGCCTCAAAGAGTTCCAAATATCCACTTGCAGACTTTAGAAAGACAGTGTCTCCAAACTCCTCCATCAAAAGAAAGGTTATACTCTGTGAATTGAACGCACACATCACAAAGTAGTTTCTGAGAATGATTCTGTCTAGTTTTTATACGAAGATATTTCCTTTTCTACATTTGGCCTAAAAGCGCTTGAAATCTCCACCTGCAAATATCAGAAAAAGAGGGTTTCACATCTGCTCTGTCTAAAGGACAGTTCACCTCTCTGAGTTGAATAGAGGCAACACAAAGAACTTACTCAGTATTCTTCTTTCTAGCGTTCTATGAAGAAATCCCGTTTCCAACGAAGGGCCCCAAAGAGGTCCAAATATCTGCTTGCAGACTTTAGAGACAGAGTGTTTCCAAACTACTCTATGAAAAGAAAGCTTAAACTCCTTGAGTTGAACGCACACATCACAAAGTAGTTTCTGGGAATGATTCTGTCTAGTTTTTATACGAAGATGTTTCCTTTTCTACATTTGGTCTCAAAGCGATTGAAATCTCCAACTGGAAACTGCACAAATAGGGTGTTTCAAATCTGCTCTGTCTAAAGGAAGGTTCAACTCTGTGAGTTGAATACACACACCACAAATAAGTTACTGAGAATTCTTCTGTCGACCATTACTTGAAGAAATCCCGTTTCCAACGAAGGCCTCAAAGAGGTCCAAATATCCACTTGCAGACATTACAAACAGAGTGTTTCCAAACTGCTCCATCAAAAGAAAGGTTAAACTCTGTGAGCTGAACACACACATCGAAAAGAAGTTTCTGTGAATGATTCTGTCTAGATTTTATAAGAAGATGTTTCCTTTTCTACCGTAGGCCTCAAAGCGCTTGAAATCTCCAGCTGCAAATTCCACAAAAAGGGTGTTTAACATCTGCTCTTCTAAAGGAAAGTTCAACTCTATGAGTTGAATACACACAGCACAAAGAAGTTACTGAGACTTCTCCTATCAAACATTATATGAAGAAATCCCGTTTCCAACGAAGGCCTCAAAGAGGTCCAAATATCTGCTTGCAGACTTTACAGACAGAGTGTTTCCAAACTGCTCCATCAAAAGAAAGGTTAAACTCCTTGAGTTGAACACACACATCACAAAGTAGTTTCTGTGAATGATTCTGTCTAGTTGTTATACGAAGATGTTTCCTTTTCTACCTTTGGTCTCAAAGCGATTGAAATCTCCACATGGAAACTCCACGAAAAGAGTGTTTCAAATCTGCTCTTTCTGAAGGAAGGTTCATCTCTGTGAGTTGAATACACACACCACAAATAAGTTACTGAGAATTCTTCTGTGTAACATTATATGAGGAAATCCCGTTTCCAACGAAGGCCTCAAAGAGGTCCAAATATCCACTTGCAGACTTTACAAAGACAGTGTCTCCAAACTCCTCCATCAAAAGAAAGGTTATACTCTGTGAATTGAACGCACACATCACAAAGTAGTTTCTGAGAATGATTCTGTCTAGTTTTTATACGAAGATATTTCCTTTTCTACATTTGGCCTAAAAGCGCTTGAAATCTCCACCTGCAAATATCACAAAAAGAGGGTTTCACATCTGCTCTGTCTAAAGGACAGTTCACCTCTGTGAGTTGAATAGAGGCAACACAAAGAACTTACTCAGTATTCTTCTTTCTAGCGTTCTATGAAGAAATCCCGTTTCCAACGAAGGCCCCAAAGAGGTCCAAATATCTGCTTGCAGACTTTACAGACAGAGTGTTTCCAAACTACTCTATGAAAAGAAAGCTTAAACTCCTTGAGTTGAACGCACACATCACAAAGTAGTTTCTCAGAATGATTCTGTCTAGTTTTTATACGAAGATGTTTCCTTTTCTACATTTGGTCTCAAAGCGATTGAAATCTCCAACTGGAAACTGCACAAATAGGCTGTTTCAAATCTGCTCTGTCTAAAGGAAGGTTGAACTCTGTGAGTTGAATACACACACCACAAATAAGTTACTGAGAATTCTTCTGTCGAACATTACAGGAAGAAATCCCGTTTCCAACGAAGGCCTCAAAGAGGTCCAAATATCCACTTGCAGACATTACAAACAGTGTGTTTCCCAACTGCTCCATCAAAAGAAAGGTTAAACTCTGTGAGCTGAACACACACATCAAAAAGAAGTTTCTGTGAATGATTCTGTCTAGATTTTATAAGAAGATGTTTCCTTTTCTACCGTAGGCCTCAAAGCGCTTGAAATCTCCAGCTGCAAATTCCACAAAAAGGGTGTTTAACATCTGCTCTTCTAAAGGAAAGTTCAACTCTATGAGTTGAATACACACAGCACAAAGAAGTTACTGAGACTTCTCCTATCAAACATTATATGAAGAAATCCCGTTTCCAACGAAGGCCTCAAAGAGGTCCAAATATCCACTTGCAGACATTACAAACAGAGTGTTTCCAAACTGCTCCATCAAAAGAAAGGTTAAACTCTGTGAGCTGAACACACACATCAAAAAGAAGTTTCTGTGAATGATTCTGTCTAGATTTTATAAGAAGATGTTTCCTTTTCTACCGTAGGCCTCAAAGCGCTTGAAATCTCCAGCTGCAAATTCCACAAAAAGGGTGTTTAACATCTGCTCTTCTAAAGGAAAGTTCAACTCTATGAGTTGAATACACACAGCACAAAGAAGTTACTGAGACTTCTCCTATCAAACATTATATGAAGAAATCCCGTTTCCAACGAAGGCCTCGAAAAGGTCCAAATATCTGCTTGCAGACTTTACAGACAGAGTGTTTCCAAACTGCTCCATCAAAAGAAAGGTCAAACTCCTTGAGTTGAACACACACATCACAAAGTAGTTTTTGTGAATGATTCTGTCTAGTTTTTATACGAAGATGTTTCCTTTTCTACCTTTGGTCTCAAAGCGATTGAAATCTCCACATGGAAACTCCACAAAAAGAGTGTTTCAAATCTGCTCTTTCTGAAGGAAGGTTCAACTCTGTGAGTTGAATACACACACCACAAATAAGTTACTGAGAATTCTTCTGTGTAATATTATATGAGGAAATCCCGTTTCCAACGAAGGCCTCAAAGAGGTCCAAATATCCACTTGCAGACTTTAGAAACACAGTGTCTCCAAACTCCTCCATCAAAAGAAAGGTTATACTCTGTGAAATGAAGGCACACATCACAAAGTAGTTTCTGAGAATGATTCTGTCTAGTTTTTATACGAAGATATTTCCTTTTCTACATTTGGCCAAAAAGCGCTTGAAATCTCCACCTGCAAATATCACAAAAAGAGGGTTTCACATCTGCTCTGTCTAAAGGACAGTTCACCTCTGTGAGTTGAATAGATTCAACACAAAGAATTTACTGAGTATTCTTCTTTCTAGCGTTCTATGAAGAAATCCCGTTTCCAACGAAGGCCTCAAAGAGGTCCAAATATCTGCTTGCAGACTTTACAGACAGAGTGTTTCCAAACTACTCTATGAAAAGAAAGCTTAAACTCCGTGAGTTGAACGCACACATCACTAAGTAGTTTCTGAGAATGATTCTGTCTTGTTTTTATACGAAGATATTTCCGTTTCTACGATTGGCCTCAAAGCGATTGAAATCTCCAACTGGAAACTGCACAAACAGGGTGTTTCAAATCTGCTCTGTCTAAAGGAAGGTTCAACTCTGTGAGTTGAATACACACACCACAAATCAGTTACTGAGAATTCTTCTGTCGAACATTACATGAAGAAATCCCGTTTCCAACGAAGGCCTCAAAGAGATCCAAATATCTACTTGCCGACATGGCAAACACAGTGTTTGCAAACTGCTCCGTCAGAAGAAAGGTTAAACTCTGTGAGATGAACACACACATCAAAAAGAAGTTTCTGTGAATGATTCTGTCTAGATTTTATAAGAAGATGTTTCCTTTTCTACCGTAGGCCTCAAAGCGCTTGAAATCTCCAGCTGCAAATTCCACAAAAAGGGTGTTTAACATCTGCTCTTCTAAAGGAAAGTTCAACTCTATGAGTTGAATACACACAGCACAAAGAAGTTACTGAGACTTCTCCTATCAAACATTATATGAAGAAATCCCGTTTCCAACGAAGGCCTCAAAGAGGTCCAAATATCTGCTAGCAGACTTTAAAGACAGAGTTTTTCCAAACTGCTCCATCAAAAGAAAGGTTAAACTCCTTGAGTTGAACACACACATCACAAAGTAGTTTCTGTGAATGATTCTGTCTAGTTTTTATACGAAGATGTTTCCTTTTCTAGCTTTGGTCTCAAAGCGATTGAAATCTCCACATGGAAACTCCACAAAAAGAGTGTTTCAAATCTGCTGTTTCTGAAGGAAGGTTCAACTCTGTGAGTTGAATACACGCACCACAAATAAGTTACTGGGAATTCTTCTGTGTAAAATTATATGAGGAAATCCCGTTTCCAACGAAGGCCTCAAAGAGGTCCAAATATCCACTTGCAGACTTTACAAAGACAGTGTCTCCAAACTCCTCCATCAAAAGAAAGGTTATACTCTGTGAATTGAACGCACACATCACAAAGTAGTTTCTGAGAATGATTCTGTCTAGTTTTTATACGAAGATATTTCCTTTTCTACATTTGGCCTAAAAGCGCTTGAAATCTCCACCTGCAAATATCACAAAAAGAGGGTTTCACATCTGCTCTGTCTAAAGGACAGTTCACCTCTGTGAGTTGAATAGAGGCAACACAAAGAACGTACTCAGTATTCTTCTTTCTAGCGTTCTATGAAGAAATCCGGTTTCCAACGAAGACCCCAATGAGGTCCAAATATCTGCTTGCAGACTTTACAGACAGAGTGTTTCCAAACTACTCTATGAAAAGAAAGCTTAAACTCCTTGAGTTGAACGCACACATCACAAAGTAGTTTCTGAGAATGATTCTGTCTAGTTTTTATACGAAGATGTTTCCTTTTCTACATTTGGTCTCAAAGCGATTGAAATCTCCAACTGGAAACTGCACAAATAGGGTGTTTCAAATCTGCTCTGTCTAAAGGAAGGTTCAACTCTTTGAGTTGAATACACACACCACAAATAAGTTACTGAGAATTCTTCTGTCGAACATTACATGAAGAAATCCCGTTTCCAACGAAGGCCTCAAAGAGGTCCAAATATCCACTTGCAGACATTACAAACAGAGTGTTTCCAAACTGCTCCATCAAAAGAAAGGTTAAACTCTGTGAGCTGAACACACACATCAAAAAGAAGTTTCTGTGAATGATTCTGTCTAGATTTTATAAGAAGATGTTTCCTTTTCTACCGTAGGCCTCAAAGCGCTTGAAATCTCCAGCTGCAAATTCCACAAAAAGGGTGTTTAACATCTGCTCTTCTAAAGGAAAGTTCAACTCTATGAGTTGAATACACACAGCACAAAGAAGTTACTGAGACTTCTCCTATCAAACATTATATGAAGAAATCCCGTTTCCAATGAAGGCCTCAAAGAGGTCCAAATATCTGTTTGCAGACTTTACAGACAGTGTGTTTCCAAACTGCTCCATCAAAAGAAAGGTTAAACTCCTTGAGTTGAACACACACATCACAAAGTAGTTTCTGTGAATGATTCTGTCTAGTTTTTATACGAAGATGTTTCCTTTTCTACCTTTGGTCTCAAAGCGATTGAAATCTCCACATGGAAACTCCACAAAAAGAGTGTTTCAAATCTGCTCTTTCTGAAGGAAGCTTCAACTCTGTGAGTTGAATACACACACCACAAATAAGTTACTGAGAATTCTTCTGTGTAACATTATATGAGGAAATCCCGTTTCCAACGAAGGCCTCAAAGAGGTCCAAATATCCACTTGCAGACTTTACAAAGACAGTGTCTCCAAACTCCTCCATCAAAAGAAAGGTTATACTCTGTGAATTGAACGCACACATCACAAAGTAGTTTCTGAGAATGATTCTGTCTAGTTTTTATACGAAGATATTTCCTTTTCTACATTTGGCCTAAAAGCGCTTGAAATCTCCACCTGCAAATATCACAAAAAGAGGGTTTCACATCTGCTCTGTCTAAAGGACAGTTCACCTCTGTGAGTTGAATAGAGGCAACACAAAGAACTTACTCAGTATTCTTCTTTCTAGCGTTCTATGAAGAAATCCCGTTTCCAACGAAGGCCCCAAAGAGGTCCAAATATCCGCTTGCAGACTTTACAGACAGAGTGTTTCCAAACTGCTCCATCAAAAGAAAGGTTAAACTCCTTGAGTTGAACACACACATCACAAAGTAGTTTCTGTGAATGATTCTGTCTAGTTTTTATACGAAGATGTTTCCTTTTCTACCTTTGGTCTCAAAGCGATTGAAATCTCCACATGGAAACTCCACAAAAAGAGTGTTTCAAATCTGCTCTTTCTGAAGGAAGGTTCAACTCTGTGAGTTGAATACACACATCACAAATAAGTTAATGAGAATTCTTCTGTGTAACATTATATGAAGAAATCCCGTTTCCAACGAAGGCCTCAAAGAGATCCAAATATCCACTTGCAGACTTTACAAAGACAGTGTCTCCAAACTCCTCCATCAAAAGAAAGGTTATACTCTGTGAATTGAACGCACACATCACAAAGTAGTTTCTGAGAATGATTCTGTCTAGTTTTTATACGAAGATATTTCCTTTTCTACATTTGGCCTAAAAGCGCTTGAAATCTCCACCTGCAAATATCACAAAAAGAGGGTTTCACATCTGCTCTGTCTAAAGGACAGTTCACCTCTGTGAGTTGAATAGAGGCAACACAAAGAACTTACTCAGTATTCTTCTTTCTAGCGTTCTATGAAGAAATCCCGTTTCCAACGAAGGCCCCAAAGAGGTCCAAATATCTGCTTGCAGACTTTACAGACAGAGTGTTTCCAAACTACTCTATGAAAAGAAAGCTTAAACTCCTTGAGTTGAACGCACACATCACAAAGTAGTTTCTGAGAATGATTCTGTCTAGTTTTTATACGAAGATGTTTCCTTTTCTACATTTGGTCTCAAAGCGATTGAAATCTCCAACTGGAAACTGCACAAATAGGGTGTTTCAAATCTGCTCTGTCTAAAGGAAGGTTCAACTCTGTGAGTTGAATACACACACCACAAATAAGTTACTGAGAATTCTTCTGTCGAAAATTACTTGAAGAAATCCCATTTCCAAAGAAGGCCTCAAAGAGGTCCAAATATCCACTTGCACAAATTACAAAGAGAGTGTTTCCAAACTGCTCCATCAAAAGAAAGGTTAAACTCTGTGAGCTGAACACACACATCAAAAAGAAGTTTCTGTGAATGATTCTGTCTAGATTTTATAAGAAGATGTTTCCTTTTCTACCGTAGGCCTCAAAGCGCTTGAAATCTCCAGCTGCAAATTCCACAAAAAGGGTGTTTAACATCTGCTCTTCTAAAGGAAAGTTCAACTCTATGCGTTGAATACACACAGCACAAAGAAGTTACTGAGACTTCTCCTATCAAACATTATATGAAGAAATCCCGTTTCCAACGAAGGCCTCAAAGAGGTCCAAATATCTGCTTGCAGACTTTACAGACAGAGTTTTTCCAAACTGCTCCATCAAAAGAAAGGTTAACCTCCTTGAGTTGAACACACACATCACAAAGTAGTTTCTGTGAATGATTCTGTCTAGTTTTTATACGAAGATGTTTCCTTTTCTACCTTTGGTCTCAAAGCGATTGAAATCTCCACATGGAAACTCCACAAAAAGAGTGTTTCAAATCTGCTCTTTCTGAAGGAAGGTTCAACTCTGTGAGTTGAATACACACACCACAAATAAGTTACTGAGAATTCTTCTGTGTAACATTATATGAGGAAATCCCGTTTCCAACGAAGGCCTCAAAGAGGTCCAAATATCCACTTGCAGACTTTACAAAGACAGTGTCTCCAAACTCCTCCATCAAAAGAAAGGTTATACTCTGTGAATTGAACGCACACATCACAAAGTAGTTTCTGAGAATGATTCTGTCTAGTTTTTATACGAAGATATTTCCTTTTCTACATTTGGCCTAAAAGCGCTTGAAATCTCCACCTGCAAATATCACAAAAAGAGGGTTTCACATCTGCTCTGTCTAAAGGACAGTTCACCTCTGTGAGTTGAATAGAGGCAACACAAAGAACTTACTCAGTATTCTTCTTTCTAGCGTTCTATGAAGAAATCCCGTTTCCAACGAAGGCCTCAAAGAGGTCCAAATATCTGCTTCCAGACTTTACAGACAGAGTGTTTCCAAACTACTCTATGAAAAGAAACCTTAAACTCCTTGAGTTGAACGCACACATCACAAAGTAGTTTCTGAGAATGATTGTGTCTTGTTTTTATACGAAGATATTTCCGTTTCTATGATTGGCCTCCAAGCGATTGAAATCTCCAACTGGAAACTGCACAAATAGGGTGTTTCAAATCTGCTCTGTCTAAAGGAAGGTTCAACTCTGTGAGTGGAATACACACACCACAAATAACTTACTGAGAATTCTTCTGTCGAACATTACTTGAAGAAATCCCGTTTCCAACGAAGGCCCCAAAGAGGTCCAAATATCCACTTGCAGAAATTACAAACAGAGTGTTTCCAAACTGCTCCATCAAAAGAAAGGTTAAACTCTGTGAGTTGAACACACACATCACAAAGTAGTTTCTGTGAATGATTCTGTCTAGATTTTATAAGAAGATGTTTCCTTTTCTACCGTCGGCCTCAAAGCGCTTGAAATCTCCAGCTGCAAATTCCACAAAAAGGGTGTTTAACATCTGGTCTTCTAAAGGAAAGTTCAACTCTATGAGTTGAATACACACAGCACAAAGAAGTTACTGAGACTTCTCCTATCAAACATTATATGAAGAAATCCCGTTTCCAACGAAGGCCTCAAAGAGGTCCAAATATCTGCTTGCAGACTTTACAGACAGAGTTTTTCCAAACTGCTCCATCAAAAGAAAGGTTAAACTCCTTGAGTTGAACACACACATCACAAAGTAGTTTCTGTGAATGATTCTGTCTAGTTTTTATACGAAGATGTTTCCTTTTCTACCTTTGGTCTCAAAGCGATTGAAATCTCCACATGGAAACTCCACAAAAAGAGTGTTTCAAATCTGCTCTTTCTGAAGGAAGGTTGAACTCTGTGAGTTGAATACACACACCACAAATAAGTTACTGAGAATTCTTCTGTGTAACATTATATGAGGAAATCCCGTTTCCAACGAAGGCCTCAAAGAGGTCCAAATATCCACTTGCAGACTTTACAAAGACAGTGTCTCCAAACTCCTCCATCAAAAGAAAGGTTATACTCTGTGAATTGAACGCACACATCACAAAGTAGTTTCTGAGAATGATTCTGTCTAGTTTTTATGCGAAGATATTTCCTTTTCTACATTTGGCCTAAAAGCGCTTGAAATCTCCACCTGCAAATATCACAAAAAGAGGGTTTCACATCTGCTCTGTCTAAAGGACAGTTCACCTCTGTGAGTTGAATAGAGGCAACACAAAGAAGTTACTGGGTATTCTTCTTTCTAGCGTTATATGAAGAAATCCCGTTTCCAACGAAGGCCTCAAAGAGGTCCAAATATCTGCTTGCAGACTTTACAGACAGAGTGTTTCCAAACTGCTCTATGAAAAGAAAGCTTAAACTCCGTGAGTTGAACGCACACATCACAAAGTAGTTTTGGGGAATGATTCTGTCTAGTTTTTATACGAAGATGTTTCCTTTTCTACATTTGTCTCAAAGCGATTGAAATCTCCAACTGGAAACTGCACAAATAGGCTGTTTCAAATCTGCTCTGTCTAAAGGACAGTTCACCTCTGTGAGTTGAATAGAGGCAACAAAAAGAACTTACTCAGTATTCTTCTTTCTAGCGTTCTATGAAGAAATCCCGTTTCCAACGAAGGCCTCAAAGAGGTCCAAATATCCACTTGCAGACTTTACAAAGACAGTGTCTCCAAACTCCTCCATCAAAGAAAGGTTATACTCTGTGAATTGAACGCACACATCACAAAGTAGTTTCTGAGAATGATTCTGTCTAGTTTTTATACGAAGATATTTCCTTTTCTACATTTGGCCTAAAAGCACTTGAAATCTCCACCTGCAAATATCCCAAAAAGAGGGTTTCACATCTGCTCTGTCTAAAGGACAGTTCTCCTCTGTGAGTAGAATAGAGGCAACACAAAGAACTTAGTATTCTTCTTTCTACCGTTCTATGAAGAAATCCCGTTTCCAACGAAGGCCTCAAAGAGGTCCAAATATCTGCTTGCAGACTTTACAGACAGAGTGTTTCCAAACTACTCTATGAAAAGAAAGCTTAAACTCCTTGAGTTGAACGCACACATCACAAAGTAGTTTCTGAGAATGATTCTGTCTAGTTTTTATACGAAGATGTTTCCTTTTCTACATTTGGTCTGAAAGCGATTGAAATCTCCAACTGGAAACTGCACAAATAGGCTGTTTCAAATCTGCTCTGTCTAAAGGAAGGTTCAGCTCTGTGAGTTGAATACACACACCACAAATAAGTTACTGAGAATTCTTCTGTCGAACATTACAGGAAGAAATCCCGTTTCCAATGAAGGCCTCAAAGAGGTCCAAATATCCACTTGCGGACATTACAAACAGTGTGTTTCCCAACTGCTCCATCAAAAGAAAGGTTAAACTCTGTGAGCTGAACACACACATCAAAAAGAAGTTTCTGTGAATGATTCTGTCTAGATTTTATAAGAAGATGTTTCCTTTTCTACCGTAGGCCTCAAAGCGCTTGAAATCTCCAGCTGCAAATTCCACAAAAAGGGTGTTTAACATCTGCTCTTCTAAAGGAAAGTTCAACTCTATGAGTTGAATACACACAGCACAAAGAAGTTACTGAGACTTCTCCTATCAAACATTATATGAAGAAATCCCGTTTCCAACGAAGGACTCAAAGAGGTCCAAATATCTGCTTGCAGACTTTACAGACAGTGTGTTTCCAAACTGCTCCATCAAAAGAAAGGTTAAACTCCTTGAGTTGAACACACACATCACAAAGTAGTTTCTGTGAATGATTCTGTCTAGTTGTTATACGAAGATGTTTCCTTTTCTACCTTTGGTCTCAAAGCGATTGAAATCTCCACATGGAAACTCCACAAAAAGAGTGTTTCAAATCTGCTCTTTCTGAAGGAAGGTTCATCTCTGTGAGTTGAATACACACACCACAAATAAGTTACTGAGAATTCTTCTGTGTAACATTATATGAGGAAATCCCGTTTCCAACGAAGGCCTCAAAGAGGTCCAAATATCCACTTGCAGACTTTACAAAGACAGTGTCTCCAAACTCCTCCATCAAAAGAAAGGTTATACTCTGTGAATTGAACGCACACATCACAAAGTAGTTTCTGAGAATGATTCTGTCTAGTTTTTATACGAAGATATTTCCTTTTCTACATTTGGCCTAAAAGCGCTTGAAATCTCCACGTGCAAATATCACAAAAAGAGGGTTTCACATCTGCTCTGTCTAAAGGACAGTTCACCTCTGTGAGTTGAATAGAGGCAACACAAAGAACTTACTCAGTATTCTTCTTTCTAGCGTTCTATGAAGAAATCCCGTTTCCAACGAAGACCCCAATGAGGTCCAAATATCTGCTTGCAGACTTTACAGACAGAGTGTTTCCAAAGTACTCTATGAAAAGAAAGCTTAAACTCCTTGAGTTGAACGCACACATCACAAAGTAGTTACTGAGAATGATTCTGTCTAGTTTTTATACGAAGATGTTTCCTTTTCTACATTTGGTCTCAAAGCGATTGAAATCTCCAACTGGAAACTGCACAAATAGGCTGTTTCAAATCTGCTCTGTCTAAAGGAAGGTTCAGCTCTGTGAGTTGAATACACACACCACAAATAAGTTACTGAGAATTCTTCTGTCGAACATTACTTGAAGAAATCCCGTTTCCAACGAAGGCCTCAAAGAGGTCCAAATATCCACTTGCAGATATTACAAACAGAGTGTTTCCAAACTGCTCCATCAAAAGAAAGGTTAAACTCTGTGAGCTGAACACACACATCAAAAAGAAGTTTCTGTGAATGATTCTGTCTAGATTTTATAAGAAGATGTTCCCTTTTCTACCGTAGGCCTCAAAGCGCTTGAAATCTCCAGCTGCAAATTCCACAAAAAGGGTGTTTAACATCTGCTCTTCTAAAGGAAAGTTCAACTCTATGAGTTGAATACACACAGCACAAAGAAGTTACTGAGACTTCTCCTATCAAACATTATATGAAGAAATCCCGTTTCCAACGAAGGCCTCAAAGAGGTCCAAATATCTGCTTGCAGACTTTAAAGACAGAGTTTTTCCAAACTCCTCCATCAAAAGAAAGGTTAAACTCCTTGAGTTGAACACACACATCACAAAGTAGTTTCTGTGAATGATTCTGTCTAGTTTTTATACGAAGATGTTTCCTTTTCTACCTTTGGTCTCAAAGCGATTGAAATCTCCACATGGAAACTCCACAAAAAGAGTGTTTCAAATCTGCTCTTTCTGAAGGAAGGTTCAACTCTGTGAGTTGAATACACACACCACAAATAAGTTACTGAGAATTCTTCTGTGTAACATTATATGAGGAAATCCCGTTTCCAACGAAGGCCTCAAAGAGGTCCAAATATCCACTTGCAGACTTTACAAAGACAGTGTCTCCAAACTCCTCCATCAAAAGAAAGGTTATACTCTGTGAATTGAACGCACACATCACAAAGTAGTTTCTGAGAATGATTCTGTCTAGTTTTTATACGAAGATATTTCCTTTTCTACATTTGGCCTAAAAGCGCTTGAAATCTCCACCTGCAAATATCACAAAAAGAGGGTTTCACATCTGCTCTGTCTAAAGGACAGTTCACCTCTGTGAGTTGAATAGAGGCAACACAAAGAACTTACTCAGTATTCTTCTTTCTAGCGTTCTATGAAGAAATCCCGTTTCCAACGAAGGCCTCAAAGAGGTCAAATATCTGCTTGCAGACTTTACAGACAGAGTGTTTCCAAACTACTCTATGAAAAGAAAGCTTAAACTCCTTGAGTTGAACGCACACATCACAAAGTAGTTTCTGAGAATGATTCTGTCTAGTTTTTATACGAAGATGTTTCCTTTTCTACATTTGGTCTCAAAGCGATTGAAATCTCCAACTGGAAACTGCACAAATAGGGTGTTTCAAATCTGCTCTGTCTAAAGGAAGGTTCAACTCTGTGAGTTGAATACACACACCACAAATAAGTTACTGAGAATTCTTCTGTCGAACATTACTTGAAGAAATCCCGTTTCCAACGAAGGCCTCAAAGAGGTCCAAATATCCACTTGCAGACGTTACAAACAGAGTGTTTCCAAACTGCTCCATCAAAAGAAAGGTTAAACTCTGTGAGCTGAACACACACATCAAAAAGAAGTTTCTGTGAATGATTCTGTCTAGATTTTATAAGAAGATGTTTCCTTTTCTACCATAGGCCTCAAAGCGCTTGAAATCTCCAGCTGCAAATTCCACAAAAAGGGTGTTTAACATCTGCTCTTCTAAAGGAAAGTTCAACTCTATGAGTTGAATACACACAGCACAAAGAAGTTACTGAGACTTCTCCTATCAAACATTATATGAAGAAATCCCGTTTCCAACGAAGGTCTCAAAGAGGTCCAAATATCTGCTTGCAGACTTTACAGACAGAGTTTTTCCAAACTGCTCCATCAAAAGAAAGGTTAAACTCCTTGAGTTGAACACACACATCACAAAGTAGTTTCTGTGAATGATTCTGTCTAGTTTATATACGAAGATGTTTCCTTTTCTACCTTTGGTCTCAATGCGATTGAAATCTCCACATGGAAACTCCACAAAAAGAGTGTTTCAAATCTGCTCTTTCTGAAGGAAGGTTCATCTCTGTGAGTTGAATACACACACCACAAATAAGTTACTGAGAATTCTTCTGTGTAACATTATAGGAGGAAATCCCGTTTCCAACGAAGGCCTCAAAGAGGTCCAAATATCCACTTGCAGACTTTACAAAGACAGTGTCTCCAAACTCCTCCATCAAAAGAAAGGTTATACTCTGTGAATTGAACGCACACATCACAAAGTAGTTTCTGAGAATGATTCTGTCTAGTTTTTATACGAAGATATTTCCTTTTCTACATTTGGCCTAAAAGCGCTTGAAATCTCCACCTGCAAATATGACAAAAAGAGGGTTTCACATCTGCTCTGTCTAAAGGACAGTTCCCCTCTGTGAGTTGAATAGAGGCAACACAAAGAACTTACTCAGTATTCTTCTTTCTAGCGTTCTATGAAGAAATCCCGTTTCCAACGAAGGCCTCAAAGAGGTCCAAATATCTGCTTGCAGACTTTACAGACAGAGTGTTTCCAAACTACTCTATGAAAAGAAAGCTTAAACTCCTTGAGTTGAACGCACACATCACAAAGTAGTTTCTGAGAATGATTCTGTCTAGTTTTTATAAGAAGATGTTTCCTTTTCTACATTTGGTCTCAAAGCGATTGAAATCTCCAACTGGAAACTGCACAAATAGGGTGTTTCAAATCTGCTCTGTCTAAAGGAAGGTTCAACTCTGTGAGTTGAATACACACACCACAAATAAGTTACTGAGAATTCTTCTGTCGAACATTACATGAAGAAATCCCGTTTCCAACGAAGGCCTCAAAGAGGTCCAAATATCCACTTGCAGAGATTACAAACAGTGTGTTTCCAAACTGCTCCATCAAAAGAAAGGTTAAACTCTGTGAGCTGAACCCACACATCAAAAAGAAGTTTCTGTGAATGATTCTGTCTAGATTTTATAAGAAGATGTTTCCTTTTCTACCGTAGGCCTCAAAGCGCTTGAAATCTCCAGCTGCAAATTCCACAAAAAGGGTGTTTAACATCTGCTCTTCTAAAGGAAAGTTCAACTCTATGAGTTGAATACACACAGCACAAAGAAGTTACTGAGACTTCTCCTATCAAACATTATATGAAGAAATCCCGTTTCCAACGAAGGCCTCAAAGAGGTCCAAATATCCACTTGCAGACGTGACAAACAGAGTGTTTCCAAACTGCTCCATCAAAAGAAAGGTTAAACTCTGTGAGTTGAACACACACATCACAAAGTAGTTTCTGTGAATGATTCTGTCTAGTTTTCATACGAAGATGTTTCCTTTTCTACGTTTGGTCTCAAAGCCATTGAAATCTCCACATGGAAACTCCACAAAAAGAGGGTTTCAAATCTGTTCTTTCTGAAGGAAGGTTCAACTCTGTGAGTTGAATACACACACCACAAATAAGTTACTGAGAATTCTTCTGTGTAACATTATATGAGGAAATCCCGTTTCCAACGAAGCCTCAAAGAGGTCCAAATATCCACTTGCAGACTTTACAAAGACAGTGTCTCCAAACTCCTCCATCAAAAGAAAGGTTATACTCTGTGAATTGAACGCACACATCACAAAGTAGTTTCTGAGAATGATTCTGTCTAGTTTTTATACGAAGATATTTCCTTTTCTACATTTGGCCTAAAAGCGCTTGAAATCTCCACCTGCAAATATCACAAAAAGAGGGTTTCACGTCTGCTCTGTCTAAAGGACAGTTCACCTCTGTGAGTTGAATAGAGGCAACACAAAGAACTTACTCAGTATTCTTCTTTCTAGCGTTCTATGAAGAAATCCGGTTTCCAACGAAGACCCCAATGAGGTCCAAATATCTGCTTGCAGACTTTACAGACAGAGTGTTTCCAAACTACTCTATGAAAAGAAAGCTTAAACTCCTTGAGTTGAACGCACACATCACAAAGTAGTTTCTGAGAATGATTCTGTCTAGTTTTTATACGAAGATGTTTCCTTTTCTACATTTGGTCTCAAAGCGATTGAAATCTCCAACTGGAAACTGCACAAATAGGGTGTTTCAAATCTGCTCTGTCTAAAGGAAGGTTCAACTCCTGTGAGTTGAATACACACACCACAAATAAGTTACTGAGAATTCTTCTGTCGACCATTACTTGATGAAATCCCGTTGTCCAACGAAGGCCTCAAAGAGGTCCAAATATCCACTTGCAGACATTACAAACAGAGTGTTTCCAAACTGCTCCATCAAAAGAAAGGTTAAACTCTGTGAGCTGAACACACACATCGAAAAGAAGTTTCTGTGAATGATTCTGTCTAGATTTTATAAGAAGATGTTTCCTTTTCTACCGTAGGCCTCAAAGCGCTTGAAATCTCCAGCTGCAAATTCCACAAAAAGGGTGTTTAACATCTGCTCTTCTAAAGGAAAGTTCAACTCTATGAGTTGAATACACACAGCACAAAGAAGTTACTGAGACTTCTCCTATCAAACATTATATGAAGAAATCCCGTTTCCAACGAAGGCCTCAAAGAGGTCCAAATATCTGCTTGCAGACTTTACAGACAGAGTGTTTCCAAACTGCTCCATCAAAAGAAAGGTTAACCTCCTTGAGTTGAACACACACATCACAAAGTAGTTTCTGTGAATGATTCTGTCTAGTTTTTATACGAAGATGTTTCCTTTTCTACCTTTGGTCTCAATGCGATTGAAATCTCCACATGGAAACTCCACAAAAAGAGTGTTTCAAATCTGCTCTTTCTGAAGGAAGGTTCATCTCTGTGAGTTGAATACACACACCACAAATAAGTTACTGAGAATTCTTCTGTGTAACATTATATGAGGAAATCCCGTTTCCAACGAAGGCCTCAAAGAGGTCCAAATATCCACTTGCAGACTTTACAAAGACAGTGTCTCCAAACTCCTCCATCAAAAGAAAGGTTATACTCTGTGAATTGAACGCACACATCACAAAGTAGTTTCTGAGAATGATTCTGTCTAGTTTTTATACGAAGATATTTCCTTTTCTACATTTGGCCTGAAAGCGCTTGAAATCTCCACGTGCAAATATCACAAAAACAGGGTTTCACATCTGCTCTGTCTAAAGGACAGTTCACCTCTGTGAGTTGAATAGAGGCAACACAAAGAACTTACTCAGTATTCTTCTTTCTACCGTTCTATGAAGAAATCCCGTTTCCAACGAAGGCCTCAAAGAGGTCCAAATATCTGCTTGCAGACTTTACAGACAGAGTGTTTCCAAACTACTCTATGAAAAGAAAGCTTAAACTCCTTGAGTTGAACGCACACATCACAAAGTAGTTTCTGAGAATGATTCTGTCTTGTTTTTATACGAAGATATTTCCGTTTCTATGATTGGCCTCCAAGCGATTGAAGTCTCCAACTGGAAAATGCACAAATAGGGTGTTTCAAATCTGCTCTATCTAAAGGAAGGTTCAACTCTGTGAGTTGAATACACACACCACAAATAAGTTACTGAGAATTCTTCTGTCGACCATTACATGAAGAAATCCCGTTTCCAACGAAGGCCTCAAAGATGTGCAAATATCCACT
Source organism: Homo sapiens (assembly GCF_000001405.40). NCBI lineage: Eukaryota > Metazoa > Chordata > Mammalia > Primates > Hominidae > Homo > Homo sapiens. The sequence goes on along the minus strand of NC_000012.12, from coordinate 36,234,020 downwards.
TGCAGAAGTTACAAACAGAGAGTTTCCAAACTGCTCCATCAAAAGAAAGGTTAAACTCTGTGAGCTGAACACACACATCAAAAAGAAGTTTCTGTGAATGATTCTGTCTAGATTTTATAAGAAGATGTTTCCTTTTCTACCGTAGGCCTCAAAGCGCTTGAAATCTCCAGCTGCAAATTCCACAAAAAGGGTGTTTAACATCTGCTCTTCTAAAGGAAAGTTCAACTCTATGAGTTGAATACACACAGCACAAAGAAGTTACTGAGACTTCTTCTGTCGAACATTACTTGAAGAAATCCCGTTTCCAACGAAGGCCTCAAAGAGGTCCAAATATCTTCTTGCAGACTTTACAGACAGAGTGTTTCCAAACTGCTCCATCAAAAGAAAGGTTAAACTCCTTGAGTTGAACACACACATCACAAAGTAGTTTCTGTGAATGATTCTGTCTAGTTTTTATACGAAGATGTTTCCTTTTCTACCTTTGGTCTCAAAGCGATTGAAATCTCCACATGGAAACTCCACAAAAAGAGTGTTTCAAACCTGCTATTTCTGAAGGAAGGTTCAACTCTGTGAGTTGAATACACACACCACAAATAAGTTACTGAGAATTCTTCTGTGTAACATTATATGAGGAAATCCCGTTTCCAACGAAGGCCTCAAAGAGGTCCAAATATCCACTTGCAGACTTTACAAAGACAGTGTCTCCAAACTCCTCCATCAAAAGAAAGGTTATACTCTGTGAATTGAACGCACACATCACAAAGTAGTTTCTGAGAATGATTCTGTCTAGTTTTTATACGAAGATATTTCCTTTTCTACATTTGGCCTAAAAGCGCTTGAAATCTCCACCTGCAAATATCACAAAAAGAGGGTTTCACATCTGCTCTGTCTAAAGGACAGTTCACCTCTGTGAGTTGAATAGAGGCAACACAAAGAACTTACTCAGTATTCTTCTTTCTAGCGTTCTATGAAGAAATCCCGTTTCCAACGAAGGCCCTAAAGAGGTCCAAATATCTGCTTGCAGACTTTACAGACAGAGTGTTTCCAAACTACTCTATGAAAAGAAAGCTTAAACTCCTTGAGTTGAACGCACACATCACAAAGTAGTTTCTGAGAATGATTCTGTCTAGTTTTTATACGAAGATGTTTCCTTTTCTACATTTGGTCTCAAAGCGATTGAAATCTCCAACTGGAAACTGCACAAATAGGGTGTTTCAAATCTGCTCTGTCTAAAGGAAGGTTCAACTCTTTGAGTTGAATACACACACCACAAATAAGTTACTGAGAATTCTTCTGTCGAACATTACATGAAGAAATCCCGTTTCCAACGAACGCCACAAAGAGGTCCAAATATCCACTTGCAGACATTACAAACAGAGTGTTTCCAAACTGCTCCATCAAAGGAAAGGTTAAACTCTGTGAGCTGAACACACACATCAAAAAGAAGTTTCTGTGAATGATTCTGTCTAGATTTTATAAGAAGATGTTTCCTTTTCTACCGTAGGCCTCAAAGCGCTTGAAATCTCCAGCTGCAAATTCCACAAAAAGGGTGTTTAACATCTGCTCTTCTAAAGGAAAGTTCAACTCTATGAGTTGAATACACACAGCACAAAGAAGTTACTGAGACTTCTCCTATCAAACATTATATGAAGAAATCCCGTTTCCAACGAAGGCCTCAAAGAGGTCCAAATATCTGCTTGCAGACTTTACAGACAGAGTGTTTCCAAACTGCTCCATCAAAAGAAAGGTTAAACTCCTTGAGTTGAACACACACATCACAAAGTAGTTTCTGTGAATGATTCTGTCTAGTTTTTATACGAAGATGTTTCCTTTTCTACCTTTGGTCTCAAAGCGATTGAAATCTCCACATGGAAACTCCACAAAAAGAGTGTTTCAAATCTGCTCTTTCTGAAGGAAGGTTCAACTCTGTGAGTTGAATACACACACCACAAATAAGTTACTGAGAATTCTTCTGTGTAACATTCTATGAGGAAATCCCGTTTCCAATGAAGGCTTCAAAGAGGTCCAAATATGTACTTGCAGACTTTACAAAGACAGTGTTTCCAAACTCCTCTATCAAAAGAAAGATTATACTCTGTGAATTGAACGCACACATCACAAAGTAGTTTCTGAGAATGATTCTGTCTAGTTTTTATACGAAGATATTTCCTTTTCTACATTTGGCCTAAAAGCGCTTGAAATCTCCACCTGCAAATATCACAAAAAGAGGGTTTCACATCTGCTCTGTCTAAAGGACAGTTCACCTCTGTGAGTTGAATAGAGGCAACACAAAGAACGTACTCAGTATTCTTCTTTCTAGCGTTCTATGAAGAAATCCCGTTTCCAACGAAGGCCCCAAAGAGGTCCAAATATCTGCTTGCAGACTTTACAGACAGAGTGTTTCCAAACTACTCTATGAAAAGAAAGCTTAAACTCCTTGAGTTGAACGCACACATCACAAAGTAGTTTCTGAGAATGATTCTGTCTAGTTTTTATACGAAGATGTTTCCTTTTCTACATTTGGTCTCAAAGCGATTGAAATCTCCAACTGGAAACTGCACAAATAGGGTGTTTCAAATCTGCTCTGTCTAAAGGAAGGTTCAACTCTTTGAGTTGAATACACACACCACAAATAAGTTACTGAGAATTCTTCTGTCGAACATTACTTGAAGAAATCCCGTTTCCAACGAAGGCCTCAAAGGAGGTCCAAATATCCACTTGCAGACATTACAAACAGAGTGTTTCCAAACTGCTCCATCAAAAGAAAGGTTAAACTCTGTGAGCTGAACACACACATCAAAAAGAAGTTTCTGTGAATGATTCTGTCTAGATTTTATAAGAAGATGTTTCCTTTTCTACCGTAGGCCTCAAAGCGCTTGAAATCTCCAGCTGCAAATTCCACAAAAAGGGTGTTTAACATCTGCTCTTCTAAAGGAAAGTTCAACTCTATGAGTTGAATACACACAGCACAAAGAAGTTACTGAGACTTCTCCTATCAAACATTATATGAAGAAATCCCGTTTCCAACGAAGGCCTCAAAGAGGTCCAAATATCTGCTTGCAGACTTTACAGACAGAGTGTTTCCAAACTGCTCCATCAAAAGAAAGGTTAAACTCCTTGAGTTGAACACACACATCACAAAGTAGTTTCTGTGAATGATTCTGTCTAGTTTTTATACGAAGATGTTTCCTTTTCTACCTTTGGTCTCAAAGCGATTGAAATCTCCACATGGAAACTCCACAAAAAGAGTGTTTCAAATCTGCTCTTTCTGAAGGAAGGTTCAACTCTGTGAGTTGAATACGCACACCACAAATAAGTTACTGAGAATTCTCCTATCAAACATTATATGAAGAAATCCCGTTTCCAACAAAGGCCTCAAAGAGGTCCAAATATCTGCTTGCAGACTTTACAAAGACAGTGTCTCCAAACTCCTCCATCAAAAGAAAGGTTATACTCTGTGAATTGAACGCACACATCACAAAGTAGTTTCTGAGAGTGATTCTGTCTAGTTTTTATACGAAGATATTTCCTTTTCTACATTTGGCCTAAAAGCGCTTGAAATCTCCACCTGCAAATATCACAAAAAGAGGGTTTTACATCTGCTCTGTCTAAAGGACAGTTCACCTCTGTGAGTTGAATAGAGGCAACACAAAGAACTTACTCAGTATTCTTCTTTCTAGCGTTCTATGAAGAAATCCCGTTTCCAACGAAGGCCCCAAAGAGGTCCAAATATCTGCTTGCAGACTTTACAGGCCGAGGGTTTCCAAATTACTCTATGAAAAGAAAGCTTAAACTCCTTGAGTTGAACGCACACATCACAAAGTAGTTTCTGAGAATGATTCTGTCTAGTTTTTATACGAAGATGTTTCCTTTTCTACATTTCTTCTCAAAGCGTTTGAAATCTCCAAATGGAAACTGCACAAATAGGGTGTTTCAGATCTGCTCTGTCTAAAGGAAGGTTCAACTCTGTGAGTTGAATACACACACCACAAATAAGTTGCTGAGAATTCTTCTGTCGAACATTACTTGAAGAAATCCCGTTTCCAACGAAGGCCTCAAAGAGGTCCAAATATCCACTTGCGGACATTACAAACAGTGTGTTTCCCAACTGCTCCATCAAAAGAAAGGTTAAACTCTGTGAGCTGAACACACACATCAAAAAGAAGTTTCTGTGAATGATTCTGTCTAGATTTTATAAGAAGATGTTTCCTTTTCTACCGTAGGCCACAAAGCGCTTGAAATCTCCAGCTGCAAATTCCACAAAAAGGGTGTTTAACATCTGCTCTTCTAAAGGAAAGTTCAACTCTATGCGTTGAATACACACAGCACAAAGAAGTTACTGAGACTTCTCCTATCAAACATTATATGAAGAAATCCCGTTTCCAACGAAGGCCTCAAAGAGGTCCAAATATCTGCTTGCAGACTTTACAGACAGACTTTTTCCAAACTGCTCCATCAAAAGAAAGGTTAAACTCCTTGAGTTGAACACACACATCACAAAGTAGTTTCTGTGAATGATTCTGTCTAGTTTTTATACGAAGATGTTTCCTTTTCTACCTTTGGTCTCAAAGCGATTGAAATCTCCACTTGGAAACTCCACAAAAAGAGAGTTTCAAATCTGCTCTTTCTGAAGGAAGGTTCAACTCTGTGAGTTGAATACACACACCACAAATAAGTTACTGAGAATTCTTCTGTGTAACATTATATGAGGAAATCCCGTTTCCAACGAAGGCCTCAAAGAGATCCAAATATCCACTTGCAGACTTTACAAAGACAGTGTCTCCAAACTCCTCCATCAAAAGAAAGGTTATACTCTGTGAATTGAACGCACACATCACAAAGTAGTTTCTGAGAATGATTCTGTCTAGTTTTTATACGAAGATATTTCCTTTTCTACATTTGGCCTAAAAGCGCTTGAAATCTCCACCTGCAAATATCACAAAAAGAGGGTTTCACATCTGCTCTCTCTAAAGGACAGTTCACCTCTGTGAGTTGAATAGAGGCAACACAAAGAACTTACTCAGTATTCTTCTTTCTAGCGTTCTATGAAGAAATCCCGTTTCCAACGAAGGCCCCAAAGAGGTCCAAATATCTGCTTGCAGACTTTACAGACAGAGTGTTTCCAAACTACTCTATGAAAAGAAAGCTTAAACTCCTTGAGTTGAACGCACACATCACAAAGTAGTTTCTGAGAATGATTCTGTCTAGTTTTTATACGAAGATGTTTCCTTTTCTACATTTGGTCTCAAAGCGATTGAAATCTCCAACTGGAAACTGCACAAATAGGGTGTTTCAAATCTGCTCTGTCTAAAGGAAGGTTCAACTCTGTGAGTTGAATACACACACCACAAATAAGTTACTGAGAATTCTTCTGTCGAACATTACTTGAAGAAATCCCGTTTCCAACGAAGGCCTCAAAGAGGTCCAAATATCCACTTGCAGACATTACAAACAGAGTGTTTCCAAACTGCTCCATCAAAAGAAAGGTTAAACTCTGTGAGCTGAACACACACATCAAAAAGAAGTTTCTGTGAATGATTCTGTCTAGATTTTATAAGAAGATGTTTCCTTTTCTACCGTAGGCCTCAAAGCGCTTGAAATCTCCAGCTGCAAATTCCACAAAAAGGGTGTTTAACATCTGCTCTTCTAAAGGAAAGTTCAACTCTATGAGTTGAATACACACAGCACAAAGAAGTTACTGAGACTTCTTCTTTCTAGCATTCTATGAAGAAATCCCGTTTCCAACGAAGGCCCCAAAGAGGTCCAAATATGTGCTTGCAGACTTTACAGACAGAGTTTTTCCAAACTGCTCCATCAAAAGAAAGGTTAAACTCCTTGAGTTGAACACACACATCACAAAGTAGTTTCTGTGAATGATTCTGTCTAGTTTTTATACGAAGATGTTTCCTTTTCTACCTTTGGTCTCAAAGCAATTGAAATCTCCACATGGAAACTCCACAAAAAGAGTGTTTCAAATCTGCTCTTTCTGAAGGAAGGTTCAACTCTGTGAGTTGAATACACACACCACAAATAAGTTACTGAGAATTCTTCTGGGTAACATTATATGAGGAAATCCCGTTTCCAACGAAGGCCTCAAAGAGGTCCAAATATCCACTTGCAGACTTTACAAAGACAGTGTCTCCAAACTCCTCCATCAAAAGAAAGGTTATACTCTGTGAATTGAACGCACACATCACAAAGTAGTTTCTGAGAATGATTCTGTCTAGTTTTTATACGAAGATATTTCCTTTTCTACATTTGGCCTAAAAGCGCTTGAAATCTCCACCTGCAAATATCACAAAAAGAGGGTTTCACATCTGCTCTGTCTAAAGGACAGTTCACCTCTGTGAGTTGAATAGAGGCAACACAAAGAACTTACTCAGTATTCTTCTTTCTAGCATTCTATGAAGAAATCCCGTTTCCAACGAAGGCCTCAAAGAGGTCCAAATATCTGCTTGCAGACTTTACAGACAGAGTTTTTCCAAACTGCTCCATCAAAAGAAAGGTTAAACTCCTTGAGTTGAACACACACATCACAAAGTAGTTTCTGTGAATGATTCTGTCTAGTTTTTATACGAAGATGTTTCCTTTTCTACCTTTGGTCTCAAAGCGATTGAAATCTCCACATGGAAACTCCACAAAAAGAGTGTTTCAAATCTGCTCTTTCTGAAGGAAGGTTCAACTCTGTGAGTTGAATACACACACCACAAATAAGTTACTGAGAATTCTTCTGTGTAACATTATATGAGGAAATCCCGTTTCCAACGAAGGCCTCAAAGAGGTCCAAATATCCACTTGCAGACTTTACAAAGACAGTGTCTCCAAACTCCTCCATCAAAAGAAAGGTTATACTCTGTGAATTGAACGCACACATCAGAAAGTAGTTTCTGAGAATGATTCTGTCTAGTTTTTATACGAGGATATTTCCTTTTCTACATTTGGCCTAAAAGCGCTTGAAATCTCCACCTGCAAATATCAAAAAAAGAGGGTTTCACATCTGCTCTGTCTAAAGGACAGTTCACCTCTGTGAGTTGAATAGAGGCAACACAAAGAACTTACTCAGTATTCTTCTTTCTAGCGTTCTATGAAGAAATCCCGTTTCCAACGAAGGCCCCAAAGTGGTCCAAATATCTGCTTGCAGACTTTACAGACAGAGTGTTTCCAAACTACTCTATGAAAAGAAAGCTTAAACTCCTTGAGTTGAACGCACACATCACAAAGTAGTTTCGGAGAATGATTCTGTCTAGTTTTTATACGAAGATGTTTCCTTTTCTACATTTGGTCTCAAAGCGATTGAAATCTCCAACTGGAAACTGCACAAATAGGGTGTTTCAAATCTGCTCTGTCTAAAGGAAGGTTCAACTCTGTGAGTTGAATACACACACCACAAATAAGTTACTGAGAATTCTTCTGTCTAACATTATATGAAGAAATCCCGTTTCCAACGAAGGCCTCAAAGAGGTCCAAATATCCACTTGCAGACTTGTCAAACAGAGTGTTTCCAAACTGCACCATCAAAAGAAGGGTTAAACTCTGTGAGCTGAACACACACATCACAAAGTAGTTTCTGTGAATGATTCTGTCTAGATTTTATAAGAAGATGTTTCCTTTTCTACCGTAGGCCTCAAAGCGCTTGAAATCTCCAGCTGCAAATTCCACAAAAAGGGTGTTTAACATCTGCTCTTCTAAAGGAAAGTTCAACTCTATGAGTTGAATACACACAGCACAAAGAAGTTACTGAGACTTCTCCTATCAAACATTATATGAAGAAATCCCGTTTCCAACGAAGGCCTCAAAGAGGTCCAAATATCTGCTTGCAGACTTTACAGACAGAGTGTTTCCAAACTACTCTATGAAAAGAAAGCTTAAACTCCTTGAGTTGAACGCACACATCACAAAGTAGTTTCTGAGAATGATTCTGTCTAGTTTTTATACGAAGATGTTTCCTTTTCTACCTTTGGTCTCAATGCGATTGAAATCTCCACATGGAAACTCCACAAAAAGAGTGTTTCAAATCTGCTCTTTCTGAAGGAAGGTTCAACTCTGTGAGTTGAATACACACACCACAAATAAGTTACTGAGAATTCTTCTGTGTAACATTATATGAGGAAATCCCGTTTCCAACGAAGGCCTCAAAGAGTTCCAAATATCCACTTGCAGACTTTAGAAAGACAGTGTCTCCAAACTCCTCCATCAAAAGAAAGGTTATACTCTGTGAATTGAACGCACACATCACAAAGTAGTTTCTGAGAATGATTCTGTCTAGTTTTTATACGAAGATATTTCCTTTTCTACATTTGGCCTAAAAGCGCTTGAAATCTCCACCTGCAAATATCACAAAAAGAGGGTTTCACATCTGCTCTGTCTAAAGGACAGTTCACCTCTGTGAGTTGAATAGAGGCAACACAAAGAACTTAATCAGTATTCTTCTTTCTAGCGTTCTATGGAGAAATCCGGTTTCCAACGAAGACCCCAATGAGGTCCAAATATCTGCTTGCAGACTTTACAGACAGAGTGTTTCCAAACTACTCTATGAAAAGAAAGCTTAAACTCCTTGAGTTGAACGCACACATCACAAAGTAGTTTCTGAGAATGATTCTGTCTAGTTTTTATACGAAGATGTTTCCCTTTCTACATTTGGTCTCAAAGCGATTGAAATCTCCAACTGGAAACTGCACAAATAGGCTGTTTCAAATCTGCTCTGTCTAAAGGAAGGTTCAACTATGTGAGTTGAATACACACACCACAAATAAGTTACTGAGAATTCTTCTGTCGAACATTACAGGAAGAAATCCCGTTTCCAACGAAGGCCTCAAAGAGGTCCAAATATCCACTTGCAGACATTACAAACAGAGTGTTTCCCAACTGCTCCATCAAAAGAAAGGTTAAACTCTGTGAGCTGAACACACACATCAAAAAGAAGTTTCTGTGAATGATTCTGTCTAGTTTTTATACGAAGATGTTTCCTTTTCTACCTTTGGTCTCAAAGCGATTGAAATCTCCACATGGAAACTCCACTAAAAGAGTGTTTGAAATCTGCTCTTTCTGAAGGAAGGTTCAACTCTGTGAGTTGAATACACACACCACAAATAAGTTACTGAGAATTCTTCTGGGTAACATTATATGAGGAAATCCCGTTTCCAACGAAGGCCTCAAAGAGGTCCAAATATCCACTTGCAGACTTTACAAAGACAGTGTCTCCAAACTCCTCCATCAAAAGAAAGGTTATACTCTGTGAATTGAACGCACACATCACAAAGTAGTTTCTGAGAATGATTCTGTCTAGTTTTTATACGAAGATATTTCCTTTTCTACATTTGGCCTAAAAGCGCTTGAAATCTCCACCTGCAAATATCACAAAAAGAGGGTTTCACATCTGCTCTGTCTAAAGGACAGTTCACCTCTGTGAGTTGAATAGAGGCAACACAAAGAACGTACTCAGTATTCTTCTTTCTAGCATTCTATGAAGAAATCCCGTTTCCAACGAAGGCCCCAAAGAGGTCCAAATATCTGCTTGCAGACTTTACAGACAGAGTTTTTCGAAACTGCTCCATCAAAAGAAAGGTTAAACTCCTTGAGTTGAACACACACATCACAAAGTAGTTTCTGAGAATGATTCTGTCTAGTTTTTATACGAAGATGTTTCCTTTTCTACCTTTGGTCTCAAAGCGATTGAAATCTCCACATGGAAACTCCACAAAAAGAGTGTTTCAAATCTGCTCTTTGTGAAGGAAGGTTCAACTCTGTGAGTTGAATACAGACACCACAAATAAGTTACTGAGAATTCTTCTGTGTAACATTATATGAGGAAATCCCGTTTCCAACGAAGGCCTCACAGAGGTCCAAATATCCACTTGCAGACTTTACAAAGACAGTGTCTCCAAACTCCTCCATCAAAAGAAAGGTTATACTCTGTGAATTGAACGCACACATCACAAAGTAGTTTCTGAGAATGATTCTGTCTAGTTTTTATACGAAGAATATTTCCTTTTCTACATTTGGCCTAAAAGCGCTTGAAATCTCCACCTGCAAATATCACAAAAAGAGGGTTTCACATCTGCTCTGTCTAAAGGACAGTTCACCTCTGTGAGTTGAATAGAGGCAACACAAAGAACTTACTCAGTATTCTTCTTTCTAGCGTTATATGAAGAAATCCCGTTTCCAACGAAGGCCTCAAAGAGGTCCAAATATCTGCTTGCAGACTTTACAGACAGAGTGTTTCCAAACTACTCTATGAAAAGAAAGCTTAAACTCCTTGAGTTGAACGCACACATCACAAAATAGTTTCTGAGAATGATTCTGTCTTGTTTTTATACCGAAGATATTTCCGTTTCTACGATTGGCCTCAAAGGGATTGAAATCTCCAACTGGAAACTGCACAAATAGGGTGTTTCAAATCTGCTCTGTCTAAAGGAAGGTTCAACTCTGTGAGTTGAATACACACACCACAAATAAGTTACTGAGAATTCTTCTGTCGAACATTACATGAAGAAATCCCGTTTCCAACGAAGGCCTCAAAGAGGTCCAAATATCCACTTGCAGACATTACAGAGTGTTTCCAAACTGCTCCATCAAAAGAAAGGTTAAACTCTGTGAGCTGAACACACACATCAAAAAGAAGTTTCTGTGAATGATTCTGTCTAGATTTTATAAGAAGATGTTTCCTTTTCTACCGTAGGCCTCAAAGCGCTTGAAATCTCCAGCTGCAAATTCCACAAAAAGGGTGTTTAACATCTGCTCTTCTAAAGCAAAGTTCAACTCTATGAGTTGAATACACACAGCACAAAGAAGTTACTGAGACTTCTCCTATCAAACATTATATGAAGAAATCCCGTTTCCAACGAAGGCCTCAAAGAGGTCCAAATATCTGCTTGCAGACTTTACAGACAGAGTGTTTCCAAACTGCTCCATCAAAAGAAAGGTTAACCTCCTTGAGTTGAACACACACATCACAAAGTAGTTTCTGTGAATGATTCTGTCTAGTTGTTATACGAAGATGTTTCCTTTTCTACCTTTGGTCTCAAAGCGATTGAAATCTCCACATGGAAACTCCACAAAAAGAGTGTTTCAAATCTGCTCTTTCTGAAGGAAGGTTCATCTCTGTGAGTTGAATACACACACCACAAATAAGTTACTGAGAATTCTCCTATCAAACATCATATGAAGAAATCCCGTTTCCAACGAAGGCCTCAAAGAGGTCCAAATATCTGCTTGCAGACTTTACAAAGACAGTGTCTCCAAACTCCTCCATCAAAAGAAAGGTTATACTCTGTGAATTGAACGCACACATCACAAAGTAGTTTCTGAGAATGATTCTGTCTAGTTTTTATACGAAGATATTTTTTTTTCTACATTTGGCCTAAAAGCGCTTGAAATCTCCACCTGCAAATATCACAAAAAGAGGGTTTCACATCTGCTCTTTCTAAAGGACAGTTCACCTCTGTGAGTTGAATAGAGGCAACACAAAGAACTTACTCAGTATTCTTCTTTCTAGCGTTATATGAAGAAATCCCTTTTCCAACGAAGGCCTCAAATAGGTCCAAATATCTGCTTGCAGACTTTACAGACAGAGTGTTTCCAAACTACTCTATGAAAAGAAAGCTTAAACTCCGTGAGGTGAACGCACACATCACAAAGTAGTTTCTGAGAATGATTCTGTCTAGTTTTTATACGAAGATGTTTCCTTTTCTACGTTTGGTCTCAAAGCGATTGAAATCTCCAACTGGAAACTGCACAAATAGGCTGTTTCAAATCTGCTCTGTCTAAAGGAAGGTTCAACTCTGTGAGTTGAATACACACACCACAAATAAGTTACTGAGAATTCTTCTGTCGAACATTACATGAAGAAATCCCGTTTCCAGCGAAGGCCTCAAGGGGTCCAAATATCCACTTGCAGACATTACAAACACAGTTTTTCCAAACTGCTCCATCAAAAGAAAGGTTAAACACTGTGAGCTGAACACACACATCAAAGAGAAGTTTCTGTGAATGATTCTGTCTAGATTTTATAAGAAGATGTTTCCTTTTCTACCGTAGGCCTCAAAGCGCTTGAAATCTCCAGCTGCAAATTCCACAAAAAGGGTGTTTAACATCTGCTCTTCTAAAGGAAAGTTCAACTCTATGAGTTGAATACAGACAGCACAAAGAAGTTACTGAGACTTCTCCTATCAAACATTATATGAAGAAATCCCGTTTCCAACGAAGGCCTCAAAGAGGTCCAAATATCTGCTTGCAGACTTTACAGACAGAGTGTTTCCAAACTGCTCCATCAAAAGAAAGGTTAAACTCCTTGAGTTGAACACACACATCACAAAGTAGTTTCTGTGAATGATTCTGTCTAGTTTTTATACGAAGATGTTTCCTTTTCTACCTTTGGTCTCAAAGCGATTGAAATCTCCACATGGAAACTCCACAAAAAGAGTGTTTCAAATCTGCTCTTTCTGAAGGAAGGTTCAACTCTGTGAGTTGAATACACACACCACAAATAAGTTACTGAGAATTCATCAGTGTAACATTATATGAGGAAATCCCGTTTCCAACGTAGGCCTCAAAGAGGTCCAAATATCCACTTGCAGACTTTACAAAGACAGTGTCTCCAAACTCCTCCATCAAAAGAAAGGTTATACTCTGTGAATTGAACGCACACATCACAAAGTAGTTTCTGAGAATGATTCTGTCTAGTTTTTATACGAAGATATTTCCTTTTCTACATTTGGCCTAAAAGCGCTTGAAATCTCCACCTGCAAATATCACAAAAAGAGGGTTTCACATCTGCTCTGTCTAAAGGACAGTTCACCTCTGTGAGTTGAATAGAGGCAACACAAAGAAGTTACTCAGTATTCTTCTTTCTACCGTTCTATGAAGAAATCCCGTTTCCAACGAAGGCCTCAAAGAGGTCCAAATATCTGCTTGCAGACTTTACAGACAGAGTGTTTCCAAACTACTCTATGAAAAGAAAGCTTAAACTCCTTGAGTTGAACGCACACATCACAAAGTAGTTTCTGAGAATGATTCTGTCTAGTTTTTATACGAAGATGTTTCCTTTTCTACCTTTGGTCTCAAAGCGATTGAAATCTCCAACTGGAAACTGCACAAATAGGCTGTTTCAAATCTGCTCTGTCTAAAGGAAGGTTCAACTCTGTGAGTTGAATACACACACCACAAATAAGTTACTGAGAATTCTTCTGTCGAACATTACTTGAAGAAATCCCGTTTCCAACGAAGGCCTCAAAGAGGTCCAAATATCCACTTGCAGACATTACAAACAGTGTGTTTCCAAACTGCTCCATCAAAAGAAAGGTTAAACTCTGTGAGCTGAACACACACATTAAAAAGAAGTTTCTGTGAATGATTCTGTCTAGATTTTATAAGAAGATGTTTCCTTTTCTACCGTAGGCCTCAAAGCGCTTGAAATCTCCAGCTGCAAATTCCACAAAAAGGGTGTTTAACATCTGCTCTTCTAAAGGAAAGTTCAACTCTATGAGTTGAATACACACAGCACAAAGAAGTTACTGAGACTTCTTCTTTCTAGCGTTCTATGAAGAAATCCCGTTTCCAACGAAGGCCTCAAAGAGGTCCAAATATCTGCTTGCAGACTTTACAGACAGAGTGTTTCCAAACTACTCTATGAAAAGAAAGCTTAAACTCCTTGATTTGAACGCACACATCACAAAGTAGTTTCTGAGAATGATTCTGTCTAGTTTTTATACGAAGATGTTTCCTTTTCTACATTTGGTCTCAAAGCGATTGAAATCTCCACATGGAAACTCCACAAAAAGAGTGTTTCAAATCTGCTCTTTCTGAAGGAAGGTTCAACTCTGTGAGTTGAATACACACACCACAAATAAGTTACTGAGAATTCTTCTGTGTAACATTATATGAGGAAATCCCGTTTCCAACGAAGGCCTCAAAGAGGTCCAAATATCCACTTGCAGACTTTACAAAGACAGTGTCTCCAAACTCCTCCATCAAAAGAAAGGTTATACTCTGTGAATTGAACGCACACATCACAAAGTAGTTTCTGAGAATGATTCTGTCTAGTTTTTATACGAAGATATTTCCTTTTCTACATTTGGCCTAAAAGCGCTTGAAATCTCCACCTGCAAATATCACAAAAAGAGGGTTTCACATCTGCTCTGTCTAAAGGACAGTTCACCTCTGTGAGTTGAATAGTGGCAACACAAAGAACTTACTCAGTATTCTTCTTTCTAGCGTTATATGAAGAAATCCCGTTTCCAACGAAGGCCTCAAAGAGGTCCAAATATCTGCTTGCAGACTTTACAGACAGAGTGTTTCCAAACTACTCTATGAAAAGAAAGCTTAAACTCCTTGAGTTGAACGCACACATCACAAAGTAGTTTCTGAGAATGATTCTGTCTAGTTTTTATACGAAGATGTTTCCTTTTCTACATTTGGTCTCAAAGCGATTGAAATCTCCAACTGGAAACTGCACAAATAGGGTGTTTCAAATCTGCTCTGTCTAAAGGAAGGTTCAACTCTGTGAGTTGAATACACACACCCCAAATAAGTTACTGAGAATTCTTCTGTCGAACATTACAGGAAGAAATCCCGTTTCCAGCGAAGGCCTCAAAGAGGTCCAAATATCCACTTGCAGACATTACAAACAGAGTGTTTCCAAACTGCTCCATCAAAAGAAAGGTTAAACTCTGTGAGCTGAACACACACATCAAAAAGAAGTTTCTGTGAATGATTCTGTCTAGATTTTATAAGAAGATGTTTCCTTTTCTACCGTCGGACTCAAAGCGCTTGAAATCTCCAGCTGCAAATTCCACAAAAAGGGTGTTTAACATCTGGTCTTCTAAAGGAAAGTTCAACTCTATGAGTTGAATACACACAGCACAAAGAAGTTACTGAGACTTCTCCTATCAAACATTATATGAAGAAATCCCGTTTCCAACGAAGGCCTCAAAGAGGTCCAAATATCTGCTTGCAGACTTTACAGACAGAGTTTTTCCAAACTGCTCCATCAAAAGAAAGGTTAAACTCCTTGAGTTGAACACACACATCACAAAGTAGTTTCTGTGAATGATTCTGTCTAGTTTTTATACGAAGATGTTTCCTTTTCTACCTTTGGTCTCAAAGCGATTGAAATCTCCACATGGAAACTCCACAAAAAGAGTGTTTCAAATCTGCTCTTTCTGAAGGAAGGTTCAACTCTGTGAGTTGAATACACACACCACAAATAAGTTACTGAGAATTCTTCTGTGTAACATTATATGAGGAAATCCCGTTTCCAACGAAGGCCTCAAAGAGGTCCAAATATCCACTTGCAGACTTTACAAAGACAGTGTCTCCAAACTCCTCCATCAAAAGAAAGGTTATACTCTGTGAATTGAACGCACACATCACAAAGTAGTTTCTGAGAATGATTCTGTCTAGTTTTTATACGAAGATATTTCCTTTTCTACATTTGGCCTAAAAGCGCTTGAAATCTCCACCTGCAAATATCACAAAAAGAGGGTTTCACATCTGCTCTGTCTAAAGGACAGTTCACCTCTGTGAGTTGAATAGAGGCAACACAAAGAACGTACTCAGTATTCTTCTTTCTAGCGTTATATGAAGAAATCCCGTTTCCAACGAAGGCCTCAAAGAGGTCCAAATATCTGCTTGCAGACTTTACAGACAGAGTGTTTCCAAGCTACTCTATGAAAAGAAAGCTTAAACTCCTTGAGTTGAACGCACACATCACAAAGTAGTTTCTGAGAATGATTCTGTCTTGTTTTTATACGAAGATATTTCCGTTTCTACGATTGGCCTCAAAGCGATTGAAATCCCCAACTGGAAACTGCACAAACAGGGTGTTTCAAATCTGCTCTGTCTAAAGGAAGGTTCAACTCTGTGAGTTGAATACACACACCACAAATAAGTTACTGAGAATTCTTCTGTCGAACATTACTTGAAGAAATCCCGTTTCCAACGAAGGCCTCAAAGAGGTCCAAATATCCACTTGCAGACATTACAAACAGAGTGTTTCCAAACTGCTCCATCAAAAGAAAGGTTAAACTCTGTGAGCTGAACACACACATCGAAAAGAAGTTTCTGTGAATGATTCTGTCTAGATTTTATAAGAAGATGTTTCCTTTTCTACCGTAGGCCTCAAAGCGCTTGAAATCTCCAGCTGCAAATTCCACAAAAAGGGTGTTTAACATCTGCTCTTCTAAAGGAAAGTTCAACTCTATGAGTTGAATACACACAGCACAAAGAAGTTACTGAGACTTCTCCTATCAAACATTATATGAAGAAATCCCGTTTCCAACGAAGGCCTCAAAGAGGTCCAAATATCTGCTTGCAGACTTTACAGACAGAGTGTTTCCAAACTGCTCCATCAAAAGAAAGGTTAACCTCCTTGAGTTGAACACACACATCACAAAGTAGTTTCTGTGAATGATTCTGTCTAGTTTTTATACGAAGATGTTTCCTTTTCTACCTTTGGTCTCAAAGCGATTGAAATCTCCACATGGAAACTCCACAAAAAGAGTGTTTCAAATCTGCTCTTTCTGAAGGAAGGTTCAACTCTGTGAGTTGAATACACACACCACAAATAAGTTACTGAGAATTCTTCTGTGTAACATTATATGAGGAAATCCCGTTTCCAACGAAGGCCTCAAAGAGGTCCAAATATCCACTTGCAGACTTTACAAAGACAGTGTCTCCAAACTCCTCCATCAAAAGAAAGGTTATACTCTGTGAATTGAACGCACACATCACAAAGTAGTTTCTGAGAATGATTCTGACTACTTTTTATACGAAGATATTTCCTTTTCTACATTTGGCCTAAAAGCACTTGAAATCTCCACCTGCAAATATCACAAAAAGAGGGTTTCACATCTGCTCTGTCTAAAGGACAGTTCACCTCTGTGATTTGAATAGAGGCAACACATAGAACTTACTCAGTATTCTTCTTCTAGCGTTCTATGAAGAAATCCCGTTTCCAACGAAGGCCCCAAAGAGGTCCAAATATCTGCTTGCAGACTTTACAGACAGAGTGTTTCCAAACTACTCTATGAAAAGAAAGCTTAAACTCCTTGAGTTGAACGCACACATCACAAAGTAGTTTCTGAGAATGATTCTGTCTAGTTTTTATACGAACATGTTTCCTTTTCTACATTTGGTCTCAAAGCGATTGAAATCTCCAACTGGAAACTGCACAAATAGGGAGTTTCAAATCTGCTCTGTCTAAAGGAACGGTCAACTCTGTGAGTTGAATACACACACCACAAATAAGTTACTGAGAATTCTTCTGTCGAACATTACATGAAGAAATCCCGTTCCCAACGAAGGCCTCAAAGAGGTCCAAATATCCACTTGCAGACATTACAAACAGAGTGTTTCCAAACTGCTCCATCAAAAGAAAGGTTAAACTCTGTGAGCTGAACACACACATCAAAAAGAAGTTTCTGTGAATGATTCTGTCTAGATTTTATAAGAAGATGTTTCCTTTTCTACCGTAGGCCTCAAAGCGCTTGAAATCTCCAGCTGCAAATTCCACAAAAAGGGTGTTTAACATCTGCTCTTCTAAAGGAAAGTTCAACTCTATGAGTTGAATACACACAGCACAAAGAAGTTACTGAGACTTCTCCTATCAAACATTATATGAAGAAATCCCGTTTCCAACGAAGGCCTCAAAGAGGTCCAAATATCTGCTTGCAGACTTTAAAGACAGAGTTTTTCCAAACTGCTCCATCAAAAGAAAGGTTAAACTCCTTGAGTTGAACACACACATCACAAAGTAGTTTCTGTGAATGATTCTGTCTAGTTTTTATACGAAGATGTTTCCTTTTCTACCTTTGGTCTCAAAGCGATTGAAATCTCCACATGGAAACTCCACAAAAAGAGTGTTTCAAATCTGCTCTTTCTGAAGGAAGGTTCAACTCTGTGAGTTGAATACACACACCACAAATAAGTTACTGAGAATTCTTCTGTGGAACATTATATGAGGAAATCCCGTTTCCAACGAAGGCCTCAAAGAGGTCCAAGTATCCACTTGCAGACTTTACAAAGACAATGTCTCCAAACTCCTCCATCAAAACAAAGGTTATACTCTGTGAATTGAACGCACACATCACAAAGTAGTTTCTGAGAATGATTCTGTCTAGTTTTTATACGAAGATATTTCCTTTTCTACATTTGGCCTAAAAGCGCTTGAAATCTCCACCTGCAAATATCACAAAAAGAGGGTTTCACATCTGCTCTGTCTAAAGGACAGTTCACCTCTGTGAGTTGAATAGAGGCAACACAAAGAACTTACTCAGTATTCTTCTTTCTAGCCTTTTATGAAGAAATCCCGTTTCCAACGAAGGCCTCAAAGAGGTCCAAATATCTGCTTGCAGACTTTACAGACAGAGTGTTTCCAAACTACTCTATGAAAAGAAAGCTTAAACTCCTTGATTTGAACGCACACATCACAAAGTAGTTTCTGAGAATGATTCTGTCTAGTTTTTATACGAAGATGTTTCCTTTTCTACATTTGGTCTCAAAGCGATTGAAATCTCCAACTGGAAAATGCACAAATAGGGTGTTTCAAATCTGCTCTGTCTAAAGGAAGGTTCAACTCTGTGAGTTGAATACACACACCACAAATAAGTTACTGAGAATTCTTCTGTCGAACATTACTTGAAGAAATCCCGTTTCCAACGAAGGCCTCAAAGAGGTCCAAATATCCACTTGCAGACATTACAAACAGAGTGTTTCCAAACTGCTCCATCAAAAGAAAGGTTAAACTCTGTGAGCTGAACACACACATCGAAAAGAAGTTTCTGTGAATGATTCTGTCTAGATTTTATAAGAAGATGTTTCCTTTTCTACCGTAGGCCTCAAAGCGCTTGAAATCTCCAGCTGCAAATTCCACAAAAAGGGTGTTTAACATCTGCTCTTCTAAAGGAAAGTTCAACTCTATGAGTTGAATACACACAGCACAAAGAAGTTACTGAGACTTCTCCTATCAAACATTATATGAAGAAATCCCGTTTCCAACGAAGGCCTCAAAGAGGTCCAAATATCTGCTTGCAGACTTTACAGACAGAGTTTTTCCAAACTGCTCCATCAAAAGAAAGGTTAAACTCCTTGAGTTGAACACACACATCACAAAGTAGTTTCTGTGAATGATTCTGTCTAGTTTTTATACGAAGATGTTTCCTTTTCTACCTTTGGTCTCAAAGCGATTGAAATCTCCACATGGAAACTCCACAAAAAGAGTGTTTCAAATCTGCTCTTTCTGAAGGAAGGTTCAACTCTGTGAGTTGAATACACACACCACAAATAAGTTACTAAGAATTCTTCTGTGTAACATTATATGAGGAAATCCCGTTTCCAACGAAGGCCTCAAAGAGGTCCAAATATCCACTTGCAGACTTTACAAAGACAGTGTCTCCAAACTCCTCCATCAAAAGAAAGGTTATACTCTGTGAATTGAACGCACACATCACAAAGTAGTTTCTGAGAATGATTCTGTCTAGTTTTTATACGAAGATATTTCCTTTTCTACATTTGGCCTCAAAGCGCTTGAAATCTCCACCTGCAAATATCACAAAAAGAGGGTTTCACATCTGCTCTGTCTAAAGGACAGTTCACCTCTGTGAGTTGAATAGAGGCAACACAAAGAACTTACTCAGTATTCTTCTTTCTAGCGTTCTATGAAGAAATCCCGTTTCCAACGAAGGCCTCTAAGAGGTCCAAATATCCTCTTGCAGACATTACAAACAGTGTGTTTCCAAACTGCTCCATCAAAAGAAAGGTTAAACTCTGTGAGCTGAACACACACATCAAAAAGAAGTTTCTGTGAATGATTCTGTCTAGTTTTTATACGAAGATGTTTCCTTTTCTACATTTGGTCTCAAAGCGATTGAAATCTCCAACTGGAAACTGCACAAATAGGGTGTTTCAAATCTGCTCTGTCTAAAGGAAGGTTCCACTCTGTGAGTTGAATACACACACCACAAATAAGTTACTGAGTATTCTTCTGTCGAACATTACTTGAAGAAATCCCGTTTCCAACGAAGGCCTCAAAGAGGTCCAAATATCCACTTGCAGACATTACAAACCGAGTGTTTCCAAACTGCTCCATCAACAGAAAGGTTAAACTCTGTGAGCTGAACACACACATCAAAAAGAAGTTTCTGTGAATGATTCTGTCTAGATTTTATAAAAAGATGTTTCCTTTTCTACCGTAGGCCACAAAGCGCTTGAAATCTCCAGCTGCAAATTCCACAAAAAGGGTGTTTAACATCTGCTCTTCTAAAGGAAAGTTCAACTCTATGCGTTGAATACACACAGCACAAAGAAGTTACTGAGACTTCTCCTATCAAACATTATATGAAGAAATCCCGTTTCCAACGAAGGCCTCAAAGAGGTCCAAATATCTGCTTGCAGACTTTACAGACAGAGTTTTTCCAAACTGCTCCATCAAAAGAAAGGTGAAACTCCTTGAGTTGAACACACACATCACAAAGTAGTTTCTGTGAATGATTCTGTCTAGTTTTTATACGAAGATGTTTCCTTTTCTACCTTTGGTCTCAAAGCGATTGAAATCTCCACATGGAAACTCCACAAAAAGAGTGTTTCAAATCTGCTCTTTCTGAAGGAAGGTTCAATTCAGTGAGTTGAATACACACACCACAAATAAGTTACTGAGAATTCTTCTGTGTAACATTATATGAGGAAATCCCGTTTCCAACGAAGGCCTCAAAGAGGTCCAAATATCCACTTGCAGACTTTACAAAGACAGTGTCTCCAAACTCCTCCATCAAAAGAAAGGTTATACTCTGTGAATTGAACGCACACATCACAAAGTAGTTTCTGAGAATGATTCTGTCTAGTTTTTATACGAAGATATTTCCTTTTCTACATTTGGCCTAAAAGCGCTTGAAATCTGCACCTGCAAATATCACAAAAAGAGGGTTTCACATCTGCTCTGTCTAAAGGACAGTTCACCTCTGTGAGTTGAATAGAGGCAACACAAAGAACTTACTCAGTATTCTTCTTTCTAGCGTTCTATGAAGAAATCCCTTTTCCAACGAAGGCCTCAAAGAGGTCCAAATATCTGCTTGCAGACTTTACAGAGTGTTTCCAAACTACTCTATGAAAAGAAAGCTTAAACTCCTTGAGTTGAACGCACACATCACAAAGTAGTTTCTGAGAATGATTCTGTCTTGTTTTTATACGAAGATATTTCCGTTTCTATGATTGGCCTCCAAGCGATTGAAATCTCCAACTGGAAACTGCACAAATAGGGTGTTTCAAATCTGCTCTGTCTAAAGGAAGGTTCAACTCTGTGAGTTGAATACACACACCACAAATAATTTACTGAGAATTCTTCTGTCGAACATTACATGAAGAAATCCCGTTTCCAACGAAGGCCTCAAAGAGGTCCAAATATCCACTTGCAGACATTACAAACAGAGTGTTTCCAAACTGCTCCATCAAAAGAAAGGTTAAACTCTGTGAGCTGAACACACACATCAAAAAGAAGTTTCTGTGAATGATTCTGTCTAGATTTTATAAGAAGATGTTTCCTTTTCTACTGTAGGCCTCAAAGCGCTTGAAATCTCCAGCTGCAAATTCCACACAAAGGGTGTTTAACATCTGCTCTTCTAAAGGAAAGTTCAACTCTATGAGTTGAATACACACAGCACAAAGAAGTTACTGAGACTTCTCCTATCATACATTATATGAAGAAATCCCGTTTCCAACGAAGGCCTCAAAGAGGTCCAAATATCCACTTGCAGACGTGACAAACAGAGTGTTTCCAAACTGCTCCATCCAAAGAAAGGTTAAAGTCTGTGACTTGAACACACACATCACAAAGTAGTTTCAGTGAATGATTCTGTCTAGTTTTTATACGAAGATGTTTCCTTTTCTACCTTTGGTCTCAATGCGATTGAAATCTCCACATGGAAACTCCACAAAAAGAGTGTTTCAAATCTGCTCTTTCTGAAGGAAGGTTCAACTCTGTGAGTTGAATACACACACCACAAATAAGTTACTGAGAATTCTTCTGTGTAACATTATATGAGGAAATCCCGTTTCCAACGAAGGCCTCAAAGAGGTCCAAATATCCACTTGCAGACTTTACAAAGACAGTGTCTCCAAACTCCTCCATCAAAAGAAAGGTTATACTCTGTGAATTGAACGCACACATCACAAAGTAGTTTCTGAGAATGCTTCTGTCTAGTTTTTATACGAAGATATTTCCTTTTCTACATTTGGCCTAAAAGCGCTTGAAATCTCCACCTGCAAATATCACAAAAAGAGGGTTTCACATCTGCTCTGTCTAAAGGACAGTTCACCTCTGTGAGTTGAATAGAGGCAACACAAAGAACTTACTCAGTATTCTTCTTTCTAGGGTTCTATGAAGAAACGCCGTTTCCAACGAAGGCCCCAAAGAGGTCCAAATATCTGCTTGCAGACTTTACAGACAGAGTGTTTCCAAACTACTCTATGAAAAGAAAGCTTAAACTCCTTGAGTTGAACGCACACATCACAAAGTAGTTTCTGAGAATGATTCTGTCTAGTTTTTATACGAAGATGTTTCCTTTTCTACATTTGGTCTCAAAGCGATTGAAATCTCCAACTGGAAACTGCACAAATAGGGTGTTTCAAATCTGCTCTGTCTAAAGGAAGGTTCAACTCTGTGAGTTGAATACACACACCACAAATAAGTTACTGAGAATTCTTCTGTCGAACATTACTTGAAGAAATCCCGTTTCCAACGAAGGCCTCAAAGAGGTCCAAATATCCACTTGCAGATATTACAAACAGAGTGTTTCCAAACTGCTCCATCAAAAGAAAGGTTAAACTCTGTGAGCTGAACACACACATCAAAAAGAAGTTTCTGTGAATGATTCTGTCTAGATTTTATAAGAAGATGTTTCCTTTTCTACCGTAGGCCTCAAAGCGCTTGAAATCTCCAGCTGCAAATTTCACAAAAAGGGTGTTTAACATCTGCTCTTCTAAAGGAAAGTTCAACTCTATGCGTTGAATACACACAGCACAAAGAAGTTACTGAGACTTCTCCTATCAAACATTATATGAAGAAATCCCGTTTCCAACGAAGGCCTCAAAGAGGTCCAAATATCTGCTTGCAGACTTTACAGACAGAGTGTTTCCAAACTGCTCCATCAAAAGAAAGGTTAAACTCCTTGAGTTGAACACACACATCACAAAGTAGTTTCTGTGAATGATTCTGTCTAGTTTTTATACGAAGATGTTTCCTTTTCTACCTTTGGTCTCAAAGCGATTGAAATCTCCACATGGAAACTCCACAAAAAGAGTGTTTCAAATCTGCTCTTTCTGAAGGAAGGTTCAACTCTGTGAGTTGAATACACACACCACAAATAAGTTACTGAGAATTCTTCTGTGTAACATTATATGAGGAAATCCCGTTTCCAACGAAGGCCTCAAAGAGATCCAAATATCCACTTGCAGACTTTACAAAGACAGTGTCTCCAAACTCCTCCATCAAAAGAAAGGTTATACTCTGTGAATTGAACGCACACATCACAAAGTAGTTTCTGAGAATGATTGTGTCTAGTTTTTATGCGAAGATATTTCCTTTTCTACATTTGGCCTCAAAGCGCTTGAAATCTCCACCTGCAAATATCACAAAAAGAGGGTTTCACATCTGCTCTGTCTAAAGGACAGTTCACCTCTGTGAGTTGAATAGAGGCAACACAAAGAACTTACTCAGTATTCTTCTTTCTAGCGTTCTATGAAGAAATCCCGTTTCCAACGAAGGCCCCAAAGAGGTCCAAATATCTGCTTGCAGACTTTACAGACAGAGTGTTTCCAAACTACTCTATGAAAAGAAAGCTTAAACTCCTTGAGTTGAACGCACACATCACAAAGTAGTTTCTGAGAATGATTCTGTCTAGTTTTTATACGAAGATGTTTCCTTTTCTACATTTGGTCTCAAAGCGATTGAAATCTCCAACTGGAAACTGCACAAATAGGGTGTTTCAAATCTGCTCTGTCTAAAGGAAGGTTCAACTCTGTGAGTTGAATACACACACCACAAATAAGTTACTGAGAATTCTTCTGTCGAACATTACATGAAGAAATCCCGTTTCCAACGAAGGCCTCAAAGAGGTCCAAATATCCACTTGCAGACATTACAGAGTGTTTCCAAACTGCTCCATCAAAAGAAAGGTTAAACTCTGTGAGCTGAACACACACATCAAAAAGAAGTTTCTGTGAATGATTCTGTCTAGATTTTATAAGAAGATGTTTCCTTTTCTACCGTAGGCCTCAAAGCGCTTGAAATCTCCAGCTGCAAATTCCACAAAAAGGGTGTTTAACATCTGCTCTTCTAAAGCAAAGTTCAACTCTATGAGTTGAATACACACAGCACAAAGAAGTTACTGAGACTTCTCCTATCAAACATCATATGAAGAAATCCCGTTTCCAACGAAGGCCTCAAAGAGGTCCAAATATCTGCTTGCAGACTTTACAGAGAGAGTGTTTTTAAACTGCTCCATCAAAAGAAAGGTTAAACTCCTTGAGTTGAACACACACATCACAAAGTAGTTTCTGTGAATGATTCTGTCTAGTTTTTATACGAAGATGTTTCCTTTTCTACCTTTGGTCTCAAAGCGATTGAAATCTCCACATGGAAACTCCACAAAAAGTGTGTTTCAAATCTGCTCTCTCTGAAGGAAGGTTCAACTCTGTGAGTTGAATACACACACCACTAATAAGTTACTGAGAATTCTTCTGTGTAACATTATATGAGGAAATCCCGTTTCCAACGAAGGCCTCAAAGAGATCCAAATATCCACTTGCAGACTTTACAAAGACAGTGTCTCCAAACTCCTCCATCAAAAGAAAGGTTATACTCTGTGAATTGAACGCACACATCACAAAGTAGTTTCTGAGAATGATTGTGTCTAGTTTTTATACGAAGATATTTCCTTTTCTACATTTGGCCTCAAAGCGCTTGAAATCTCCACCTGCAAATATCACAAAAAGAGGGTTTCACATCTGCTCTGTCTAAAGGACAGTTCACCTCTGTGAGTTGAATAGAGGCAACACAAAGAACTTACTCAGTATTCTTCTTTCTAGCGTTCTATGAAGAAATCCCGTTTCCAACGAAGGCCCCAAAGAGGTCCAAATATCTGCTTGCAGACTTTACAGACAGAGTGTTTCCAAACTACTCTATGAAAAGAAAGCTTAAACTCCTTGAGTTGAACGCACACATCACAAAGTAGTTTGTGAGAATGATTCTGTCTAGTTTTTATACGAAGATGTTTCCTTTTCTACATTTGGTCTCATAGCGATTGAAATCTCCAACTGGAAACTGCGCAAATAGGGTGTTTCAAATCTGCTCTGTCTAAAGGAAGGTTCAACTCTGTGAGTTGAATACACACACCACACATAAGTTACTGAGAATTCTTCTGTCGAACATTACTTGAAGAAATCCCGTTTCCAACGAAGGCCTCAAAGAGGTCCAAATATCCACTTGCAGACATTACAAACAGAGTGTTTCCAAACTGCTCCATCAAAAGAAAGGTTAAACTCTGTGAGCTGAACACACACATCGAAAAGAAGTTTCTGTGAATGATTCTGTCTAGATTTTATAAGAAGATGTTTCCTTTTCTACCGTAGGCCTCAAAGCGCTTGAAATCTCCAGCTGCAAATTCCACAAAAAGGGTGTTTAACATCTGCTCTTCTAAAGGAAAGTTCAACTCTATGAGTTGAATACACACAGCACAAAGAAGTTACTGAGACTTCTCCTATCAAACATTATATGAAGAAATCCCGTTTCCAACGAAGGCCTCAAAGAGGTCCAAATATCTGCTTGCAGACTTTACAGACAGAGTGTTTCCAAACTGCTCCATCAAAAGAAAGGTTAAACTCCTTGAGTTGAACACACACATCACAAAGTAGTTTCTGTGAATGATTCTGTCTAGTTTTTATACGAAGATGTTTCCTTTTCTACCTTTGGTCTCAAAGCGATTGAAATCTCCACATGGAAACTCCACAAAAAGAGTGTTTCAAATCTGCTCTTTCTGAAGGAAGGTTCAACTCTGTGAGTTGAATACACACACCACAAATAAGTTACTGAGAATTCTTCTGTGTAACATTATATGAGGAAATCCCGTTTCCAACGAAGGCCTCAAAGAGGTCCAAATATCCACTTGCAGACTTTACAAAGACAGTGTCTCGAAACTCCTCCATCAAAAGAAAGGTTATACTCTGTGAATTGAACGCACACATCACAAAGTAGTTTCTGAGAATGATTCTGTCTAGTTTTTATACGAAGATATTTCCTTTTCTACATTTGGCCTCAAAGCGCTTGAAATCTCCACCTGCAAATATCACAAAAAGAGGGTTTCACATCTGCTCTGTCTAAAGGACAGTTAACCTCTGTGAGTTGAATAGAGGCAACACAAAGAACTTACTCAGTATTCTTCTTTCTAGCGTTCTATGAAGAAATCCCGTTTCCAATGAAGGCCCCAATGAGGTTCAAATATCTGCTTGCAGACTTTACAGACAGAGTGTTTCCAAACTACTCTATGAAAAGAAAGCTTAAACTCCTTGAGTTGAACGCACAGATCACCAAGTAGTTTCTGAGAATGATTCTGTCTAGTTTTTATACGAAGATGTTTCCTTTTCTACGTTTGGTCTCAAAGCGATTGAAATCTCCAACTGGAAACTGCACAAATAGGCTGTTTCAAATCTGCTCTGTCTAAAGGAAGGTTCAACTCTGTGAGTTGAATACACACACCACAAATAAGTTACTGAGAATTCTTCTGTCGAACATTACAGGAAGAAATCCCGTTTCCAACGAAGGCCTCAAAGAGGTCCAAATATCCACTTGCAGACATTACAAACAGTGTGTTTCCCAACTGCTCCATCAAAAGAAAGGTTAAACTCTGTGAGCTGAACACACACATCAAAAAGAAGTTTCTGTGAATGATTCTGTCTAGATTTTATAAGAAGATGTTTCCTTTTCTACCGTAGGCCTCAAAGTGCTTGAAATCTCCAGCTGCAAATTCCACAAAAAGGGTGTTTAACATCTGCTCTTCTAAAGGAAAGTTCAACTCAATGAGTTGAATACACACA
Organism: Homo sapiens; assembly: GCF_000001405.40. Lineage (NCBI taxonomy): Eukaryota > Metazoa > Chordata > Mammalia > Primates > Hominidae > Homo > Homo sapiens. The sequence goes on along the minus strand of NC_000012.12, from coordinate 36,206,942 downwards.
GCCCAAAGAAGTTACTGAGACTTCTCCTATCAAACATTATATGAAGAAATGCCGTTTCCAACGAAGGCCTCAAAGAGGTCCAAATATCTGCTTGCAGACTTTACAGACAGAGTGTTTCCAAACTCCTCCATCAAAAGAAAGGTTAAACTCCTTGAGTTGAACACACACATCACAAAGTAGTTTCTGTGAATGATTCTGTCTAGTTTTTATACGAAGATGTTTCCTTTTCTACCTTTGGTCTCAAAGCGATTGAAATCTCCACATGGAAACTCCACAAAAAGAGTGTTTCAAATCTGCTCTTTCTGAAGGAAGGTTCAACTCTGTGAGTTGAATACACACACCACAAATAAGTTACTGAGAATTCTTCTGTGTAACATTATATGAGGAAATCCCGTTTCCAACGAAGGCCTCAAAGAGGTCCAAATATCCACTTGCAGACTTTACAAAGACAGTGTCTCCAAACTCCTCCATCAAAAGAAAGGTTATACTCTGTGAATTGAACGCACACATCACAAAGTAGTTTCTGAGAATGATTCTGTCTAGTTCTTATACGAAGATATTTCCTTTTCTACATTTGGCCTAAAAGCGCTTGAAATCTCCACCTGCAAATATCACAAAAAGAGGGTTTCACATCTGCTCTGTCTAAAGGACAGTTCACCTCTGTGAGTTGAATAGAGGCAACACAAAGAACTTACTCAGTATTCTTCTTTCTAGCGTTATATGAAGAAATCCCGTTTCCAACGAAGGCCTCAAAGAGGTCCAAATATCTGCTTGCAGACTTTACAGACAGAGTGTTTCCAAACTACTCTATGAAAAGAAAGCTTAAACTCCTTGAGTTGAACGCACACATCACAAAGTAGTTTGCTGAGAATGATTCTGTCTTGTTTTTATACGAAGATATTTCCGTTTCTATGATTGGCCCCAAAGCGATTGAAATCTCCAACTGGAAGCTGCACAAATAGGGTGTTTCAAATCTGCTCTGTCTAAAGGAAGGTTCAACTCCGTGAGATGAACACACACAAGACAAATAAGTTACTGAGAATTCTTCTGTCGAACATTACATGAAGAAATCCCGTTTCCAACCAAGGCCTCAAAGAGGTCCATATATCCACTTGCAGATATTACAAACTGAGTGTTTCCAAACTGCTCCATCAAAGGAAATGTTAAACTCTGTGAGCTGAACACACACATCAAAAAGAAGTTTCTGTGAATGATTCTGTCTAGATTTTATAAGAAGATGTTTCCTTTTCTACCGTAGGCCTCAAAGCGCTTGAAATCTCCAGCTGCAAATTCCACAAAAAGGGTGTTTAACATCTGCTCTTCTAAAGGAAAGTTCAACTCTATGAGTTGAATACACACAGCACAAAGAAGTTACTGAGACTTCTCCTATCAAACATTATATGAAGAAATCCCGTTTCCAACGAAGGCCTCAAAGAGGTCCAAATATCCACTTGCAGACGTGAAAAACAGAGTGTTTCCAAACTGCTCCATCAAAAGAAAGGTTAAACTCTGTGAGTTGAACACACACATCACAAAGTAGTTTCTGTGAATGATTCTGTCTAGTTTTTATACGAAGATGTTTCCTTTTCTACCTTTGCTCTCAAAGTGATTGAAATCTCCACATCGAAACTCCACAAAAAGAGTGTTTCAAATCTGCTCTTTCTGAAGGAAGGTTCAACTCTGTGAGTTGAATAAACACACCACAAATAAGTTACTGAGAATTCTTCTGTGTAACATTATATGAGGAAATCCCGTTTCCAACGAACGCCTCAAAGAGGTCCAAATATCCACTTGCAGACTTTACAAAGACAGTGTCTCCAAACTCCTCCATCAAAAGAAAGGTTATACTCTGTGAATTGAACGCACACATCACAAAGTAGTTTCTGAGAATGATTCTGTCTGGTTTTTATACGAAGATATTTCCTTTTCTACATTTGGCCTAAAAGGGCTTGAAATCTCCACCTGCAAATATCACAAAAAGAGGGTTTCACATCTGCTCTGTCTAAAGGACAGTTCACCTCTGTGAGTTGAATAGAGGCAACACAAAGAACTTACTCAGTATTCTTCTTTCTAGCGTTATATGAAGAAATCCCGTTTCCAAAGAAGGCCTCAAAGAGGTCCAAATATCTGCTTGCAGACTTTACAGACAGAGTGTTTCCAAACTACTCTATGAAAAGAAAGCTTAAACTCCTTGAGTTGAACGCACACATCACAAAGTAGTTTCTGAGAATGATTCTGTCTTGTTTTTATACGAAGATATTTCCGTTTCTATGATTGGCCTCAAAGCGATTGAAATCTCCAACTGGAAAATGCACAAATAGGGTGTTTCAAATCTGCTCTGTCTAAAGGAAGGTTCAACTCTGTGAGTTGAATACACACACCACAAATAAGTTACTGAGAATTCTTCTGTCGACCATTACATGAAGAAATCCCGTTTCCAACGAAGGCCTCAAAGAGGTCCAAATATCCCCTTGCAGACATTACAAACAGAGTGTTTCCAAACTGCTCCATCAAAAGAAAGGTCAAACTCTGTGAGCTGAACACACACATCAAAAAGAAGTTTCTGTGAATGATTCTGTCTAGATTTTATAAGAAGATGTTTCCTTTTCTACAGTAGGCCTCAAAGCGCTTGAAACCTCCAGCTGCAAATTCCCCAAAAAGGGTGTTTAACATCTGCTCTTCTAAAGGAAAGTTCAACTACTATGAGTTGAATACACACAGCACAAAGAAGTTACTGAGACTTCTCCTATCAAACATTATATGAAGAAATCCCGTTTCCAACGAAGGCCTCAAAGAAGTCCAAATATCTGCTTGCAGACTTTACAGACAGAGTGTTTCCAAACTGCTCCATCAAAAGAAAGGTTAAACTCCTTGAGTTGAACACACACATCACAAAGTAGTTTCTGTGAATGATTCTGTCTAGTTTTTATACGAAGATGTTTCCTTTTCTACCTTTGGTCTCAAAGCGATTGAAATCTCCACATGGAAACTCCACAAAAAGAGTGTTTCAAATCTGCTCTTTCTGAAGGAAGGTTCAACTCTGTGAGTTGAATACACACACCACAAATAAGTTACTGAGAATTCTTCTGTGTAACATTATATGAGGAAATCCCGTTTCCAACGAAGGCCTCAAAGAGGTCCAAATATCCACTTGCAGACTTTACAAAGACAGTGTCTCCAAACTCCTCCATCAAAAGAAAGGTTATACTCTGTGAATTGAACGCACACATCACAAAGTAGTTTCTGAGAATGATTCTGTCTAGTTTTTATACGAAGATATTTCCTTTTCTACATTTGGCCTAAAAGCGCTTGAAATCTCCACCTGCAAATATCACAAAAAGAGGGTTTCACATCTGCTCTGTCTAAAGGACAGTTCACCTCTCTGAGTTGAATAGAGGCAACACAAAGAACTTACTCAGTATTCTTCTTTCTAGCGTTCTATGAAGAAATCCCCTTTCCAACGAAGACCCCAAAGACGTCCAAATATCTGCTTGCAGACTTTACAGACAGAGTTTTTCCAAACTGCTCCATCAAAAGAAAGGTTAAACTCCTTGAGTTGAACACACACGTCACAAAGTAGTATCTGTGAATGATTCTGTCTAGTTTTTCTACGAAGATGTTTCCTTTTCTACCTTCGGTCTCAAAGCGATTGAAATCTCCACATGGAAACTCCACAAAAAGAGTGTTTCAAATCTGCTCTTTCTGAAGGAAGGTTCAACTCTGTGAGTTGAATACACACACCACAAATAAGTTACTGAGAATTCTTCTGTGTAACATTATATGAGGAAATCCCGTTTCCAACGAAGGCCTCAAAGAGGTCCAAATATCCACTTGCAGACTTTACAAAGACAGTGTCTCCAAACTCCTCCATCAAAAGAAAGGTTATACTCTGTGAATTGAACGCACACATCACAAAGTAGTTTCTGAGAATGATTCTGTCTAGTTTTTATACGAAGATATTTCCTTTTCTACATTTGGCCTAAAAGCGCTTGAAATCTCCACCTGCAAATATCACAAAAAGAGGGTTTCACATCTGCTCTATCTAAAGGACAGTTCACCTCTGTGAGTTGAATAGAGGCAACACAAAGAACTTACTCAGTATTCTTCTTTCTAGCGTTCTATGAAGAAATCCCGTTTCCAACGAAGGCCTCAAAGAGGTCAAATATCTGCTTGCAGACTTTACAGACAGAGTGTTTCCAAACTACTCTATGAAAAGAAAGCTTAAACTCCTTGAGTTGAACGCACACATCACAAAGTAGTTTCTGAGAATGATTCTGTCTAGTTTTTATACGAAGATGTTTCCTTTTCTACATTTGGTCTCAAAGCGATTGAAATCTCCAACTGGAAACTGCACAAATAGGCTGTTTCAAATCTGCTCTGTCTAAAGGAAGGTTCAGCTCTGTGTGTTGAATACACACACCACAAATAAGTTACTGAGAATTCTTCTGTCGAACATTACTTGAAGAAATCCCGTTTCCAACGAAGACCTCAAAGAGGTCCAAATATCCACTTGCAGATATTACAAGCAGAGTGTTTCCAAACTGCTCCATCAAAAGAAAGGTTAAACTCGGTGAGCTGAACACACACATCAAAAAGAAGTTTCTGTGAATGATTCTGTCTAGATTTTATAAGAAGATGTTTCCTTTTCTACTGTAGTCCTCAAAGAGCTTGAAATCTCCAACTGCAAATTCCACAAAAAGGGTGTTTAAGATCTGCTCTTCTAAAGGAAAGTTCAACTCTATGAGTTGAATACACACAGCACAAAGAAGTTACTGAGACTTCTCCTATCAAACATTATATGAAGAAATCCCGTTTCCAACGAAGGCCTCAAAGAGGTCCAAATATCTGCTTGCAGACTTTACAGACAGAGTTTTTCCAAACTGCTCCATCAAAAGAAAGGTTAAACTCCTTGAGTTGAACACACACATCACAAAGTAGTTTCTGTGAATGATTCTGTCTAGTTTTTATACGAAGATGTTTCCTTTTCTACCTTTGGTCTCAAAGCGATTGAAATCTCCACATGGAAACTCCACAAAAAGAGTGTTTCAAATCTGCTCTTTCTGAAGGAAGGTTCATCTCTGTGAGTTGAGTACACACACCACAAATAAGTTACTGAGAATTCTTCTGTGTAACATTATATGAGGAAATCCCGTTTCCAACGAAGGCCTCAAAGAGGTCCAAATATCCACTTGCAGACTTACAAAGACAGTGTCTCCAAACTCCTCCATCAAAAGAAAGGTTATACTCTGTGAATTGAACGCACACATCACAAAGTAGTTTCTGAGAATGATTCTGTCTAGTTTTTATACGAAGATATTTCCTTTTCTACATTTGGCCTAAAAGCGCTTGAAATCTCCACCTGCAAATATCACAAAAAGAGGGTTTCACATCTGCTCTGTCTAAAGGACAGTTCACCTCTGTGAGTTGAGTAGAGGCAACACAAAGAACTTACTCAGTATTCTTCTTTCTAGCGTTCTATGAAGAAATCCCGTTTCCAACGAAGGCCTCAAAGAGGTCAAATATCTGCTTGCAGACTTTACAGACAGAGTGTTTCCAAACTACTCTATGAAAAGAAAGCTTAAACTCCTTGAGTTGAACGCACACATCACAAAGTAGTTTCTGAGAATGATTCTGTCTAGTTTTTATACGAAGATGTTTCCTTTTCTACATTTGGTCTCAAAGCTCTTGAAATCTCCAACTGGAAACTGCACAAAGAGGCTGTTTCAAATCTGCTCTGTCTAAAGGAAGGTTCAGCTCTGTGAGTTGAATACACACACCACAAATAAGTTACTGAGAATTCTTCTGTCGAAAATTACTTGAAGAAATCCCGTTTCCAACTAAGGCCTCAAAGAGGTCCAAATATCCTCTTGCAGACATTACAAACAGAGTGTTTCCAAACTGCTCCATCAAAAGAAAGGTTAAACTCTGTGAGCTGAACACACACATCAAAAAGAAGTTTCTGTGAATGATTCTGTCTAGATTTTATAAGAAGATGTTTCCTTTTCTACCGTAGGCCTCAAAGCGCTTGAAATCTCCAGCTGCAAATTCCACAAAAAGGGTGTTTAACATCTGCTCTTCTAAAGGAAAGTTCAACTCTATGAGTTGAATACACACAGCACAAAGAAGTTACTGAGACTTCTCCTATCAAACATTATATGAAGAAATCCCGTTTCCAACGAAGGCCTCAAAGAGGTCTAAATATCTGCTTGCAGACATTACAGACAGAGTGTTTCCAAACTGCTCCATCAAAAGAAAGGTTAAACTCCTTGAGTTGAACACACACATCACAAAGTAGTTTCTGTGAATGATTCTGTCTAGTTTTTATACGAAGATGTTTCCTTTTCTACCTTTGGTCTCAATGCGATTGAAATCTCCACATGGAAACTCCACAAAAAGAGTGTTTCAAATCTGCTCTTTCTGAAGGAAGGTTCATCTCTGTGAGTTGAATACACACACCACAAATAAGTTACTGAGAATTCTTCTGTGTAACATTATATGAGGAAATCCCGTTTCCAACGAAGGCCTCAAAGAGGTCCAAATATCCACTTGCAGACTTACAAAGACAGTGTCTCCAAACTCCTCCATCAAAAGAAAGGTTATACTCTGTGAATTGAACGCACACATCACAAAGTAGTTTCTGAGAATGATTCTGTCTAGTTTTTATACGAAGATATTTCCTTTTCTACATTTGGCCTAAAAGCGCTTGAAATCTCCACCTGCAAATATCACAAAAAGAGGGTTTCACATCTGCTCTGTCTAAAGGACAGTTCACCTCTGTGAGTTGAATAGAGGCAACACAAAGAACTTACTCAGTATTCTTCTTTCTAGCGTTCTATGAAGAAATCCCGTTTCCAACGAAGGCCCCAAAGAGGTCCAAATATCTGCTTGCAGACTTTACAGACAGAGTGTTTCCAAACTACTCTATGAAAAGAAAGCTTAAACTCCTTGAGTTGAACGCACACATCACAAAGTAGTTTCTGAGAATGATTCTGTCTAGTTTTTATACGAAGATGTTTCCTTTTCTACATTTGGTCTCAAAGCGATTGAAATCTCCAACTGGAAACTCCACAAAAAGAGTGTTTCAAATCTGCTCTGTCTAAAGGAAGGTTCAACTCTGTGAGTTGAATACACACACCACAAATAAGTTACTGAGAATTCTTCTGTCGAACATTACAGGAAGAAATCCCGTTTCCAACGAAGGCCTCAAAGAGGTCCAAATATCCACTTGCAGACATTACAAACAGTGTGTTTCCAAACTGCTCCATCAAAAGAAAGGTTAAACTCTGTGAGCTGAACACACACATCAAAAAGAAGTTTCTGTGAATGATTCTGTCTAGATTTTATAAGAAGATGTTTCCTTTTCTACCGTAGGCCTCAAAGCGCTTGAAATCTCCAGCTGCAAATTCCACAAAAAGGGTGTTTAACATCTGCTCTTCTAAAGGAAAGTTCAACTCTATGAGTTGAATACACACAGCACAAAGAAGTTACTGAGACTTCTCCTATCAAACATTATATGAAGAAATCCCGTTTCCAACGAAGGCCTCAAAGAGGTCCAAATATCTGCTTGCAGACTTTACAGACAGAGTGTTTCCAAACTGCTCCATCAAAAGAAAGGTTAAACTCCTTGAGTTGAACACACACATCACAAAGTAGTTTCTGTGAATGATTCTGTCTAGTTTTTATACGAAGATGTTTCCTTTTCTACCTTTGGTCTCAAAGCGATTGAAATCTCCACATGGAAACTCCACAAAAAGAGTGTTTCAAATCTGCTCTTTCTGAAGGAAGGTTCACCTCTGTGAGTTGAATAAACACACCACAAATAAGTTACTGAGAATTCTTCTGTGTAACATTATAGGAGGAAATCCCGTTTCCAACGAAGGCCTCAAAGAGGTCCAAATATCCACTTGCAGACTTTACAAAGACAGTGTCTCCAAACTCCTCCATCAAAAGAAAGGTTATCCTCTGTGAATTGAACGCACACATCACAAAGTAGTTTCTGAGAATGATTCTGTCTAGTTTTTATACGAAGATATTTCCTTTTCTACATTTGGCCTAAAAGCGCTTGAAATCTCCACCTGCAAATATCACAAAAAGAGGGTTTCACATCTGCTCTGTCTAAAGGACAGTTCACCTATGTGAGTTGAATAGAGGCAACACCAAGAACTTACTCAGTATTCTTCTTTCTAGCGTTCTATGAAGAAATCCCGTTTCCAACGAAGGCCCCAAAGAGGTCCAAATATCTGCTTGCAGACTTTACAGACAGAGTGTTTCCAAACTACTCTATGAAAAGAAAGCTTAAACTCGTTGAGTTGAATGCACACATCACAAAGTAGTTTCTGAGAATGATTCTGTCTAGTTTTTATACGAAGATGTTTCCTTTTCTACATTTGGTCTCAAAGCGATTGAAATCTCCAACTGGAAACTGCACAAATAGGGTGTTTCAAATCTGCTCTGTCTAAAGGAAGGTTCAACTCTGTGAGTTGAATACACACACCACAAATAAGTTACTGAGAATTCTTCTGTCGAACATTACTTGAAGAAATCCCGTTTCCAACGAAGGCCTCAAAGAAGTCCAAATATCCACTTGCAGACATTACAAACAGAGTGTTTCCAAACTGCTCCATCAAAAGAAAGGTTAAACTCTGTGAGCTGAACACACACATCGAAAAGAAGTTTCTGTGAATGATTCTGTCTAGATTTTATAAGAAGATGTTTCCTTTTCTACCGTAGGCCTCAAAGCGCTTGAAATCTCCAGCTGCAAATTCCTCAAAAAGGGTGTTTAACATCTGCTCTTCTAAAGGAAAGTTCAACTCTATGAGTTGAATACACACAGCACAAAGAAGTTACTGAGACTTCTCCTATCAAACATTATATGAAGAAATCCCGTTTCCAACGAAGGCCTCAAGGAGGTCCAAATATCTGCTTGCAGACTTTACAGACAGAGTGTTTCCAAATTACTCTATGAAAAGAAAGCTTAAACTCCTTGAGTTAAACGCACACATCACAAAGTAGTTTCTGAGAATGATTCTGTCTAGTTTTTATACGAAGATGTTTCCTTTTCTACCTTTGGTCTCAAAGCGATTGAAATCTCCACATGGAAACTCCACAAAAAGAGTGTTTCAAATCTGCTCTTTCTGAAGGAAGGTTCAACTCTGTGAGTTGAATACACACACCACAAATAAGTTACTGAGAATCCTTCTGTGTAACATTATATGAGGAAATCCCGTTTCCAACGAAGGCCTCAAAGAGGTCCAAATATCCACTTGCAGACTTTACAAAGACAGTGTCTCCAAACTCCTCCATCAAAAGAAAGGTTATACTCTGTGAATTGAACGCACACATCACAAAGTAGTTTCTGAGAATGATTCTGTCTAGTTTTTATACGAAGATATTTCCTTTTCTACATTTGGCCTAAAAGCGCTTGAAATCTCCACCTGCAAATATCACAAAAAGAGGGTTTCACATCTGCTCTGTCTAAAGGACAGTTCACCTCTGTGAGTTGAATAGAGGCAACACAAAGAACTTACTCAGTATTCTTCTTTCTAGCGTTCTATGAAGAAATCCCGTTTCCAACGAAGGCCTCAAAGAGGTCCAAATATCTGCTTGCAGACTTTACAGACAGAGTGTTTCCAAACTACTCTATGAAAAGAAAGCTTAAACTCCTTGAGTTGAACGCACACATCACAAAGTAGTTTCTGAGAATGATTCTGTCTAGTTTTTATACGAAGATGTTTCGTTTTCTACATTTGGTCTCAAAGCGATTGAAATCTCCAACTGGAAACTGCACAAATAGGGTGTTTCAAATCTGCTCTGTCTAAAGGAAGGTTCAACTCTGTGAGTTGAATACACACACCACAAATAAGTTACTGAGAATTCTTCTGTCGAACATTACTTGAAGAAATCCCGTTTCCAAAGAAGGCCTCAAAGAGGTCCAAATATCCACTTGCAGACATTACAAACAGAGTGTTTCCAAACTGCTCCATCAAAAGAAAGGTTAAACTCTGTGAGCTGAACACACACATGAAAAAGAAGTTTCTGTGAATGATTCTGTCTAGATTTTATAAGAAGATGTTTCCTTTTCTACCGTAGGCCTCAAAGCGCTTGAAATCTCCAGCTGCAAATTCCACAAAAAGGGTGTTTAACATCTGCTCTTCTAAAGGAAAGTTCAACTCTATGAGTTGAATACACACAGCACAAAGAAGTTACTGAGACTTCTCCTATCAAACATTATATGAAGAAATCCCGTTTCCAACGAAGGCCTCAAAGAGGTCCAAATATCTGCTTGCAGACTTTACAGACAGAGTTTTTCCAAACTGCTCCATCAAAACAAAGGTTAAACTCCTTGAGTTGAACACACACATCACAAAGTAGTTTCTGTGAATGATTCTGTCTAGTTTTTATACGAAGATGTTTCCTTTTCTACCTTTGGTCTCAAAGCGATTGAAATCTCCACATGGAAACTCCACAAAAAGAGTGTTTCAAATCTGCTCTTTCTGAAGGAAGGTTCAACTCTGTGAGTTGAATACACACACCACAAATAAGTTACTGAGAATTCTTCTGTGTAACATTATATGAGGAAATCCCGTTTCCAACGAAGGCCTCAAAGAGGTCCAAATATCCACTTGCAGACTTTACAAAGACAGTGTCTCCAAACTCCTCCATCAAAAGAAAGGTTATACTCTGTGAATTGAACGCACACATCACAAAGTAGTTTCTGAGAATGATTCTGTCTAGTTTTTATACGAAGATATTTCCTTTTCTACATTTGGCCTAAAAGCGCTTGAAATCTCCACCTGCAAATATCACAAAAAGAGGGTTTCACATCTGCTCTGTCTAAAGGACAGTTCACCTCTGTGAGTTGAATAGAGGCAACACAAAGAACTTACTCAGTATTCTTCTTTCTAGCGTTCTATGAAGAAATCCCGTTTCCAACGAAGGCCCCAAAGAGGTCCAAATATCTGCTTGCACACTTTACAGACAGAGTGTTTCCAAACTACTCTATGAAAAGAAAGCTTAAACTCCTTGAGTTGAACGCACACATCACAAAGAGTTTCTGAGAATGATTCTGTCTAGTTTTTATACGAAGATGTTTCCTTTTCTACATTTGGTCTCAAAGCGATTGAAATCTCCAACTGGAAACTGCACAAATAGGGTGTTTCAAATTTGCTCTGTCTAAAGGAAGGTTCAACTCTGTGAGTTGAATACACACACCACAAATAAGTTACTGAGAATTCTTCTGTCGAACATTACTTGAAGAAATCCCGTTTCCAACGAAGGCCTCAAAGAGGTCCAAATATCCACTTGCAGACATTACAAACAGAGTGTTTCCAAACTGCTCCATCAAAAGAAAGGTTAAACTCTGTGAGCTGAACACACACATCGAAAAGAAGTTTCTGTGAATGATTCTGTCTAGATTTTATAAGAAGATGTTTCCTTTTCTACAGTAGGCCTCAAAGCGCTTGAAATCTCCAGCTGCAAATTCCACAAAAAGGGTGTTTAACATCTGCTCTTCTAAAGGAAATTTCAACTCTATGAGTTGAATGCACACAGCACAAAGAAGTTACTGAGACTTCTCCTATCAAACATTATATGAAGAAATCCCGTTTCCAACGAAGGCCTCAAAGAGGTCCAAATATCTGCTTGCAGACTTTACAGACAGAGTGTTTCCAAACTGCTCCATCAAAAGAAAGGTTAAACTCCTTGAGTTGAACACACACATCACAAAGTAGTTTCTGTGAATGATTCTGTCTAGTTTTTATACGAAGATGTTTCCTTTTCTACCTTTGGTCTCAAAGCGATTGAAATCTCCACATGGAAACTCCACAAAAAGAGTGTTTCAAATCTGCTCTTTCTGAAGGAAGGTTCATCTCTGTGAGTTGAATACACACACCACAAATAAGTTACTGAGAATTCTTCTGTGTAACATTATATGAGGAAATCCCGTTTCCAACGAAGGCCTCAAAGAGGTCCAAATATCCACTTGCAGACTTTACAAAGACAGTGTCTCCAAACTCCTCCATCAAAAGAAAGGTTATACTCTGTGAATTGAACGCACACATCACAAAGTAGTTTCTGAGAATGATTCTGTCTAGTTTTTATACGAAGATATTTCCTTTTCTACATTTGGCCTAAAAGCGCTTGAAATCTCCACGTGCAAATATCACAAAAAGAGGGTTTCACATCTGCTCTGTCTAAAGGACAGTTCACCTCTGTGAGTTGAATAGAGGCAACACAAAGAACTTACTCAGTATTCTTCTTTCTAGCGTTCTATGAAGAAATCCCGTTTCCAATGAAGACCCCAATGAGGTCCAAATATCTGCTTGCAGACTTTAGAGACAGAGTGTTTCCAAACTACTCTATGAAAAGAAAGCTTAAACTCCTTGAGTTGAACGCACACATCACCAAGTAGTTTCTGAGAATGATGCTGTCTAGTTTTTGTACGAAGATGTTTCCTTTTCTATATTTGGTCTCAAAGCCATTGAAATCTCCAACTGGAAACTGCACAAATAGGGTGTTTCAAATCTGCTCTGTCTAAAGGAAGGTTCAACTCTGTGAGTTGAATACACACACCATAAATAAGTTACTGAGAATTCTCCTATCAAACATTATATGAAGAAATCCCGTTTCCAAAGAAGGCCTCAAAGAGGTCCAAATATCCACTTGCAGACGTGACAAACAGAGTGTTTCCAAACTGCTCCATCAAAGGAAAGGTTAAACTCTGTGACCTGAACACACACATCAAAAAGAAGTTTCTGTGAATGATTCTGTCTAGATTTTATAAGAAGATGTTTCCTTTTCTACCGTAGGCCTCAAAGCGCTTGAAATCTCCAGCTGCAAATTCCACAAAAAGGGTGTTTAACATCTGCTCTTCTAAAGGAAAGTTCAACTCTATGAGTTGAATACACACAGCACAAAGAAGTTACTGAGACTTCTCCTATCAAACATTATATGAAGAAATCCCGTTTCCAACGAAGGCTTCAAAGAGGTCCAAATATCTGCTTGCAGACTTTACAGACAGAGTGTTTCCAAACTGCTCCATCAAAAGAAAGGTTAAACTCCTTGAGTTGAACACACACATCACAAAGTAGTTTCTGTGAATGATTCTGTCTAGTTTTTATACGAAGATGTTTCCTTTTCTACCTTTGGTCTCAAAGCGATTGAAATCTCCACATGGAAACTCCACAAAATGAGTGTTTCAAATCTGCTCTTTCTGAAGGAATGTTCAACTCTGTGAGTTGAATACACACACCACAAATAAGTTGCTGAGAATTCTTCTGTGTAACATTATGTGAGGAAATCCCGTTTCCAACGAAGGCCTCAAACAGGTCCAAATATCCACTTGCAGACTTTACAAAGACAGTGTCTCCAAACTCCTCCATCAAAAGAAAGGTTATACTGTGTGAATTGAACGCACACATCACAAAGTAGTTTCTGAGAAAGATTCTGTCTAGTTTTTATACGAAGATATTTCCTTTTCTACATTTGGCCTAAAAGCGCTTGAAATCTCCACCTGCAAATATCACAAAAAGAGGGTTTCACATCTGCTCTGTCTGAAGGACAGTTCACCTCTGTGAGTTGTATAGAGGCAACAGAAAGAACTTACTCAGTATTATTCTTTCTAGCGTTATAAGAAGAAATCCCGTTTCCAACGAAGGCCACAAAGAGGTCCAAATATCTGCTTGCAGACTTAACAGACAGAGTGTTTCCAAACTGCTCCATCAAAAGAAAGGTTAACCTCCTTGAGTTGAACACACACTTCACAAAGTAGTTTCTGTGAATGATTCTGTCTAGTTTTTATACGAAGATGTTTCCTTTTCTACCTTTGGTCTCAAAGCGATTGAAATCTCCACATGGAAACTCCACAAAAAGAGTGTTTCAAATCTGCTCTTTCTGAAGGAAGGTTCAACTCTGTGAGTTGAATACACACACCACAAATAAGTTACTGAGAATTCTTCTGTGTAACATTATATGAGGAAATCCCTTTTCCAACGAAGGCCTCAAAGAGGTCCAAATATCCACTTGCAGACTTTACAAAGACAGTGTCTCCAAACTCCTCCATCAAAAGAAAGGTTATACTCTGTGAATTGAACGCACACATCACAAAGTAGTTTCTGAGAATGATTCTGTCTAGTTTTTATACGAAGATATTTCCTTTTCTACATTTGGCGTAAAAGCGCTTGAAATCTCCACCTGCAAATATCACAAAAAGAGGGTTTCACATATGCTCTGTCTAAAGGACAGTTCACCTCTGTGAGTTGAATAGAGGCAACACCAAGAACTTACTGAGTATTCTTCTTTCTAGCGTTCTATGAAGAAATCCCGTTTACAACGAAGGCCTCAAAGAGGTCCAAATATCTGCTTGCAGACTTTACAGACAGAGTGTTTCCAAACTACTCTATGAAAAGAAAGCTTAAACTCCTTGAGTTGAACGCACACATCACAAAGTAGTTTCTGAGAATGATTCTGTCTAGTTTTTATACGAAGATGTTTCCTTTTCTACATTTGGTCTCAAAGCGATTGAAATCTCCAACTGGAAACTGCACAAATAGGGTGTTTCAAATCTGCTCTGTCTAAAGGAAGGTTCAACTCTGTGAGTTGAATACACACACCACAAATAAGTTACTGAGAATTCTTCTGTCGAACATTACAGGAAGAAATCCCGTTTCCAACGAAGGCCTCAAAGAGGTCCAAATATCCACTTGCAGACATTACAAACAGTGTGTTTCCCAACTGCTCCATCAAAAGAAAGGTTAAACTCTGTGAGCTGAACACACACATCAAAAAGAAGTTTCTGTGAATGATTCTGTCTAGATTTTATAAGAAGATGTTTCCTTTTCTACCGTAGGCCTCAAAGCGCTTGAAATCTCCAGCTGCAAATTCCACAAAAATGGTGTTTAACATCTGCTCTTCTAAAGGAAAGTTCAACTCTATGAGTTGAATACACACAGCACAAAGAAGTTACTGAGACTTCTCCTATCAAACATTATATGAAGAAATCCCGTTTCCAACGAAGGCCTCAAAGAGGTCCAAATATCTGCTTGCAGACTTTACAGACAGAGTGTTTCCAAACTGCTCCATCAAAAGAAAGGTTAAACTCCTTGAGTTGAACACACACATCACAAAGTAGTTTCTGTGAATGATTCTGTCTAGTTTTTATACGAAGATGTTTCCTTTTCAACCTTTGGTCTCAAAGCGATTGAAATCTCCACATGGAAACTCCACCAAAAGAGTGTTTCAAATCTGCTCTTTCTGAAGGAAGGTTCAACTCTGTGAGTTGAATACACACACCACAAATAAGTTACTGAGAATTCTTCTGTGTAACATTATATGAGGAAATCCCGTTTCCAACGAAGGCCTCAAAGAGGTCCAAATATCCACTTGCAGACTTTACAAAGACAGTGTCTCCAAACTCCTCCATCAAAAGAAAGGTTATACTCTGTGAATTGAACGCACACATCACAAAGTAGTTTCTGAGAATGATTCTGTCTAGTTTTTATACGAAGATATTTCCTTTTCTACATTTGGCCTAAAAGCGCTTGAAATCTCCACCTGCAAATATCACAAAAAGAGGGTTTCACATCTGCTCTGTCTAAAGGACAGTTCACCTCTGTGAGTTGAATAGAGGCAATACAAAGAACCTACTGAGTATTCTTCTTTCTAGCGTTCTATGAAGAAATCCCGTTTCCAACGAAGGCCCCAATGAGGTCCAAATATCTGCTTGCAGACTTTACAGACAGAGTGTTTCCAAAGTACTCTATGAAAAGAAAGCTTAAACTCCTTGAGTTGAACGCACACATCACAAAGTAGTTTCTGAGAATGATTCTGTCCAGTTTTTATACGAAGATGTTTCCTTTTCTACATTTGGTCTCAAAGCGATTGAAATCTCCAACTGGAAACTGCACAAATAGGGTGTTTCAAATCTGCTCTGTCTAAAGGAAGGTTCAACTCTGTGAGTTGAATACACACACCACAAATAAGTTACTGAGAATTCTTCTGTCTAACATTATATGAAGAAATCCCGTTTCCAACGAAGGCCTCAAAGAGGTCCAAATATCCACTTGCAGACTTGTCAAACAGAGTGTTTCCAAACTGCACCATCAAAAGAAAGGTTAAACTCTGTGAGCTGAACACACACATCACAAAGTAGTTTCTGTGAATGATTCTGTCTAGATTTTATAAGAAGATGTTTCCTTTTCTACCGTAGGCCTCAAAGCGCTTGAAATCTCCAGCTGCAAATTCCACAAAAAGGGTGTTTAACATCTGCTCTTCTAAAGGAAAGTTCAACTCTATGAGTTGAATACACACAGCACAAAGAAGTTACTGAGACTTCTCCCTATCAAACATTATATGAAGAAATCCCGTTTCCAACGAAGGCCTCAAAGAGGTCCAAATATCTGCTTGCAGACTTTACAGACAGAGTGTTTCCAAACTGCTCCATCAAAAGAAAGGTTAAACTCCTTGAGTTGAACACACACATCACAAAGTAGTTTCTGTGAATGATTCTGTCTAGTTGTTATACAGAAGATGTTTCCTTTTCTACCTTTGGTCTCAAAGCGATTGAAATCTCCACATGGAAACTCCACAAAAAGAGTGTTTCAAATCTGCTCTTTCTGAAGGAAGGTTCATCTCTGTGAGTTGAATACACACACCACAAATAAGTTACTGAGAATTCTTCTGGGTAACATTATATGAGGAAATCCCGTTTCCAACGAAGGCCTCAAAGAGGTCCAAATATCCACTTGCAGACTTTACAAAGACAGTGTCTCCAAACTCCTCCATCAAAAGAAAGGTTATACTCTGTGAATTGAACGCACACATCACAAAGTAGTTTCTGAGAATGATTCTGTCTAGTTTTTATACGAAGATATTTCCTTTTCTACATTTGGCCTAAAAGCGCTTGAAATCTCCACCTGCAAATATCACAAAAAGAGGGTTTCACATCTGCTCTGTCTAAAGGACAGTTCACCTGCTGTGAGTTGAATAGAGGCAACACAAAGAACTTACTCAGTATTCTTCTTTCTAGCGTTCTATGAAGAAATCCCCTTTCCAACGAAGACCCCAAAGACGTCCAAATATCTGCTTGCAGACTTTACAGACAGAGTTTTTCCAAACTGCTCCATCAAAAGAAAGGTTAAACTCCTTGAGTTGAACACACACGTCACAAAGTAGTTTCTGTGAATGATTCTGTCTAGTTTTTATACGAAGATGTTTCCTTTTCTACCTTTGGTCTCAAAGCGATTGAAATCTCCACATGGAAATTCCACAAAAAGAGTGTTTCAAATCTGCTCTTTCTGAAGGAAGGTTCAACTCTGTGAGTTGAATACACACACCACAAATAAGTTACTGAGAATTCTTCTGTGTAACATTATATGAAGAAATCCCGTTTCCAACGAAGGCCTCAAAGAGATCCAAATATCCACTTGCAGACTTTACAAAGACAGTGTCTCCAAACTCCTCCATCAAAAGAAAGGTTATACTCTGTGAATTGAACGCACACATCACAAAGTAGTTTCTGAGAATGATTCTGTCTAGTTTTTATACGAAGATATTTCCTTTTCTACATTTGGCCTAAAAGCGCTTGAAGTCTCCACCTGCACATATCACAAAAAGAGGGTTTCACATCTGCTCTGTCTAAAGGACAGTTCACCTCTGTGAGTTGAATAGAGGCAACACAAAGAACTTACTCAGTATTCTTCTTTCTAGCGTTCTATGAAGAAATCCCGTTTCCAACGAAGGCCTCAAAGAGGTCAAATATCTGCTTGCAGACTTTACAGACAGAGTGTTTCCAAACTACTCTATGAAAAGAAAGCTTAAACTCCTTGAGTTGAACGCACACATCACAAAGTAGTTTCTGAGAATGATTCTGTCTAGTTTTTATACGAAGATGTTTCCTTTTCTACATTTGGTCTCAAAGTGATTGAAATCTCCAACTGGAAACTCCACAAAAAGAGTGTTTCAAATCTGCTCTGTCTAAAGGAAGGCTCAACTCTGTGAGTTGAATACACACACCACAAATAAGTTACTGAGAATTCTTCTGTCGAACATTACTTGAAGAAATCCCGTTTCTAACGAAGGCCTCAAAGAGGTCCAAATATCCACTTGCAGACATTACAAACAGAGTGTTTCCAAACTGCTCCATCAAAAGAAAGGTTAAACTCTGTGAGCTGAACACACACATTAAAAAGAAGTTTCTGTGAATGATTCTGTCTAGATTTTATAAGAAGATGTTTCCTTTTCTACCGTAGGCCTCAAAGCGCTTGAAATCTCCAGCTGCAAATTCCACAAAAAGGGTGTTTAACATCTGCTCTTCTAAAGGAAAGTTCAACTCTATGAGTTGAATACACACAGCACAAAGAAGTTACTGAGACTTCTCCTATCAAACGTTATATGAAGAAATCCCGCTTCCAACGAAGGCCTCAAAGAGGTCCAAATATCTGCTTGCAGACTTTACAGACAGAGTGTTTCCAAACTGCTCCATCAAAAGAAAGGTGAAACTCCTTGAGTTGAACACACACATCACAAAGTAGTTTCTGTGAATGATTCTGTCTAGTTTTTATACGAAGATGTTTCCTTTTCTACCTTTGGTCTCAAAGCGATTGAAATCTCCACATGGAAACTCCACAAAAAGAGTGTTTCAAATCTGCTCTTTCTGAAGGAAGGTTCAACTCTGTGAGTTGAATACACACACCACAAATAAGTTACTGAGAATTCTTCTGTGTAACATTATATGAGGAAATCCCGTTTCCAACGAAGGCCTCAAAGAGGTCCAAATATCCACTTGCAGACTTTACAAAGACAGTGTCTCCAAACTCCTCCATCAAAAGAAAGGTTATACTCTGTGAATTGAACGCACACATCACAAAGTAGTTTCTGAGAATGATTCTGTCTAGTTTTTATACGAAGATATTTCCTTTTCTACATTTGGCCTAAAAGCGCTTGAAATCTCCACCTGCAAATATCACAAAAAGAGGGTTTCACATCTGCTCTGTCTAAAGGACAGTTCACCTCTGTGAGTTGAATAGAGGCAACACAAAGAACTTACTCAGTATTCTTCTTTCTAGCGTTCTATGAAGAAATCCCGTTTCCAACGAAGGCCCCAAAGAGGTCCAAATATCTGCTTGCAGACTTTACAGACAGAGTGTTTCCAAACTACTCTATGAAAAGAAAGCTTAAACTCCTTGAGTTGAACGCACACATCACAAAGTAGTTTCTGAGAATGATTCTGTCTAGTTTTTATACGAAGATGTTTCCTTTTCTACATTTGGTCTCAAAGCGATTGAAATCTCCAACTGGAAACTGCACAAATAGGGTGTTTCAAATCTGCTCTGTCTAAAGGGAAGGTTCAACTCTGTGAGTTGAATACACACACCACAAATAAGTTACTGAGAATTCTCCTATCAAACATTATATGAAGAAATCCCGTTTCCAACGAAGGCCTCAAAGAGGACCAAATATCCACTTGCAGACATTACAAACAGAGTGTTTCCAAACTGTTCCATCAAAAGAAAGATTAAACTCTGTGAGCTGAACACACACATGAAAAAGTAGTTTCTGTGAATGATTCTGTCTAGATTTTATAAGAAGATGTTTCCTTTTCTACTGTAGGCCTCAAAGCGCTTGAAATCTCCAGCTGCAAATTCCACAAAAAGGGTGTTTAACATCTGCTCTTCTAAAGGAAAGTTCAACTCTATGAGTTGAATACACACAGCACAAAGAAGTTACTGAGACTTCTCCTATCAAACATTATATGAAGAAATCCCGTTTCCAACGAAGGCCTCAAAGAGGTCCAAATATCTGCTTGCAGACTTTACAGACAGAGTGTTTCCAAACTGCTCCATCAAAAGAAAGGTTAAACTCCTTGAGTTGAACACACACATCACAAAGTAGTTTCTGTGAATGATTCTGTCTAGTTTTTATACGAAGATGTTTCCTTTTCTACCTTTGGTCTCAAAGCGATTGAAATCTCCACATGGAAACTCCACAAAAAGAGTGTTTCAAATCTGCTCTTTCTGAAGGAAGGTTCAACCCTGTGAGTTGAATACACACACCACAAATAAGTTACTGAGAATTCTTGTGTGTAACATTATATGAGGAAATCCCGTTTCCAACGAAGGCCTCAAAGAGGTCCAAATATCCACTTGCAGACTTTACAAAGACAGTGTCTCCAAACTCCTCCATCAAAAGAAAGGTTATACTCTGTGAATTGAACGCACACATCACAAAGTAGTTTCTGAGAATGATTCTGTCTAGTTTTTATACGAAGATATTTCCTTTTCTACATTTGGCCTAAAAGCGCTTGAAATCTCCACCTGCAAATATCACAAAAAGAGGGTTTCACATCTGCTCTGTCTAAAGGACAGTTCACCTCTGTGAGTTGAATAGAGGCAACACAAAGAACTTACTCAGTATTCTTCTTTCTAGCGTTCTATGAAGAAATCCCGTTTCCAACGAAGGCCCCAAAGAGGTCCAAATATCTGCTTGCAGACTTTACAGACAGAGTGTTTCCAAACTACTCTATGAAAAGAAAGCTTAAACTCCTTGAGTTGAACGCACACATCACAAAGTAGTTTCGGAGAATGATTCTGTCTAGTTTTTATACGAAGATGTTTCCTTTTCTACATTTGGTCTCAAAGCGATTGAAATCTCCAACTGGAAACTGCACAAATAGGGTGTTTCAAATCTGCTCTGTCTAAAGGAAGGTTCAACTCTGTGAGTTGAATACACACACCACAAAGAAGTTACTGAGAATTCTTCCGTCGAACATTACTTGAAGAAATCCCGTTTCCAACGAAGGCCTCAAAGAGGTCCAAATATCCACTTGCAGACATTACAAACAGAGTGTTTCCAAAACTGCTCCATCAAAAGAAAGGTTAAACTCTGTGAGCTGAACACACACATCAAAAAGAAGTTTACTGTGAATGATTCTGTCTAGATTTTATAAGAAGATGTTTCCTTTTCTACCGTAGGCCTCAAAGCGCTTGAAATCTCCAGCTGCAAATTCCACAAAAAGGGTGTTTAACATCTGCTCTTCTAAAGGAAAGTTCAACTCTATGAGTTGAATACACACAGCACAAAGAAGTTACTGAGACTTCTTCTTTCTAGCATTCTATGAAGAAATCCCGTTTCCAACGAAGGCCCCAAAGAGGTCCAAATATGTGCTTGCAGACTTTACAGACAGAGTTTTTCCAAACTGCTCCATCAAAAGAAAGGTTAAACTCCTTGAGTTGAACACACGCATCACAAAGTAGTTTCTGTGAATGATTCTGTCTAGTTGTTATACGAAGATGTTTCCTTTTCTACCTTTGGTCTCAAAGCGATTGAAATCTCCACATGGAAACTCCACAAAAAGAGTGTTTCAAATCTGCTCTTTCTGAAGGAAGGTTCATCTCTGTGAGTTGAATACACACACCACAAATAAGTTACTGAGAATTCTTCTGTGTAACATTATATGAGGAAATCCCGTTTCCAACGAAGGCCTCAAAGAGGTCCAAATATCCACTTGCAGACCTTACAAAGACAGTGTCTCCAAACTCCTCCATCAAAAGAAAGGTTATACTCTGTGAATTGAACGCACACATCACAAAGTAGTTTCTGAGAATGATTCTGTCTAGTTTTTATACGAAGATATTTCCTTTTCTACATTTGGCCTAAAAGTGCTTGAAATCTCCACCTGCAAATATCACAAAAAGAGGGTTTCACATCTGCTCTGTCTAAAGGACAGTTCACCTCTGTGAGTTGAATAGAGGCAACACAAAGAACTTACTCAGTATTCTTCTTTCTAGCGTTCTATGAAGAAATCCCGTTTCCAACGAAGGCCCCAAAGAGGTCCAAATATCTGCTTGCAGACTTTACAGACAGAGTGTTTCCAAACTACTCTATGAAAAGAAAGCTTAAACTCCTTGAGTTGAATGCACACATCACAAAGTAGTTTCTGAGAATGATTCTGTCTAGTTTTTATACGAAGATGTTTCCTTTTCTACATTTGGTCTCAAAGCGATTGAAATCTCCAACTGGAAACTGCACAAATAGGGTGTTTCAAATCTGCTCTGTCTAAAGGAAGGTTCAACTCTGTGAGTTGAATACACACACCACAATTAAGTTACTGAGAATTCTTCTGTCGAACATTACTTGAAGAAATCCCGTTTCCAACGAAGGCCTCAAAGAGGTCCAAATATCCACTTGCAGACATTACAAACAGAGTGTTTCCAAACTGCTCCATCAAAAGAAAGATTAAACCCTGTGAGCTGAACACACACATCAAAAAGAAGTTTCTGTGAATGATTCTGTCTAGATTTTAGAAGAAGTTGTTTCCTTTTCTACCGTAGGCCTCAGAGCGCTTGAAATCTCCAGCTGCAAATTCCACAAAAAGGGTGTTTAACATCTGCTCCTCTAAAGGAAAGTTCAACTCTATGAGTTGAATACACACAGCACAAAGAAGTTACTGAGACTTCTCCTATCAAACATTATATGAAGAAATCCCGTTTCCAATGAAGGCCTCAAAGAGGTCCAAATATCCACTTGCAGACGTGACAAACAGAGTTTTTCCAAACTGCTCCATCAAAAGAAAGGTTAAACTCTGTGAGTTGAACACACACATCACAAAGTAGTTTCTGTGAATGATTCTGTCTAGTTTTTATACGAAGATGTTTCCTTTTCTACCTTTGGTCTCAAAGCCATTGAAATCTCCCCATGGAAACTCCACAAAAAGAGTGTTTCAAATCTGCTTTTTCTGAAGGAAGGTTCAACTCTGTGAGTTGAATACACACACCACAAATAAGTTACTGAGAATTCTTCTGTGTAACATTATAGGAGGAAATCCCGTTTCCAATGAAGGCCTCAAAGAGGTCCAAATATCCCCTTGCAGACATTACAAACAGAGTGTTTCCAAACTGCTCCATCAAAAGAAAGGTTAAACTCTGTGAGCTGAACACACACATCAAAAAGAAGTTTCTGTGAATGATTCTGTCTAGACTTTAGAAGAAGATGTTTCCTTTTCTACCGTAGGCCTCAAAGCGCTTGAAATCTCCAGCTGCAAATTCCACAAAAAGGGTGTTTAACATCTGCTCTTCTAAAGGAAAGTTCAACTCCATGAGTTGAATACACACAGCCCAAAGAAGTTACTGAGACTTCTTCTTTCTAGCGTTCTATGAAGAAATCCCGTTTCCAACGAAGGCCCCAAAGAGGTCCAAATATCTGCTTGCAGACTTTACAGACAGAGTGTTTCCAAACTACTCTATGAAAAGAAAGCTTAAACTCCTTGAGTTGAACGCACACATCACAAAGTAGTTTCTGAGAATGATTCTGTCTAGTTTTTATACGAAGATGTTTCCTTTTCTACATTTGGTCTCAAAACGATTGAAATCTCCAACTGGAAACTGCACAAATAGGGAGTTTCAAATCTGCTCTGTCTAAAGGAAGGGTCAACTCTGTGAGTTGAATACACACACCACAAATAAGTTACTGAGAATTCTTCTGTCGAACACTGCATGAAGAAATCCCTTTTCCAACGAAGGCCTCAAAGAGGTCCAAATATCCACTTGCAGACATTACAGAGTGTTTCCAAACTGCTCCATCAAAAGAAAGGTTAAACTCTGTGAGCTGAACACACACATCAAAAAGAAGTTTCTGTGAATGATTTCTGTCTAGATTTTATAAGAAGATGTTTCCTTTTCTACCGTAGGCCTCAAAGCGCTTGAAATCTCCAGCTGCAAATTCCACAAAAAGGGTGTTTAACATCTGCTCTTCTAAAGGAAAGTTCAACTCTATGAGTTGAATACACACAGCACAAAGAAGTTACTGAGACTTCTCCTATCAAACATTATATGAAGAAATCCCGTTTCCAACGAAGGCCTCAAAGAGGTCCAAATATCTGCTTGCAGACTTTACAGACAGAGTGTTTCCAAACTGCTCCATCAAAAGAAAGGTTAAACTCCTTGAGTTGAACACACACATCACAAAGTAGTTTCTGTGAATGATTCTGTCCAGTTTTTATACGAAGATGTTTCCTTTTCTACCTTTGGTCTCAAAGCTATTGAAATCTCCACATGGAAACTCCACAAAAAGAGTGTTTCAAATCTGCTCTTTCTGAAGGAAGGTTCATCTCTGTGAGTTGAATACACACACCACAAATAAGTTACTGAGAATTCTTCTGTGTAACATTATATGAGGAAATCCCGTTTCCAACGAAGGCCTCAAAGAGGTCCAAATATCCACTTGCAGACTTTACAAAGACAGTGTCTCCAAACTCCTCCATCAAAAGAAAGGTTATACTCTGTGAATTGAACGCACACATCACAAAGTAGTTTCTGAGAATGATTCTGTCTAGTTTTTATACGAAGATATTTCCTTTTCTACATTTGGCCTAAAAGCGCTTGAAATCTCCACCTGCAAATATCACAAAAAGAGGGTTTCACATCTGCTCTGTCTAAAGGACAGTTCACCTCTGTGAGTTGAATAGAGGCAACACAAAGAACTTACTCAGTATTCTTCTTTCTAGCGTTCTATGAAGAAATCCCGTTTCCAACGAAGGCCCCAAAGAGGTCCAAATATCTGCTTGCAGACTTTACAGACAGAGTGTTTCCAAACTACTCTATGAAAAGAAAGCTTAAACTCCTTGAGTTGAACGCACACATCACAAAGTAGTTTCTGAGAATGATTCTGTCTGGTTTTTATACGAAGATGTTTCCTTTTCTACATTTGGTCTCAAAGCGATTGAAATCTCCAACTGGAAACTGCACAAATAGGGTGTTTCAAATCTGCTCTGTCTAAAGGAAGGTTCAACTCTGTGAGTTGAATACACACACCACAAATAAGTTACTGAGAATTCTTCTGTCGAACATTACTTGAAGAAATCCCGTTTCCAACGAAGGCCTCAAAGAGGTCCAAATATCCACTTGCAGACATTACAAACAGAGTGTTTCCAAACTGCTCCATCAAAAGAAAGGTTAAACTCTGTGAGCTGAACACACACATCAAAAAGAAGTTTCTGTGAATGATTCTGTCTAGATTTTATAAGAAGATGTTTCCTTTTCTACCGTAGGCCTCAAAGCGCTTGAAATCTCCAGCTGCAAATTCCACAAAAAGGGTGTTTAACATCTGCTCTTCTAAAGGAAAGTTCAACTCTATGCGTTGAATACACACAGCATAAAGAAGTTACTGAGACTTCTTCCTACCAAACATTATATGAAGAAATCCCTTTTCCAACGAAGGCCTCAAAGAGATCCAAATATCTGCTTGCAGACTTTACAGACAGAGTGTTTCCAAACTGCTCCATCAAAAGAAAGGTTAAACTCCTTGAGTTGAACACACACATCACAAAGTAGTTTCTGTGAATGATTCTGTCTAGTTTTTATACGAAGATGTTTCCTTTTCTACCTTTGGTCTCAAAGCGATTGAAATCTCCACTTGGAAACTCCACAAAAAGAGAGTTTCAAATCTGCTCTTTCTGAAGGAAGGTTCAACTCTGTGAGTTGAATACACACACCACAGATAAGTTACTGAGAATTCTTCTGTGTAACATTATATGAGGAAATCCCGTTTCCAACGAAGGTCTCAAAGAGGTCCAAATATCCACTTGCAGACTTTACAAAGACAGTGTCTCCAAACTCCTCCATCCAAAGAAAGGTTATACTCTGTGAATTGAACGCACACATCACAAAGTAGTTTCTGAGAATGATTCTGTCTAGTTTTTATACGAAGATATTTCCTTTTCTACATTTGGCCTAAAAGCGCTTGAAATCTCCACCTGCAAATATCACAAAAAGAGGGTTTCACATCTGCTCTGTCTAAAGGACAGTTCACCTCTGTGAGTTGAATAGAGGCAACACAAAGAACTTACTCAGTATTCTTCTTTCTAGCGTTCTATGAAGAAATCCCGTTTCCAACGAAGGCCCCAAAGAGGTCCAAATATCTGCTTGCACACTTTACAGACAGAGTGTTTCCAAACTACTCTATGAAAAGAAAGCTTAAACTCCTTGAGTTGAACGCACACATCACAAAGAGTTTCTGAGAATGATTCTGTCTAGTTTTTATACGAAGATGTTTCCTTTTCTACATTTGGTCTCAAAGCTCTTGAAATCTCCAACTGGAAACTGCACAAATAGGCTGTTTCAAATCTGCTCTGTCTAAAGGAAGGTTCAACTCTGTGAGTTGAATACACACACCACAAATAAGTTACTGAGAATTCTTCTGTCGAACATTACATGAAGAAATCCCGTTACCAACGAAGGCCTCAAAGAGGTCCAAATATCCACTTGCAGACATTACAAACAGTGTGTTTCCAAACTGCTCCATCAAAAGAAAGGTTAAACTCTGTGAGCTGAACACACACATCAAAAGGAAGTTTACTGTGAATGATTCTGTCTAGATTTTATAAGAAGATGTTTCCTTTTCTACCGTAGGCCTCAAAGCGCTTGAAATCTCCAGCTGCAAATTCCACAAAAAGGGTGTTTAACATCTGCTCTTCTAAAGGAAAGTTCAACTCTATGAGTTGAATACACACAGCACAAAGAAGTTACTGAGACTTCTCCTATCAAACATTATATGAAGAAATCCCGTTTCCAACGAAGGCCTCAAAGAGGTCCAAATATCTGCTTGCAGACTTTACAGACAGAGTATTTCCAAACTGCTCCATCAAAAGAAAGGTTAAACTCCTTGAGTTGAACACACACATCACAAAGTAGTTTCTGTGAATGATTCTGTCTAGTTTTTATACGAAGATGTTTCCTTTTCTACCTTTGGTCTCAAAGCGATTGAAATCTCCACATGGAAACTACACAAAAAGAGTGTTTCAAATCTACTCTTTCTGAAGGAAGGTTCAACTCTGTGAGTTGAATATACACACCACAAATAAGTTACTGAGAATTCTTCTGTGTAACATTATATGAGGAAATCCCGTTTCCAACGAAGGCCACAAAGAGGTCCAAATATCCACTTGCAGACTTTTCAAAGACAGTGTCTGCAAACTCCTCCATCAAAAGAAAGGTTATACTCTGTGAATTGAACGCACACATCACAAAGTAGTTTCTGAGAATGATTCTGTCTAGTTTTTATACGAAGAATATTTCCTTTTCTACATTTGGCCTAAAAGCGCTTGAAATCTCCACCTGCAAATATCACAAAAAGAGGGTTTCACATCTGCTCTGTCTAAAGGACAGTTCACCTCTGTGAGTTGAATAGAGGCAACACAAAGAACTTACTCAGTATTCTTCTTTCTAGCGTTATACGAAGAAATCCCTTTTCCAAGGAAGGCCTCAAAGAGGTCCAAATATCTGCTTGCAGATTTTACAGACAGAGTGTTTCCAAACTACTCTATGAAAAGAAAGCTTAAATTCCTTGAGTTGAACGCACACATCGCAAAGTAGTTCCTGAGAATGCTTCTGTCTAGTTTTTATACGAAGATGTTTCCTTTTCTACATTTGGTCTCAAAGCGATTGAAATCTCCAACTGGAAACTGCACAAATAGGGTGTTTCAAATCTGCTCTGTCTAAAGGAAGGTTCAACTCTGTGAGTTGAATACACACACCACAAATAAGTTACTGAGAATTCTTCTGTCGACCATTACTTGAAGAAATCCCGTTTCCAACGAAGGCCTCAAAGAGGTCCAAATATCCACTTGCAGACATTACAAACAGAGTGTTTCCAAACTGCTCCATCAAAAGAAAGGTTAAACTCTGTGAGCTGAACACACACATCGAAAAGAAGTTTCTGTGAATGATTCTGTCTAGATTTTATAAGAAGATGTTTCCTTTTCTACCGTAGGCCTCAAAGCGCTTGAAATCTCCAGCTGCAAATTCCACAAAAAGGGTGTTTAACATCTGCTCTTCTAAAGGAAAGTTCAACTCTATGAGTTGAATACACACAGCACAAAGAAGTTACTGAGACTTCTCCTATCAAACATTATATGAAGAAATCCCGTTTCCAACGAAGGCCTCAAAGAGGTCCAAATATCCACTTGCAGACTTTACAGACAGAGTGTTTCCAAACTGCTCCATCAAAAGAAAGGTTAAACTCCTTGAGTTGAACACACACATCACAAAGTAGTTTCTGTGAATGATTCTGTCTAGTTTTTATACGAAGATGTTTCCTTTTCTATCTTTGGTCTCAAAGCGATTGAAATCTCCACATGGAAACTCCACAAAAAGAGTGTTTCAAATCTGCTCTTTCTGAAGGAAGTTTCAACTCTGTGAGTTGAATACACACACCACAAATAAGTTACTGAGAATTCTTCTGGGTAACATTATATGAGGAAATCCCGTTTCCAACGAAGGCCTCAAAGAGGTCCAAATATCCACTTGCAGACTTTACAAAGACAGTGTCTCCAAACTCCTCCATCAAAAGAAAGGTTATACTCTGTGAATTGAACGCACACATCACAAAGTAGTTTCTGAGAATGATTCTGTCTAGTTTTTATACGAAGATATTTCCTTTTCTACATTTGGCCTAAAAGCGCTTGAAATCTCCACCTGCAAATATCACAAAAAGAGGGTTTCACATCTGCTCTGTCTAAAGGACAGTTCACCTCTGTGAGTTGAATAGAGGCAACACAAAGAACGTACTCAGTATTCTTCTTTCTAGCGTTCTATGAAGAAATCCCGTTTCCAACGAAGACCCCAATGAGGTCCAAATATCTGCTTGCAGACTTTACAGACAGAGTGTTTCCAAACTACTCTATGAAAAGAAAGCTTAAACTCCTTGAGTTGAACGCACACATCACAAAGTAGTTTCTGAGAATGATTCTGTCTTGTTTTTATACAAATGTATTTCCGTTTCTATGGCCTCAAAGCAATTGAAATCTCCAACTGGAAACTGCACAAATAGGGTGTTTCAAATCTGCTCTGTCTAAAGGAAGGTTCAACTCTGTGAGTTGAATACACACACCACAAATAAGTTGCTGAGAATTCTTCTGTCGAACATTACTTGAAGAAATCCCGTTTCCAACGAAGGCCTCAAAGAGGTCCAAATATTCACTTGCAGATATTACAAACAGAGTGTTTCCAAACTGCTCCATCAAAAGAAAGGTTAAACTCTGTGAGCTGAACACACACATCAAAAACAAGTTTCTGTGAATGATTCTGTCTAGATTTTATAAGAAGATGTTTCCTTTTCTACCGTAGGACTCAAAGGGCTTGAAATCTCCAGCTGCAAATTCCACAAAAAGGGTGTTTAACATCTGCTCTTCTAAAGGAAAGTTCAACTCTATGAGTTGAATACACACAGCACAAAGAAGTTACTGAGACTTCTCCTATCAAACATTATATGAAGAAATCCCGTTTCCAACGAAGGCCTCAAAGAGGTCCAAATATCTGCTTGCAGACTTTACAGACAGAGTGTTTCCAAACTGCTCCATCAAAAGAAAGGTTAAACTCCTTGAGTTGAACACACACATCACAAAGTAGTTTCTGTGAATGATTCTGTCCAGTTTTTATACGAAGATGTTTCCTTTTCTACCTTTGGTCTCAAAGCGATTGAAATCTCCACATGGAAACTCCACAAAAAGAGTGTTTCAAATCTGCTCTTTCTGAAGGAAGGTTCAACTCTGTGAGTTGAATACACACACCACAAATAAGTTACTGAGAATTCTTCTGTGTAACTTTATATGAGGAAAATCCGTATCTAACGAAGGCTTCAAAGAGGTCCAAATATCCACTTGCAGACTTTACAAAGACAGTGTCTCCAAACTCCTCCATCAAAAGAAAGGTTATACTCTGTGAATTGAACGCACACATCACCAAGTAGTTTCTGAGAATGATTCTGTCTAGTTTTTATACGAAGATATTTCCTTTTCTACATTTGGCCTAAAAGCGCTTGATATCTCCACCTGCAAATATCACAAAAAGAGGGTTTCACATCTGCTCTGTCTAAAGGACAGTTCACTTCTCTGAGTTGAATAGAGGCAACAAAAAGAAGTTTCTGAGTATTCTTCTTTCCAGCGTTCTATGAAGAAATCCCTTTTCCAACGAAGGCCTCAAATAGGTCCAAATATCTGCTTGCAGACTTTACAGACAGAGTGTTTCCAAACTACTCTATGAAAAGAAAGCTTAAACTCCTTGAGTTGAACCGCACACATCACAAAGTAGTTTCTGAGAATGATTCTGTCTAGTTTTTATACGAAGATGTTTCCTTTTCTACATTTGGTCTCAAAGCGATTGAAATCTCCAACTGGAAACTGCACAAATAGGGTGTTTCAAATCTGCTCTGTCTAAAGGAAGGTTCAACTCTGTGAGTTGAATACACACACCACAAATAAGTTACTGAGAATTATTCTGTCGAACATTACTTGATGAAATCCCGTTTCCAACGAAGGCCTCAAAGAGGTCCAAATATCCACTTGCAGACATTACAAACAGAGTGTTTCCAAACTGCTCCATCAAAAGAAAGGTTAAACTCTGTGAGCTGAACACACACATCGAAAAGAAGTTTCTGTGAATGATTCTGTCTAGATTTTATAAGAAGATGTTTCCTTTTCTACCGTAGGCCTCAAAGCGCTTGAAATCTCCAGCTGCAAATTCCACAAAAAGGGTGTTTAACATCTGCTCTTCTAAAGGAAAGTTCAACTCTATGAGTTGAATACACACAGCACAAAGAAGTTACTGAGACTTCTCCTATCAAACATTATATGAAGAAATCCCGTTTCCAAAGAAGGCCTCAAAGAGGTCCAAATATCTGCTTGCAGACTTTACAGACAGAGTGTTTCCAAACTGCTCCATCAAAAGAAAGGTTAAACTCCTTGAGTTGAACACACACATCACAAAGTAGTTTCTGTGAATGATTCTGTCTAGTTTTTATACGAAGATGTTTCCTTTTCTACCTTTGGTCTCAAAGCGATTGAAATCTTCACATGGAAACTCCACAAAAAGTGTTTCAAATCTGCTCTTTCTGAAGGAAGGTTCAACTCTGTGAGTTGAATACACACACCACAAATAAGTTACTGAAAATTCTTCTGTGTAACATTATATGAGGAAATCCCGTTTCCAATGAAGGCCTCAAAGAGGTCCAAATATCCACTTGCAGACTTTACAAAGACAGTGTCTCCAAACTCCTCCATCAAAAGAAAGGTTATACTCTGTGAATTGAACGCACACATCACAAAGTAGTTTACTGAGAATGATTCTGTCTAGTTTTTATACGAAGATATTTCCTTTTCTACATTTGGCCTAAAAGCGCTTGAAATCTCCAAGTGCAAATATCACAAAAAGAGGGTTTCACATCTGCTCTGTCTAAAGGACAGTTCACCTCTGTGAGTTGAATAGAGGCAACACAAAGAACTTAGTCAGTATTCTTCTTTCCAGCGTTCTATGAAGAAATCCCGTTTCCAACGAAGGCCTCAAAGAGGTCAAATATCTGCTTGCAGACTTTACAGACAGAGTGTTTCCAAACTACTCTATGAAAAGAAAGCTTAAACTCCTTGAGTTGAACGCACACATCACAAAGTAGTTTCTGAGAATGATTCTGTCTAGTTTTTATACGAAGATGTTTCCTTTTCTACATTTGGTCTCAAAGCGATTGAAATCTCCAACTGGAAACTGCACAAATAGGGTGTTTCAAATCTGCTCTGTCTAAAGGAAGGTTCAACTCTGTGAGTTGAATACACACACCACAAATAAGTTACTGAGAATTCTTCTGTCGACCATTACTTGAAGAAATCCCGTTTCCAACGAAGGCCTCAAAGAGGTCCAAATATCCACTTGCAGACATTACAAACAGAGTGTTTCCAAACTGCTCCATCAAAAGAAAGGTTAAACTCTGTGAGCTGAACACACACATCGAAAAGAAGTTTCTGTGAATGATTCTGTCTAGATTTTATAAGAAGATGTTTCCTTTTCTACCGTAGGCCTCAAAGCGCTTGAAATCTCCAGCTGCAAATTCCACAAAAAGGGTGTTTAACATCTGCTCTTCTAAAGGAAAGTTCAACTCTATGAGTTGGATACACACAGCACAAAGAAGTTGCTGAGACTTCTCCTATCAAACATTATATGAAGAAATCCCGTTTCCAACGAAGGCCTCAAAGAGGTCCAAATATCTGCTTGCAGACTTTACAGACAGAGTGTTTCCAAACTGCTCCATCAAAAGAAAGGTTAAACTCCTTGAGTTGAACACACACATCACAAAGTAGTTTCTGTGAATGATTCTGTCTAGTTTTTATACGAAGATGTTTCCTTTTCTACCTTTGGTCTCAAAGCGATTGAAATCTCCACATGGAAACTCCACAAAAAGAGTGTTTCAAATCTGCTCTTTCTGAAGGAAGGTTCAACTCTGTGAGTTGAATACACACACCACAAATAAGTTACTGATAATTCTTCTGTGTAACATTATATGAGGAAATCCCGTTTCCAACGAAGGCCTCAAAGAGGTCCAAATATCCACTTGCAGACTTTACAAAGACAGTGTCTCCAAACTCCTCCATCAAAAGAAAGGTTATACTCTGTGAATTGAACACACACGTCACAAAGTAGTTTCTGAGAATGATTCTGTCTAGTTTTTATACGAAGATATTTCCTTTTCTACATTTGGCCTAAAAGCGCTTGAAATCTCCACCTGCAAATATCACAAAAAGAGGGTTTCACATCTGCTCTGCCTAAAGGACATTTCACCTCTGTGAGTTGAATAGAGGCAACACAAAGAACTTACTCAGTATTCTTCTTTCTAGCGTTCCATGAAGAAAACCCGTTTCCAACGAAGGCCTCAAAGAGGTCCAAATATCTGCTTGCAGACTTTACAGACAGAGTGTTTCCAAACAACTTTATGAAAAGAAAGCTTAAACTCCTTGAGTTGAACGCACACATCACAAAGTAGTTTCTGAGAATGATTCTGTCTAGTTTTTATACGAAGATGTTTCCTTTTCTACATTTCGTCTCAAAGCGATTGAAATCTCCAACTGGAAACTGCACAAATAGGGTGTTTCAAATCTGCTCTGTCTAAAGGAAGGTTCAACTCTGTGAGTTGAATACACACACCACAAATAAGTTACTGAGAATTCTTCTGTCGAACATTACATGAAGAAATCCCGTTTCCAACGAAGGCCTCAAAGAGGTCCAAATATCCACTTGCAGACATTACAAACAGAGTGTTTCCAAACTGCTCCATCAAAAGAAAGGTTAAACTCTGTGAGCTGAACACACACATCAAAAAGAAGTTTCTGTGAATGATTCTGTCTAGATTTTATAAGAAGATGTTTCCTTTTCTACCGTAGGCCTCAAAGCGCTTGAAATATCCAGCTGCAAATTACACAAAAAGGGTGTTTAACATCTGCTCTTCCAAAGGAAAGTTCAACTCTATGAGTTGAATACACACAGCACAAAGAAGTTACTGAGACTTCTCCTATCAAACATTATATGAAGAAATCCCTTTTCCAACGAAGGCCTCAAAGACGTCCAAATATCTGCTTGCAGACTTTACAGACAGAGTGTTTCCAAACTGCTCCATCAAAAGAAAGGTTAAACTCCTTGAGTTGAACACACACATCACAAAGTAGTTTCTGTGAATGATTCTGTCTAGTTGTTATACGAAGATGTTTCCTTTTCTACCTTTGGTCTCAAAGCGATTGAAATCTCCACATGGAAACTCCCCAAAAAGAGTGTTTCAAATCTGCTCTTTCTGAAGGAAGGTTCATCTCTGTGAGTTGAATACACACACCACAAATAAGTTACTGAGAATTCTTCTGTGTAACATTATATGAGGAAATCCCGTTTCCAACGAAGGCCTCAAAGAGGTCCAAATATCCACTTGCAGACTTTACAAAGACAGTGTCTCCAAACTCCTCCATCAAAAGAAAGGTTATACTCTGTGAATTGAACGCACACATCACAAAGTAGTTTCTGAGAATGATTCTGTCTAGTTTTTATACGAAGATATTTCCTTTTCTACATTTGGCCTAAAAGCGCTTGAAATCTCCACCTGCAAATATCACAAAAAGAGGGTTTCACATCTGCTCTGTCTAAAGGACAGTTCACCTCTGTGAGTTGAATAGAGGCAACACAAAGAACTTACTCAGTATTCTTCTTTCTAGCGTTCTATGAAGAAATCCCGTTTCCAACGAAGGCCCCAAAGAGGTCCAAATATCTGCTTGCAGACTTTACAGACAGAGTGTTTCCAAACTACTCTATGAAAAGAAAGCTTAAACTCCTTGAGTTGAACGCACACATCACAAAGTAGTTTCTGAGAATGATTCTGTCCAGTTTTTATACGAAGATGTTTCCTTTTCTACATTTGGTCTCAAAGCGATTGAAATCTCCAACTGGAAACTGCACAAATAGGGTGTTTCAAATCTGCTCTTTCTAAAGGAAGGTTCAACTCTGTGAGTTGAATACACACACCACAAATAAGTTACTGAGAATTCTTCTGTCGAACATTACTTGAAGAAATCCCGTTTCCAACGAAGGCCTCAAACAGGTCCAAATATTCACTTGCAGATATTACAAACAGAGTGTTTCCAAACTGCTCCATCAAAAGAAAGGTAAACTCTGTGAGCTGAACACACACATCAAAAAGAAGTTTCTGTGAATGATTCTGTCTAGATTTTATAAGAAGATGTTTCCTTTTCTACCGTAGGACTCAAAGCGCTTGAAATCTCCAGCTGCAAATTCCACAAAAAGGGTGTTTAACATCTGCTCTTCTAAAGGAAAGTTCAACTCTATGAGTTGAATACACACAGCACAAAGAAGTTACTGAGACTTCTCCTATCAAACATTATATGAAGAAATCCCGTTTCCAACGAAGGCCTCAAAGAGGTCCAAATATCTGCTTGCAGACTTTAAAGACAGAGTTTTTCCAAACTGCTCCATCAAAAGAAAGGTTAAACTCCATGAGTTGAACACACACATCACAAAGTAGTTTCTGTGAATGATTCTGTCTAGTTTTTATACGAAGATGTTTCCTTTTCTACCTTTGGTCTCAAAGCGATTGAAATCTCCACATGGAAACTCCACAAAAAGAGTGTTTCAAATCTGCTCTTTCTGAAGGAAGGTTCAACTCTGTGAATTGAATACACACACCACAAATAAGTTACTGAGAATTCTTCTGTGTAACATTATATGAGGAAATCCCGTTTCCAACGAAGGCCTCAAAGAGGTCCAAATATCCACTTGCAGACTTTACAAAGACAGTGCCTCCAAACTCCTCCATCAAAAGAAAGGTTATACTCTGTGAATTGAACGCACACATCACAAAGTAGTTTCTGAGAATGATTCTGTCTAGTTTTTATACGAAGATATTTCCTTTTCTACATTTGGCCTAAAAGCGCTTGAAATCTCCACCTGCAAATATCACAAAAAGAGGGTTTCACATCTCCTCTTTCTAAAGGACAGTTCACCTCCGTGAGTTGAATAGAGGCAACACAAAGAACTTACTCAGTATTTTTCTTTCTAGCGTTCTATGAAGAAATCCCGTTTACAACGAAGGCCTCAAAGAGGTCCAAATATCTGCTTGCAGACTTTACAGACAGAGTGTTTCCAAACTACTCTATGAAAAGAAAGCTTAAACTCCTTGAGTTGAACGCACACATCACAAAGTAGTTTCTAAGAATGATTCTGTCTAGTTTTTATACCGAAGATGTTTCCTTTTCTACATTTGGTCCCAAAGCGATTGAAATCTCCAACTGGAAACTGCACAAATAGGGTGTTTCAAATCTGCTCTGTCTAAAGGAAGGTTCAACTCTTTGAGTTGAATACACACACCACAAATAAGTTACTGAGAATTCTTCTGTCGAACATTACTTGAAGAAATCCCGTTTCCAACGAAGGCCTCAAAGAGGTCCAATTATCGACTTGCAGACATTACAAACAGAGTGTTTCCAAACTGCTCCATCAAAAGAAAGGTTAAACTCTGTGAGCTGAACACACACATCAAAAAGAAGTTTCTGTGAATGATTTCTGTCTAGATTTTATAAGAAGATGTTTCCTTTTCTACCGTAGGGCTCAAAGCGCTTGAAATCTCCAGCTGCAAACTCCACAAACAGGGTGTTTAACATCTGCTCTTCTAAAGGAAAGTTCAACTCTATGAGTTGAATACACACAGCACAAAGAAGTTACTGAGACTTCTCCTATCAAACATTATATGAAGAAATCCCGTTTCCAACGAAGGCCTCAAAGAGGTCCAAATATCCACTTGCAGACGTGACAAACAGAGTGTTTCCAAAGTGCTCCATCAAAAGAAAGGTTAAACTCTGTGAGTTGAACACACACATCTCAAAGTAGTTTCTGTGAATGATTCTGTCTAGTTTTTATACGAAGATATTTCCTTTTCTACCTCTGGTCTCAAAACGATTGAAATCTCCACATGGAAACTCCACAAAAAGAGTGTTTCAAATCTCCTCTTTCTGAAGGAAGGTTCAACTCTGTGAGTTGAATACACACACCACAAATAAGTAACTGAGAATTCTTCTGTGTAACATTATATGAGGAAATCCCGTTTCCAACGAAGGCCTCAAAGAGGTCCAAATATCCACTTGCAGACATTACAAACAGAGTGTTTCCAAACTGCTTCATCAAAGGAAAGGTTAAACCCTGTGAGCTGAACACACACATCAAAAAGTAGTTTCTGTGAATGATTCTGTCTAGTTTTTATACGAAGATATTTCCTTTTCTACATTTGGCCTAAAAGCGCTTGAAATCTCCACCTGCAAATATCACAAAAAGAGGGTTTCACATCTGCTCTGTCTAAAGGACAGTTCACCTCTGTGAGTTGAATAGAGGCAACACAAAGAACTTACTCAGTATTCTTCTTTCTAGCGTTCTATGAAGAAATCCCGTTTCCAACGAAGGCCCCAAAGAGGTCCAAATATCTGCTTGCAGACTTTACAGACAGAGTGTTTCCACACTACTCTATGAAAAGAAAGCTTAAACTCCTTGAGTTGAACGCACACATCACAAAGTAGTTTCTGAGAATGATTCTGTCTAGTTTTTATACGAAGATGTTTCCTTTTCTACATTTGGTCTCAAAGCGATTGAAATCTCCAACTGGAAACTGCACAAATAGGGTGTTTCAAATCTGCTCTGTCTAAAGGAAGGTTCAACTCTGTGAGTTGAATACACACACCACAAAGAAGTTACTGAGAATTCTTCTGTCGAACATTACATGAAGAAATCCCGTTTCCAACGAAGGCCTCAAAGAGGTCCAAATATCCACTTGCCGACATGGCAAACACAGTGTTTGCAAACTGCTCCGTCAAAAGAAAGGTTAAACTCTGTGAGATGAACACACACATCAAAAAGTAGTTTCTGTGAATGATTCTGTCTAGATTTTATAAGAAGATGTTTCCTTTTCTACCGTAGGCCTCAAAGCGCTTGAAATCTCCAGCTGCAAATTCCACAAAAAGGGTGTTTAACATCTGCTCTTCTAAAGGAAAGTTCAACTCTATGAGTTGAATACACACAGCACAAAGAAGTTACTGAGACTTCTCCTATCAAACATTATATGAAGAAATCCCGTTTCCAACGAAGGCCTCAAAGAGGTCCAAATATCTGCTTGCAGACTTTACAGACAGAGTGTTTCCAAACTGCTCCATCAAAAGAAAGGTTAAACTCCTTGAGTTGAACACACACATCACAAAGTAGTTTCTGTGAATGATTCTGTCTAGTTGTTATACGAAGATGTTTCCTTTTCTACCTTTGGTCTCAAAGCGATTGAAATCTCCACATGGAAACTCCACAAAAAGAGTGTTTCAAATCTGCTCTTTCTGAAGGAAGGTTCATCTCTGTGAGTTGAATACACACACCACAAATAAGTTACTGAGAATTCTTCTATGTAACATTATATGAGGAAATCCCGTTTCCAACGAAGGCCTCAAAGAGGTCCAAATATCCACTTGCAGACTTTACAAAGACAGTGTCTCCAAACTCCTCCATCAAAAGAAAGGTTATACTCTGTGAATTGAACGCACACATCACAAAGTAGTTTCTGAGAATGATTCTGTCTAGTTTTTATACGAAGATATTTCCTTTTCTACATTTGGCCTAAAAGCGCTTGAAATCTCCACCTGCAAATATCACAAAAAGAGGGTTTCACATCTGCTCTGTCTAAAGGACAGTTCACCTCTGTGAGTTGAATAGAGGCAACACAAAGAACGTACTCAGTATTCTTCTGGGTAACATTATATGAGGAAATCCCGTTTCCAACGAAGGCCTCAAAGAGGTCCAAATATCCACTTGCAGACTTTACAAAGACAGTGTCTCCAAACTCCTCCATCAAAAGAAAGGTTATACTCTGTGAATTGAACGCACACATCACAAAGTAGTTTCTGAGAATGATTCTGTCTAGTTTTTATACGAAGATATTTCCTTTTCTACATTTGGCCTAAAAGCGCTTGAAATCTCCACCTGCAAATATCACAAAAAGAGGGTTTCACATCTGCTCTGTCTAAAGGACAGTTCACCTCTGTGAGTTGAATAGAGGCAACACAAAGAACTTACTCAGTATTCTTCTTTCTAGCGTTCTATGAAGAAATCCCGTTTCCATCGAAGGCCCCAATGAGGTCCAAATATCTGCTTGCAGACTTTACAGACAGAGTGTTTCCAAAGTACTCTATGAAAAGAAAGCTTAAACTCCTTGAGTTGAACGCACACATCACAAAGTAGTTTCTGAGAATGATTCTGTCTAGTTTTTATACGAAGATGTTTCCTTTTCTACATTTGGTCTCAAAGCGATTGAAATCTCCAACTGGAAACTGCACAAATAGGGTGTTTCAAATCTGCTCTGTCTAAAGGAAGGTTCAACTCTTTGAGTTGAATACACACACCACAAATAAGTTACTGAGAATTCTTCTGTCGAACATTACTTGAAGAAATCCCGTTTCCAACGAAGGCCTCAAAGAGGTCCAAATATCCACTTGCAGACATTACAAACAGAGTGTTTCCAAACTGCTCCATCAAAACAAAGGTTAAACTCTGTGAGCTGAACACACACATCAAAAAGAAGTTTCTGTGAATGATTCTGTCTAGATTTTATAAGAAGATGTTTCCTTTTCTACCGTAGGCCTCAAAGTGCTTGAAATCTCCAGCTGCAAATTCCACAAAAAGGGTGTTTAACATCTGCTCTTCTAAAGGAAAGTTCAACTCAATGAGTTGAATACACACAGCCCAAAGAAGTTACTGAGACTTCTCCTATCAAACATTATATGAAGAAATCCCGTTTCCAACGAAGGCCTCAAAGAGGTCCAAATATCTGCTTGCAGACTTTACAAAGACAGTGTCTCCAAACTCCTCCATCAAAAGAAAGGTTTTACTCTGTGAATTGAACGCACACATCACAAAGTAGTTTCTGAGAATGATTGTGTCTAGTTTTTATACGAAGATATTTCCTTT
The DNA here is from genome assembly GCF_000001405.40 of Homo sapiens. Lineage (NCBI taxonomy): Eukaryota > Metazoa > Chordata > Mammalia > Primates > Hominidae > Homo > Homo sapiens. Next base: position 36,167,646 of record NC_000012.12, on the reverse strand, counting down.
TCTACATTTGGCCTCAAAGCGCTTGAAATCTCCACCTGCAAATATCACAAAAAGAGGGTTTCACATCTGCTCTGTCTAAAGGACAGTTCACCTCTGTGAGTTGAATAGAGGCAACACAAAGAACTTACTCAGTATTCTTCTTTCTAGCGTTCTATGAAGAAATCCCGTTTCCAACGAAGGCCCCAAAGAGGTCCAAATATCTGCTTGCAGACTTTACAGACAGAGTGTTTCCAAACTACTCTATGAAAAGAAAGCTTAAACTCCTTGAGTTGAACGCACACATCACAAAGTAGTTTCTGAGAATGATTCTGTCTAGTTTTTATACGAAGATGTTTCCTTTTCTACATTTGGTCTCAAAGCGATTGAAATCTCCAACTGGAAACTGCACAAATAGGGTGTTTCAAATCTGCTCTGTCTAAAGGAAGGTTCAACTCTGTGAGTTGAATACACACACCACAAATAAGTTACTGAGAATTCTTCTGTCAAACATTACATGAAGAAATCCGCGTTTCCAACGAAGGCCTCAAAGAGGTCCAAATATCCACTTGCAGACATTACAAACAGAGTGTTTCCAAACTGCTCCATCAAAATAAAGGTTAAACTCTGTGAGCTGAACACACACATCAAAAAGAAGTTTCTGTGAATGATTCTGTCTAGATTTTATAAGAAGATGTTTCCTTTTCTACCGTAGGCCTCAAAGCGCTTGAAATCTCCAGCTGCAAATTCCACAAAAAGGGTGTTTAACATCTGCTCTTCTAAAGGAAAGTTCAACTCTATGCATTGAATACACACAGCAGAAAGAAGTTACTGAGACTTCTCCTATCAAACATTATATGAAGAAATCCCGTTTCCAACGAAGGCCTCAAAGAGGTCCAAATATCTGCTTGCAGACTTTACAGACAGAGTGTTTCCAAACTCCTCCATCAAAAGAAAGGTTAAACTCCTTGAGTTGAACACACACATCACAAAGTAGTTTCTGTGAATGATTCTGTCTAGTTTTTATACGAAGATGTTTCCTTTTCTACCTTTGGTCTCAAAGCGATTGAAATCTCCACATGGAAACTCCACAAAAAGAGTGTTTCAAATCTGCTCTTTCTGAAGGAAGGTTCATCTCTGTGAGTTGAATACACACACCACAAATAAGTTACTGAGAATTCTTTCTGTGTAACATTATATGAGGAAATCCCGTTTCCAACGATGGCCTCAAAGAGGTCCAAATATCCACTTGCAGATTTTAAAAAGACAGTGTCTCCAAACTCCTCCATCAAAAGAAAGGTTATACTGTGTGAATTGAACGCACACATCACAAAGTAGTTTCTGAGAATGATTCTGTCTAGTTTTTATACGAAGATATTTCCTTTTCTACATTTGGCTTAAAAGCGCTTGAAATCTCCATCTGCAAATATCACAAAAAGAGGGTTTCACATCTGCTCTGTCTAAAGGACAGTTCACCTCTGTGAGTTGAATAGAGGCAACACAAAGAACTTACTCAGTATTCTTCTTTCTAGCGTTATATGAAGAAATCCCGTTTCCAACGAAGGCCTCAAAGAAGTCCAAATATCTGCTTGCAGACTTTACAGACAGAGTGTTTCCAAACTATTCTATGAAAAGAAAGCTTAAACTCCTTGAGTTGAACGCACACAATGCAAAGTGGTTTCTGAGAATGATTCTGTCTTGTTTTTATAGGAAGATATTTCCGTTTCTATGATTGGCCTCAAAGCCATTGAAATCTCCAACTGGAAACTGCACAAATAGGGTGTTTCAAATCTGCTCTGTCTAAAGGAAGGTTCAACTCTGTGAGTTGAATACACACACCACAAATAAGTTGCTGAGAATTCTTCTGTCGAACATTACTTAAAGAAATCCCGTTTCCAACGAAGGCCTCCAAGAGGTCCAAATATCCACTTGCAGACATTACAAACAGAGTGTTTCCAAACTGCTCCATCAAAAGAAAGTTTAAACCCTGTGAGCTGAACACACACATCAAAAAGAAGTTTCTGTGAATGATTCTGTCTTGATTTTATAAGAAGATGTTTCCTTTTCTACCGTAGGCCTCAAAGCGCTTGAAATCTCCAGCTGCAAATTCCACAAAAAGGGTGTTTAACATCTGGTCTTCTAAAGGAAAGTTCAACTCTATGAGTTGAATACACACAGCACAAAGAAGTTACTGAGACTTCTCCTATCAAACATTATATGAAGAAATCTCGTTTCCAACGAAGGCCTCAAAGAGGTCCAAATATCTGCTTGCAGACTTTACAGACAGAGTGTTTCCAAACTACTCTATGAAAAGAAAGCTTAAACTCCTTGAGTTGAACGCACACATCACAAAGTAGATTCTGAGAATGATTCTGTCTAGTTGTTATACGAAGATGTTTCCTTTTCTACCTTTGGTCTCAAAGCGATTGAAATCTCCACATGGAAACTCCACAAAAAGAGTGTTTCAAATCTGCTCTTTCTGAAGGAAGGTTCATCTCTGTGAGTTGAATACACACACCACAAATAAGTTACTGAGAATTCTTCTGTGTAACATTATATGAGGAAATCCCGTTTCCAACGGAGGCCTCAAAGAGGTCCAAATATCCACTTGCAGACTTTACAAAGACAGTGTCTCCAAACTCCTCCACCAAAAGAAAGGTTATACTCTGTGAATTGAACGCACACATCACAAAGTGGTTTCTGAGAATGATTCTGTCTAGTTTTTATACGAAGATATTTCCTTTTCTACATTTCGCCTAAAAGCGCTTGAAATCTCCACCTGCAAATATCACAAAAAGAGGGTTTCACATCTGCTCTGTCTAAAGGACAGTTCACCTCTGTGAGTTAAATAGAGGCAACACAAAGAACTTACTCAGTATTCTTCTTTCTAGCGTTCTATGAAGAAATCCCGTTTCCAACGAAGGCCCCAAAGAGGTCCAAATATCTGCTTGCAGACTTTACAGACAGAGTGTTTCCAAACTACTCTATGAAAAGAAAGCTTAAACTCCTTGAGTTGAACGCACACATCACAAAGTAGTTTCTGAGAATGATTCTGTCTAGTTTTTATACGAAGATGTTTCCTTTTCTACATTTGGTCTCAAAGCGATTGAAATCTCCAACTGGAAACTGCACAAATAGGCTGTTTCAAATCTGCTCTGTCTAAAGGAAGGTTCAACTCTGTGAGTTGAATACACACACCACAAATAAGTTACTGAGAATTCTTCTGTCGAACATTACTTGAAGAAATCCCGTTTCCAACGAAGGCCTCAAAGAGGTCCAAATATCCACTTGCAGACATTACAAACAGAGTGTTTCCAAACTGCTCCATCAAAAGAAAGGTTAAACTCTGTGAGCTGAACACACACATCGAAAAGAAGTTTCTGTGAATGATTCTGTCTAGATTTTATAAGAAGATGTTTCCTTTTCTACCGGAGGCCTCAAAGCGCTTGAAATCTCCAGCTGCAAATTCCACAAAAAGGGTGTTTAACATCTGCTCTTCTAAAGGAAAGTTCAACTCTATGAGTTGAATACACACAGCACAAAGAAGTTTACTGAGACTTCTCCTATCAAACATTATATGAAGAAATCCCGTTTCCAACGAAGGCCTCAAAGAGGTCCAAATATCTGCTTGCAGACTTTACAGACAGAGTGTTTCCAAACTGCTCCATCAAAAGGAAGGTTAACCTCCTTCAGTTGAACACACACATCACAAAGTAGTTTCTGTGAATGATTCTGTCTAGTTTTTATACGAAGATGTTTCCTTTTCTACCTTTGGTCTCAAAGCGATTGAAATCTCCACATGGAAACTCCACAAAAAGAGTGTTTCAAATCTGCTCTTTCTGAAGGAAGGTTCAACTCTGTGAGTTGAATACACACACCACAAATAAGTTACTGAGAATTCTTCTGTGTAACATTATATGAGGAAATCCCGTTTCCAACGAAGGCCTCAAAGAGGTCCAAATATCCACTTGCAGACTTTACAAAGACAGTGTCTCCAAACTCCTCCATCAAAAGAAAGGTTATACTCTGTGAATTGAACGCACACATCACAAAGTAGTTTCTGAGAATGATTCTGTCTAGTTTTTATACGAAGATATTTCCTTTTCTACATTTGGCCTAAAAGCGCTTGAAATCTCCACCTGCAAATATCACAAAAAGAGGGTTTCACATCTGCTCTGTCTAAAGGACAGTTCACCTCTGTGAGTTGAATAGAGGCAACACAAAGAACTTACTCAGTATTCTTCTTTCTAGCGTTATATGAAGAAATCCCGTTTCCAACGAAGGCCTCAAAGAGGTCCAAATATCTGCTTGCAGACATTACAGACAGAGTGGTTCCAAACTACTCTATGAAAAGAAAGCTTAAACTCCTTGAGTTGAACGCACACATCACAAAGTAGTTTCTGAGAATGATTCTGTCTAGTTTTTATACGAAGATGTTTCCTTTTCTACATTTGGTCTCAAAGCGATTGAAATCTCCAACTGCAAACTGCACAAATAGGGTGTTTCAAATCTGCTCTGTCTAAAGGAAGGTTCAACTCTGTGAGTTGAATACACACACCACAAATAAGTTACTGAGAATTCTTCTGTCGAACATTACAGGAAGAAATCCCGTTTCCAACGAAGGCCTCAAAGAGGTCCAAATATCCACTTGCAGACATTACAAACAGAGTGTTTCCAAACTGCTCCATCAAAAGAAAGGTTAAACTCTGTGAGCTGAACACACACATCAAAAAGAAGTTTCTGTGAATGATTCTGTCTAGATTTTATAAGAAGATGTTTCCTTTTCTACCGTAGGCCTCAAAGCGCTTGAAATCTCCAGCTGCAAATTCCACAAAAAGGGTGTTTAACATCTCCTCTTCTAAAGGAAAGTTCAACTCTATGAGTTGAATACACACAGCACAAAGAAGTTACTGAGACTTCTCCTATCAAACATTATATGAAGAAATCCCGTTTCCAACGAAGGCCTCAAAGAGGTCCAAATATCTGCTTGCAGACTTTACAGACAGAGTTTTTCCAAACTGCTCCATCAAAAGAAAGGTTAAACTCCTTGAGTTGAACACACACATCACAAAGTAGTTTCTGTGAATGATTCTGTCTAGTTTTTATACGAAGATGTTTCCTTTTCTACCTTTGGTCTCAAAGCGATTGAAATCTCCACATGGAAACTCCACAAAAAGAGTGTTTCAAATCTGCTCTTTCTGAAGGAAGGTTCAACTCTGTGAGTTGAATACACACACCACAAATAAGTTACTGAGAATTCTTCTGTGTAACATTATGTGAGGAAATCCCGTTTCCAACGAAGGCCTCAAAGAGGTGCAAATATCCACTTGCAGACTTTACAAAGACAGTGTCTCCAAACTCCTCCATCAAAACAAAGGTTATACTGTGTGAATTGAACGCACACATCACAAAGTAGTTTCTGAGAATGATTCTGTCTAGTTTTTATACGAAGATATTTCCTTTTCTACATTTGGCCTAAAAGCGCTTGAAATCTCCACCTGCAAATATCACAAAAAGAGGGTTTCACATCTGCTCTGTCTAAAGGACAGTTCACGTCTGTGAGTTGAATAGAGGCAACACAAAGAACTTACTCAGTATTCTTCTTTCTAGCGTTCTATGAAGAAATCCCGTTTCCAACGAAGGCCACAAAGAAGTCAAATATCTGCTTGCAGACTTTACAGACAGAGTGTTTCCAAACTACTCTATGAAAAGAAAGCTTAAACTCCTTGAGTTGAACGCACACATCACAATGTAGTTTCTGAGAATGATTCTGTCTAGTTTTTATACGAAGATGTTTCCTTTTCTACATTTGGTCTCAAAGCGATTGAAATCTCCAACTGGAAACTGCACAAATAGGCTGTTTCAAATCTGCTCTGTCTAAAGGAAGGGTCAGCTCTGTGAGTTGAATACACACACCACAAATAAGTTACTGAGAATTCTTCTGTCGAACATTACAGGAAGAAATCCCGTTTCCAACGAAGGCCTCAAAGAGGTCCAAATATCCACTTGCAGACATTACAAACAGTGTGTTTCCAAACTGCTCCATCAAAAGAAAGGTTAAACTCTGTGAGCTGAACACACACATCAAAAAGAAGTTTCTGTGAATGATTCTGTCTAGATTTTATAAGAAGATGTTCCCTTTTCTACCGTAGGCCTCAAAGCGCTTGAAATCTCCAGCTGCAAATTCCACAAAAAGGGTGTTTAACATCTGCTCTTCTAAAGGAAAGTTCAACTCTATGAGTTGAATACACACAGCACAAAGAAGTTACTGAGACTTCTCCTATCAAACATTATATGAAGAAATCCCGTTTCCAACGAAGGCCTCAAAGAGGTCCAAATATCTGCTTGCAGACTTTAAAGACAGAGTTTTTCCAAACTGCTCCATCAAAAGAAAGGTTAAACTCCTTGAGTTGAAAACACACATCACAAAGTAGTTTCTGTGAATGATTCTCTCTAGTTTTTATACGAAGATGTTTCCTTTTCTACCTTTGGTCTCAAAGCGATTGAAATCTCCACATGGAAACTCCACAAAAAGAGTGTTTCAAATCTGCTCTTTCTGAAGGAAGGTTCAACTCTGTGAGTTGAATACACACACCACAAATAAGTTACTGAGAATTCTTCTGTGTAACATTATATGAGGAAATCCCGTTTCCAACGAAGGCCTCAAAGAGGTCCAAATATCCACTTGCAGACTTTACAAAGACAGTGTCTCCAAACTCCTCCATCAAAAGAAAGGTTATACTCTGTGAATTGAACGCACACATCACAAAGTAGTTTCTGAGAATGATTCTGTCTAGTTTTTATACGAAGATATTTCCTTTTCTACATTTGGCCTAAAAGCGCTTGAAATCTCCACCTGCAAATATCACAAAAAGAGGGTTTCACATCTGCTCTATCTAAAGGAGAGTTCACCTCTGTGAGTTGAATAGAGGCAACACAAAGAACTTACTCAGTATTCTTCTTTCTAGCGTTATATGAAGAAATCCCGTTTCCAACGAAGGCCTCAAAGAGGTCCAAATATCTGCTTGCAGATTTTACAGACAGAGTGTTTCCAAACTACTCTATGAAAAGAAAGCTTAAACTCCGTGAGTTGAACGCACACATCACAAAGTAGTTTCTGAGAATGATTCTGTCTAGTTTTTATACGAAGATGTTTCCTTTTCTACATTTGGTCTCAAAGCGATTGAAATCTCCAACTGGAAACTGCACAAATAGGGTGTTTCAAATCTGCTCTGTCTAAAGGAAGGTTCAACTCTGTGAGTTGAATACACACACCACAAATAAGTTACTGAGAATTCTTCTGTCGAACATTACTTGAAGAAATCCCGTTTCCAATGAAGGCCTCAAAGAGGTCCAAATATCCACTTGCAGACATTACAAACAGAGTGTTTCCAAACTGCTCCATCAAAAGAAAGGTTAAACTCTGTGAGCTGAACACACACATCAAAAAGAAGTTTCTGTGAATGATTCTGTCTAGATTTTATAAGAAGATGTTTCCTTTTCTACCGTAGGCCTCAAAGCGCTTGAAATCTCCAGCTGCAAATTCCACAAAAAGGGTGTTTAACATCTGCTCTTCTAAAGGAAAGTTCAACTCTATGAGTTGAATACACACAGCACAAAGAAGTTACTGAGACTTCTCCTATCAAACATTATATGAAGAAATCCCGTTTCCAACGAAGGCCTCAAAGAGGTCCAAATATCTGCTTGCAGACTTTACAGACAGAGTTTTTCCAAACTGCTCCATCAAAAGAAAGGTTAAACTCCTTGAGTTGAACACACACATCACAAAGTAGTTTCTGTGAATGATTCTGTCTAGTTTTTATACGAAGATGTTTCCTTTTCTACCTTTGGTCTCAAAGCGATTGAAATCTCCACATGGAAACTCCACAAAAAGAGTGTTTCAAATCTGCTCTTTCTGAAGGAAGGTTCATCTCTGTGAGTTGAATACACACACCACAAATAAGTTACTGAGAATTCTTCTGTGTAACATTATATGAGGAAATCCCGTTTCCAACGAAGGCCTCAAAGAGGTCCAAATATCCACTTGCAGACTTTACAAAGACAGTGTCTCCAAACTCCTCCATCAAAAGAAAGGTTATACTCTGTGAATTGAACGCACACATCACAAAGTAGTTTCTGAGAATGATTCTGTCTAGTTTTTATACGAAGATATTTCCTTTTCTACATTTGGCCTAAAAGCGCTTGAAATCTCCACCTGCAAACATCACAAAAAGAGGGTTTCACATCTGCTCTGTCTAAAGGACAGTTCACCTCTGTGAGTTGAATAGAGGCAACACAAAGAACTTACTCAGTATTCTTCTTTCTAGCGTTATATGAAGAAATCCCGTTTCCAACGAAGGACTCAAAGAGGTCCAAATATCTGCTTGCAGACTTTACAGACAGAGTGTTTCCAAACTACTCTATGAAAAGAGAGCTTAAACTCCGTGAGTTGAACGCACACATCAAAAAGTAGTTTCTGAGAATGATTCTGTCTAGTTTTTATACGAAGATGTTTCCTTTTCTACATTTGGTCTCAAAGCGATTGAAATCTCCAACTGGAAACTGCACAAATAGGGTGTTTCAAATCTGCTCTGTCTAAAGGAAGGTTCAACTCTGTGAGTTGAATACACACACCACAAATAAGTTACTGAGAATTCTTCTGTCGAACATTACAGGAAGAAATCCCGTTTCCAACGAAGGCCTCAAAGAGGTCCAAATATCCACTTGCAGACATTACAAACAGTGTGTTTCCCAACTGCTCCATCAAAAGAAAGGTTAAACTCTGTGAGCTGGACACACAGATCATAAAGAAGTTTCTGTGAATGATTCTGTCTAGATTTTATTAGAAGATGTTTCCTTTTCTACCGTAGGCCTCAAAGCGCTTGAAATCTCCAGCTGCAAATTCCACAAAAAGGGTGTTTAACATCTGCTCTTCTAAAGGAAAGTTCAACTCTATGAGTTGAATACACACAGCACAAAGAAGTTACTGAGACTTCTCCTATCAAACATTATATGAAGAAATCCCGTTTCCAACGAAGGCCTCAAAGAGGTCCAAGTATCTGCTTGCAGACTTTACAGACAGAGTGTTTCCAAACTGCTCCATCAAAAGAAAGGTTAAACTCCTTGAGTTGAACACACACATCACAAAGTAGTTTCTGTGAATGATTCTGTCCAGTTTTTATACGAAGATGTTTCCTTTTCTACCTTTGGTCTCAAAGCGATTGAAATCTCCACATGGAAACTCCACAAAAAGAGTGATTCAAATGTGCTCTTTCTGAAGGAAGGTTCAACTCTGTGAGTTGAATACACACAACACAAATAAGTTACTGAGAATTCTTCTGTGTAACATTATAGGAGGAAATCCCGTTTCCAACGAAGGCCTCAAAGAGGTCCAAATATCCACTTGCAGACTTTACAAAGACAGTGTCTCCAAACTCCTCCATCAAAAGAAAGCTTATCTTCTGTGAATTGAACGCACACATCACAAAGTAGTTTCTGAGAATGATTCTGTCTAGTTTTTATACGAAGATATTTCCTTTTCTACATTTGGCCTAAAAGCGCTTTAAATCTCCACCTGCAAATATCACAAAAAGAGGGTTTCACATCTGCTCTGTCTAAAGGACAGTTCACCTCTGTGTGTTGAGTAGAGGCAACACAAAGAACTTACTCAGTATTCTTCTTTCTAGCGTTCTATGAAGAAATCCCGTTTCCAACGAAGGCCTCAATGAGGTCCAAATATCTGCTTGCAGACTTTACAGACAGAGTGTTTCCAAACTACTCTATGAAAAGAAAGCTTAAACTCCTTGAGTTGAACGCACACATCACAAAGTAGTTTCTGAGAATGATTCTGTCTAGTTTTTATACGAAGATGTTTCCTTTTCTACATTTGGTCTCAAAGCGATTGAAATCTCCAACTGGAAACTGCACAAATAGGGTGTTTCAAATCTGCTCTGTCTAAAGGAAGGTTCAACTCTGTGAGTTGAATACACACACCACACATAAGTTACTGAGAATTCTTCTGTCGAACATTACAGGAAGAAATCCCGTTTCCAACGAAGGCCTCAAAGAGGTCCAAATATCCACTTGCAGACATTACAAACAGAGTGTTTCCAAACTGCTCCATCAAAAGAAAGGTTAAACTCTGTGAGCTGAACACACACATCAAAAATAAGTTTCTGTGAATGATTCTGTCTAGATTTTATAAGAAGATGTTTCCTTTTCTACCGTAGGCCTCAAAGCGCTTGAAATCTCCAGCTGCAAATTCCACAAAAAGGGTGTTTAACATCTGCTCTTCTAAAGGAAAGTTCAACTCTATGAGTTGAATACACACAGCACAAAGAAGTTACTGAGACTTCTCCTATCAAACATTATATGAAGAAATCCCGTTTCCAACGAAGGCCCCAAAGAGGTCCAAATATCTGCTTGCAGACTTTACAGACAGAGTTTTTCCAAACAGCTCCATCAAAAGAAAGGTTAAACTCCTTGAGTTGAACACACACATCACAAAGTAGTTTCTGTGAATGATTCTGTCTAGTTTTTATACGAAGATGTTTCCTTTTCTACCTTTGGTCTCAATGCGATTGAAATCTCCACATGGAAACTCCACAAAAAGAGTGTTTCAAATCTGCTCTTTCTGAAGGAAGGTTCAACTCTGTGAGTTGAATACACACACCACAAATAAGTTACTGAGAATTCTTCTGTGTAACATTATATGAGGAAATCCCGTTTCCAACGAAGGCCTCAAAGAGGTCCAAATATCCACTTGCAGACTTTACAAAGACAGTGTCTCCAAACTCCTCCATCAAAAGAAAGCTTATACTCTGTGAATTGAACGCACACATCACAAAGTAGTTTCTGAGAATGATTCTGTCTAGTTTTTATACGAAGATATTTCCTTTTCTACATTTGGCCTAAAAGCGCTTGAAATCTCCACCTGCAAATATCACAAAAAGAGGGTTTCACATCTGCTCTGTCTAAAGGACAGTTCACCTCTGTGAGTTGAATAGAGGCAACACAAAGAACTTACTCAGTATTCTTCTTTCTAGTGTTCTATGAAGAAATCCCGTTTCCAACGAAGGCCTCAAAGAGGTCCAAATATCTGCTTGCAGACTTTACAGACAGAGTGTTTCCAAACTACTCTAAGAAAAGAAAGCTTAAACTCCGTGAGTTGAACGCACACATCACAAAGTAGTTTCTGAGAATGATTCTGTCTTGTATTTATACGAAGATATTTCCGTTTCTACGATTGGCCTCAAAGGGATTGAAATCTCCAACTGGAAACTGCACAAATAGGGTGTTTCAAATCTGCTCTGTCTAAAGGAAGGTTCAACTCTGTGAGTTGAATACACACACCACAAATAAGTTACTGAGAATTCTTCTCTCGAACATTACATGAAGAAATCCCGTTTCCAACGAAGGCCTGAAAGAGGTCCAAATATCCAGTTGCCGACAATGCAAACACAGTGTTTGCAAACAGCTCCATCAAAAGAAAGGTTAAACTCTGTGAGATGAACACACACATCAGAAAGAAGTTTCTGTGAATGATTCTGTCTAGATATTATAAGAAGATGTTTCCTTTTCTACCGTAGGCCTCAAAGCGCTTGAAATCTCCAGCTGCAAATTCCACAAAAAGGGTGTTTAACATCTGCTCTTCTAAAGGAAAGTTCAACTCTATGAGTTGAATACACACAGCACAAAGAAGTTACTGAGACTTCTCCTATCAAACATTATATGAAGAAATCCCGTTTCCAACGAAGGCCCCAAAGAGGTCCAAATATCTGCTTGCAGAATTTACAGACAGAGTTTTTCCAAACAGCTCCATCAAAAGAAAGGTTAAACTCCTTGAGTTGAACACACACATCACAAAGTAGTTTCTGTGAATGATTCTGTCTAGTTTTTATACGAAGATGTTTCCTTTTCTACCTTTGGTCTCAAAGCGATTGAAATCTCCACATGGAAACTCCACAAAAAGAGTGTTTCAAATCTGCTCTTTCTGAAGGAAGGTTCAACTCTGTGAGTTGAATACACACACCACAAATAAGTTACTGAGAATTCTTCTGGGTAACATTATATGAGGAAATCCCGTTTCCAACGAAGGCCTCAAAGAGGTCCAAATATCCACTTGCAGACTTTACAAAGACAGTGTCTCCAAACTCCTCCATCAAAAGAAAGGTTATACTCTGTGAATTGAACGCACACATCACAAAGTAGTTTCTGAGAATGATTCTGTCTAGTTTTTATACGAAGATATTTCCTTTTCTACATTTGGCCTAAAAGCGCTTGAAATCTCCACCTGCAAATATCACAAAAAGAGGGTTTCACATCTGCTCTGTCTAAAGGACAGTTCACCTCTGTGAGTTGAGTAGAGGCAACACAAAGAACTTACTCAGTATTCTTCTTTCTAGCGTTCTATGAAGAAATCACGTTTCCAACGAAGGCCCCAATGAGGTCCAAATATCTGCTTGCAGACTTTACAGACAGAGTGTTTCCAAACTACTCTATGAAAAGAAAGCTTAAACTTCTTGAGTTGAACGCACACATCACAAAGTATTTTCTGAGAATGATTCTGTCTAGTTTTTATACGAAGATGTTTCTTTTTCTACATTTGGTCTCAAAGCGATTGAAATCTCCAACTGGAAACTGCACAAATAGGGTGTTTCAAATCTGCTCTGTCTAAAGGAAGGTTCAACTCTTTGAGTTGAATACACACACCACAAATAAGTTACCGAGAATTCTTCTCCCGAACATTACTTGAAGAAATCCCGTTTCCAACGAAGGCCTCAAAGAGGTCCAAATATCCACTTGCAGACATTACAAACAGAGTGTTTCCAAACTGCTCCATCAAAAGAAAGGTTAAACTCTGTGAGCTGAACACACACATCAAAAAGAAGTTTCTGTGAATGATTCTGTCTAGATTTTATAAGAAGATGTTTCCTTTTCTACCGTAGGCCTCAAAGCGCTTGAAATCTCCAGCTGCAAATTCCACAAAAATGGTGTTTAACATCTGCCCTTCTAAAGGAAAGTTCAACTCTACGAGTTGAATACACACAGCACAAAGAAGTTACTGAGACTTCTCCTATCAAACATTATATGAAGAAATCCCGTTTCCAACGAAGGCCTCAAAGAGGTCCAAATATCTGCTTGCAGACTTTACAGACAGAGTGTTTCCAAACTGCTCCATCAAAAGAAAGGTTAAACTCCTTGAGTTGAACACACACATCACAAAGTAGTTTCTGTGAATGATTCTGTCTAGTTTTTATACGAAGATGTTTCCTTTTCTACCTTTGGTCTCAAAGCGATTGAAATCTCCACATGGAAACTTCACAAAAAGAGTGTTTCAAATCTGCTCTTTCTGAAGGAAGGTTCAACTCTGTGAGTTGAATACACACACCACAAATAAGTTACTGAGAATTCTTCTGTGTAACATTATATGAGGAAATCCCGTTTCCAACGAAGGCCTCAAAGAGGTCCAAATATCCACTTGCAGACTTTAGAAACACAGTGTCTCCAAACTCCTCCATCAAAAGAAAGGTTATACTCTGTGAAATGAACGCACATATCACAAAGTAGTTTCTGAGAATGATTCTGTCTAGTTTTTATACGAAGATATTTCCTTTTCTACATTTGGCCTAAAAGCGCTTGAAATCTCCACCTGCAAATATCACAAAAAGAGGGTTTCACATCTGCTCTGTCTAAAGGACAGTTCACCTCTGTGAGTTGAATAGAGGCAACACAAAGAACTTACTCAGTATTCTTCTTTCTAGCGTTCTATGAAGAAATCCCGTTTCCAACGAAGGCCCCAAAGAGGTCCAAATATCTGCTTGCAGACTTTACAGACAGAGTGTTTCCAAACTACTCTATGAAAAGAAAGCTTAAACTCCTTGAGTTGAATGCACACATCACAAAGTAGTTTCTGAGAATGATTCTGTCTAGTTTTTATACGAAGATGTTTCCTTTTCTACATTTGGTCTCAAAGCGATTGAAATCTCCAACTGGAAACTGCACAAATAGGGTGTTTCAAATCTGCTCTGTCTAAAGGAAGGTTCAACTCTGTGAGTTGAATACACACACCACAAATAAGTTACTGAGAATTCTTCTGTCGACCATTACTTGAAGAAATCCCGTTTCCAACGAAGGCCTCAAAGAGGTCCAAATATCCACTTGCAGACATTACAAACAGAGTGTTTCCAAACTGCTCCATCAAAAGAAAGGTTAAACTCTGTGAGCTGAACACACACACCGAAAAGAAGTTTCTGTGAATGATTCTGTCTAGATTTTATAAGAAGATGTTTCCTTTTCTACCGTAGGCCTCAAAGCGCTTGAAATCTCCAGCTGCAAATTCCACAAAAAGGGTGTTTAACATCTGCTCTTCTAAAGGAAAGTTCAACTCTATGAGTTGAATACACACAGCACAAAGAAGTTACTGAGACTTCTCCTATCAAACATTATATGAAGAAATCCCGTTTCCAACGAAGGCCTCAAAGAGGTCCAAATATCTGCTTGCAGACTTTACAGACAGAGTGTTTCCAAACTGCTCCATCAAAAGAAAGGTTAAACTCCTTGAGTTGAACACACACATCACAAAGTAGTTTCTGTGAATGATTCTGTCTAGTTTTTATACGAAGATGTTTCCTTTTCTACCTTTGGTCTCAAAGCGATTGAAATCTCCACATGGAAACTCCACAAAAAGAGTGTTTCAAATCTGCTCTTTCTGAAGGAAGGTTCAACTCTGTGAGTTGAATACACACACCACAAATAAGTTACTGAGAATTCTTCTGTGTAACATTATATGAGGAAATCCCGTTTCCAACGAAGGCCTCAAAGAGGTCCAAATATCCACTTGCAGACTTTACAAAGACAGTGTCTCCAAACTCCTCCATCAAAAGAAAGGTTATACTCTGTGAATTGAACGCACACATCACAAAGTAGTTTCTGAGAATGATTCTGTCCAGTTTTTATACGAAGATATTTCCTTTACTACATTTGGCCTAAAAGCGCTTGAAATCTCCACCTGCAAATATCACAAAAAGAGGGTTTCACATCTGCTCTGTCTAAAGGACAGTTCACCTCTGTGAGTTGAATAGAGGCAACACAAAGAACTTACTCAGTATTCTTCTTTCTAGCGTTCTATGAAGAAATCCCGTTTCCAACGAAGGCCCCAAAGAGGTCCAAATATCTGCTTGCAGACTTAACAGACAGAGTGTTTCCAAACTACTCTATGAAAAGAAAGCTTAAACTCCTTGAGTTGAACGCACACATCACAAAGTAGTTTCTGAGAATGATTCTGTCTAGTTTTTATACGAAGATGTTTCCTTTTCTACATTTGGTCTCAAAGCGATTGAAATCTCCAACTGGAAACTGCACAAATAGGGTGTTTCAAATCTGCTCTGTCTAAAGGAAGGTTCAACTCTGTGAGTTGAATACACACACCACAAATAAGTTACTGAGAATTCTTCTGTCGAACATTACAGGAAGAAATCCCGTTTCCAACGAAGGCCTCAAAGAGGTCCAAATATCCACTTGCAGACATTACAAACAGTGTGTTTCCCAACTGCTCCATCAAAAGAAAGGTTAAACTCTGTGAGCTGAACACACACATCAAAAAGAAGTTTCTGTGAATGATTCTGTCTAGATTTTATAAGAAGATGTTTCCTGTTCTACCGTAGGCCTCAAAGCGCTTGAAATCTCCAGCTGCAAATTCCACAAAAAGGGTGTTTAACATCTGCTCTTCTAAAGGAAAGTTCAACTCAATGAGTTGAATACACACAGCACAAAGAAGTTACTGAGACTTCTCCTATCAAACATTATATGAAGAAATCCCGTTTCCAACGAAGGCCCCAAAGAGGTCCAAATATCTGCTTGCAGACTTTACAAAGACAGTGTCTCCAAACTCCTCCATCAAAAGAAAGGTTATACTCTGTGAATTGAACGCACACATCACAAAGTAGTTTACTGAGAATGATTCTGTCTAGTTTTTATACGAAGGTGTTTCCTTTTCTACCTTTGGTCTCAAAGCGATTGAAATCTCCACATGGAAACTCCACAAAAAGAGTGTTTCAAATCTGCTCTTTCTGAAGGAAGGTTCAACTCTGTGAGTTGAATACACACACCACAAATAAGTTACTGAGAATTCTTCTGTGTAACATTATATGAGGAAATCCCGTTTCCAACGAAGGCCTCAAAGAGGTCCAAATATCCACTTGCAGACTTTACAAAGACAGTGTCTCCAAACTTCTCCATCAAAAGAAAGGTTATACTCTGTGAATTGAACGCACACATCACAAAGTAGTTTCTGAGAATGATTCTGTCTAGTTTTTATACGAAGACATTTCCTTTTCTACATTTGGCCTAAAAGCGCTTGAAATCTCCACGTGCAAATATCACAAAAAGAGGGTTTCACATCTGCTCTGTCTAAAGGACAGTTCACCTCTGTGAGTTGAATAGAGGCAACACAAAGAACTTACTCAGTATTCTTCTTTCTAGCGTTCTATGAAGAAATCCCGTTTCCAACGAAGGCCCCAAAGAGGTCCAAATATCTGCTTGCAGACTTTACAGACAGAGTGTTTCCAAACTACTCTATGAAAAGAAAGCTTAAACTCCTTGAGTTGAACGCACACATCACAAAGTAGTTTCGGAGAATGATTCTGTCTAGTTTTTATACGAAGATGTTTCCTTTTCTACATTTGGTCTCAAAGCGATTGAAATCTCCAACTGGAAACTGCACAAATAGGGTGTTTCAAATCTGCTCTGTCTAAAGGAAGGTTCAACTCTGTGAGTTGAATACACACACCACAAATAAGTTACTGAGAATTCTTCTGTCGAACATTACTTGAAGAAATCCCGTTTCCAACGAAGGCCTCAAACAGGTCCAAATATCCACTTGCAGACGTTACAAACAGAGTGTTTCCAAACTGCTCCATCAAAAGAAAGGTTAAACTCTGTGAGCTGAACACACACATCAAAAAGAAGTTTCTGTGAATGATTCTGTCTAGATTTTATAAGAAGATGTTTCCTTTTCTACCGTAGGCCTCAAAGCGCTTGAAATCTCCAGCTGCAAATTCCACAAAAAGGGTGTTTAACATCTGCTCTTCTAAAGGAAAGTTCAACTCTATGAGTTGAATACACACAGCACAAAGAAGTTACTGAGACTTCTCCTATCAAACATTATATGAAGAAATCCCGTTTCCAACGAAGGCCTCAAAGAGGTCCAAATATCTGCTTGCAGACTTTACAGACAGAGTATTTCCAAACTGCTCCATCAAAAGAAAGGTTAAACTCCTTGAGTTGAACACACACATCACAAAGTAGTTTCTGTGAATGATTCTGTCTAGTTTTTATACGAAGATGTTTCCTTTTCTACCTTTGGTCTCAAAGCGATTGAAATCTCCACATGGAAACTCCACAAAAAGAGTGTTTCAAATCTGCTCTTTCTGAAGGAAGGTTCAACTCTGTGAGTTGAATACACACACCACAAATAAGTTACTGAGAATTCTTCTGTGTAACATTATATGAGGAAATCCCGTTTCCAACGAAGGCCTCAAAGAGGTCCAAATATCCACTTGCAGACTTTACAAAGACAGTGTCTCCAAACTCCTCCATCAAAAGAAAGGTTATACTCTGTGAATTGAACGCACACATCACAAAGTAAGTTTCTGAGAATGATTCTGTCTAGTTTTTATACGAAGACATTTCCTTTTCTACATTTGGCCTCAAAGCGCTTGAAATCTCCACCTGCAAATATCACAAAAAGAGGGTTTCACATCTGCTCTGTCTAAAGGACAGTTCACCTCTGTGAGTTGAATAGAGGCAACACAAAGAACTTACTCAGTATTCTTCTTTCTAGCGTTCTATGAAGAAATCCCGTTTCCAACGAAGGCCTCAAAGAGGTCCAAATATCTGCTTGCAGACTTTACAGAGAGAGTGTTTCCAAACTACTCTATGAAAAGAAAGCTTAAACTCCTTGAGTTGAACGCACACATCACAAAGTAGTTTCTGAGAATGATTCTGTCTTGTTTTTATACGAAGATATTTCCGTTTCTATGATTGGCCTCAAAGCGATTGAAATCTCCAACTGGAAAATGCACAAATAGGGTGTTTCAAATCTGCTCTGTCTAAAGGAAGGTTCAACTCTGTGAGTTGAATACACACACCACAAATAAGTTACTGAGAATTCTTCTGTCGAACATTACATGAAGAAATCCCGTTTCCAACGAAGGCCTCAAAGAGGTCCAAATATCCCCTTGCAGACATTACAAACAGAGTGTTTCCAAACTGCTCCATCAAAAGAAAGGTCAAACTCTGTGAGCTGAACACACACATCAAAAAGAAGTTTCTGTGAATGATTCTGTCTAGATTTTATAAGAAGATGTTTCCTTTTCTACCGTAGGCCTCAAAGCGCTTGAAATCTCCAGCTGCAAATTCCACAAAAAGGGTGTTTAACATCTGCTCTTCTAAAGGAAAGTTCAACTCTATGAGTTGAATACACACAGCACAAAGAAGTTACTGAGACTTCTCCTATCAAACATTATATGAAGAAATCCCGTTTCCAACGAAGGCCTCAAAGAGGTCCAAATATCTACTTGCAGACTTTACAGACAGAGTGTTTCCAAACTGCTCCATCAAAAGAAAGGTTAAACTCCTTGAGTTGAACACACACATCACAAAGTAGTTTCTGTGAATGATTCTGTCTAGTTGTTATACGAAGATGTTTCCTTTTCTACCTTTGGTCTCAAAGCGATTGAAATCTCCACATGGAAACTCCACAAAAAGAGTGTTTCAAATCTGCTCTTTCTGAAGGAAGGTTCATCTCTGTGAGTTGAATACACACACCACAAATAAGTTAGTGAGAATTCTCCTATCAAACATCATATGAAGAAATCCCGTTTCCAACGAAGGCCTCAAAGAGGTCCAAATATCTGCTTGCAGACTTTACAAAGACAGTGTCTCCAAACTCCTCCATCAAAAGAAAGGTTATACTCTGTGAATTGAACGCACACATCACAAAGTAGTTTCTGAGAATGATTCTGTCTAGTTTTTATACGAAGATATTTCCTTTTCTACATTTGGCCTAAAATCGCTTGAAATCTCCACCTGCAAATATCACAAAAAGAGGGTTTCACATCTGCTCTGTCTAAAGGACAGTTCACCTCTGTGAGTTGAATAGAGGCAACACAAAGAACTTACTCAGTATTCTTCTTTCTAGCGTTCTATGAAGAAATCCCGTTTCCAACGAAGACCCCAATGAAGTCCAAATATCTGCTTGCAGACTTTACAGACAGAGTGTTTCCAAACTACTCTATGAAAAGAAAGCTTAAACTCCTTGAGTTGAACGCACACATCACAAAGTAGTTTCTGAGAATGATGCTGTCTAGTTTTTGTACGAAGATGTTTCCTTTTCTACATTTGGTCTCAAAGCGATTGAAATCTCCAACTGGAAACTGCACAAATAGGGTGTTTCAAATCTGCTCTGTCTAAAGGAAGGTTCAACTCTGTGAGTTGAATACACACACCACAAATAAGTTACTGAGAATTCTTCTGTCGAACATTACAGGAAGAAATCCCGTTTCCAACGAAGGCCTCAAAGAGGTCCAAATATCCACTTGCAGACATTACAAACAGTGTGTTTCCAAACTGCTCCATCAAAAGAAAGGTTAAACTCTGTGAGCTGAACACACACATCAAAAAGATGTTTCTGTGAATGATTCTGTCTAGATTTTATAAGAAGATGTTTCCTTTTCTACCGTAGGCCTCAAAGCGCTTGAAATCTCCAGCTGCAAATTCCACAAAAAGGGTGTTTAACATCTGCTCTTCTAAAGGAAAGTTCAACTCTATGAGTTGAATACACACAGCACAAAGAAGTTACTGAGACTTCTCCTATCAAACATTATATGAAGAAATCCCGTTTCCAACGAAGGCCTCAAAGAGGTCCAAATATCTGCTTGCAGACTTTACAGACAGAGTGTTTCCAAACTGCTCCATCAAAAGAAAGGTTAAACTCCTTGAGTTGAACACACACATCACAAAGTAGTTTCTGTGAATGATTCTGTCTAGTTTTTATACGAAGATGTTTCCTTTTCTACCTTTGGTCTCAAAGCGATTGAAATCTCCACATGGAAAACTCCACAAAAAGAGTGTTTCAAATCTGCTCTTTCTGAAGGAAGGTTCAACTCTGTGAATTGAATACACACACCACAAATAAGTTACTGAGAATTCTTCTGTGTAACATTATATGAGGAAATCCCGTTTCCAACGAAGGCCTCAAAGAGGTCCAAATATCCACTTGCAGACTTTACAAAGACAGTGTCTCCAAACTCCTCCATCAAAAGAAAGGTTATACTCTGTGAATTGAACGCACACATCACAAAGTAGTTTCTGAGAATGATTCTGTCTAGTTTTTATACGAAGATATTTCCTTTTCTACATTTGGCCTAAAAGCGCTTGAAATCTCCACCTGCAAATATCACAAAAAGAGGGTTTCACATCTGCTCTGTCTAAAGGACAGTTCACCTCTGTGAGTTGAATAGAGGCAACACAAAGAACTTACTCAGTATTCTTCTTTCTAGCGTTCTATGAAGAAATCCCGTTTCCAACGAAGGCCTCAAAGAGGTCAAATATCTGCTTGCAGACTTTACAGACAGAGTGTTTCCAAACTACTCTATGAAAAGAAAGCTTAAACTCCTTGAGTTGAACGCACACATCACAAAGTAGTTTCTGAGAATGATTCTGTCTAGTTTTTATACGAAGATGTTTCCCTTTCTACATTTGGTCTCAAAGCGATTGAAATCTCCAACTGGAAACTGCACAAATAGGCTGTTTCAAATCTGCTCTGTCTAAAGGAAGGTTCAACTCTGTGAGTTGAATACACACACCACAAATAAGTTACTGAGAATTCTTCTCTCGAACATTACATGAAGAAATCCCGTTTCCAACGAAGGCCTCAAAGAGTTCCAAATATCTACTTGCCGACATGGCAAACACAGTGTTTGCAAACTGCTCCGTCAGAAGAAAGGTTAAACTCTGTGAGATGAACACACACATCAAAAAGAAGTTTCTGTGAATGATTGTGTCTAGATTTTATAAGAAGATGTTTCCTTTTCTACCGTAGGCCTCAAAGCGCTAGAAATCTCCAGATGGAAATTCCACAAAAAGTGTGTTTAACATCTGCTCGTTCTAAAGTAAAGTTCAGCTCTGTGATTTGAATACACACTGCACAAAGAAGTTACTGAGACTTCTCCTATCAAACATTATATGAAGAAATCCCGTTTCCAACGAAGGCCTCAAAGAGGTCCAAATATCTGCTTGCAGACTTTAAAGACAGAGTTTTTCCAAACTGCTCCATCAAAAGAAAGGTTAAACTCCTTGAGTTGAACACACACATCACAAAGTAGTTTCTGTGAATGATTCTGTCTAGTTTTTATACGAAGATGTTTCCTTTTCTACCTTTGGTCTCAAAGCGATTGAAATCTCCACATGGAAACTCCACAAAAAGAGTGTTTCAAATCTGCTCTTTCTGAAGGAAGGTTCAACTCTGTGAGTTGAATACACACACCACAAATAAGTTACTGAGAATTCTTCTGTGTAACATTATATGAAGAAATCCCGTTTCCAACGAAGGCCTCAAAGAGGTCCAAATATCCACTTGCAGACTTTACAAAGACAGTGTCTCCAAACTCCTCCATCAAAAGAAAGGATATACTATGTGAATTGAACGCACACATCACAATGTAGTTTCTGAGAATGATTCTGTCTAGTTTTTATACGAAGATATTTCCTTTTCTACATTTGGCCTAAAAGCGCTTGAAATCTCCACCTGCAAATATCACAAAAAGAGGGTTTCACATCT
The DNA here is from genome assembly GCF_000001405.40 of Homo sapiens. Lineage (NCBI taxonomy): Eukaryota > Metazoa > Chordata > Mammalia > Primates > Hominidae > Homo > Homo sapiens. The sequence continues at coordinate 36,145,829 of NC_000012.12, read as the reverse complement.
GCTCTGTCTAAAGGACAGTTCACCTCTGTGAGTTGAATAGAGGCAACACAAAGAACTTACTCAGTATTCTTCTTTCTAGCGTTCTATGAAGAAATCCCGTTTCCATCGAAGGCCCCAATGAGGTCCAAATATCTGCTTGCAGACTTTACAGACAGAGTGTTTCCAAAGTACTCTATGAAAAGAAAGCTTAAACTCCTTGAGTTGAACGCACACATCACAAAGTAGTTTCTGAGAATGATTCTGTCCAGTTTTTATACGAAGATGTTTCCTTTTCTACATTTGGTCTCAAAGCGATTGAAATCTCCAACTGGAAACTGCACAAATAGGGTGTTTCAAATCTGCTCTGTCTAAAGGAAGGTTCAACTCTGTGAGTTGAATACACACACCACAAATAAGTTACTGAGAATTCTTCTGTCGAACATTACTTGAAGAAATCCCGTTTCCAACGAAGGCCTCAAAGAGGTCCAAATATCCACTTGCAGACATTACAAACAGAGTGTTTCCAAACTGCTCCATCAAAAGAAAGGTTAAACTCTGTGAGCTGAACACACACATCAAAAAGAAGTTTCTGTGAATGATTCTGTCTAGATTTTATAAGAAGATGTTTCCTTTTCTACCGTAGGCCTCAAAGCGCTTGAAATCTCCAGCTGCAAATTCCACAAAAAGGGTGTTTAACATCTGCTCTTCTAAAGGAAAGTTCAACTCTATGAGTTGAATACACACAGCACAAAGAAGTTACTGAGACTTCTCCTATCAAACATTATATGAAGAAATCCCGTTTCCAACGAAGGCCTCAAAGAGGTCCAAATATCTGCTTGCAGACTTTACAGACAGAGTTTTTCCAAACTGCTCCATCAAAAGAAAGGTTAAACTCCTTGAGTTGAACACACACATCACAAAGTAGTTTCTGTGAATGATTCTGTCTAGTTTTTATACGAAGATGTTTCCTTTTCTACCTTTGGTCTCAAAGCGATTGAAATCTCCACATGGAAACTCCACAAAAAGAGTGTTTCAAATCTGCTCTTTCTGAAGGAAGGTTCAACTCTGTGAGTTGAATACACACACCACAAATAAGTTACTGAGAATTCTTCTGTGTAACATTATATGAGGAAATCCCGTTTCCAACGAAGGCCTCAAAGAGGTCCAAATATCCACTTGCAGACTTTACAAAGACAGTGTCTCCAAACTCCTCCATCAAAAGAAAGGTTATACTCTGTGAATTGAACGCACACATCACAAAGTAGTTTCTGAGAATGATTCTGTCTAGTTTTTATACGAAGATATTTCCTTTTCTACATTTGGCCTAAAAGCGCTTGAAATCTCCACCTGCAAATATCACAAAAAGAGGGTTTCACATCTGCTCTGTCTAAAGGACAGTTCACCTCTGTGAGTTGAATAGAGGCAACACAAAGAACTTACTCAGTATTCTTCTTTCCAGCGTTCTCTGAAGAAATCCCGTTTCCAACGAAGGCCTCAAGGAGGTCCAAATATCTGCTTGCAGACTTTACAGACAGAGTGTTTCCAAACTACTCTATGAAAAGAAAGCTTAAACTCCTTGAGTTGAACGCACACATCACAAGGTAGTTTCTGAGAATGATTCTGTCTAGTTTTTATACGAAGATGTTTCCTTTTCTACATTTGGTCTCAAAGCGATTGAAATCTCCAACTGGAAACTGCACAAATAGGGTGTTTCAAATCTGCTCTGTCTAAAGGAAGGTTCAACTCTGTGAGTTGAATACACACACCACAAATAAGTTACTGAGAATTCTTCTGTCGACCATTACTTGAAGAAATCCCGTTTCCAACGAAGGCCTCAAAGAGGTCCAAATATCCACTTGCAGACATTACAAACAGAGTGTTTCCAAACTGCTCCATCAAAAGAAAGGTTAAACTCTGTGAGCTGAACACACACATCGAAAAGAAGTTTCTGTGAATGATTCTGTCTAGATTTTATAAGAAGATGTTTCCTTTTCTACCGTAGGCCTCAAAGCGCTTGAAATCTCCAGCTGCAAATTCCACAAAAAGGGTGTTTAACATCTGCTCTTCTAAAGGAAAGTTCAACTCTATGAGTTGAATACACACAGCACAAAGAAGTTACTGAGACTTCTCCTATCAAACATTATATGAAGAAATCCCGTTTCCAACGAAGGCCTCAAAGAGGTCCAAATATCTGCTTGCAGACTTTACAGACAGAGTGTTTCCAAACTGCTCCATCAAAAGAAAGGTTAACCTCCTTGAGTTGAACACACACATCACAAAGTAGTTTCTGTGAATGATTCTGTCTAGTTTTTATACGAAGATGTTTCCTTTTCTACCTTTGGTCTCAAAGCGATTGAAATCTCCACATGGAAACTCCACAAAAAAGAGTGTTTCAAATCTGCTCTTTCTGAAGGAAGGTTGAACTCTGTGAGTTGAATACACACACCACAAATAAGTTACTGAGAATTCTTCTGTGTAACATTATATGAGGAAATCCCGTTTCCAACGAAGGCCTCAAAGAGGTCCAAATATCCACTTGCAGACTTTACAAAGACAGTGTCTCCAAACTCCTCCATCAAAAGAAAGGTTATACTCTGTGAATTGAACGCACACATCACAAAGTAGTTTCTGAGAATGATTCTGTCTAGTTTTTATACGAAGATATTTCCTTTTCTACATTTGGCCTAAAAGCGCTTGAAATCTCCACCTGCAAATATCACAAAAAGAGGGTTTCACATCTGCTCTGTCTAAAGGACAGTTCACCTCTGTGAGTTGAATAGAGGCAACACAAAGAACTTACTCAGTATTCTTCTTTCTAGGGTTCTATGAAGAAACGCCGTTTCCAACGAAGGACCCAAAGAGGTCCAAATATCTGCTTGCAGACTTTACAGACAGAGTGTTTCCAAACTACTCTATGAAAAGAAAGCTTAAACTCCTTGAGTTGAACGCACACATCACAAAGTAGTTTCTGAGAATGATTCTGTCTTGTTTTTATACGAAGTATATTTCCGTTTCTACGATTGGCCTCAAAGCGATTGAAATCTCCAACTGGAAACTGCACAAACAGGGTGTTTCAAATCTGCTCTGTCTAAAGGAAGGTTCAACTCCGTGAGTTGAATACACACACCACAAATAAGTTACTGAGAATTCTTCTGTCGAACATTACATGAAGAAATCCCGTTTCCAACGAAGGCCTCAAAGAGTTCCAAATATCTACTTGCCGACATGGCAATCACAGTGTTTGCAAACTGCTCCGTCAGAAGAAAGGTTAAACTCTGTGAGATGAACACACACATCAAAAAGAAGTTTCTGTGAATGATTGTGTCTAGATTTTATAAGAAGATGTTTCCTTTTCTACCATAGGCCTCAAAGCGCTAGAAATCTCCAGCTGCAAATTCCACAAAAAGTGTGTTTAACATCTGCTCGTTCTAAGGTAAAGTTCAGCTCTGTGATTTGAATACACACAGCACAAAGAAGTTACTGAGACTTCTTCTGTCTAACATTATATGAAGAAATCCCGTTTCCAACGAAGGCCTCAAAGAGGTCCAAATATCCACTTGCAGACTTGTCAAACAGAGTGTTTCCAAACTGCACCATCAAAAGAAAGGTTAAACTCTGTGAGCTGAACACACACATCACAAAGTAGTTTCTGTGAATGATTCTGTCTAGTTTTTATACGAAGATGTTTCCTTTTCTACCTTTGGTCTCAAAGCGATTGAAATCTCCACATGGAAACTCCACAAAAAGAGTGTTTCAAATGTGCTCTTTCTGAAGGAAGGTTCAACTCTGTGAGTTGAATACACACACCACAAATCAGTTACTGAGAATTCTTCTGTGTAACATTATATGAGGAAATCCCGTTTCCAACGAAGGCCTCAAAGAGGTCCAAATATCCACTTGCAGACTTTACAAAGACAGTGTCTCCAAACTCCTCCATCAAAAGAAAGGTTATGCTCTGTGAATTCAACGCACACATCACAAAGTAGTTTCTGAGAATGATTCTGTCTAGTTTTTATACGAAGATATTTCCTTTTCTACATTTGGCCTCAAAGCGCTTGAAATCTCCACCTGCAAATATCACAAAAAGAGGGTTTCACATCTGCTCTGTCTAAAGGACAGTTCACCTCTGTGAGTTGAATAGAGGCAACACAAAGAACTTACTCAGTATTCTTCTTTCTAGCGTTCTATGAAGTAAATCCCGTTTCCAACGAAGGCCTCAAAGAGGTCCAAATATCTGCTTGCAGACTTTACAGACAGAGTGTTTCCAAACTACTCTATGAAAAGAAAGCTTAAACTCCTTGAGTTAAACGCACACATCACAAAGTAGTTTCTGAGAATGATTCTGTCTAGTTTTTATACGAAGATGTTTCCTTTTCTACATTTGGTCTCAAAGCGATTGAAATCTCCAACTGGAAACTGCACAAATAGGCTGTTTCAAATCTGCTCTGTCTAAAGGAAGGTTCAGCTCTGTGAGTTGAATACACACACCACAAATAAGTTACTGAGAAGTCTTCTGTCTAACATTATATGAAGAACTCCCTTTTCCAACGAAGGCCTCAAAGAGGTCCAAATATCCACTTGCAGACTTGTCAAACGGAGTTTTTCCAAACTGCACCATCAAAAGAAAGGTTAAACTCTGTGAGCTGAACACACACATCACAAAGTAGTTTCTGTGAATGATTCTGTCTAGTTTTTATTTGAAGATGTTTCCTTTTCTACCTTTGGTCTCAAAGCGATTGAAATCTCCACATGGAAACTCCACTAAAAGAGTGTTTCAAATCTGCTCTTTCTGAAGGAAGGTTCAACTCTGTGAGTTGAATACACACACCACAAATAAGTTACTGAGAATTCTTCTGGGTAACATTATATGAGGAAATCCCGTTTCCAACGAAGGCCTCAAAGAGGTCCAAATATCCACTTGCAGACTTTACAAAGACAGTGTCTCCAAACTCCTCCATCAAAAGAAAGGTTATACTCTGTGAATTGAACGCACACATCACAAAGTAGTTTCTGAGAATGATTCTGTCTAGTTTTTATACGAAGATATTTCCTTTTCTACATTTGGCCTAAAAGCGCTTGAAATCTCCACCTGCAAATATCACAAAAAGAGGGTTTCACATCTGCTCTGTCTAAAGGACAGTTCACCTCTGTGAGTTGAATAGAGGCAACACAAAGAACGTACTCAGTATTCTTCTTTCTAGCGTTCTATGAAGAAATCCCGTTTCCAACGAAGACCCCAATGAGGTCCAAATATCTGCTTGCAGACTTTACAGACAGAGTGTTTCCAAAGTACTCTATGAAAAGAAAGCTTAAACTCCATGAGTTGAACGCACACATCACAAAGTAGTTTCTGAGAATGATGCTGTCTAGTTTTTGTACGAAGATGTTTCCTTTTCTACATTTGGTCTCAAAGCCATTGAAATCTCCAACTGGAAACTGCACAAATAGGGTGTTTCAAATCTGCTCTGTCTAAAGGAAGGTTCAACTCTGTGAGTTGAATACACACACCATAAATAAGTTACTGAGAATTCTTCTGTCGAACATTACATGAAGAAATCCCGTTTCCAACGAAGGCCTCAAAGAGGTCCAAATATCCACTTGCAGACATTACAAACAGAGTGTTTCCAAACTGCTCCATCAAAAGAAAGGTTAAACTCTGTGAGCTGAACACACACATCAAAAAGAAGTTTCTGTGAATGATTCTGTCTAGATTTTATAAGAAGATGTTTCCTTTTCTACCGTAGGCCTCAAAGCGCTTGAAATCTCCAGCTGCAAATTCCACAAAAAGGGTGTTTAACATCTGCTCTTCTAAAGGAAAGTTCAACTCTATGAGTTGAATACACACAGCACAAAGAAGTTACTGAGACTTCTCCTATCAAACATTATATGAAGATATCCTGTTTCCAACGAAGGCCTCAAAGAGGTCCAAATATCTGCTTACAGACTTTACAGACAGAGTTTTTCCACACTGCTCCATCAAAAGAAAGGTTAAACTCCTTGAGTTGAACACACACATCACAAAGTAGTTTCTGTGAATGATTCTGTCTAGTTTTTATACGAAGATGTTTCCTTTTCTACCTTTGGTCTCAAAGCGATTGAAATCTCCACATGGAAACTCCACAAAAAGAGTGTTTCAAATCTGCTCTTTCTGAAGGAAGGTTCAACTCTTGTGAGTTGAATACACACACCACAAATAAGTTACTGAGAATTCTTCTGTGTAACATTATATGAGGAAATCCCGTTTCCAACGAAGGCCTCAAAGAGGTCCAAATATGCACTTGCAGACTTTACAAAGACAGTGTCTCCAAACTCCTCCATCAAAAGAAAGGTTATACTCTGTGAATTGAACGCACACATCACAAAGTAGTTTCTGAGAATGATTCTGTCTAGTTTTTATACGAAGATATTTCCTTTTCTACATTTGGCCTAAAAGCGCTTGAAATCTCCACCTGCAAATATCACAAAAAGAGGGTTTCACATCTGCTCTGTCTAAAGGACAGTTCACCTCTGTGAGTTGAATAGAGGCAGCACAAAGAAGTTACTGAGTATTCTTCTTTCTAGCGTTCTATGAAGAAATCCCGTTTCCAACGAAGGCCTCAAAGAGGTCAAATATCTGCTTGCAGACTTTACAGACAGAGTGTTTCCAAACTACTCTATGAAAAGAAAGCTTAAACTCCTTGAGTTGAACGCACACATCACAAAGTAGTTTCTGAGAATGATTCTGTCTAGTTTTTATACGAAGATGTTTCCTTTTCTACATTTGGTCTCAAAGCTCTTGAAATCTCCAACTGGAAACTGCACAAATAGGCTGTTTCAAATCTGCTCTGTCTAAAGGAAGGTTCAACTCTGTGAGTTGAATACACACACCACAAATAAGTTACTGAGAATTCTTCTGTCGAACATTACTTGAAGAAATCCCGTTTCCAAAGAAGGCCTCAAAGAGGTCCAAATATCCACTTGCAGACATTACAAACAGAGTGTTTCCAAACTGCTCCATCAAAAGAAAGGTTAAACTCTGTGAGCTGAACACACACATCAAAAAGAAGTTTCTGTGAATGATTCTGTCTAGATTTTATAAGAAGATGTTTCCTTTTCTACCGTAGGCCTCAAAGCGCTTGAAATCTCCAGCTGCAAATTCCACAAAAAGGGTGTTTAACATCTGCTCTTCTAAAGGAAAGTTCAACTCTATGAGTTGAATACACACAGCACAAAGAAGTTACTGAGACTTCTCCTATCAAACATTATATGAAGAAATCCCGTTTCCAACGAAGGCCCCAAAAGGTCCAAATATCTGCTTGCAGACTTTACAGACAGAGTTTTTCCAAACAGCTCCATCAAAAGAAAGGTTAAACTCCTTGAGTTGAACACACACATCACAAAGTAGTTTCTGTGAATGATTCTGTCTAGTTTTTATACGAAGATGTTTCCTTTTCTACCTTTGGTCTCAAAGCGATTGAAATCTCCACATGGAAACTCCACAAAAAGAGTGTTTCAAATCTGCTCTTTCTGAAGGAAGGTTCAACTCTGTGAGTTGAATACACACACCACAAATAAGTTACTGAGAATTCTTCTGTGGAACATTATATGAGGAAATCCCGTTTCCAACGAAGGCCTCAAAGAGGTCCAAATATCCACTTGCAGACTTTACAAAGACAGTGTCTCCAAACTCCTCCATCAAAACAAAGGTTATACTCTGTGAATTGAACGCACACATCACAAAGTAGTTTCTGAGAATGATTCTGTCTAGTTTTTATACGAAGATATTTCCTTTTCTACATTTGGCCTAAAAGCGCTTGAAATCTCCACCTGCAAATATCACAAAAAGAGGGTTTCACATCTGCTCTGTCTAAAGGACAGTTCACCTCTGTGAGTTGAATAGAGGCAACACAAAGAACTTACTCAGTATTCTTCTTTCTAGCATTCTATGAAGAAATCCCATTTCCAACGAAGGCCCCAAAGAGGTCCAAATATCTGCCTGCAGACTTTACAGACAGAGTTTTTCCAAACTGCTCCATCAAAAGAAAGGTTAAACTCCTTGAGTTGAACACACACATCACAAAGTAGTTTCTGTGAATGATTCTGTCTAGTTGTTATACGAAGATGTTTCCTTTTCTACCTTTGGTCTCAAAGCGATTGAAATCTCCACATGGAAACTCCACAAAAAGAGTGTTTCAAATCTGCTCTTTCTGAAGGAAGGTTCATCTCTGTGAGTTGAATACACACACCACAAATAAGTTACTGAGAATTCTTCTGTGTAACATTATATGAGGAAATCCCGTTTCCAACGAAGGCCTCAAAGAGGTCCAAATATCCACTTGCAGACTTTACAAAGACAGTGTCTCCAAACTCCTCCATCAAAAGAAAGGTTATACTCTGTGAATTGAACGCACACATCACAAAGTAGTTTCTGAGAATGATTCTGTCTAGTTTTTATACGAAGATATTTCCTTTTCTACATTTGGCCTAAAAGCGCTTGAAATCTCCACCTGCAAATATCACAAAAAGAGGGTTTCACATCTGCTCTGTCTAAAGGACAGTTCACCTCTGTGAGTTGAATAGAGGCAACACAAAGAACTTACTCAGTATTCTTCTTTCTAGCGTTCTATGAAGAAATCCCGTTTCCAACGAAGGCCCCAAAGAGGTCCAAATATCTGCTTGCACACTTTACAGACAGAGTGTTTCCAAACTACTCTATGAAAAGAAAGCTTAAACTCCTTGAGTTGAACGCACACATCACAAAGAGTTTCTGAGAATGATTCTGTCTAGTTTTTATACGAAGATGTTTCCTTTTCTACATTTGGTCTCAAAGCGATTGAAATCTCCAACTGGAAACTGCACAAATAGGGTGTTTCAAATTTGCTCTGTCTAAAGGAAGGTTCAACTCTGTGAGTTGAATACACACACCACAAATAAGTTACTGAGAATTCTTCTCCCGAACATTACTTGAAGAAATCCCGTTTCCAACGAAGGCCTCAAAGAGGTCCAAATATCCACTTGCAGACATTACAAACAGAGTGTTTCCAAACTGCTCCATCAAAAGAAAGGTTAAACTCTGTGAGCTGAACACACACATCAAAAAGAAGTTTCTGTGAATGATTCTGTCTAGATTTTATAAGATGTTTCCTTTTCTACCGTAGGCCTCAAAGCGCTGGAAATCTCCAGCTGCAAATTCCACAAAAAGGGTGTTTAACATCTGCTCTTCTAAAGGAAAGTTCAACTCTATGAGTTGAATACACACAGCACAAAGAAGTTACTGAGACTTCTCCTATCAAACATTATATGAAGAAATCCCGTTTCCAACGAAGGCCTCAAAGAGGTCCAAATATCTGCTTGCAGACTTTACAGACAGAGTGTTTCCAAACTGCTCCATCAAAAGAAAGGTTAAACTCCTTGAGTTGAACACACACATCACAAAGTAGTTTCTGTGAATGATTCTGTCTAGTTGTTATACGAAGATGTTTCCTTTTCTACCTTTGGTCTCAAAGCGATTGAAATCTCCACATGGAAACTCCACAAAAAGAGTGTTTCAAATCTGCTCTTTCTGAAGGAAGGTTCATCTCTGTGAGTTGAATATACACACCACAAATAAGTTACTGAGAATTCTTCTGTGTAACATTATATGAGGAAATCCCGTTTCCAACGAAGGCCTCAAAGAGGTCCAAATATCCACTTGCAGACTTTACAAAGACAGTGTCTCCAAACTCCTCCATCAAAAGAAAGGTTATACTCTGTGAATTGAACGCACACATCACAAAGTAGTTTCTGAGAATGATTTCTGTCTAGTTTTTATACGAAGATATTTCCTTTTCTACATTTGGCCTAAAAGCGCTTGAAATCTCCACCTGCAAATATCACAAAAAGAGGGTTTCACATCTGCTCTGTCTAAAGGACAGTTCACCTCTGTGAGTTGAATAGAGGCAACACAAAGAACTTACTCAGTATTCTCTTTCTAGCGTTCTATGAAGAAATCCCGTTTCCAACGAAGGCCCCAAAGAGGTCCAAATATCTGCTTGCAGACTTTACAGACAGAGTGTTTCCAAACTACTCTATGAAAAGAAAGCTTAAACTCCTTGAGCTGAACGCACACATCACAAAGAAGTTTCGGAGAATGATTCTGTCTAGTTTTTATACGAAGATGTTTCCTTTTCTACATTTGGTCTCAAAACGATTGAAATCTCCAACTGGAAACTGCACAAATAGGGTGTTTCAAATCTGCTCTGTTTAAAGGAAGTTTCAACTCTGTGAGTTGAATACACACACCACAAATAAGTTACTGAGAATTCTTCTGTCGAACATTACTTGAAGAAATCCCGTTTCCAACGAAGGCCTCAAAGAGGTCCAAATATCCACTTGCAGACATTACAAACAGAGTGTTTCCAAACTGCTCCATCAAAAGAAAGGTTAAACTCTGTGAGCTGAACACACACATCGAAAAGAAGTTTCTGTGAATGATTCTGTCTAGATTTTATAAGAAGATGTTTCCTTTTCTACCGTAGGCCTCAAAGCGCTTGAAATCTCCAGCTGCAAATTCCACAAAAAGGGTGTTTAACATCTGCTCTTCTAAAGGAAAGTTCAACTCTATGAGTTGAATACACACAGCACAAAGAAGTTACTGAGACTTCTCCTATCAAACATTATATGAAGAAATCCCGTTTCCAACGAAGGCCTCAAAGAGGTCCAAATATCTGCTTGCAGACTTTACAGACAGAGTGTTTCCAAACTGCTCCATCAAAAGAAAGGTTAAACTCCTTGAGTTGAACACACACATCACAAAGTAGTTTCTGTGAATGATTCTGTCTAGTTTTTATACGAAGATGTTTCCTTTTCTACCTTTGGTCTCAAAGCGATTGAAATCTCCACATGGAAACTCCACAAAAAGAGTGTTTCAAATCTGCTCTTTCTGAAGGAAGGTTCAACTCTGTGAGTTGAATACACACACCACAAATAAGTTACTGAGAATTCTTCTGTGTAACATTATATGAGGAAATCCCGTTTCCAACGAAGGCCTCAAAGAGGTCCAAATATCCACTTGCAGACTTTACAAAGACAGTGTCTCCAAACTCCTCCATCAAAAGAAAGGTTATACTCTGTGAATTGAACGCACACATCACAAAGTAGTTTCTGAGAATGATTCTGTCTAGTTTTTATACGAAGATATTTCCTTTTCTACATTTGGCCTAAAAGCGCTTGAAATCTCCACCTGCAAATATCACAAAAAGAGGGTTTCACATCTGCTCTGTCTAAAGGACAGTTCACCTCTGTGAGTTGAATAGAGGCAACACAAAGAACGTACTCAGTATTCTTCTTTCTAGCGTTCTATGAAGAAATCCCGTTTCCAACGAAGGCCTCAAAGAGGTCAAATATCTGCTTGCAGACTTTACAGACAGAGTGTTTCCAAACTACTCTATGAAAAGAAAGCTTAAACTCCTTGAGTTGAACGCACACATCACAAAGTAGTTTCTGAGAATGATTCTGTCTAGTTTTTATACGAAGATGTTTCCTTTTCTACATTTGGTCTCAAAGCGATTGAAATCTCCAACTGGAAACTGCACAAATAGGGTGTTTGAAATCTGCTCTGTCTAAAGGAAGGTTCAACCCTGTGAGTTGAATACACACACCACAAATAAGTTACTGAGAATTCTTCTGTCGAACATTACATGAAGAAATCCCGTTTCCAACGAAGGCCTCAAAGAGGTCCAAATATCCACTTGCAGACATTACAGAGTGTTTCCAAACTGCTCCATCAAAAGAAAGGTTAAACTCTGTGAGCTGAACACACACATCAAAAAGAAGTTTCTGTGAATGATTCTGTCTAGATTTTATAAGAAGATGTTTCCTTTTCTACCGTAGGCCTCAAAGCGCTTGAAATCTCCAGCTGCAAATTCCACAAAAAGGGTGTTTAACATCTGCTCTTCTAAAGGAAAGTTCAACTCTATGAGTTGAATACACACAGCACAAAGAAGTTACTGAGACTTCTCCTCTCAAACATTATATGAAGAAATCCCGTTTCCAACGAAGGCCTCAAAGAGGTCCAAATATCTGCTTGCAGACTTTACAGACAGAGTTTTTCCATACTGCTCCATCAAAAGAAAGGTTAAACTCCTTGAGTTGAACACACACATCACAAAGTAGTTTCTGTGAATGATTCTGTCTAGTTTTTATACGAAGATGTTTCCTTTTCTACCTTTGGTCTCAAAGCGATTGAAATCTCCACATGGAAACTACACAAAAAGAGTGTTTCAAATCTACTCTTTCTGAAGGAAGGTTCAACTCTGTGAGTTGAATATACACACCACAAATAAGTTACTGAGAATTCTTCTGTGTAACATTATATGAGGAAATCCCGTTTCCAACGAAGGCCACAAAGAGGTCCAAATATCCACTTGCAGACTTTTCAAAGACAGTGTCTGCAAACTCCTCCATCAAAAGAAAGGTTATACTCTGTGAATTGAACGCACACATCACAAAGTAGTTTCTGAGAATGATTCTGTCTAGTTTTTATACGAAGAATATTTCCTTTTCTACATTTGGCCTAAAAGCGCTTGAAATCTCCACCTGCAAATATCACAAAAAGAGGGTTTCACATCTGCTCTGTCTAAAGGACAGTTCACCTCTGTGAGTTGAATAGAGGCAACACAAAGAACTTACTCAGTATTCTTCTTTCTAGCGTTGTATGAAGAAATCCCGTTTCCAATGAAGGCCTCAAAGAGGTCCAAATATCTGCTTGCAGACTTTACAGACAGAGTGTTTCCAAACTACTCTATGAAAAGAAAGCTTAAACTCCGTGAGTTGAACGCACACATCACAAAGTAGTTTCTGAGAATGATTCTGTCTTGTTTTTATACGAAGATATTTCCGTTTCTACGATTGGCCTCAAAGCGATTGAAATCTCCAACTGGAAACTGCACAAACAGGGTGTTTCAAATCTGCTCTGTCTAAAGGAAGGTTCAACTCTGTGAGTTGAATACACACACCTCAAATAAGTTACTGAGAATTCTTCTGTCGAACATTACTTGAAGAAATCCCGTTTCCAACGAAGGCCTCAAAGAGGTCCAAATATCCACTTGCAGATATTACAAACAGAGTGTTTCCAAACTGCTCCATCAAAAGAAAGGTTAAACTCTGTGAGCTGAACACACACATCAAAAAGAAGTTTCTGTGAATGATTCTGTCTAGATTTTATAAGAAGATGTTTCCTTTTCTACCGTAGGCCTCAAAGCGCTTGAAATCTCCAGCTGCAAATTCGACAAAAAGGGTGTTTAACATCTGCTCTTCTAAAGGAAAGTTCAACTCTATGAGTTGAATACACACAGCACAAAGAAGATACTGAGACTTCTTCTTTCTAGCATTCTATGAAGAAATCCCGTTTCCAACGAAGGCCCCAAAGAGGTCCAAATATCTGCTTGCAGACTTTACAGACAGAGTTTTTCCAAACTGCTCCATCAAAAGAAAGGTTAAACTCCTTGAGTTGAACACACACATCACAAAGTAGTTTCTGTGAATGATTCTGTCTAGTTGTTATACGAAGATGTTTCCTTTTCTACCTTTGGTCTCAAAGCGATTGAAATCTCCACATGGAAACTCCACAAAAAGAGTGTTTCAAATCTGCTCTTTCTGAAGGAAGGTTCATCTCTGTGAGTTGAATACACACACCACAAATAAGTTACTGAGAATTCTTCTGTGTAACATTATATGAGGAAATCCCGTTTCCAACGAAGGCCTCAAAGAGGTCCAAATATCCACTTGCAGACTTTACAAAGACAGTGTCTCCAAACTCCTCCATCAAAAGAAAGGTTATACTCTGTGAATTGAACGCACACATCACAAAGTAGTTTCTGAGAATGATTCTGTCTAGTTTTCATACGAAGATATTTCCTTTTCTACATTTGGCCTAAAAGCGCTTGAAATCTCCACCTGCAAATATCACAAAAAGAGGGTTTCACATCTGCTCTGTCTAAAGGACAGTTCACCTCTGTGAGTTGAATAGAGGCAACACAAAGAACTTACTCAGTATTCTTCTTTCTAGCGTTCTATGAAGAAATCCCGTTTCCAACGAAGGCCTCAAAGAGGTCAAATATCTGCTTGCAGACTTTACAGACAGAGTGTTTCCAAACTACTCTATGAAAAGAAAGCTTAAACTCCTTGAGTTGAACGCACACATCACAAAGTAGTTTCTGAGAATGATTCTGTCTAGTTTTTATACGAAGATGTTTCCTTTTCTACATTTGGTCTCAAAGCGATTGAAATCTCCAACTGGAAACTGCACAAATAGGGTGTTTCAAATCTGCTCTGTCTAAAGGAAGGTTCAACTCTGTGAGTTGAATACACACACCACAAATAAGTTACTGAGAATTCTTCTGTCGAACATTACAGGAAGAAATCCCGTTTCCAACGAAGGCCTCAAAGAGGTCCAAATATCCACTTGCAGACATTACAAACAGTGTGTTTCCCAACTGCTCCATCAAAAGAAAGGTTAAACTCTGTGAGCTGAACACACACATCAAAAAGAAGTTTCTGTGAATGATTCTGTCTAGATTTTATAAGAAGATGTTTCCTTTTCTAACGTAGGCCTCAAAGCGCTTGAAATCTCCAGCTGCAAATTCCACAAAAAGGGTGTTTAACATCTGCTCTTCTAAAGGAAAGTTCAACTCTATGAGTTGAATACACACAGCACAAAGAAGTTACTGAGACTTCTCCTATCAAACATTATATGAAGAAATCCCGTTTCCAACGAAGGCCTCAAAGAGGTCCAAATATCTGCTTGCAGACATTACAGACAGAGTGTTTCCAAACTGCTCCATCAAAAGAAAGGTTAAACTCCTTGAGTTGAACACACACATCACAAAGTAGTTTCTGTGAATGATTCTGTCTAGTTTTTATACGAAGATGTTTCCTTTTCTACCTTTGGTCTCAAAGCGATTGAAATCTCCACATGGAAACTCCACAAAAAGAGTGTTTCAAATCTGCTCTTTCTGAAGGAAGGTTCATCTCTGTGAGTTGAATACACACACCACAAATAAGTTACTGAGAATTCTTCTGGGTAACATTATATGAGGAAATCCCGTTTCCAACGAAGGCCTCAAAGAGGTCCAAATATCCACTTGCAGACTTTACAAAGACAGTGTCTCCAAACTCCTCCATCAAAAGAAAGGTTATACTCTGTGAATTGAACGCACACATCACAAAGTAGTTTCTGAGAATGATTCTGTCTAGTTTTTATACAGAAGATATTTCCTTTTCTACATTTGGCCTAAAAGCGCTTGAAATCTCCACCTGCAAATATCACAAAAAGAGGGTTTCACATCTGCTCTGTCTAAAGGACAGTTCACCTCTGTGAGTTGAATAGAGGCAACACAAAGAACTTACTCAGTATTCTTCTTTCTAGCGTTCTATGAAGAAATCCCGTTTCCAACGAAGGCCCCAAAGAGGTCCAAATATCTGCTTGCAGACTTTACAGACAGAGTGTTTCCAAACTACTCTATGAAAAGAAAGCTTAAACTCCTTGAGTTGAACGCACACATCACAAAGTAGTTTCTGAGAATGATTTTGTCTAGTTTTTATACGAAGATGTTTCCTTTTCTACATTTGGTCTCAAAGCGATTGAAATCTCCAACTGGAAACTGCACAAATAGGGTGTTTCAAATCTGCTCTGCCTAAAGGAAGGTTCAACTCTGTGAGTTGAATACACACACCACAAATAAGTTACTGAGAATTCTTCTGTCGAACATTACAGGAAGAAATCCCGTTTCCAACGAAGGCCTCAAAGAGGTCCAAATATCCACTTGCAGACATTACAAACAGAGTGTTTCCAAACTGCTCCATCAAAAGAAAGGTTAAACTCTGTGAGCTGAACACACACATCAAAAAGAAGTTTCTGTGAATGATTCTATCTAGATTTTATAAGAAGATGTTTCCTTTTCTACTGTAGGCCTCAAAGCGTTTGAAATCTCCAGCTGCAAATTCCACAAAAAGGGTGCTTAACATCTGCTCTTCTAAAGGAAAGTTCAACTCTATGAGTTGAATACACACAGCACAAAGAAGTTACTGAGACTTCTCCTATCAAACATTATATGAAGAAATCCCGTTTCCAACGAAGGCCTCAAAGAGGTCCAAATATCTGCTTGCAGACTTTACAGACAGAGTATTTCCAAACTGCTCCATCAAAAGAAAGGTTAAACTCCTTGAGTTGAACACACACATCACAAAGTAGTTTCTGTGAATGATTCTGTCTAGTTTTTATACGAAGATGTTTCCTTTTCTACCTTTGGTCTCAATGCGATTGAAATCTCCACATGGAAACTCCACAAAAAGAGTGTTTCAAATCTGCTCTTTCTGAAGGAAGGTTCATCTCTGTGAGTTGAATACACACACCACAAATAAGTTACTGAGAATTCTTCTGTGTAACATTATATGAGGAAATCCCGTTTCCAACGAAGGCCTCAAAGAGGTCCAAATATCCACTTGCAGACTTTACAAAGACAGTGTCTCCAAACTCCTCCATCAAAAGAAAGGTTATACTCTGTGAATTGAACGCACACATCACAAAGTAGTTTCTGAGAATGATTCTGTCTAGTTTTTATACGAAGATATTTCCTTTTCTACATTTGGCCTAAAAGCGCTTGAAATCTCCACCTGCAAATATCACAAAAAGAGGGTTTCACATCTGCTCTGTCTAAAGGACAGTTCACCTCTGTGAGTTGAATAGAGGCAACACAAAGAACTTACTCAGTATTCTTCTTTCTAGCATTCTATGAAGAAATCCCATTTCCAACGAAGGCCCCAAAGAGGTCCAAATATCTGCCTGCAGACTTTACAGACAGAGTTTTTCCAAACTGCTCCATCAAAAGAAAGGTTAAACTCCTTGAGTTGAACACACACATCACAAAGTAGTTTCTGTGAATGATTCTGTCTAGTTTTTATACGAAGATGTTTCCTTTTCTACCTTTGGTCTCAAAGCGATTGAACTCTCCACATGGAAACTCCACCAAAAGAGTGTTTCAAATCTGCTCTCTCTGAAGGAAGGTTCAACTCTGTGAGTTGAATACAGACACCACAAATAAGTTACTGAGAATTCTCCTATCAAACATTATATGAAGAAATCCCGTTTCCAACGAAGGCCTCAAAGAGGTCCAAATATCTGCTTGCAGACTTTACAAAGACAGTGTCTCCAAACTCCTCCATCAAAAGAAAGGTTATACTCTGTGAATTGAACGCACACATCAGAAAGTAGTTTCTGAGAATGATTCTGTCTAGTTTTTATACGAAGATATTTCCTTTTCTACATTTGGCCCAAAAGCGCTTGAAATCTCCACCTGCAAATATCACAAAAAGAGGGTTTCACATCTGCTCTGTCTAAAGGACAGTTCACCTCTGTGAGTTGAATACAGGCAACACCAAGAACTTACTCAGTATTCTTCTTTCTAGCGTTATATGAAGAAATCCCATTTCCAACGAAGGCCTCAAAGAGGTCCAAATATCTGCTTGCAGACTTTACAGACAGAGTGTTTCCAAACTACTCTATGAAAAGAAAGCTTAAACTCCATGAGTTGAACGCACACATCACAAAGTAGTTTCTGAGAATGATTCTGTCTAGTTTTTATACGAAGATGTTTCCTTTTCTACATTTGGTCTCAAAGCGATTGAAATCTCCAACTGGAAACTGCACAAATAGGGTGTTTCAAATCTGCTCTGTCTAAAGGAAGGTTCAACTCTGTGAGTTGAATACACACACCACAAATAAGTTACTGAGAATTCTTCTGTCGAACATTACTTGAAGAAATTCCGTTTCCAACGAAGGCCTCAAAGAGGTCCAAATATCCACTTGCAGACATTACAAACAGAGTGTTTCCAAACTGCTCCATGAAAAGAAAGGTTAAACTCTGTGAGCTGAACACACACATCAAAAAGAAGTTTCTGTGAATGATTCTGTCTAGATTTTATAAGAAGATGTTTCCTTTTCTACCGTAAGCCTCAAAGCGCTTGAAATCTCCAGCTGCAAATTCCACAAAAAGGGTGTTTAACATCTGCTCTTCTAAAGGAAAGTTCAACTCTATGAGTTGAATACACACAGCACAAAGAAGTTACTGAGACTTCTCCTATCAAACATTATATGAAGAAATCCCGTTTCCAACGAAGGCCTCAAAGAGGTCCAAATATCTGCTTGCAGACTTTAAAGACAGAGTTTTTCCAAACTGCTCCATCAAAAGAAAGGTTAAACTCCTTGAGTTGAACACACACATCACAAAGTAGTTTCTGTGAATGATTCTGTCTAGTTTCTATACGAAGATGTTTCCTTTTCTACGTTTGGTCTCAAAGCGATTGAAATCTCCACATGGAAACTCCACAAAAAGAGTGTTTCAAATCTGCTCTTTCTGAAGGAAGGTTCAACTCTGTGAGTTGAATACACACACCACAAATAAGTTACTGAGAATTCTTCTGTGTAACATTATATGAGGAAATCCCGTTTCCAACGAAGGCCTCAAAGAGGTCCAAATATCCACTTGCAGACTTTACAAAGACAGTGTCTCCAAACTCCTCCATCAAAAGAAAGGTTATACTCTGTGAATTGAACGCACACATCACAAAGTAGTTTCTGAGAATGATTCTGTCTAGTTTTTATACGAAGATATTTCCTTTTCTACATTTGGCCTAAAAGCGCTTGAAATCTCCAGCTGCAAATATCACAAAAAGAGGGTTTCACATCTGCTCTGTCTAAAGGACAGTTCACCTCTGTGAGTTGAATAGAGGCAACACAAAGAACTTACTCAGTATTCTTCTTTCTAGCGTTCTATGAAGAAATCCCGTTTCCAACGAAGGCCCCAAAGAGGTCCAAATATCTGCTTGCAGACTTTACAGACAGAGTGTTTCCAAACTACTCTATGAAAAGAAAGCTTAAACTCCTTGAGTTGAACGCACACATCACAAAGTAGTTTCTGAGAATGATTCTGTCTAGTTTTTATACGAAGATGTTTCCTTTTCTACGTTTGGTCTCAAAGCGATTGAAATCTCCAACTGGAAACTGCACAAATAGGCTGTTTCAAATCTGCTCTGTCTAAAGGAAGGTTCAACTCTGTGAGTTGAATACACACACCACAAATAAGTTACTGAGAATTCTTCTGTCGAACATTACTTGAAGAAATCCCGTTTCCAACGAAGGCCTCAAAGAGGTCCAAATATCCACTTGCAGACATTACAAACAGATTGTTTCCAACCTGCTCCATCAAAAGAAAGGTTAAACTCTGTGAGCTGAACACACACATCAAAAAGAAGTTTCTGTGAATGATTCTGACTAGATTTTATAAGAAGATATTTCCTTTTCTACCGTAGGCCTCAAAGCACTTGAAATCTCCAGCTGCAAATTCCACAAAAAGGGTGTTTAACATCTGCTCTTCTAAAGGAAAGTTCAACTCTATGAGTTGAATACACACAGCACAAAGAAGTTACTGAGACTTCTCCTATCAAACATTATATGAAGAAATCCCGTTTCCAATGAAGGCCTCAAAGAGGTCCAAATATCTGCTTGCAGACATTACAGACAGAGTGTTTCCAAACTGCTCAATCAAAAGAAAGGTTAAACTCCTTGAGTTGAACACACACATCACAAAGTAGTTTCTGTGAATGATTCTGTCTAGTTTTTATACGAAGATGTTTCCTTTTCTACCTTTGGTCTCAATGCGATTGAAATCTCCACATGGAAACTCCACAAAAAGAGTGTTTCAAATCTGCTCTTTCTGAAGGAAGGTTCAACTCTGTGAGTTGAATACACACACCACAAATAAGTTACTGAGAATTCTTCTGTGTAACATTATATGAGGAAATCCCGTTTCCAACGAAGGCCTCAAAGAGGTCCAATTATCCACTTGCAGACTTACAAAGACAGTGTCTCCAAACTCCTCCATCAAAAGAAAGGTTATACTCTGTGAATTGAACGCACACATCACAAAGTAGTTTCTGAGAATGATTCTGTCTAGTTTTTATACGAAGATATTCCCTTTTCTACATTTGGCCTGAAAACGCTTGAAATCTCCACCTGCAAAATATCACAAAAAGAGGGTTTCACATCTGCTCTGTCTAAAGGACAGTTCACCTCTGTGAGTTGAATAGAGGCAACACAAAGAACTTACTCAGTATTCTTCTTTCTAGCATTCTATGAAGAAATCCCGTTTCCAACGAAGGCCCCAAAGAGGTCCAAATATCTGCTTGCAGACTTTACAGACAGAGTTTTTCCAAAC
The DNA here is from genome assembly GCF_000001405.40 of Homo sapiens. Lineage (NCBI taxonomy): Eukaryota > Metazoa > Chordata > Mammalia > Primates > Hominidae > Homo > Homo sapiens. The sequence goes on along the minus strand of NC_000012.12, from coordinate 36,125,619 downwards.
TGCTCCATCAAAAGAAAGGTTAAACTGCTTGAGTTGAACACACACATCACAAAGTAGTTTCTGTGAATGATTCTGTCTAGTTTTTATAAGAAGATGTTTCCTTTTCTACCTTTGGTCTCAAAGCGATTGAAATCTCCACATGGAAACTCCTCATAAAGAGTGTTTCAAATCTGCTCTTTCTGAAGGAAGGTTCAACTCTGTGAGTTGAATACACACACCACAAATAAGTTACTGAGAATTCTTCTGTGTAACATTATATGAGGAAATCCCGTTTCCAACGAAGGCCTCAAAGAGGTCCAAATATCCACTTGCAGACTTTACAAAGACAGTGTCTCCAAACTCCTCCATCAAAAGAAAGGTTATACTCTGTGAATTGAACGCACACATCACAAAGTGGTTTCTGAGAATGATTCTGTCTAGTTTTTATACGAAGATATTTCCTTTTCTACATTTGGCCTAAAAGCGCTTGAAATCTCCACCTGCAAATATCACAAAAACAGGATTTCACATCTGCTCTGTCTAAAGGACAGTTCACCTCTGTGAGTTGAATAGAGGCAGCACAAAGAAGTTACTGAGTATTCTTCTTTCTAGCGTTACATGAAGAAATCCCGTTTCCAACGAAGGCCTCAAAGAGGTCCAAATATCTGCTTGCAGACTTTACAGACAGAGTGTTTCCAAACTACTCTATGAAAAGAAAGCTTAAACTCTTTGAGTTGAACGCACACATCACAAAGTAGTTTCTGAGAATGATTCTGTCTAGTTTTTATACGAAGATGTTTCCTTTTCTACATTTGGTCTCAAAGCGATTGAAATCTCCAACTGGAAACTGCACAAATAGGGTGTTTCAAATCTGCTCTGTCTAAAGGAAGGTTCAACTCTGTGAGTTGAATACACACACCACAAATAAGTTACTGAGAATTCTTCTGTCGAACATTACTTGAAGAAATCCCGTTTCCAACGAAGGCCTCAAAGAGGTCCAAATATCCACTTGCGGACATTACAAACAGTGTGTTTCCCAACTGCTCCATCAAAAGAAAGGTTAAACTCTGTGAGCTGAACACACACATCAAAAAGAAGTTTCTGTGAATGATTCTGTCTAGATTTTATAAGAAGATGTTTCCTTTTCTACCGTAGGCCTCAAAGCGCTTGAAATCTCCAGCTGCAAATTCCACAAAAAGGGTGTTTAACATCTGCTCTTCTAAAGGAAAGTTCAACTCTATGAGTTGAATACACACAGCACAAAGAAGTTACTGAGACTTCTCCTATCAAACATTATATGAAGAAATCCCGTTTCCAACGAAGGCCTCAAAGAGGTCCAAATGTCTGCTTGCAGACTTTACAGACAGAGTGTTTCCAAACTGCTCCATCAAAAGAAAGGTTAAACTCCTTGAGTTGAACACACACATCACAAAGTAGTTTCTGTGAATGATTCTGTCTAGTTGTTATACGAAGATGTTTCCTTTTCTACCTTTGGTCTCAAAGCGATTGAAATCTCCACATGGAAACTCCACAAAAAGAGTGTTTCAAATCTGCTCTTTCTGAAGGAAGGTTCATCTCTGTGAGTTGAATACACACACCACAAATAAGTTACTGAGAATTCTTCTGTGTAACATTATATGAGGAAATCCCGTTTCCAACGAAGGCCTCAAAGAGGTCCAAATATCCACTTGCAGACTTTACAAAGACAGTGTCTCCAAACTCCTCCATCAAAAGAAAGGTTATACTCTGTGAATTGAATGCACACATCACAAAGTAGTTTCTGAGAATGATTCTGTCTAGTTTTTATACAAAGATATTTCCTTTTCTACATTTGGCCTAAAAGCGCTTGAAATCTCCACCTGCAAATATCACAAAAAGAGGGTTTCACATCTGCTCTGTCTAAAGGACAGTTCACCTCTGTGAGTTGAATAGAGGCAACACAAAGAACTTACTCAGTATTCTTCTTTCTAGCGTTATATGAAGAAATCCCGTTTCCAACGAAGGCCTCAAAGAGGTCCAAATATCTGCTTGCAGACTTTACAGACAGAGTGTTTCCAAACTACTCTATGAAAAGAAAGCTTAAACTCCTTGAGTTGAACGCACACATCACAAAGTAGTTTCTGAGAATGATTCTGTCTTGTTTTTATACAAAGTTATTTCTGTTTCTATGATTGGCCTCAAAGTGATTGAAATCTCCAACTGGAAACTGCACAAATAGGGTGTTTCAAATCTGCTCTGTCTAAAGGAAGGTTCAACTCTGTGAGTTGAATACACACACCACAAATAAGTTACTGAGAATTCTTCTGTCGAACATTACATGAAGAAATCCCGTTTCCAACGAAGGCCTCAAAGACGTCCAAATATCCACTTGCAGACATTACAAAGAGAGTGTTTCCAAACTGCTCCATCAAAAGAAAGGTTAAACTCTGTGAGCTGAACACACACATCAAAAAGAAGTTTCTGTGAATGATTCTGTCTAGATTTTATAAGAAGATGTTTCCTTTTCTACCGTAGGCCTCAAAGCGCTTGAAATCTCCAGCTGCAAATTCCACAAAAAGGGTGTTTAACATCTGCTCTTCTAAAGGAAAGTTCAACTCTATGAGTTGAATACACACAGCACAAAGAAGTTACTGAGACTTCTCCTATCAAACATTATATGAAGAAATCCCATTTCCAACGAAGGCCTAAAAGAGGTCCAAATATCTGCTTGCAGACTTTACAGACAGAGTGTTTCCAAACTGCTCCATCAAAAGAAAGGTTAAACTCCTTGAGTTGAACACACACATCACAAAGTAGTTTCTGTGAATGATTCTGTCTAGTTTTTATACGAAGATGTTTCCTTTTCTACCTTTGGTCTCAAAGCGATTGAAATCTCCACATGGAAACTCCACAAAAAGAGTGGTTCAAATCTGCTCTTTCTGAAGGAAGGTTCAACTCTGTGAGTTGAATACACACACCACAAATAAGTTACTGAGAATTCTTCTGTGTAACATTATATGAGGAAATCCCGTTTCCAACGAAGGCCTCAAAGAGGTCCAAATATCCACTTGCAGACTTTACAAAGACAGTGTCTCCAAACTCCTCCATCAAAAGAAAGGTTATACTCTGTGAATTGAACGCACACATCACAAAGTAGTTTCTGAGAATGATTCTGTCTAGTTTTTATACGAAGATATTTCCTTTTCTACATTTGGCCTAAAAGCGCTTGAAATCTCCACCTGCAAATATCACAAAAAGAGGGTTTCACATCTGCTCTGTCTAAAGGACAGTTCACCTCTGTGAGTTGAATAGAGGCAACACAAAGAACTTACTCAGTATTCTTCTTTCTAGCGTTATATGAAGAAATCCCGTTTCCAACGAAGGCCTCAAAGAGGTCCAAATATCTGCTTGCAGACTTTACAGACAGAGTGTTTCCAAACTACTCTATGAAAAGAAAGCTTAAACTCCTTGAGTTGAACGCACACATCACAAAGTAGTTTGCTGAGAATGATTCTGTCTAGTTTTTATACGAAGATGTTTCCTTTTCTACATTTGGTCTCAAAGCGATTGAAATCTCCAACTGGAAACTGCACAAATAGGGTGTTTCAAATCTGCTCTGTCTAAAGGAAGGTTCAACTCTGTGAGTTGAATACACACACCACAAATAAGTTACTGAGAATTCTTCTGTCAAACATTACTTGAAGAAATCCCGTTTCCAACGAAGGCCTCAAAGAGGTCCAAATATCCACTTGCAGACATTACAAACAGAGTGTTTCCAAACTGCTCCATCAAAAGAAAGGTTAAACTCTGTGAGCTGAACACACACATCGAAAAGAAGTTTCTGTGAATGATTCTGTCTAGATTTTATAAGAAGATGTTTCCTTTTCTACCGTAGGCCTCAAAGCGCTTGAAATCTCCAGCTGCAAATTCCACAAAAAGGGTGTTTAACATCTGCTCTTCTAAAGGAAAGTTCAACTCTATGAGTTGAATACACACAGCACAAAGAAGTTGCTGAGACTTCTCCTATCAAACATTATATGAAGAAATCCCGTTTCCAACGAAGGCCTCAAAGAGGTCCAAATATCTGCTTGCAGACTTTACAGACAGAGTGTTTCCAAACTGCTCCATCAAAAAGAAAGGTTAAACTCCTTGAGTTGAACACACACATCACAAAGTAGTTTCTGTGAATGATTCTGTCTAGTTTTTATAAGAAGATGTTTCCTTTTCTACCTTTGGTCTCAAAGCGATTGAAATCTCCACATGGAAACTCCTCAAAAAGAGTGTTTCAAATCTGCTCTTTCTGAAGGAAGGTTCAACTCTGTGAGTTGAATACACACACCACAAATAAGTTACTGAGAATTCTTCTGTGTAACATTATATGAGGAAATCCCGTTTCCAACGAAGGCCTCAAAGAGGTCCAAATATCCACTTGCGGACATTACAAACAGTGTGTTTCCCAACTGCTCCATCAAAAGAAAGGTTAAACTCTGTGAGCTGAACACACACATCAAAAAGAAGTTTCTGTGAATGATTCTGTCTAGATTTTATAAGAAGATGTTTCCTTTTCTACCGTAGGCCTCAAAGCGCTTGAAATCTCCAGCTGCAAATTCCACAAAAAGGGTGTTTAACATCTGCTCTTCTAAAGGAAAGTTCAACTCTATGAGTTGAATACACACAGCACAAAGAAGTTACTGAGACTTCTCCTATCAAACATTATATGAAGAAATCCCATTTCCAACGAAGGCCTCAAAGAGGTCCAAATATCTGCTTGCAGACTTTACAGACAGAGTGTTTCCAAACTGCTCCATCAAAAGAAAGGTTAAACTCCTTGAGTTGAACACACACATCACAAAGTAGTTTCTGTGAATGATTCTGTCTAGTTTTTATACGAAGATGTTTCCTTTTCTACCTTTGGTCTCAATGCGATTGAAATCTCCACATGGAAACTCCACAAAAAGAGTGTTTCAAATCTGCTCTTTCTGAAGGAAGGTTCAACTCTGTGAGTTGAATACACACACCACAAATAAGTTACTGAGAATTCTTCTGTGTAACATTATATGAGGAAATCCCGTTTCCAACGAAGGCCTCAAAGAGGTCCAAATATCCACTTGCAGACTTTACAAAGACAGTGTCTCCAAACTCCTCCATCAAAAGAAAGGTTATACTCTGTGAATTGAACGCACACATCACAAAGTAGTTTCTGAGAATGATTCTGTCTAGTTTTTATACGAAGATATTTCCTTTTCTACATTTGGCCTAAAAGCGCTTGAAATCTCCACCTGCAAATATCACAAAAAGAGGGTTTCACATCTGCTCTGTCTAAAGGACAGTTCACCTCTGTGAGTTGAATAGAGGCAACACAAAGAACTTACTCAGTATTCTTCTTTCTAGCGTTCTATGAAGAAATCCCGTTTCCAACGAAGGCCCCAAAGAGGTCCAAATATCTGCTTGCAGACTTTACAGACAGAGTGTTTCCAAACTACTCTATGAAAAGAAAGCTTAAACTCCTTGAGTTGAACGCACACATCACAAAGTAGTTTCTGAGAATGATTCTGTCTAGTTTTTATACGAAGATGTTTCCTTTTCTACATTTGGTCTCAAAGCGATTGAAATCTCCAACTGGAAACTGCACAAATAGGGTGTTTCAAATCTGCTCTGTCTAAAGGAAGGTTCAACTCTGTGAGTTGAATACACACACCACAAATAAGTTACTGAGAATTCTTCTGTCGAACATTACTTGAAGAAATCCCGTTTCCAAAGAAGGCCTCAAAGAGGTCCAAATATCCACTTGCAGACATTACAAACAGAGTGTTTCCAAACTGCTCCATCAAAAGAAAGGTTAAACTCTGTGAGCTGAACACACACATCAAAAAGAAGTTTCTGTGAATGATTCTGTCTAGATTTTATAAGAAGATGTTTCCTTTTCTACCGTAGGCCTCAAAGCGCTTGAAATCTCCAGCTGCAAATTCCACAAAAAGGGTGTTTAACATCTGCTCTTCTAAAGGAAAGTTCAACTCTGTGAGTTGAATACACACAGCACAAAGAAGTTACTGAGACTTCTCCTATCAAACATTATATGAAGAAATCCCGTTTCCAACGAAGGCCTCAAAGAGGTCCAAATATCTGCTTGCAGACTTTACAAAGACAGTGTCTCCAAACTCCTCCATCAAAAGAAAGGTTAAACTCCTTGAGTTGAACACACACATCACAAAGTAGTTTCTGTGAATGATTCTGTCTAGTTTTTATACGAAGATGTTTCCTTTTCTACCTTTGGTCTCAAAGCGATTGAAATCTCCACATGGAAACTCCACAAAAAGAGTGTTTCAAATCTGCTCTTTCTGAAGGAAGGTTCAAATCTGTGAGTTGAATACACACACCACAAATAAGTTACTGAGAATTCTTCTGTGTAACATTATATGAGGAAATCCCGTTTCCAACGAAGGCCTCAAAGAGGACCAAATATCCACTTGCAGACTTTACAAAGACAGTGTCTCGAAACTCCTCCATCAAAAGAAAGGTTATACTCTGTGAATTGAACGCACACATCACAAAGTAGTTTCTGAGAATGATTCTGTCTAGTTTTTATACGAAGGTATTTCCTTTTCTACATTTGGCCTAAAAGCGCTTGAAATCTCCACCTGCAAATATCACAAAAAGAGGGTTTCACATCTGCTCTGTCTAAAGGACAGTTCACCTCTGTGAGTTGAATAGAGGCAACACAAAGAACTTACTCAGTATTCTTCTTTCTAGCATTCTATGAAGAAATCCCGTTTCCAACGAAGGCCTCAAAGAGGTCCAAATATCTGCTTGCAGACTTTACAGACAGAGTTTTTCCAAACTGCTCCATCAAAAGAAAGGTTAAACTCCTTGAGTTGAACACACACATCACAAAGTAGTTTCTGTGAATGATTCTGTCTAGTTTTTATACGAAGATGTTTCCTTTTCTACCTTTGGTCTCAATGCGATTGAAATCTCCACATGGAAACTCCACAAAAAGAGTGTTTCAAATCTGCTCTTTCTGAAGGAAGGTTCAACTCTGTGAGTTGAATACACACACCACAAATAAGTTACTGAGAATTCTTCTGTCGAACATTACTTGAAGAAATCCCGTTTCCAACGAAGGCCTCAAAGAGGTCCAAATATCCACTTGCAGACATTACAAACAGAGTGTTTCCAAACTGCTCCATCAAAAGAAAGGTTAAACTCTGTGAGCTGAACACACACATCAAAAAGAAGTTTCTGTGAATGATTCTGTCTAGATTTTATAAGAAGATGTTTCCTTTTCTTCCGTAGGCCTCAAAGCGCTTGAAATCTCCAGCTGCAAATTCCACAAAAAGGGTGTTTAACATCTGCTCTTCTAAAGGAAAGTTCAACTCAATGAGTTGAATACACACAGCAGAAAGAAGTTACTGAGACTTCTCCTATCAAACATTATATGAAGAAATCCCGTTTCCAACGAAGGCCTCAAAGAGGTCCAAATATCTGCTTGCAGACTTTACAAAGACAGTGTCTCCAAACTCCTCCATCAAAAGAAAGGTTATACTCTGTGAATTGAACGCACACATCACAAAGTAGTTTCTGAGAATGATTCTGTCTAGTTTTTATACGAAGATATTTCCTTTTCTACATTTGGCCTAAAAGCGCTTGAAATCTCCACCTGCAAATATCACAAAAAGAGGGTTTCACATCTGCTCTGTCTAAAGGACAGTTCACCTCTGTGAGTTGAATAGAGGCAACACAAAGAACTTACTCAGTATTCTTCTTTCTAGCGTTCTATGAAGAAATCCCGTTTCCAACGAAGACCCCAATGAAGTCCAAATATCTGCTTGCAGACTTTACAGACAGAGTGTTTCCAAACTACTCTATGAAAAGAAAGCTTAAACTCCTTGAGTTGAACGCACACATCACAAAGTAGTTTCTGAGAATGATGCTGTCTAGTTTTTGTACGAAGATGTTTCCTTTTCTACATTTGGTCTCAAAGCGATTGAAATCTCCAACTGGAAACTGCACAAATAGGGTGTTTCAAATCTGCTCTGTCTAAAGGAAGGTTCAACTCTGTGAGTTGAATACACACACCACAAATAAGTTACTGAGAATTCTTCTGTCGAACATTACAGGAAGAAATCCCGTTTCCAACGAAGGCCTCAAAGAGGTCCAAATATCCACTTGCAGACATTACAAACAGTGTGTTTCCCAACTGCTCCATCAAAAGAAAGGTTAAACTCTGTGAGCTGAACACACACATCAAAAAGAAGTTTCTGTGAATGATTCTGTCTAGATTTTATAAGAAGATGTTTCCTTTTCTACCGTAGGCCTCAAAGCACTTGAAATCTCCAGCTGCAAATTACACAAAAAGGGTGTTTAACATCTGCTCTTCTAAAGGAAAGTTCAACTCTGTGAGTTGAATACACACAGCACAAAGAAGTTACTGAGACTTCTCCTATCAAACATTATATGAAGAAATCCCGTTTCCAACGAAGGCCTCAAAGAGGTCCAAATATCTACTTGCAGACTTTACAGACAGAGTGTTTCCAAACTGCTCCATCAAAAGAAAGGTTAAACTCCTTGAGTTGAACACACACATCACAAAGTAGTTTCTGTGAATGATTCTGTCTAGTTTTTATACGAAGATGTTTCCTTTTCTACCTTTGGTCTCAAAGCGATTGAAATCTCCACATGGAAACTCCACAAAAAGAGTGTTTCAAATCTGCTCTTTCTGAAGGAAGGTTCAACTCTGTGAGTTGAATACACACACCACAAATAAGTTACTGAGAATTCTTCTGGGTAACATTATATGAGGAAATCCCGTTTCCAACGAAGGCCTCAAAGAGGTCCAAATATCCACTTGCAGACTTTACAAAGACAGTGTCTCCAAACTCCTCCATCAAAAGAAAGGTTATACTCTGTGAATTGAACGCACACATCACAAAGTAGTTTCTGAGAATGATTCTGTCTAGTTTTTATACGAAGATATTTCCTTTTCTACATTTGGCCTCAAAGCGCTTGAAATCTCCACCTGCAAATATCACAAAAAGAGGGTTTCACATCTGCTCTGTCTAAAGGACAGTTCACCTCTGTGAGTTGAATAGAGGCAACACAAAGAACTTACTCAGTATTCTTCTTTCTAGCGTTCTATGAAGAAATCCCGTTTCCAACGAAGGCCTCAAAGAGGTCAAAGATCTGCTTGCAGACTTTACAGACAGAGTGTTTCCAAACTACTCTATGAAAAGAAAGCGTAAACTCCTTGAGTTGAACGCACACATCACAAAGTAGTTTCTGAGAATGATTCTGTCTAGTTTTTATACGAAGGTGTTTCCTTTTCTACATTTGGTCTCAAAGCGATTGAAATCTCCAGCTGGAAACTGCACAAATAGGGTGTTTCAAATCTGCTCTGTCTAAAGGAAGGTTCAACTCTGTGAGTTGAATACACACACCACAAATAAGTTACTGAGAATTCTTCTGTCGAACATTACTTGAAGAAATCCCGTTTCCAACGAAGGCCTCAAAGAGGTCCAAATATCCACTTGCAGACGTTACAAACAGAGTGTTTCCAAACTGCTCCATCAAAAGAAAGGTTAAACTCTGTGAGCTGAACACACACATCAAAAAGAAGTTTCTGTGAATGATTCTGTCTAGATTTTATAAGAAGATGTTTCCTTTTCTACCGTAGGCCTCAAAGCGCTTGAAATCTCCAGCTGCAAATTCCACAAAAAGGGTGTTTAACATCTGCTCTTCTAAAGGAATGTTCAACACTATGAGTTGAATACACACAGCACAAAGAAGTTACTGAGACTTCTCCTATCAAACATTATATGAAGAAATCCCGTTTCCAACGAAGGCCTCAAAGAGGTCCAAATATCTGCTTGCAGACTTTACAGTCAGAGTTTTTCCACACTGCTCCATCAAAAGAAAGGTTAAACTCCTTGAGTTGAACACACACATCACAAAGTAGTTTCTGTGAATGATTCTGTCTAGTTTTTATACGAAGATGTTTCCTTTTCTACATTTGGTCTCAAAGCGATTGAAATCTCCACATGGAAACTCCACAAAAAGAGTGTTTCAAATCTGCTCTTTCTGAAGGAAGGTTCAACTCTGTGAGTTGAATACACACACCACAAATAAGTTACTGAGAATTCTTCTGTGTAACATTATATGAGGAAATCCCGTTTCCAACGAAGGCCTCAAAGAGGTCCAAATATCCACTTGCAGACTTTACAAAGACAGTGTCTCCAAACTCCTCCATCAAAAGAAAGGTTATACTCTGTGAATTGAACGCACACATCACAAAGTAGTTTCTGAGAATGATTCTGTCTAGTTTTTATACGAAGATATTTCCTTTTCTACATTTGGCCTAAAAGCGCTTGAAATCTCCACCTGCAAATATCACAAAAAGAGGGTTTCACATCTGCTCTGTCTAAAGGACAGTTCACCTCTGTGAGTTGAATAGAGGCAACACAAAGAACTTACTCAGTATTCTTCTTTCTAGCGTTCTATGAAGAAATCACGTTTCCAACGAAGGCCCCAAAGAGGTCCAAATATCTGCTTGCAGACTTTACAGACAGAGTGTTTCCAAACTACTCTATGAAAAGAAAGCTTAAACTTCTTGAGTTGAACGCACACATCACAAAGTAGTTTCTGAGAATGATTCTGTCTAGTTTTTATACGAAGATGTTTCCTTTTCTACATTTGGTCTCAAAGCGATTGAAATCTCCAACTGGAAACTGCACAAATAGGGTGTTTCAAATCTGCTCTGTCTAAAGGAAGGTTCAACTCTTTGAGTTGAATACACACACCACAAATAAGTTACTGAGAATTCTTCTGTCGAACATTACTTGAAGAAATCCCGTTTCCAAAGAAGGCCTCAAAGAGGTCCAAATATCCACTTGCAGACATTACAAACAGAGTGTTTCCAAACTGCTCCATCAAAAGAAAGGTTAAACTCTGTGAGCTGAACACACACATCAAAAAGAAGTTTCTGTGAATGATTCTGTCTAGATTTTATAAGAAGATGTTTCCTTTTCTACAGTAGGCCTCAAAGCGCTTGAAACCTCCAGCTGCAAATTCCCCAAAAAGGGTGTTTAACATCTGCTCTTCTAAAGGAAAGTTCAACTACTATGAGTTGAATACACACAGCACAAAGAAGTTACTGAGACTTCTCCTATCAAACATTATATGAAGAAATCCCGTTTCCAACGAAGGCCTCAAAGAGGTCCAAATATCTGCTTGCAGACTTTACAGACAGAGTGTTTCCAAACTGCTCCATCAAAAGAAAGGTTAAACTCCTTGAGTTGAACACACACATCACAAAGTAGTTTCTGTGAATGATTCTGTCTAGTTGTTATACGAAGATGTTTCCTTTTCTACCTTTGGTCTCAAAGCGATTGAAATCTCCACATGGAAACTCCACAAAAAGAGTGTTTCAAATCTGCTCTTTCTGAAGGAAGGTTCATCTCTGTGAGTTGAATACACACACCACAAATAAGTTACTGAGAATTCTTCTGTGTAACATTATATGAGGAAATCCCGTTTCCAACGAAGGCCTCAAAGAGGTCCAAATATCCACTTGCAGACTTTACAAAGACAGTGTCTCCAAACTCCTCCATCAAAAGAAAGGTTATACTCTGTGAATTGAACGCACACATCACAAAGTAGTTTCTGAGAATGATTCTGTCTAGTTTTTATACGAAGATATTTCCTTTTCTACATTTGGCCTAAAAGCGCTTGAAATCTCCACCTGCAAATATCACAAAAAGAGGGTTTCAGATCTGCTCTGTCAAAAGGACAGTTCACCTCTGTGAGTTGAATAGAGGCAACACAAAGAACTTACTCAGTATTCTTCTTTCTAGCATTCTATGAAGAAATCCCGTTTCCAACGAAGGCCCCAAAGAGGTCCAAATATCTGCTTGCAGACTTTACAGACAGAGTGTTTCCAAACTACTCTATGAAAAGAAAGCTTAAACTCCTTGAGTTGAACGCACACATCACAAAGTAGTTTCTGAGAATGATTCTGTCTAGTTTTTATACGAAGATGTTTCCTTTTCTACATTTGGTCTCAAAGCGATTGAAATCTCCAACTGGAAACTGCACAAATAGGGTGTTTCAAATCTGCTCTGTCTAAAGGGAAGGTTCAACTCTGTGAGTTGAATACACACACCACAAATAAGTTACTGAGAATTCTTCTGTCGAACATTACATGAAGAAATCCCGTTTCCAACGAAGGCCTCAAAGAGGTCCAAATATCCACTTGCAGAAATTACAAACAGTGTGTTTCCAAACTGCTCCATCAAAAGAAAGGTTAAACTCTGTGAGCTGAACACACACATCAAAAAGAAGTTTCTGTGAATGATTCTGTCTAGATTTTATAAGATGTTTCCTTTTCTACCGTAAGCCTCAAAGCGCTTGAAATCTCCAGCTGCAAATTCCACAAAAAGGGTGTTTAACATCTGCTCTTCTAAAGTAAAGTTCAACTCTATGAGTTGAATACACACAGCACAAAGAAGTTACTGAGACTTCTCCTATCAAACATTATATGAAGAAATCCCGTTTCCAACGAAGGCCTCAAAGAGGTCCAAATATCTGCTTGCAGACTTTACAGACAGAGTGTTTCCAAACTGCTCCATGAAAAGAAAGGTTAAACTCCTTGAGTTGAACACACACATCACAAAGTAGTTTCTGTGAATGATTCTGTCTAGTTTTTATACGAAGATGTTTCCTTTTCTACCTTTGGTCTCAATGCGATTGAAATCTCCACATGGAAACTCCACAAAAAGAGTGTTTCAAATCTGCTCTTTCTGAAGGAAGGTTCAACTCTGTGAGTTGAATACACACACCACAAATAAGTTACTGAGAATTCTTCTGGGTAACATTATATGAGGAAATCCCGTTTCCAACGAAGGCCTCAAAGAGGTCCAAATATCCACTTGCAGACTTTACAAAGACAGTGTCTCCAAACTCCTCCATCAAAAGAAAGGTTATACTCTGTGAATTGAACGCACACATCACAAAGTAGTTTCTGAGAATGATTCTGTCTAGTTTTTATACGAAGATATTTCCTTTTCTACATTTGACCTAAAAGCGCTTGAAATCTCCACCTGCAAATATCCCAAAAAGAGGGTTTCACATCTGCTCTGTCTAAAGGACAGTTCACCTCTGTGAGTTGAATAGAGGCAACACAAAGAACTTACTCAGTATTCTTCTTTCTAGCGTTCTATGAAGAAATCCCGTTTCCAACGAAGGCCTCAAAGAGGTCCAAATATCTGCTTGCAGACTTTACAGACAGAGTGTTTCTAAACTACTCTATGAAAAGAAAGCTTAAACTCCTTGAGTTGAACGAACACATCAGAAAGTAGTTTCTGAGAATGATTCTGTCTAGTTTTTATACGAAGATGTTTCCTTTTCTACATTTCTTCTCAAAGCGTTTGAAATCTCCAAATGGAAACTGCACAAATAGGGTGTTTCAAATCTGCTCTGTCTAAAGGAAGGTTCAACTCTGTGAGTTGAATACACACACCACAAATAAGTTGCTGAGAATTCTTCTGTCGAACATTACTTGAAGAAATCCCGTTTCCAATGAAGGCCTCAAAGAGGTCCAAATATCCACTTGCAGACATTACAAACAGAGTGTTTCCAAACTGCTCCATCAAAAGAAAGGTTAAACTCTGTGAGCTGAACACACACATCAAAAAGAAGTTTCTGTGAATGATTCTGTCTAGATTTTATAAGAAGATGTTTCCTTTTCTACCGTAGGCCTCAAAGCGCTTGAAATCTCCAGCTGCAAATTCCACAAAAAGGGTGTTTAACATCTGCTCTTCTAAAGGAAAGTTCAACTCTATGAGTTGAATACACACAGCACAAAGAAGTTACTGAGACTTCTCCTATCAAACATTATATGAAGAAATCCCGTTTCCAACGAAGGCCTCAAAGAGGTCCAAATATCTGCTTGCAGACTTTACAGACAGAGTGTTTCCAAACTGCTCCATCAAAAGAAAGGTTAAACTCCTTCAGTTGAACACACACATCACAAAGTAGTTTCTGTGAATGATTCTGTCTAGTTGTTATACGAAGATGTTTCCTTTTCTACCTTTGGTCTCAAAGCGATTGAAATCTCCACATGGAAACTCCACAAAAAGAGTGTTTCAAATCTGCTCTTTCTGAAGGAAGGTTCATCTCTGTGAGTTGAATACACACACCACAAATAAGTTACTGAGAGTTCTTCTGTGTAACATTATATGAGGAAATCCCGTTTCCAACGAAGGCCTCAAAGAGGTCCAAATATCCACTTGCAGACTTTACAAAGACAGTGTCTCCAAACTCCTCCATCAAAAGAAAGGTTATACTCTGTGAATTGAACGCACACATCAGAAAGTAGTTTCTGAGAATGATTCTGTCTAGTTTTTATGCGAAGATATTTCCTTTCTACATTTGGCCTAAAAGCGCTTGAAATCTCCACCTGCAAATATCACAAAAAGAGGGTTTCACATCTGCTCTGTCTAAAGGACAGTTCACCTCTGTGAGTTGAATAGAGGCAACACAAAGAACTTACTCAGTATTCTTCTTTCTAGCGTTCTATGAAGAAATCCCGTTTCCAACGAAGGCCTCAAAGAGGTCCAAATATCTTCTTGCAGACTTTACAGACAGAGTGTTTCCAAACTACTCTATGAAAAGAAAGCTTAAACTCCGTGAGTTGAACGCACACATTACAAAGTAATTTCTGAGAATGATTCTGTCTTGTTTTTATACGAAGATATTTCCGTTTCCACGATTGGCCTCAAAGCGATTGAAATCTCCAACTGGAAACTGCACAAATAAGGTGTTTCAAATCTGCTCTGCCTAAAGGAAGGTTCAACTCTTTGAGTTGAATACACACACCACAAATAAGTTACTGAGAATTATTCTCTCGAACATTACATGAAGAAATCCCGTTTCCAACGAAGGCCTCAAAGAGGTCCAAATATCCACTTGCCGACATGGCAAACACAGTGTTTGCAAACTGCTTCGTCAAAAGAAAGGTTAAACTCTGTGAGATGAACACACACATCAAAAAGAAGTTTCTGTGAATGATTCTGTCTAGATTTTATAAGAAGATGTTTCCTTTTCTACTGTAGGCCTCAAAGTGCTTGAAATCTCCAGCTGCAAATTCCACAAAAAGGGTGTTTAACATCTGCTCTTCTAAAGGAAAGTTCAACTCAATGAGTTGAATACACACAGCCCAAAGAAGTTACTGAGACTTCTCCTATCAAACATTATATGAAGAAATCCCGTTTCCAACGAAGGCCTCAAAGAGGTCCAAATATCTGCTTGCAGACTTTACAAAGACAGTGTCTCCAAACTCCTCCATCAAAAGAAAGGTTATACTCTGTGAATTGAACGCACACATCACAAAGTAGTTTCTGAGAATGATTCTGTCTAGTTTTTATACGAAGATATTTCCTTTTCTACATTTGGCCTAAAAGCGCTTGAAATCTCCACCTGCAAATATCACAAAAAGAGGGTTTCACATCTGCTCTGTCTAAAGGACAGTTCACCTCTGTGAGTTGAATAGAGGCAACACAAAGAACGTACTCAGTATTCTTCTTTCTAGCGTTCTATGAAGAAATCCCGTTTACAACGAAGGCCTCAAAGAGGTCCAAATATCTGCTTGCAGACGTTACAGACAGAGTGTTTCCAAACTACTCTATGAAAAGAAAGCTTAAACTCCTTGAGTTGAACGCACACATCACAAAGTAGTTTCTGAGAATGATTCTGTCTTGTTTTTATACGAAGATGTTTCCGTTTTTATGATTGGCCTCAAACCATTGAAATCTCCAACTGGAAACTGCACAAATAGGGTGTTTCAAATCTGCTCTTTCTAAAGGAAGGTTCAACTCTGTGAGTTGAATACACACACCACAAATAAGTTACTGAGAATTCTTCTGTCGAACATTACTTGAAGAAATCCTGTTTCCAACGAAGGCCTCAAAGAGGTCCAAATATCCACTTGCAGACATTACAAACAGAGTGTTTCCAAACTGCTCCATCAAAAGAAAGGTTAAACTCTGTGAGCTGAACACACACATCAAAAAGAAGTTTCTGTGAATGATTCTGTCTAGATTTTATAAGAAGATGTTTCCTTTTCTACCGTAGGCCTCAAAGCGCTTGAAATCTCCAGCTGCAAATTCCACAAAAAGGGTGTTTAACATCTGCTCTTCTAAAGGAAAGTTCAACTCTATGAGTTGAATACACACAGCACAAAGAAGTTACTGAGACTTCTCCTATCAAACATTATATGAAGAAATCCCGTTTCCAACGAAGGCCTCAAAGAGGTCCAAATATCTGCTTGCAGACTTTACAGACAGAGTGTTTCCAAACTGCTCCATCAAAAGAAAGGTTAAACTCCTTGAGTTGAACACACACATCACAAAGTAGTTTCTGTGAATGATTCTGTCTAGTTTTTATACGAAGATGTTTCCTTTTCTACCTTTGGTCTCAAAGCGATTGAAATCTCCACATGGAAACTCCACAAAAAGAGTGTTTCAAATCTGCTCTTTCTGAAGGAAGGTTCATCTCTGTGAGTTGAATACACACACCACAAATAAGTTACTGAGAATTCTTCTGTGTAACATTATATGAGGAAATCCCGTTTCCAACGAAGGCCTCAAAGAGGTCCAAATATCCACTTGCAGACTTTACAAAGACAGTGTCTCCAAACTCCTCCATCAAAAGAAAGGTTATACTCTGTGAATTGAACGCACACATCACAAAGTAGTTTCTGAGAATGATTCTGTCTAGTTTTTATACGAAGATATTTCCTTTTCTACATTTGGCCTAAAAGCGCTTGAAATCTCCACCTGCAAATATCACAAAAAGAGGGTTTCACATCTGCTCTGTCTAAAGGACAGTTCACCTCTGTGAGTTGAATAGAGGCAACACAAAGAACTTACTCAGTATTCTTCTTTCTAGCGTTCTATGAAGAAATCCCGTTTCCAACGAAGGCCCCAAAGAGGTCCAAATATCTGCTTGCAGACTTTACAGACAGAGTGTTTCCAAACTACTCTATGAAAAGAAAGCTTAAACTCCTTGAGTTGAACGCACACATCACAAAGTAGTTTCTGAGAATGATTCTGTCTAGTTTTTATACGAAGATGTTTCCTTTTCTACATTTGGTCTCAAAGCGATTGAAATCTCCAACTGGAAACTGCACAAATAGGGTGTTTCAAATCTGCTCTGTCTAAAGGAAGGTTCAACTCTGTGTGTTGAATACACACACCACAAATAAGTTACTGAGAATTCTTCTGTCGAACATTACTTGAAGAAATCCCGTTTCCAACGAAGGCCTCAAAGAGGTCCAAATATCCACTTGCAGACATTACAAACAGAGTGTTTCCAAACTGCTCCATCAAAAGAAAGGTTAAACTCTGTGAGCTGAACACACACATCAAAAAGAAGTTTCTGTGAATGATTCTGTCTAGATTTTATAAGAAGATGTTTCCTTTTCTACCGTAGGCCTCAAAGCGCTTGAAATCTCCAGCTGCAAATTCCACAAAAAGGGTGTTTAACATCTGCTCTTCTAAAGGAAAGTTCAACTCTATGAGTTGAATACACACAGCACAAAGAAGTTACTGAGACTTCTCCTATCAAACATTATATGAAGAAATCCCGTTTCCATCGAAGGCCTCAAAGAGGTCCAAATATCTGCTTGCAGACTTTACAGACAGAGTGTTTCCAAACTGCTCCATCAAAAGAAAGGTTAAACTCCTTGAGTTGAACACACACATCACAAAGTAGTTTCTGTGAATGATTCTGTCTAGTTTTTATACGAAGATGTTTCCTTTTCTACCTTTGGTCTCAAAGCGATTGAAATCTCCACATGGAAACTCCACAAAAAGAGTGTTTCAAATCTGCTCTTTCTGAAGGAAGGTTCATCTCTGTGAGTTGAATACACACACCACAAATAAGTTACTGAGAATTCTCCCTGTGTAACATTATATGAGGAAATCCCGTTTCCAACAAAGGCCTCAAAGAGGTCCAAATATCCACTTGCAGACTTTACAAAGACAGTGTCTCCAAACTCCTCCATCAAAAGAAAGGTTATACTCTGTGAATTGAACGCACACATCACAAAGTAGTTTCTGAGAATGATTCTGTCTAGTTTTTATACGAAGATATTTCCTTTTCTACATTTGGCCTAAAAGCGCTTGAAATCTCCACCTGCAAATATCACAAAAAGAGGGTTTCACATCTGCTCTGTCTAAAGGACAGTTCACCTCTGTGAGTTGAATAGAGGCAACACAAAGAACTTACTCAGTATTCTTCTTTCTAGCGTTCTATGAAGAAATCCCGTTTCCAACGAAGTCCCCAAAGAGGTCCAAATATCTGCTTGCAGACTTTACAGACAGAGTGTTTCCAAACTACTCTATGAAAAGAAAGCTTAAACTCCTTGAGTTGAACGCACACATCACAATGTAGTTTCTGAGAATGATTCTGTCTAGTTTTTATACGAAGATGTTTCCTTTTCTACATTTGGTCTCAAAGCTCTTGAAATCTCCAACTGGAAACTGCACAAATAGGCTGTTTCAAATCTGCTCTGTCTAAAGGAAGGTTCAACTCTGTGAGTTGAATACACACACCACAAATAAGTTACTGAGAATTCTTCTGTCGACCATTACTTGATGAAATCCCGTTTCCAACGAAGGCCTCAAAGAGGTCCAAATATCCACTTGCAGACATTACAAACAGAGTGTTTCCAAACAGCTCCATCAAAAGAAAGGTTAAACTCTGTGAGCTGAACACACACATCGAAAAGAAGTTTCTGTGAATGATTCTGTCTAGATTTTATAAGAAGATGTTTCCTTTTCTACCGTAGGCCTCAAAGCGCTTGAAATCTCCAGCTGCAAATTCCACAAAAAGGGTGTTTAACATCTGCTCTTCTAAAGGAAAGTTCAACTCTATGAGTTGAATACACACAGCACAAAGAAGTTACTGAGACTTCTCCTATCAAACATTATAGGAAGAAATCCCGTTTCCAACGAAGGCCTCAAAGAGGTCCAAATATCTGCTTGCAGACTTTACAGACAGAGTTTTTCCAAACTGCTCCATCAAAAGAAAGGTTAAACTCCTTGAGTTGAACACACACATCACAAAGTAGTTTCTGTGAATGATTCTGTCTAGTTTTTATACGAAGATGTTTCCTTTTCTACCTTTGGTCTCAAAGCGATTGAAATCTCCACATGGAAACTCCACAAAAAGAGTGTTTCAAATCTGCTCTTTCTGAAGGAAGGTTCAACACTGTGAGTTGAATACACACACCACAAATAAGTTACTGAGAATTCTTCTGTGTAACATTATATGAGGAAATCCCGTTTCCAACGAAGGCCTCAAAGAGGTCCAAATATCCACTTGCAGACTTTACAAAGACAGTGTCTCCAAACTCCTCCATCGAAAGAATGGTTATACTCTGTGAATTGAACGCACACATCACAAAGTAGTTTCTGAGAATGATTCTGTCTAGTTTTTATACGAAGATATTTCCTTTTCTACATTTGGCCTAAAAGCGCTTGAAATCTCCACCTGCAAATATCACAAAAAGAGGGTTTCACATCTGCTCTGTCTAAAGGACAGTTCACCTCTGTGAGTTGAATAGAGGCAACACAAAGAACTTACTCAGTATTCTTCTTTCTAGAGTTCTATGAAGAAATCCCGTTTCCAACGAAGGCCCCAAAGAGGTCCAAATATCTGCTTGCAGACTTTACAGACAGAGTGTTTCCAAACTACTCTATGAAAAGAAAGCTTAAACTCCTTGAGTTGAACGCACACATCACAAAGTAGTTTCGGAGAATGATTCTGTCTAGTTTTTATACGAAGATGTTTCCTTTTCTACATTTGGTCTCAAAGCGATTGAAATCTCCAACTGGAAACTGCACAAATAGGGTGTTTAAAATCTGCTCTGTCTAAAGGAAGGTTCAACTCTGTGAGTTGAATACACACACCACAAATAAGTTACTGAGAATTCTTCTGTCGAACATTACTTGAAGAAATCCCGTTTCCAACGAAGGCCTCAAAGAGGTCCAAATATCCACTTGCAGACATTACAAACAGAGTGTTTCCAAACTGCTAAATCAAAAGAAAGGTTAAACTCTGTGAGCTGAACACACACATCGAAAAGAAGTTTCTGTGAATGATTCTGTCTAGATTTTATAAGAAGATGTTTCCTTTTCTACCGTAGGCCTCAAAACGCTTGAAATCTCCAGCTGCAAATTCCACAAAAAGGGTGTTTAACATCTGCTCTTCTAAAGGAAAGTTCAACTCTGTGAGTTGAATACACACAGCACAAAGAAGTTACTGAGACTTCTCCTATCAAACATTATATGAAGAAATCCCGTTTCCAACGAAGGCCTCAAAGAGGTCCAAATATCTGCTTGCAGACTTTACAGACAGAGTGTTTCCAAACTGCTCCATCAAAAGAAAGGTTAAACTCCTTGAGTTGAACACACACATCACAAAGTAGTTTCTGTGAATGATTCTGTCTAGTTGTTATACGAAGATGTTTCCTTTTCTACCTTTGGTCTCAAAGCGATTGAAATCTCCACATGGAAACTCCACAAAAAGAGTGTTTGAAATCTGCTCTTTCTGAAGGAAGGTTCATCTCTGTGAGTTGAATACACACACCACAAATAAGTTACTGAGAATTCTTCTGTGTAACATTATATGAGGAAATCCCGTTTCCAACGAAGGCCTCAAAGAGGTCCAAATATCCACTTGCAGACTTTACAAAGACAGTGTCTCCAAACTCCTCCATCAAAAGAAAGGTTATACTCTGTGAATTGAACGCACACATCACAAAGTAGTTTCTGAGAATGATTCTGTCTAGTTTTTATACGAAGATATTTCCTTTTCTACATTTGGCCTAAAAGCGCTTGAAATCTCCACCTGCAAATATCACAAAAAGAGGGTTTCACATCTGCTCTGTCTAAAGGACAGTTCACCTCTGTGAGTTGAATAGAGGCAACACAAAGAACTTACTCAGTATTCTTCTTTCTAGCGTTCTATGAAGAAATCCCGTTTCCAACGAAGGCCTCAAAGAGGTCAAATATCTGCTTGCAGACTTTACAGACAGAGTGTTTCCAAACTACTCTATGAAAAGAAAGCTTAAACTCCTTGAGTTGAACTGCACACATCACAAAGTAGTTTCTGAGAATGATTCTGTCTAGTTTTTATACGAAGATATTTCCTTTTCTACATTTGGCCTATAAGCGCTTGAAATCTCCACCTGCAAATATCACAAAAAGAGGGTTTCACATCTGCTCTGTCTAAAGGACAGTTCACCTCTGTGAGTTGAATAGAGGCAACACAAAGAACTTACTCAGTATTCTTCTGTCGAACATTACTTGAAGAAATCCCGTTTCCAACGAAGGCCTCAAAGAGGTCCAAATATCCACTTGCAGACATTACAAACAGAGTGTTTCCAAACTGCTCCATCAAAAGAAAGGTTAAACTCTGTGAGCTGAACACACACATCGAAAAGAAGTTCCTGTGAATGATTCTGTCTAGATTTTATAAGAAGATGTTTCCTTTTCTACCGTAGGCCTCAAAGCGCTTGAAATCTCCAGCTGCAAATTCCACAAAAAGGGTGTTTAACATCTGCTCTTCTAAAGGAAAGTTCAACTCTATGAGTTGAATACACACAGCACAAAGAAGTTACTGAGACTTCTCCTATCAAACATTATATGAAGAAATCCCGTTTCCAACGAAGGCCTCAAAGAGGTCCAAATATCTGCTTGCAGACTTTACAGACAGAGTGTTTCCAAACTGCTCCATCAAAAGAAAGGTTAACCTCCTTGAGTTGAACACACACATCACAAAGTAGTTTCTGTGAATGATTCTGTCTAGTTTTTATAAGAAGATGTTTCCTTTTCTACCTTTGGTCTCAAAGCGATTGAAATCTCCACATGGAAACTCCACAAAAAGAGTGTTTCAAATCTGCTCTTTCTGAAGGAAGGTTCAACTCTGTGAGTTGAATACACACACCACAAATAAGTTACTGAGAATTCTTCTGTGTAACATTATATGAGGAAATCCCGTTTCCAATGAAGGCCTCAAAGAGGTCCAAATATCCACTTGCAGACTTTACAAAGACAGTGTCTCCAAACTCCTCCATCAAAAGAAAGGTTATACTCTGTGAATTGAACGCACACATCACAAAGTAGTTTCTGAGAATGATTCTGTCTAGTTTTTATACGAAGATATTTCCTTTTCTACATTTGGCCTAAAAGCGCTTGAAATCTCCACCTGCAAATATCACAAAAAGAGGGTTTCACATCTGCTCTGTCTAAAGGACAGTTCTCCTCTGTGAGTTGAATAGAGGCAACACAAAGAACTTACTCAGTATTCTTCTTTCTAGCGTTCTATTAAGAAATCCCGTTTCCAACGAAGGCCTCAAAGAGGTCCAAATATCTGCTTGCAGACTTTACAGAGTGTTTCCAAACTACTCTATGAAAGAAAGCTTAAACTCCTTGAGTTGAACGCACACATCACAAAGTAGTTTCTGAGAATGATTCTGTCTAGTTTTTATACGAAGATGTTTCCTTTTCTACATTTGGTCTCAAAGCGATTGAAATCTCCAACTGGAAACTGCACAAATAGGGTGTTTCAAATCTGCTCTGTCTAAAGGAAGGTTCAACTCTGTGAGTTGAATACACACACCACAAATAAGTTACTGAGAATTCTTCTGTCGAACATTACATGAAGAAATCCCGTTTCCAACGAAGGCCTCAAAGAGGTCCAAATATCCACTTGCAGACATTACAAACAGAGTGTTTCCAAACTGCTCCATCAAAAGAAAGGTTAAACTCTGTGAGCTGAACACACACATCAAAAAGAAGTTTCTGTGAATGATTCTGTCTAGATTTTATAAGAAGATATTTCCTTTTCTACATTTGGCCTAAAAGCGCTTGAAATCTCCACCTGCAAATATCACAAAAAGAGGGTTTCCCATCTGCTCTGTCTAAAGGACAGTTCACCTCTGTGAGTTGAATAGAGGCAACACAAAGAAGTTACTGAGTATTATCCTATCAAACATTATATGAAGAAATCCCGTTTCCAACGAAGGCCTCAAAGAGGTCCAAATATCTGCTTGCAGACTTTACAGACAGAGTGTTTCCAAACTGCTCCATCAAAAGAAAGGTTAACCTCCTTGAGTTGAACACACACATCACAAAGTAGTTTCTGTGAATGATTCTGTCTAGTTTTTATACGAAGATGTTTCCTTTTCTACATTTGGTCTCAAAGCCATTGAAATCTCCACATGGAAACTCCACAAAAAGAGTGTTTCAAATCTGCTCTTTCTGAAGGAAGGTTCAACTCTGTGAGTTGAATACACACGCCACAAATAAGTTACTGAGAATTCTTCTGTGTAACATTATATGAGGAAATCCCGTTTCCAACGAAGGCCTCAAAGAGGTCCAAATATCTACTTGCAGACTTTACAAAGACAGTGTCTCCAAACTCCTCCATCAAAAGAAAGGTTATACTCTGTGAATTGAACGCACACATCACAAAGTAGTTTCTGAGAATGATTTCTGTCTAGTTTTTATACGAAGATATTTCCTTTTCTACATTTGGCCTAAAAGCGCTTGAAATCTCCACCTGCAAATATCACAAAAAGAGGGTTTCACATCTGCTCTGTCTAAAGGACAGTTCACCTCTGTGAGTTGAATAGAGGCAACACAAAGAACTTACTCAGTATTCTTCTTTCTAGCGTTGTATGAAGAAATCCCGTTTCCAACGAAGGCCTCAAAGAGGTCCAAATATCTGCTTGCAGACTTTACAGACAGAGTGTTTCCAAACTACTCTATGAAAAGAAAGCTTAAACTCCTTGAGTTAAACCCACACATCACAAAGTAGTTTCTGAGAATGATTCTGTCCAGTTTTTATACGAAGATGTTTCCTTTTCTACATTTGGTCTCAAAGCGATTGAAATCTCCAACTGGAAACTGCACAAATACGGTGTTTCAAATCTGCTCTGTCTAAAGGAAGGTTCAACTCTGTGAGTTGAATACACACACCACAAATAAGTTACTGAGAATTCTTCTGTCGAACATTACTTGAAGAAATCCCGTTTCCAACGAAGGCCTCAAAGAGGTCCAAATATTCACTTGCAGATATTACAAACAGAGTGTTTCCAAACTGCTCCATCAAAAGAAAGGTTAAACTCTGTGAGCTGAACACACACATCAAAAACAAGTTTCTGTGAATGATTCTGTCTAGATTTTATAAGAAGATGTTTCCTTTTCTACCGTAGGACTCAAAGCGCTTGAAATCTCCAGCTGCAAATTCCACAAAAAGGGTGTTTAACATCTGCTCTTCTAAAAGAAAGTTCAACTCTATGAGTTGAATACACACAGCACAAAGAAGTTACTGAGACTTCTCCTATCAAACATTATATGAAGAAATCCCGTTTCCAACGAAGGCCTCAAAGAGGTCCAAATATCTGCTTGCAGACTTTACAGACAGAGTGTTTCCAAACTGCTCCATCAAAAGAAAGGTTAAACTCCTTGAGTTGAACACACACATCACAAAGTAGTTTCTGTGAATGATTCTGTCTAGTTGTTATACGAAGATGTTTCCTTTTCTACCTTTGGTCTCAAAGCGATTGAAATCTCCACATGGAAACTCCACAAAAAGAGTGTTTCAAATCTGCTCTTTCTGAAGGAAAGTTCATCTCTGTGAGTTGAATACACACACCACAAATAAGTTACTGAGAATTCTTCTGTGTAACATTATATGAGGAAATCCCGTTTCCAACGAAGGCCTCAAAGAGGTCCAAATATCCACTTGCAGACTTTACAAAGACAGTGTCTCCAAACTCCTCCATCAAAAGAAAGGTTATACTCTGTGAATTGAACGCACACATCACAAAGTAGTTTCTGAGAATGATTCTGTCTAGTTTTTATACGAAGATATTTCCTTTTCTACATTTGGCCTAAAAGCGCTTGAAATCTCCACCTGCAAATATCACAAAAAGAGGGTTTCACATCTGCTCTGTCTAAAGGACAGTTCACCTCTGTGAGTTGAATAGAGGCAACACAAAGAACGTACTCAGTATTCTTCTTTCTAGCGTTCTATGAAGAAATCCCGTTTCCAACGAAGGCCTCAATGAGGTCCAAATATCTGCTTGCAGACTTTACAGACAGAGTGTTTCCAAACTACTCTATGAAAAGAAAGCTTAAACTCCTTGAGTTGAACGCACACATCACAAAGTAGTTTCTGAGAATGATTCTGTCTAGTTTTTATACGAAGATGTTTCCTTTTCTACATTTGGTCTCAAAGCGATTGAAATCTCCAACTGGAAACTGCACAAATAGGGTGTTTCAAATCTGCTCTGTCTAAAGGAAGGTTCAACTCTGTGAGTTGAATACACACACCACACATAAGTTACTGAGAATTCTTCTGGCGACCATTACTTGATGAAATCCCGTTTCCAACGAAGGCCTCAAAGAGGTCCAAATATCCACTTGCAGACATTACAAACAGAGTGTTTCCAAACTGCTCCATCAAAAGAAAGGTTAAACTCTGTGAGCTGAACACACACATCGAAAAGAAGTTTCTGTGAATGATTCTGTCTAGATTTTATAAGAAGATGTTTCCTTTTCTACCGTAGGCCTCAAAGCGCTTGAAATCTCCAGCTGCAAATTCCACAAAAAGGGTGTTTAACATCTGCTCTTCTAAAGGAAAGTTCAACTCTATGAGTTGAATACACACAGCACAAAGAAGTTACTGAGACTTCTCCTATCAAACATTATATGAAGAAATCCCGTTTCCAACGAAGGCCTCAAAGAGGTCCAAATATCTGCTTGCAGACTTTACAGACAGAGTGTTTCCAAACTGCTCCATCAAAAGAAAGGTTAAACTCCTTGAGTTGAACACACACATCACAAAGTAGTTTCTGTGAATGATTCTGTCTAGTTGTTATACGAAGATGTTTCCTTTTCTACCTTTGGTCTCAAAGCGATTGAAATCTCCACATGGAAACTCCACAAAAAGAGTGTTTCAAATCTGCTGTTTCTGAAGGAAGGTTCATCTCTGTGAGTTGAATACACACACCACAAATAAGTTACTGAGAATTCTTCTGGGTAACATTATATGAGGAAATCCCGTTTCCAACGAAGGCCTCAAAGAGGTCCAAATATCCACTTGCAGACTTTACAAAGACAGTGTCTCCAAACTCCTCCATCAAAAGAAAGGTTATACTCTGTGAATTGAACGCACACATCACAAAGTAGTTTCTGAGAATGATTCTGTCTACTTTTTATACGAAGATATTTCCTTTTCTACATTTGGCCTAAAAGCGCTTGAAATCTCCACCTGCAAATATCACAAAAAGAGGGTTTCACATCTGCTCTGTCTAAAGGACAGTTCACCTCTGTGAGTTGAATAGAGGCAACACAATGAAGTTACTGAGTATTCTTCTTTCTAGCGTTATATGAAGAAATCCCGTTTCCAACGAAGGCCTCAAAGAGGTCCAAATATCTGCTTGCAGACTTTACATACAGAGTGTTTCCAAACTACTCTAAGAAAAGAAAGCTTAAACTCCGTGAGTTGAACGCACACATCACAAAGTAGTTTCTGAGAATGATTCTGTCTTGTATTTATACGAAGATATTTCCGTTTCTACGATTGGCCTCAAAGCGATTGAAATCTCCAACTGGAAACTGCACAAATAGGGTGTTTCAAATCTGCTCTGTCTAAAGGAAGGTTCAACTCTGTGAGTTGAATACACACACCACAAATAAGTTACTGAGAATTCTTCTCTCGAACATTACATGAAGAAATCCCGTTTCCAAAGAAGGCCTGAAAGAGGTCCAAATATCCAGTTGCCGACAATGCAAACACAGTGTTTGCAAACTGCTCCGTCAAAAGAAAGGTTAAACTCTCTGAGATGAACACACACATCAGAAAGAAGTTTCTGTGAATGATTCTGTCTAGATTTTATAAGAAGATGTTTCCTTTTCTACCATAGGCCTCAAAGCGCTAGAAATCTCCAGCTGCAAATTCCACAAAAAGTGTGTTTAAAATCTGCTCTGTCTAAAGTAAAGTTCAGCTCTGTGAGTTGAATACACACAGCACAAAGAAGTTACTGAGACTTCTCCTATCAAACATTATATGAAGAAATCCCGTTTCCAACGAAGGCCTCAAAGAGGTCCAAATATCTGCTTGCAGACTTTACAGACAGAGTGTTTCCAAACTGCTCCATCAAAAGAAAGGTTAAACTCCTTGAGTTGAACACACACATCACAAAGTAGTTTCTGTGAATGATTCTGTCTAGTTTTTATACGAAGATGTTTCCTTTTCTACCTTTGGTCTCAATGCGATTGAAATCTCCACATGGAAACTCCACAAAAAGAGTGTTTCAAATCTGCTCTTTCTGAAGGAAGGTTCAACTCTGTGAGTTGAATACACACACCACAAATAAGTTACTGAGAATTCTTCTGTGTAACATTATATGAGGAAATCCCGTTTCCAACGAAGGCCTCAAAGAGGTCCAAATATCCACTTGCAGACTTTACAAAGACAGTGTCTCCAAACTCCTCCATCAAAAGAAAGGTTATACTCTGTGAATTGAACGCACACATCACAAAGTAGTTTCTGAGAATGATTCTGTCTAGTTTTTATACGAAGATATTTCCTTTTCTATATTTGGCCTAAAAGCGCTTGAAATCTCCACCTGCAAATATCACAAAAAGAGGGTTTCACATCTGCTCTGTCTAAAGGACAGTTCACCTCTGTGAGTTGAATAGAGGCAACACAAAGAACTTACTCAGTATTCTTTCTTTCTAGCGTTCTATGAAGAAATCCCGTTTCCAACGAAGGCCCCCAAAGAGGTCCAAATATCTGCTTGCAGACTTTACAGACAGAGTGTTTCCAAACTACTCTATGAAAAGAAAGCTTAAACTCCTTGAGTTGAACGCACACATCACAATGTAGTTTCGGAGAATGATTCTGTCTAGTTTTTATACGAAGATGTTTCCTTTTCTACATTTGGTCTCAAAGCGATTGAAATCTCCAACTGGAAACTGCACAAATAGGGTGTTTCAAATCTGCTCTGTCTAAAGGAAGGTTCAACTCTGTGAGTTGAATACACACACCACAAATAAGTTACTGAGAATTCTTCTGTCGAACATTACTTGAAGAAATCCCGTTTCCAACGAAGGCCTCAAACAGGTCCAAATATCCACTTGCAGACATTACAAACAGTGTGTTTCCAAACTGCTCCATCAAAAGAAAGGTTAAACTCTGTGAGCTGAACACACACATCAAAAAGAAGTTTCTGTGAATGATTCTGTCTAGATTTTATAAGAAGATGTTTCCTTTTCTACAGTAGGCCTCAAAGCGCTTGAAACCTCCAGCTGCAAATTCCCCAAAAAGGGTGTTTAACATCTGCTCTTCTAAAGGAAAGTTCAACTACTATGAGTTGAATACACACAGCACAAAGAAGTTACTGAGACTTCTCCTATCAAACATTATATGAAGAAATCCCGTTTCCAACGAAGGCCTCAAAGAGGTCCAAATATCTGCTTTCAGACTTTACAGACAGAGTGTTTCCAAACTGCTCCATCAAAAGAAAGGTTAAACTCCTTGAGTTGAACACACACATCACAAAGTAGTTTCTGTGAATGATTCTGTCTAGTTGTTATACGAAGATGTTTCCTTTTCTACCTTTGGTCTCAAAGCGATTGAAATCTCCACATGGAAACTCCACAAAAAGAGTGTTTCAAATCTGCTCTTTCTGAAGGAAGGTTCATCTCTGTGAGTTGAATACACACACCACAAATAAGTTACTGAGAATTCTTCTGTGTAACATTATATGAGGAAATCCCGTTTCCAACGAAGGCCTCAAAGAGGTCCAAATATCCACTTGCAGACTTTACAAAGACAGTGTCTCCAAACTCCTCCATCAAAAGAAAGGTTATACTCTGTGAATTGAACGCACACATCACAAAGTAGTTTCTGAGAATGATTCTGTCTAGTTTTTATACGAAGATATTTCCTTTTCTACATTTGGCCTAAAAGCGCTTGAAATCTCCACCTGCAAATATCACAAAAAGAGGGTTTCACATCTGCTCTGTCTAAAGGACAGTTCACCTCTGTGAGTTGAATAGAGGCAACACAAAGAACTTACTCAGTATTCTTCTTTCTAGCGTTCTATGAAGAAATCCCGTTTCCAACGAAGGCCCCAAAGAGGTCCAAATATCTGCTTGCAGACTTTACAGACAGAGTGTTTCCAAACTACTCTATGAAAAGAAAGCTTAAACTCCTTGAGTTGAACGCACACATCACAAAGTAGTTTCTGAGAATGATTCTGTCTAGTTTTTATACGAAGATGTTTCCTTTTCTACATTTGGTCTCAAAGCGATTGAAATCTCCAACTGGAAACTGCACAAATAGGGTGTTTCAAATCTGCTCTGTCTAAAGGAAGGTTCAACTCTGTGAGTTGAATACACACACCACAAATAAGTTACTGAGAATTCTTCTGTCGAACATTACTTGATGAAATCCCGTTTCCAACGAAGGCCTCAAAGAGGTCCAAATATCCACTTGCAGACATTACAAACAGAGTGTTTCCAAACTGCTCCATCAAAAGAAAGGTTAAACTCTGTGAGCTGAACACACACATCGAAAAGAAGTTTCTGTGAATGATTCTGTCTAGATTTTATAAGAAGATGTTTCCTTTTCTACCGTAGGCCTCAAAGCGCTTGAAATCTCCAGCTGCAAATTCCACAAAAAGGGTGTTTAACATCTGCTCTTCTAAAGGAAAGTTGAACTCTATGAGTTGAATACACACAGCACAAAGAAGTTACTGAGACTTCTCCTATCAAACATTATATGAAGAAATCCCGTTTCCAACGAAGGCCTCAAAGAGGTCCAAATATCTGCTTGCAGACTTTACAGACAGAGTGTTTCCAAACTGCTCCATCAAAAGAAAGGTTAAACTCCTTGAGTTGAACACACACATCACAAAGTAGTTTCTGTGAATGATTCTGTCTAGTTGTTATACGAAGATGTTTCCTTTTCTACCTTTGGTCTCAAAGCGATTGAAATCTCCACATGGAAACTCCACAAAAAGAGTGTTTCAAATCTGCTCTTTCTGAAGGAAGGTTCATCTCTGTGAGTTGAATACACACACCACAAATAAGTTACTGAGAATTCTTCTGTGTAACATTATATGAGGAAATCCCGTTTCCAACGAAGGCCTCAAAGAGGTCCAAATATCCACTTGCAGACTTTACAAAGACAGTGTCTCCAAACTCCTCCATCAAAAGAAAGGTTATACTCTGTGAATTCAACGCACACATCACAAAGTAGTTTCTGAGAATGATTCTGTCTAGTTTTTATACGAAGATATTTCCTTTTCTACATTTGGCCTAAAAGCGCTTGAAATCTCCACCTGCAAATATCACAAAAAGAGGGTTTCACATCTGCTCTGTCTAAAGGACAGTTCACCTCTGTGAGTTGAATAGAGGCAACACAAAGAACTTACTCAGTATTCTTCTTTCTAGCATTCTATGAAGAAATCCCGTTTCCAACGAAGGCCTCAAAGAGGTCCAAATATCTGCTTGCAGACTTTACAGACAGAGTTTTTCCAAACTGCTCCATCAAAAGAAAGGTTAAACTCCTTGAGTTGAACACACACATCACAAAGTAGTTTCTGTGAATGATTCTGTCTAGTTTCTATACGAAGATGTTTCCTTTTCTACCTTTGGTCTCAAAGCGATTGAAATCTCCACATGGAAACTCCACAAAAAGAGTGTTTCAAATCTGCTCTTTCTGAAGGAAGGTTCAACTCTGTGAGTTGAATACACACACCACAAATAAGTTCCTGAGAATTCTTCTGTGTAACATTATATGAGGAAATCCCGTTTCCAACGAAGGCCTCAAAGAGGTCCAAATATCCACTTGCAGACTTTACAAAGACAGTGTCTCCAAACTCCTCCATCAAAAGAAAGGTTATACTCTGTGAATTGAACGCACACATCACAAAGTAGTTTCTGAGAATGATTCTGTCTAGTTTTTATACGAAGATGTTTCCTTTTCTTCATTTGGCCTAAAAGCGCTTGAAATCTCCACCTGCAAATATCACAAAAAGAGGGTTTCACATCTGCTCTGTCTAAAGGACAGTTCACCTCTGTGAGTTGAATAGAGGCAACACAAAGAACTTACTCAGTATTCTTCTTTCTAGCGTTCTATGAAGAAATCCCGTTTCCAACGAAGGCCCCAAAGAGGTCCAAATATCTGCTTGCAGACTTTACAGACAGAGTGTTTCCAAACTACTCTATGAAAAGAAAGCTTAAACTCCTTGAGTTGAACGCACACATCACAAAGTAGTTTCTGAGAATGATTCTGTCTAGTTTTTATACGAAGATGTTTCCTTTTCTACATTTGGTCTCAAAGCGATTGAAATCTCCAACTGGAAACTGCACAAATAGGGTGTTTCAAATCTGCTCTGTCTAAAGGAAGGTTCAACTCTGTGAGTTGAATACACACACCACAAATAAGTTACTGAGAATTCTTCTGTCGACCATTACTTGATGAAATCCCGTTTCCAACGAAGGCCTCAAAGAGGTCCAAATATCCACTTGCAGACATTACAAACAGAGTGTTTCCAAACTGCTCCATCAAAAGAAAGGTTAAACTCTGTGAGCTGAACACACACATCGAAAAGAAGTTTCTGTGAATGATTCTGTCTAGATTTTATAAGAAGATGTTTCCTTTTCTACCGTAGGCCTCAAAGCGCTTGAAATCTCCAGCTGCAAATTCCACAAAAAGGGTGTTTAACATCTGCTCTTCTAAAGGAAAGTTCAACTCTATGAGTTGAATGCACACAGCACAAAGAAGTTACTGAGACTTCTCCTATCAAACATTATATGAAGAAATCCCGTTTCCAACGAAGGCCTCAAAGAGGTCCAAATATCTGCTTGCAGACTTTACAGACAGAGTGTTTCCAAACTGCTCCATCAAAAGAAAGGTTAAACTCCTTGAGTTGAACACACACATCACAAAGTAGTTTCTGTGAATGATTCTGTCTAGTTTTTATACGAAGATGTTTCCTTTTCTACCTTTGGTCTCAAAGCGATTGAAATCTCCACATGGAAACTCCACAAAAAGAGTGTTTCAAATCTGCTCTTTCTGAAGGAAGGTTCAACTCTGTGAGTTGAATACACACACCACAAATAAGTTACTGAGAATTCTTCTGTGTAACATTATATGAGGAAATCCCGTTTCCAACGAAGGCCTCAAAGAGGTCCAAATATCCACTTGCAGACTTTACAAAGACAGTGTCTCCAAACTCCTCCATCAAAAGAAAGGTTATACTCTGTGAATTGAACGCACACATCACAAAGTAGTTTCTGAGAATGATTTCTGTCTAGTTTTTATACGAAGATATTTCCTTTTCTACATTTGGCCTAAAAGCGCTTGAAATCTCCACCTGCAAATATCACAAAAAGAGGGTTTCACATCTGCTCTGTCTAAAGGACAGTTCACCTCTGTGAGTTGAATAGAGGCAACACAAAGAACTTACTCAGTATTCTTCTGTCGAACATTACTTGAAGAAATCCCGTTTCCAACGAAGGCCTCAAAGAGGTCCAAATATCTGCTTGCAGACTTTACAGACAGAGTGTTTCCAAACTACTCTATGAAAAGAAAGCTTAAACTCCTTGAGTTGAACGCACACATCACAAAGTAGTTTCTGAGAATGATTCTGTCTAGTTTTTATACGAAGATGTTTCCTTTTCTACATTTGGTCTCAAAGCGATTGAAATCTCCAACTGGAAACTGCACAAATAGGGTGTTTCAAATCTGCTCTGTCTAAAGGAAGGTTCAACTCTGTGAGTTGAATACACACACCACAAATAAGTTACTGAGAATTCTTCTGTCGAACATTACAGGAAGAAATCCCGTTTCCAGCGAAGGCCTCAAAGAGGTCCAAATATCCACTTGCAGACATTACAAACAGAGTGTTTCCAAACTGCTCCATCAAAAGAAAGGTTAAACTCTGTGAGCTGAACACACACATCAAAAAGAAGTTTCTGTGAATGATTCTGTCTAGATTTTATAAGAAGATGTTTCCTTTTCTACCGTAGGCCTCAAAGCGCTTGAAATCTCCAGCTGCAAATTCCACAAAAAGGGTGTTTAACATCTGCTCTTCTAAAGGAAAGTTCAACTCTATGAGTTGAATACACACAGCACAAAGAAGTTACTGAGAGTTCTCCTATCAAACATTATATGAAGAAATCCCGTTTCCAACGAAGGCCTCAAAGAGGTCCAAATACCTGCTTGCAGACTTTGCAGACAGAGTGTTTCCAAACTGCTCCATCAAAAGAAAGGTTAAACTCCTTGAGTTGAACACACACATCACAAAGTAGTTTCTGTGAATGATTCTGTCTAGTTGTTATACGAAGATGTTTCCTTTTCTACCTTTGGTCTCAAAGCGATTGAAATCTCCACATGGAAACTCCACAAAAAGAGTGTTTCAAATCTGCTCTTTCTGAAGGAAGGTTCATCTCTGTGAGTTGAATACACACACCACAAATAAGTTACTGAGAATTCTTCTGTGTAACATTATATGAGGAAATCCCGTTTCCAACGAAGGCCTCAAAGAGGTCCAAATATCCACTTGCAGACTTTACAAAGACAGTGTCTCCAAACTCCTCCATCAAAAGAAAGGTTATACTCTGTGAATTGAACGCACACGTCACAAAGTAGTTTCTGAGAATGATTCTGTCTAGTTTTTATACGAAGATATTTCCTTTTCTACATTTGGCCTAAAAGCGCTTGAAATCTCCACCTGCAAATATCACAAAAAGAGGGTTTCACATCTGCTCTGCCTAAAGGACAGTTCACCTCTGTGAGTTGAATAGAGGCAACACAAAGAACTTACTCAGTATTCTTCTTTCTAGCGTTCTATGAAGAAATCCCGTTTCCAACGAAGGCCTCAAAGAGGTTCAAATATCTGCTTGCAGACTTTACAGACAGAGTGTTTCCAAACTACTCTATGAAAAGAAAGCTTAAACTCCTTGAGTTGAACGCACACATCACAAAGTAGTTTCTGAGAATGATTCTGTCTAGTTTTTATACGAAGATGTTTCCTTTTCTACATTTGGTCTCAAAGCGATTGAAATCTCCAACTGGAAACTGCACAAATAGGGTGTTTCAAATCTGCTCTGTCTAAAGGAAGGTTCAACTCTGTGAGTTGAATACACACACCACAAATAAGTTACTGAGAATTCTTCTGTCGACCATTACTTGAAGAAATCCCGTTTCCAACGAAGGCCTCAAAGAGGTCCAAATATCCACTTGCAGACATTACAAACAGAGTGTTTCCAAACTGCTCCATCAAAAGAAAGGTTAAACTCTGTGAGCTGAACACACACACCAAAAAGAAGTTTCTATGAATGATTCTGTCTAGATTTTATAAGAAGATGTTTCCTTTTCTACCGTAGGCCTCAAAGCGCTTGAAATCTCCAGCTGCAAATTCCACAAAAAGGGTGTTTAACATCTGCTCTTCTAAAGGAAAGTTCAACTCTATGAGTTGAATACACACAGCACAAAGAAGTTACTGAGACTTCTCCTATCAAACATTATATGAAGAAATCCCGTTTCCAACGAAGGCCTCAAAGAGGTCCAAATATCTGCTTGCAGACTTTACAGACAGAGTTTTTCCAAACTGCTCCATCAAAAGAAAGGTTAAACTCCTTGAGTTGAACACACACATCACAAAGTAGTTTCTGTGAATGATTCTGTCTAGTTTTTATACGAAGATGTTTCCTTTTCTACCTTTGGTCTCAAAGCGATTGAAATCTCCACATGGAAACTCCACAAAAAGAGTGTTTCAAATCTGCTCTTTCTGAAGGAAGGTTCAACTCTGTGAGTTGAATACACACACCACAAATAAGTTACTGAGAATTCTTCTGTGTAACATTATATGAGGAAATCCCGTTTCCAACGAAGGCCTCAAAGAGGTCCAAATATCCACTTGCAGACTTTACAAAGACAGTGTCTCCAAACTCCGCCATCAAAGAAAGGTTATACTCTGTGAATTGAACGCACACATCACAAAGTAGTTTCTGAGAATGATTCTGTCTAGTTTTTATACGAAGATATTTCCTTTTCTACATTTGGCCTAAAAGCGCTTGAAATCTCCACCTGCAAATATCACAAAAAGAGGGTTTCACATCTGCTCTGTCTAAAGGACAGTTCACCTCTGTGAGTTGAATAGAGGCAACACAAAGAACTTACTCAGTATTCTTCTTTCTAGCGTTCTATGAAGAAATCCCGTTTCCAACGAAGGCCCCAAAGAGGTCCAAATATCTGCTTGCAGACTTTACAGACAGAGTGTTTCCAAACTACTCTATGAAAAGAAAGCTTAAACTCCTTGAGTTGAACGCACACATCACAAAGTAGTTTCTGAGAATGATTCTGTCTAGTTTTTATACAAAGATGTTTCCTTTTCTACATTTGGTCACAAAGCGATTGAAATCTCCAACTGGAAACTGCACAAATAGGGTGTTTCAAATCTGCTCTGTCTAAAGGAAGGTTCAACTCTGTGAGTTGAATACACAGACCACAAATAAGTTACTGAGAATTCTTCTGTCGAACATTACATGAAGAAATCCCGTTTCCAACGTAGGCCTCAAAGAGGACCAAATATCCACTTGCAGACATTACAGAGTGTTTCCAAACTGCTCCATCAAAAGAAAGGTTAAACTCTGTGAGCTGAACACACACATCAAAAAGAAGTTTCTGTGAATGATTCTGTCTAGATTTTATAAGAAGATGTTTCCTTTTCTACCGTAGGCCTCAAAGCGCTTGAAATCTCCAGCTGCAAATTCCACAAAAAGGGTGTTTAACATCTGCTCTTCTAAAGGAAAGTTCAACTCTATGAGTTGAATACACACAGCACAAAGAAGTTACTGAGATTTCTCCTATCAAACATTATATGAAGAAATCCCGTTTCCAACGAAGGCCTCAAAGAGGTCCAAATATCTGCTTGCAGACTTTACAGACAGAGTGTTTCCAAACTGCTCCATCAAAAGAAAGGTTAAACTCCTTGAGTTGAACACACACATCACAAAGTAGTTTCTGTGAATGATTCTGTCTAGTTTTTATATGAAGATGTTTCCTTTTCTACCTTTGGTCTCAAAGCGATTGAAATCTCCACATGGAAACTCCACAAAAAGAGTGTTTCAAATCTGCTCTTTCTGAAGGAAGGTTCAACTCTGTGAGTTGAATACACACACCACAAATAAGTTACTGAGAATTCTTCTGTGTAACATTATATGAGGAAATCCCGTTTCCAACGAAGGCCTCAAAGAGGTCCAAATATCCACTTGCAGACTTTACAAAGACAGTGTCTCCAAACTCCTCCATCAAAAGAAAGGTTATACTCTGTGAATTGAACGCACACATCACAAAGTAGTTTCTGAGAATGATTCTGTCTAGTTTTTCTACGAAGATATTTCCTTTTCCACATTTGGCCTAAAAGCGCTTGAAATCTCCACCTGCAAATATCACAAAAAGAGGGTTTCACATCTGCTCTGTCTAAAGGACAGTTCACCTCTGTGAGTTGAATAGAGGCAACACAAGGAAGTTACTGAGTATTCTTCTTTCTAGCGTTATATGAAGAAATCCCGTTTCCAACGAAGGCCTCAAAGAGGTCCAAATATCTGCTTGCAGACTTTACAGACAGAGTGTTTCCAAACTACTCTATGAAAAGAAAGCTTAAACTCCGTGAGTTGAACGCACACATCGCAAAGTAGTTTCTGAGAATGATTCTGTCTAGTTTTTATACGAAGATGTTTCCTTTTCTACATTTGGTCTCAAAGCGATTGAAATCTCCATCTGGAAACTGCACAAATAGGGGGTTTCAAATCTGCTCTGTCTAAAGGAAGGTTCAACTCTGTGAGTTGAATACACACACCACAAATAAGTTACTGAGAATTCTTCTGTCGAACATTACTTGAAGAAATCCCGTTTCCAACGAAGGCCTCAAAGAGGTCCAAATATCCACTTGCAGACATTAAAAACAGAGTGTTTCCAAACAGCTCCATCAAAAGAAAGGTTAAACTCTGTGAGCTGAACACACACATCAAAAAGAAGTTTCTGTGAATGATTCTGTCTAGATTTTATAAGAAGATGTTTCCTTTTCTACCGTAGGCCTCAAAGCGCTTGAAATCTCCAGCTGCAAATTCCACAAAAAGGGTGTTTAACATCTGCTCTTCTAAAGGAAAGTTCAACTCTATGCGTTGAATACACACAGCACAAAGAAGTTACTGAGACTTCTCCTATCAAACATTATATGAAGAAATCCCGTTTCCAACGAAGGCCTCAAAGAGGTCCAAATATCTGCTTGCAGACTTAACAGACAGAGTGTTTCCAAACTGCTCCATCAAAAGAAAGGTTAAACTCCTTGAGTTGAACACACACATCACAAAGTAGTTTCTGTGAATGATTCTGTCTAGTTTTTATACGAAGAATGTTTCCTTTTCTACCTTTGGTCTCAAAGCGATTGAAATCTCCACATGGAAACTCCACAAAAAGAGTGTTTCAAATCTGCTCTTTCTGAAGGAAGTTTCAACTCTGTGAGTTGAATACACACACCACAAATAAGTTACTGAGAATTCTTCTGTGTAACATTATAGGAGGAAATCCCGTTTCCAACGAAGGCCTCAAAGAGGTCCAAATATCCACTTGCAGACTTTACAAAGACAGTGTCTCCAAACTCCTCCATCAAAAGAAAGGTTATCCTCTGTGAATTGAACGCATACATCACAAAGTAGTTTCTGAGAATGATTCTGTCTAGTTTTTATACGAAGATATTTCCTTTTCTACATTTGGCCTAAAAGCGCTTGAAATCTCCACCTGCAAATATCACAAAAAGAGGGTTTCACATCTGCTCTGTCTAAAGGACAGTTCACCTCTGTGAGTTGAATAGAGGCAACAAAAAGAAGTTACTGAGTATTCTTCTTTCTAGCGTTCTATGAAGAAATCCCGTTTCCAACGAAGGCCTCAAAGAGGTCCAAATATCTGCTTGCAGACTTTACAGACAGAGTGTTTCCAAACTACTCTATGAAAAGAAAGCTTAAACTCCTTGAGTTGAACGCACACATCACAAAGTAGTTTCTGAGAATGATTCTGTCTAGTTTTTATACGAAGATGTTTCCTTTTCTACATTTGGTCTCAAAGCGATTGAAATCTCCAACTGGAAACTGCACAAATAGGGTGTTTCAAATCTGCTCTGTCTAAAGGAAGGTTCAACTCTGTGAGTTGAATACACACACCACAAATAAGTTACTGAGAATTCTTCTGTCGAACATTACAGGAAGAAATCCCGTTTCCAACGAAGGCCTCAAAGAGGTCCAAATATCCACTTGCAGACATTACAAACAGTGTGTTTCCCAACTGCTCCATCAAAAGAAAGGTTAAACTCTGTGAGCTGAACACACACATCAAAAAGAAGTTTCTGTGAATGATTCTGTCTAGATTTTATAAGAAGATGTTTCCTTTTCTACCTTAGCCCTCAAAGCGCTTGAAATCTCCAGCTGGAAATTCCACAAAAAGGGTGTTTAACATCTGCTCTTCTAAAGGAAAGTTCAACTCTATGAGTTGAATACACACAGCACAAAGAAGTTACTGAGACTTCTCCTATCAAACATTATATGAAGAAATCCCGTTTCCAACGAAGGCCTCAAAGAGGTCC
Source organism: Homo sapiens (assembly GCF_000001405.40). Classification (NCBI taxonomy): domain Eukaryota; kingdom Metazoa; phylum Chordata; class Mammalia; order Primates; family Hominidae; genus Homo; species Homo sapiens. Next base: position 36,086,933 of record NC_000012.12, on the reverse strand, counting down.
AAATATCTGCTTGCAGATTTTACAGAGAGAGTGTTTCCAAACTGCTCCATCAAAAGAAAGGTTAAACTCCTTGAGTTGAACACACACATCACAAAGTAGTTTCTGTGAATGATTCTGTCTAGTTTTTATACGAAGATGTTTCCTTTTCTACCTTTGGTCTCAAAGCAATTGAAATCTCCACATGGAAACTCCACAAAAAGAGTGTTTCAAATCTGCTCTTTCTGAAGGAAGGTTCAACTCTGTGAGTTGAATACACACACCACAAATAAGTTACTGAGAATTCTTCTGTGTAACATTATATGAGGAAATCCCGTTTCCAACGAAGGCCTCAAAGAGGTCCAAATATCCACTTGCAGACTTTACAAAGACAGTGTCTCCAAACTCCTCCATCAAAAGAAAGGTTATACTCTGTGAATTGAACGCACACATCACAAAGTAGTTTCTGAGAATGATTCTGTCTAGTTTTTATACGAAGATATTTCCTTTTCTACATTTGGCCTAAAAGCGCTTGAAATCTCCACCTGCAAATATCACAAAAAGAGGGTTTCACATCTGCTCTGTCTAAAGGACAGTTCACCTCTGTGAGTTGAATAGAGGCAACACAAAGAACTTACTCAGTATTCTTCTTTCTAGCGTTCTATGAAGAAATCCCGTTTCCAACGAAGGCCCCAAAGAGGTCCAAATATCTGCTTGCAGACTTTACAGACAGAGTGTTTCCAAACTACTCTATGAAAAGAAAGCTTAAACTCCTTGAGTTGAACGCACACATCACAAAGTAGTTTCTGAGAATGATTCTGTCTAGTTTTTATACGAAGATGTTTCCTTTTCTACATTTGGTCTCAAAGCGATTGAAATCTCCAACTGGAAACTGCACAAATAGGGTGTTTCAAATCTGCTCTGTCTAAAGGAAGGTTCAACTCTGTGAGTTGAATACACACACCACAAATAAGTTACTGAGAATTCTTCTGTCGAACATTACAGGAAGAAATCCCGTTTCCAACGAAGGCCTCAAAGAGGTCCAAATATCCACTTGCAGACATTACAAACAGTGTGTTTCCCAACTGCTCCATCAAAAGAAAGGTTAAACTCTGTGAGCTGAACACACACATCAAAAAGAAGTTTCTGTGAATGATTCTGTCTAGATTTTATAAGAAGATGTTTCCTTTTCTACCGTAGGCCTCAAAGCGCTTGAAATCTCCAGCTGCAAATTCCACAAAAAGGGTGTTTAACATCTGCTCTTCTAAAGGAAAGTTCAACTCTATGAGTTGAATACACACAGCACAAAGAAGTTACTGAGACTTCTCCTATCAAACATTATATGAAGAAATCCCGTTTCCAACGAAGGCCTCAAAGAGGTCCAAATATCTGCTTGCAGACATTACAGACAGAGTGTTTCCAAACTGCTCCATCAAAAGAAAGGTTAAACTCCTTGAGTTGAACACACACATCACAAAGTAGTTTCTGTGAATGATTCTGTCTAGTTTTTATACGAAGATGTTTCCTTTTCTACCTTTGGTCTCAAAGCGATTGAAATCTCCACATGGAAACTCCACCAAAAGAGTGTTTCAAATCTGCTCTTTCTGAAGGAAGGTTCAACTCTGTGAGTTGAATACACACACCACAAATAAGTTACTGAGAATTCTTCTGTGTAACATTATATGAGGAAATCCCGTTTCCAACGAAGGCCTCAAAGAGGTCCAAATATCCACTTGCAGACTTTACAAAGACAGTGTCTACAAACTCCTCCATCAAAAGAAAGGTTATACTCTGTGAATTGAACGCACACATCTCAAAGTAGTTTCTGAGAATGATTCTGTCTAGTTTTTATACGAAGATATTTCCTTTTCTACATTTGGCCTAAAAGCGCTTGAAATCTCCACCTGCAAATATCACAAAAAGAGGGTTTCACATCTGCTCTGTCTAAAGGACAGTTCACCTCTGTGAGTTGAATAGAGGCAACACAAAGAACTTACTCAGTATTCTTCTTTCTAGCGTTATATGAAGAAATCCCGTTTCCAACGAAGGCCTCAAAGAGGTCAAATATCTGCTTGCAGACTTTACAGACAGAGTGTTTCCAAACTACTCTATGAAAAGAAAGCTTAAACTCCTTGAGTTGAACGCACACATCACAAAGTAGTTTCTGAGAATGATTCTGTCTAGTTTTTATACGAAGATGTTTCCTTTTCTACATTTGGTCTCAAAGCGATTGAAATCTCCAACTGGAAACTGCACAAATAGGCTGTTTCAAATCTGCTCTGTCTAAAGGAAGGTTCAACTCTGTGAGTTGAATACACACACCACAAATAAGTTACTGAGAATTCTTCTGTCGAACATTACTTGAAGAAATCCCGTTTCCAAAGAAGGCCTCAAAGAGGTCCAAATATCCACTTGCAGACATTACAAACAGAGTGTTTCCAAACTGCTCCATCAAAAGAAAGGTTAAACTCTGTGAGCTGAACACACACATCAAAAAGAAGTTTCTGTGAATGATTCTGTCTAGATTTTATAAGAAGATGTTTCCTTTTCTACCGTAGGCCTCAAAGCGCTTGAAATCTCCAGCTGCAAATTCCACAAAAAGGGTGTTTAACATCTGCTCTTCTAAAGGAAAGTTCAACTCTATGAGTTGAATACACACAGCACAAAGAAGTTACTGAGACTTCTCCTATCAAACATTATATGAAGAAATCCCGTTTCCAACGAAGGCCTCAAAGAGGTCCAAATATCTGCTTGCAGACTTTACAGAGTGTTTCCAAACTGCTCCATCAAAAGAAAGGTTAAACTCCTTGAGTTGAACACACACATCACAAAGTAGTTTCTGTGAATGATTCTGTCTAGTTTTTATACGAAGATGTTTCCTTTTCTACCTTTGGTCTCAAATCGATTGAAATCTCCACATGGAAACTCCACAAAAAGAGTGTTTCAAATCTGCTATTTCTGAAGGAAGGTTCAACTCTGTGAGTTGAATACACACACCACAAATAAGTTAGTGAGAATTCTTCTGTGTAACATTATATGAGGAAATCCCGTTTCCAACGAAGGCCTCAAAGAGGTCCAAATATCCACTTGCAGACTTTACAAAGACAGTGTCTCCAAACTCCTCCATCAAAAGAAAGGTTATACTCTGTGAATTGAACGCACACATCACAAAGTAGTTTCTGAGAATGATTCTGTCTAGTTTTTATACGAAGATATTTCCTTTTCTACATTTGGCCTAAAAGCGCTTGAAATCTCCACCTGCAAATATCACAAAAAGAGGGTTTCACATCTGCTCTGTCTAAAGGACAGTTCACCTCTGTGAGTTGAATAGAGGCAACACAAAGAACGTACTCAGTATTCTTCTTTCTTGCGTTCTATGAAGAAATCCCGTTTCCAACGAAGGCCCCAAAGAGGTCCAAATATCTGCTTGCACTCTTTACAGACAGAGTGTTTCCAAACTACTCTATGAAAAGAAAGCTTAAACTCCTTGAGTTGAACGCACACATCACAAAGTAGTTTCTGAGAATGATTCTGTCTAGTTTTTATACGAAGATGTTTCCTTTTCTACATTTGGTCTCAAAGCGATTGAAATCTCCAACTGGAAACTGCACAAATAGGGTGTTTCAAATCTGCTCTGTCTAAAGGAAGGTTCAACTCTGTGAGTTGAATACACACACCACAAATAAGTTACTGAGAATTCTTCTGTCGAACATTACTTGAAGAAATCCCGTTTCCAACGAAGGCCTCAAAGAGGTCCAAATATCCACTTGCAGACATTACAAACAGAGTGTTTCCAAACTGCTCCATCAAAAGAAAGGTTAAACTCTGTGAGCTGAACACACACATCAAAAAGAAGTTTCTGTGAATGATTCTGTCTAGATTTTATAAGAAGATGTTTCCTTTTCTACCGTAGGCCTCAAAGCGCTTGAAATCTCCAGCTGCAAATTCCACAAAAAGGGTGTTTAACATCTGCTCTTCTAAAGGAAAGTTCAACTCTATGAGTTGAATACACACAGCACAAAGAAGTTACTGAGACTTCTCCTATCAAACATTATATGAAGAAATCCCGTTTCCAACGAAGGCCCCAAAGAGGTCCAAATATCTGCTTGCAGACTTTACAGACAGAGTTTTTCCAAACAGCTCCATCAAAAGAAAGGTTAAACTCCTTGAGTTGAACACACACATCACAAAGTAGTTTCTGTGAATGATTCTGTCTAGTTTTTATACGAAGATGTTTCCTTTTCTACCTTTGGTCTCAAAGCGATTGAAATCTCCACATGGAAACTCCACAAAAAGAGTGTTTCAAATCTGCTCTTTCTGAAGGAAGGTTCACCTCTGTGAGTTGAATAAACACACCACAAATAAGTTACTGAGAATTCTTCTGTGTAACATTATATGAGGAAATCCCGTTTCCAACGAAGGCCTCAAAGAGGTCCAAATATCCACTTGCAGACTTACAAAGACAGTGTCTCCAAACTCCTCCATCAAAAGAAAGGTTATACTCTGTGAATTGAACGCACACATCACAAAGTAGTTTCTGAGAATGATTCTGTCTAGTTTTTATACGAAGATATTTCCTTTTCTACATTTGGCCTGAAAGCGCTTGAAATCTCCACGTGCAAATATCACAAAAACAGGGTTTCACATCTGCTCTGTCTAAAGGACAGTTCACCTCTGTGAGTTGAATAGAGGCAACACAAAGAACTTACTCAGTATTCTTCTTTCTACCGTTCTATGAAGAAATCCCGTTTCCAACGAAGGCCTCAAAGAGGTCCAAATATCTGCTTGCAGACTTTACAGACAGAGTGTTTCCAAACTACTCTATGAAAAGAAAGCTTAAACTCCTTGAGTTGAACGCACACATCACAAAGTAGTTTCTGAGAATGATTCTGTCTAGTTTTTATACGAAGATGTTTCCTTTTCTACATTTCTTCTCAAAGCGTTTGAAATCTCCAAATGGAAACTGCACAAATAGGGTGTTTCAGATCTGCTCTGTCTAAAGGAAGGTTCAACTCTGTGAGTTGAATACACACACCACAAATAAGTTGCTGAGAATTCTTCTGTCGAACATTACTTGAAGAAATCCCGTTTCCAACGAAGGCCTCAAAGAGGTCCAAATATCCACTTGCAGATATTACAAACAGAGTGTTTCCAAACTGCTCCATCAAAAGAAATGTTAAACTCTGTGAGCTGAACACACACATCAAAAAGAAGTTTCTGTGAATGATTCTGTCTAGATTTTATAAGAAGATGTTTCCTTTTCTACCGTAGGCCTCAAAGCGCTTGAAATCTCCAGCTGCAAATTCCACAAAAAGGGTGTTTAACATCTGCTCTTCTAAAGGAAAGTTCAACTCTATGAGTTGAATACACACAGCACAAAGAAGATACTGAGACTTCTCCTATCAAACATTATATGAAGAAATCCCGTTTCCAACGAAGGCCTCAAAGAGGTCCAAATATCTGCTTGCAGACTTTAAAGACAGAGTTTTTCCAAACTGCTCCACCAAAAGAAAGGTTAAACTCCTTGAGTTGAACACACACATCACAAAGTAGTTTCTGTGAATGATTCTGTCTAGTTTTTATACGAAGATGTTTCCTTTTCTACCTTTGGTCTCAAAGCGATTGAAATCTCCACATGGAAACTCCACAAAAAGAGTGTTTCAAATCTGCTCTTTCTGAAGGAAGGTTCAACTCTGTGAGTTGAATACACACACCACAAATAAGTTACTGAAAATTCTTCTGTGTAACATTATATGAGGAAATCCCATTTCCAACGAAGGCCTCAAAGAGGTCCAAATATCCACTTGCAGACTTTACAAAGACAGTGTCTCCAAACTCCTCCATCAAAAGAAAGGTTATACTCTGTGAATTGAACGCACACATCACAAAGTAGCTTCTGAGAATGATTCTGTCTAGTTTTTATACGAAGATGTTTCCTTTTCTACATTTGTCTCAAAGCGATTGAAATCTCCAACTGGAAACTGCACAAATAGGCTGTTTCAAATCTGCTCTGTCTAAAGGAAGGTTCAACTCTGTGACTTGAATACACACACCACAAATAAGTTACTGAGAATTCTTCTGTCGAACATTACAGGAAGAAATCCCGTGTCCAACGAAGGCCTCAAAGAGGTCCAAATATCCACTTGCAGACTTTACAAAGACAGTGTCTCCAAACTCCTCCATCAAAAGAAAGGTTATACTCTGTGAATTGAACGCACACATCACAAAGTAGTTTCTGAGAATGATTCTGTCTAGTTTTTATACGAAGATATTTCCTTTTCTACATTTGGCCTAAAAGCGCTTGAAATCTCCACCTGCAAATATCACAAAAAGAGGGTTTCACATCTGCTCTGTCTAAAGGACAGTTCACCTCTTTGAGTTGAATAGAGGCAACACAAAGAACTTACTCAGTATTCTTCTTTCTGGCGTTCTATGAAGAAATCCCGTTTCCAACGAAGGCCCCAATGAGGTCCAAATATCTGCTTGCAGACTTTACAGACAGAGTGTTTCCAAACTACTCTATGAAAAGAAAGCTTAAACTCCTTGAGTTGAACGCACACATCACAAAGTAGTTTCTGAGAATGATTCTGTCTAGTTTTTATACGAAGATGTTTCCTTTTCTACGTTTGGTCTCAAAGCGATTGAAATCTCCAACTGGAAACTGCACAAATAGGGTGTTTCAAATCTGCTCTGTCTAAAGGAAGGTTCAACTCTGTGAGTTGAATACACACACCACAAATAAGTTACTGAGAATTCTTCTGTCGAACATTACATGAAGAAATCCCGTTTCCAACGAAGGCCTCAAAGAGGTCCAAATATCCACTTGCAGACATTACAAACAGAGTGTTTCCAAACTGCTCCATCAAAAGAAAGGTTAAACTCTGTGAGCTGAACACACACATCAAAAAGAAGTTTCTGTGAATGATTCTGTCTAGATTTTCTAAGAAGATGTTTCCTTTTCTACCGTAGGCCTCAAAGCGCTTGAAATCTCCAGCTGCAAATTCCACAAAAAGGGTGTTTAACATCTGCTCTTCTAAAGGAAAGTTCAACTCAATGAGTTGAATACACACAGCACAAAGAAGTTACTGAGACTTCTCCTATCAAACATTATATGAAGAAATCCCGTTTCCAACGAAGGCCTCAAAGAGGTCCAAATATCTACTTGCAGACTTTACAGACAGAGTGTTTCCAAACTGCTCCATCAAAAGAAAGGTTAAACTCCTTGAGTTGAACACACACATCACAAAGTAGTTTCTGTGAATGATTCTGTCTAGTTTTTATACGAAGATGTTTCCTTTTCTACCTTTGGTCTCAATGCGATTGAAATCTCCACATGGAAACTCCACAAAAAGAGTGTTTCAAATCTGCTCTTTCTGAAGGAAGGTTCAACTCTGTGAGTTGAATACACACACCACAAATAAGTTACTGAGAATTCTTCTGTGTAACATTATATGAGGAAATCCCGTTTCCAACGAAGGACTCAAAGAGGTCCAAATATCCACTTGCAGACTTTACAAAGACAGTGTCTCCAAACTCCTCCATCAAAAGAAAGGTTATAGTCTGTGAATTGAACGCACACATCACAAAGTAGTTTCTGAGAATGATTCTGTCTAGTTTTTATACGAAGATATTTCCTTTTCTACATTTGGCCTAAAAGCGCTTGAAATCTCCACCTGCAAATATCACAAAAAGAGGGTTTCACATCTGCTCTGTCTAAAGGACAGTTCACCTCTGTGAGTTGAATAGAGGCAACACAAAGAACTTACTCAGTATTCTTCTTTCTAGCGTTCTATGAAGAAATCCCGTTTCCATCGAAGGCCCCAATGAGGTCCAAATATCTGCTTGCAGACTTTACAGACAGAGTGTTTCCAAAGTACTCTATGAAAAGAAAGCTTAAACTCCTTGAGTTGAACGCACACATCACAAAGTAGTTTCTGAGAATCATTCTGTCCAGTTTTTATACGAAGATGTTTCCTTTTCTACATTTGGTCTCAAAGCGATTGAAATCTCCAACTGGAAACTGCACAAATAGGGTGTTTCAAATCTGCTCTGTCTAAAGGAAGGTTCAACTCTGTGAGTTGAATACACACACCACAAATAAGTTACTGAGAATTCTTGTGTCGAACATTACTTGAATAAATCCCGTTTCCAACGAAGGCCTCAAAGAGGTCCAAATATTCACTTGCAGATATTACAAACAGAGTGTTTCCAAACTGCTCCATCAAAAGAAAGGTTAAACTCTGTGAGCTGAACACACACATCAAAAAGAAGTTTCTGTGAATGATTCTGTCAAGATTTTATAAGATGTTTCCATTTCTACCGTAGGACTCAAAGCGCTTGAAATCTCCAGCTGCAAATTCCACAAAAAGGGTGTTTAACATCTGCTCTTCTAAAGGAAAGTTCAACTCTATGAGTTGAATACACACAGCACAAAGAAGTTACTGAGACTTCTCCTATCAAACATTATATGAAGAAATCCCGTTTCCAACGAAGGCCTCGAAAAGGTCCAAATATCTGCTTGCAGACTTTACAGACAGAGTGTTTCCAAACTGCTCCATCAAAAGAAAGGTCAAACTCCTTGAGTTGAACACACACATCACAAAGTAGTTTTTGTGAATGATTCTGTCTAGTTTTTATACGAAGATGTTTCCTTTTCTACCTTTGGTCTCAAAGCGATTGAAATCTCCACATGGAAACTCCACAAAAAGAGTGTTTCAAATCTGCTCTTTCTGAAGGAAGGTTCAACTCTGTGAGTTGAATACACACACCACAAATAAGTTACTGAGAATTCTTCTGTGTAACATTATATGAGGAAATCCCGTTTCCAACGAAGGCCTCAAAGAGGTCCAAATATCCACTTGCAGACTTTACAAAGACAGTGTCTCCAAACTCCTCCATCAAAAGAAAGGTTATACTCTGTGAATTGAACGCACACATCACAAAGTAGTTTCTGAGAATGATTCTGTCTAGTTTTTATACGAAGATATTTCCTTTTCTACATTTGGCCTAAAAGCGCTTGAAATCTCCAAGTGCAAATATCACAAAAAGAGGGTTTCACATCTGCTCTGTCTAAAGGACAGTTCACCTCTGTGAGTTGAATAGAGGCAACACAAAGAACTTACTCAGTATTCTTCTTTCTAGCGTTCTATGAAGAAATCCCGTTTCCAACGAAGGCCCCAAAGAGGTCCAAATATCTGCTTGCAGACTTTACAGACAGAGTGTTTCCAAACTACTCTATGAAAAGAAAGCTTAAACTCCTTGAGTTGAACGCACACATCACAAAGTAGTTTCTGAGAATGATTCTGTCTAGTTTTTATACGAAGATGTTTCCTTTTATACCTTTGGTCTCAAAGCTATTGAAATCTCCACATGGAAACTCCACAAAAAGAGTGTTTCAAATCTGCTCTCTCTGGAGGAAGGTTCAACTCTGTGAGTTGAATACACACACCACAAATAAGTTACTGAGAATTCTTCTGTGTAACATTATATGAGGAAATCCCGTTTCCAACGAAGGCCTCAAAGAGGTCCAAATATCCACTTGGAGACATTACAAACAGTGTGTTTCCAAACTGCTCCATCAAAAGAAAGGTTAAACTCTGTGAGCTGAACACACACATCAAAAAGAAGTTTCTGTGAATGATTCTGTCTAGATTTTATAAGAAGATGTTTCCTTTTCTACCGTAGGCCTCAAAGCGCTTGAAATCTCCAGCTGCAAATTCCACAAAAAGGGTGTTTAACATCTGCTCTTCTAAAGGAAAGTTCAACTCTATGAGTTGAATACACACAGCACAAAGAAGTTACTGAGACTTCTCCTATCAAACATTATATGAAGAAATCCCGTTTCCAACGAAGGCCTCAAAGAGGTCCAAATATCTACTTGCAGACTTTACAGACAGAGTGTTTCCAAACTGCTCCATCAAAAGAAAGGTTAAACTCCTTGAGTTGAACACACACATCACAAAGTAGTTTCTGTGAATGATTCTGTCTAGTTTTTATACGAAGATGTTTCCTTTTCTACCTTTGGTCTCAAAGCGATTGAAATCTCCACATGGAAACTCCACAAAAAGAGTGTTTCAAATCTGCTCTTTCTGAAGGAAGGTTCAACTCTGTGAGTTGAATACACACACCACAAATAAGTTACTGAGAATTCTTCTGTGTAACATTATCATGAGGAAATCCCGTTTCCAACGAAGGCCTCAAAGAGGTCCAAATATCCACTTGCAGACCTTACAAAGACAGTGTCTCCAAACTCCTCCATCAAAAGAAAGGTTATACTCTGTGAATTGAACGCACACATCACAAAGTAGTTTCTGTGAATGATTCTGTCTAGTTTTTATACGAAGATATTTCCTTTTCTACATTTGGCCTAAAAGCGCTTGAAATCTCCACCTGCAAATATCACAAAAAGAGGGTTTCACATCTGCTCTGTCTAAAGGACAGTTCACCTCTGTGAGTTGAATAGAGGCAACACAAAGAACTTACTCAGTATTCTTCTTTCTAGCGTTCTATGAAGAAATCCCGTTTCCAACGAAGGCCCCAAAGAGGTCCAAATATCTGCTTGCAGACTTTACAGACAGAGTGTTTCCAAACTACTCTATGAAAAGAAAGCTTAAACTCCTTGAGTTGAACGCACACATCACAAAGTAGTTTCTGAGAATGATTCTGTCTAGTTTTTATACGAAGATGTTTCCTTTTCTACATTTGGTCTCAAAGCGATTGAAATCTCCAACTGGAAACTCCACAAAAAGAGTGTTTCAAATCTGCTCTGTCTAAAGGAAGGTTCAACTCTGTGAGTTGAATACACACACCACAAATAAGTTACTGAGAATTCTTCTGTCGAACATTACTTGAAGAAATCCCGTTTCCAACGAAGGCCTCAAAGAGGTCCAAATATCCACTTGCAGACATTACAAACAGAGTGTTTCCCAACTGCTCCATCAAAAGAAAGGTTAAACTCTGTGAGCTGAACACACACATCAAAAAGAAGTTTCTGTGAATGATTCTGTCTAGATTTTATAAGAAGATGTTTCCTTTTCTACCGTAGGCCTCAAAGCGCTTGAAATCTCCAGCTGCAAATTCCACAAAAAGGGTGTTTAACATCTGCTCTTCTAAAGGAAAGTTCAACTCTATGAGTTGAATACACACAGCACAAAGAAGTTACTGAGACTTCTTCTGTCTAACATTATATGAAGAAATCCCGTTTCCAACGAAGGCCTCAAAGAGGTCCAAATATCTGCCTGCAGACTTTACAGACAGAGTGTTTCCAAACTGCTCCATCAAAAGAAAGGTTAAACTCCTTGAGTTGAACACACACATCACAAAGTAGTTTCTGTGAATGATTCTGTCTAGTTTTTATACGAAGATGTTTCCTTTTCTACCTTTGGTCTCAAAGCGATTGAAATCTCCACATGGAAACTCCACAAAAAGAGTGTTTCAAATCTGCTCTTTCTGAAGGAAGGTTCATCTCTGTGAGTTGAATACACACACCACAAATAAGTTACTGAGAATTCTTCTGTGTAACATTATATGAGGAAATCCCGTTTCCAACGAAGGCCTCAAAGAGGTCCAAATATCCACTTGCAGACTTTACAAAGACAGTGTCTCCAAACTCCTCCATCAAAAGAAAGGTTATACTCTGTGAATTGAACGCACACATCACAAAGTAGTTTCTGAGAATGATTCTGTCTAGTTTTTATACGAAGATATTTCCTTTTCTACATTTGGCCTAAAAGCGCTTGAAATCTCCACCTGCAAATATCACAAAAAGAGGGTTTCACATCTGCTCTGTCTAAAGGACAGTTCACCTCTGTGAGTTGAATAGAGGCAACACAAAGAACTTACTCAGTATTCTTCTTTCTTGCGTTCTATGAAGAAATCCCGTTTCCAACGAAGGCCCCAAAGAGGTCCAAATATCTGCTTGCACTCTTTACAGACAGAGTGTTTCCAAACTACTCTATGAAAAGAAAGCTTAAACTCCTTGAGTTGAACGCACACATCACAAAGTAGTTTCTGAGAATGATTCTGTCCAGTTTTTATACGAAGATGTTTCCTTTTCTACATTTGGTCTCAAAGCGATTGAAATCTCCAACTGGAAACTGCACAAATAGGGTGTTTCAAATCTGCTCTGTCTAAAGGAAGGTTCAACTCTGTGAGTTGAATACACACACCACAAATAAGTTACTGAGAATTCTTCTGTCGAACATTACTTGAAGAAATCCCGTTTCCAACGAAGGCCTCAAAGAGGTCCAAATATCCACTTGCAGACATTACAAACAGAGTGTTTCCAAACTGCTCCATCAAAAGAAAGGTTAAACTCGGTGAGCTGAACACACACATCAAAAAGAAGTTTCTGTGAAAGATTCTGTCTAGATTTTATAAGAAGATGTTTGCTTTTCTACCGTAGGCCTCAAAGCGCTTGAAATCTCCAGCTGCAAATTCCACAAAAAAGGTGTTTAACATCTGCTCTTCTAAAGGAAAGTTCAACTCTATGCGTTGAATACACACAGCACAAAGAAGTTACTGAGACTTCTCCTATCAAACATTATATGAAGAAATCCCGTTTCCAAGGAAGGCCTCAAAGAGGTCCAAATATCTGCTTGCAGACTTTACAGACAGAGTGTTTCCAAACTGCTAAATCAAAAGAAAGGTTAAACTCCTTGAGTTGAACACACACATCACAAAGTAGTTTCTGTGAATGATTCTGTCTAGTTTTTATACGAAGATGTTTCCTTTTCTACCTTTGGTCTCAAAGCGATTGAAATCTCCACATGGAAACTCCACAAAAAGAGTGTTTCAAATCTGCTCTGTCTAAAGGAAGGTTCAACTCTGTGAGTTGAATACACACACCACAAATAAGTTACTGAGAATTCTTCTGTCGAACATTACTTGAAGAAATCCCGTTTCCAACGAAGGCCTCAAAGGAGGTCCAAATATCCACTTGCAGACATTACAAACAGAGTGTTTCCAAACTGCTCCATCAAAAGAAAGGTTAAACTCTGTGAGCTGAACACACACATCAAAAAGAAGTTTCTGTGAATGATTCTGTCTAGATTTTATAAGAAGATGTTTCCTTTTCTACCGTAGGCCTCAAAGCGCTTGAAATCTCCAGCTGCAAATTCCACAAAAAGGGTGTTTAACATCTGCTCTTCTAAAGGAAAGTTCAACTCTATGAGTTGAATACACACAGCACAAAGAAGTTACTGAGACTTCTCCTATCAAACATTATATGAAGAAATCCCGTTTCCAACGAAGGCCTCAAAGAGGTCCAAATATCTGCTTGCAGACTTTACAGACAGAGTATTTCCAAACTGCTCCATCAAAAGAAAGGTTAAACTCCTTGAGTTGAACACACACATCACAAAGTAGTTTCTGTGAATGATTCTGTCTAGTTTTTATACGAAGATGTTTCCTTTTCTACCTTTTGTCTCAAAGCCTTTGAAATGTCCACATGGAAACTCCACAAAAAGAGGGTTTCAAATCTGCTCTTTCTGAAGGAAGGTTCAACTCTGTGAGTTGAATACACACACCACAAATAAGTTACTGAGAATTCTTCTGTGTAACATTATACGAGGAAATCCCGTTTCCAACGAAGGCCTCAAAGAGGTCCAAATATCCACTTGCAGACTTTACAAAGACAGTGTCTCCAAACTCCTCCATCAAAAGAAAGCTTATCCTCTGTGAATTGAACGCACACATCACAAAGTAGTTTCTGAGAATGATTCTGTCTAGTTTTTATACGAAGATATTTCCTTTTCTACATTTGGCCTAAAAGCGCTTGAAGTCTCCACCTGCAAATATCACAAAAAGAGGGTTTCACATCTGCTCTGTCTAAAGGACAGTTCACCTTTGTGAGTTGAATAGAGGCAACACAAAGAACTTACTCAGTATTCTTCTTTCCAGCGTTCTATGAAGAAATCACGTTTCCAACGAAGGCCCCAATGAGGTCCAAATATCTGCTTGCAGACTTTACAGACAGAGTGTTTCCAAACTACTCTATGAAAAGAAAGCTTAAACTTCTTGAGTTGAACGCACACATCACAAAGTAGTTTCTGAGAATGATTCTGTCTAGTTTTTATACGAAGATGTTTCCTTTTCTACATTTGGTCTCAAAGCGATTGAAATCTCCAACTGGAAACTGCACAAATAGGGTGTTTCAAATCTGCTCTGTCTAAAGGAAGGTTCAACTCTTTGAGTTGAATACACACACCACAAATAAGTTACTGAGAATTCTTCTGTCGAACATTACTTGAAGAAATCCCGTTTCCAACGAAGGCCTCAAAGAGGTCCAAATATCCACTTGCAGACATTACAAACAGAGTGTTTCCAAACTGCTCCATCAAAACAAAGGTTAAACTCTGTGAGCTGAACACACACATCAAAAAGAAGTTTCTGTGAATGATTCTGTCTAGATTTTATAAGAAGATATTTCCTTTTCTACCGTAGGCCTCAAAGCGCTTGAAATCTCCAGCTGCAAATTCCACAAAAAGGGTGTTTAACATCTGCTCTTCTAAAGGAAAGTTCAACTCTATGAGTTGAATACACACAGCACAAAGAAGTTACTGAGACTTCTCCTATCAAACATTATATGAAGAAATCCCGTTTCCAACGAAGGCCTCAAAGAGGTCCAAATATCTGCTTGCAGACTTTACAGACAGAGTGTTTCCAAACTGCTCCATCAAAAGAAAGGTTAAACTCCTTGAGTTGAACACACACATCACAAAGTAGTTTCTGTGAATGATTCTGTCTAGTTTTTATACGAAGATGTTTCCTTTTCTACCTTTGGTCTCAATGCGATTGAAATCTCCACATGGAAACTCCACAAAAAGAGTGTTTCAAATCTGCTCTTTCTGAAGGAAGGTTCATCTCTGTGAGTTGAATACACACACCACAAATAAGTTACTGAGAATTCTTCTGTGTAACATTATATGAGGAAATCCCGTTTCCAACGAAGGCCTCAAAGAGGTCCAAATATCCACTTGCAGACTTTACAAAGACAGTGTCTCCAAACTCCTCCATCAAAAGAAAGGTTATACTCTGTGAATTGAACGCACACATCACAAAGTAGTTTCTGAGAATGATTGTGTCTAGTTTTTATACGAAGATATTTCCTTTTCTACATTTGGCCTAAAAGCGCTTGAAATCTCCACCTGCAAATATCAGAAAAAGAGGGTTTCACATCTGCTCTGTCTAAAGGACAGTTCACCTCTGTGAGTTGAATAGAGGCAACACAAAGTACTTACTCAGTATTCTTCTTTCTAGCGTTCTATGAAGAAATCCCGTTTCCAACGAAGGCCTCAAAGAGGTCCAAATATCTGCTTGCAGACTTTACAGACAGAGTGTTTCCAAACTACTCTATGAAAAGAAAGCTTAAACTCCTTGAGTTGAACGCACACATCACAAAGTAGTTTCTGAGAATGATTCTGTCTTGTTTTTATACGAAGATATTTCCGTTTCTACGATTGGCCTCAAAGCGATTGAAATCTCCAACTGGAAACTGCACTAATAGGGTGTTTCAAATCTGCTCTGTCTAAAGGAAGGTTCAACTCTGTGAGTTGAATACACACACCACAAATAAGTTACTGAGAATTCTTCTGTCGAACATTACATGAAGAAATCCCATTTCCAACGAAGGCCTCAAAGAGGTCCAAATATCCACTTGCAGACATTACAAACAGAGTGTTTCCAAACTGCTCCATCAAAAGAAAGGTTAAACTCTGTGAGCTGAACACACACATCAAAAAGAAGTTTCTGTGAATGATTCTGTCTAGATTTTATAAGAAGATGTTTCCTTTTCTACCGTAGGCCTCAAAGCGCTTGAAATCTCCAGCTGCAAATTCCACAAAAAGGGTGTTTAACATCTGCTCTTCTAAAGGAAAGTTCAACTCTATGAGTTGAATACACACAGCAGAAAGAAGTTACTGAGACTTCTCCTATCAAACATTATATGAAAAAATCCCATTTCCAACGAAGGCCTCAAAGAGGTCCAAATATCTGCTTGCAGACTTTACAGACAGAGTGTTTCCAAACTGCTCCATCAAAAGAAAGGTTAACCTCCTGAGTTGAACACACACATCACAAAGTAGTTTCTGTGAATGATTCTGTCTAGTTTTTATACGAAGATGTTTCCTTTTCTACCTTTGGTCTCAAAGCGATTGAAATCTCCACATGGAAACTCCACAAAAAGAGTGTTTCAAATCTGCTCTTTCTGAAGGAAGGTTCATCTTTGTGAGTTGAATACACACACCACAAATAAGTTACTGAGAATTCTTCTGTGTAACATTATATGAGGAAATCCCGTTTCCAACGAAGGCCTCAAAGAGGTCCAAATATCCACTTGCAGACTTTACAAAGACAGTGTCTCCAAACTCCTCCATCAAAAGAAAGGTTATACTCTGTGAATTGAACGCACACATCACAAAGTAGTTTCTGAGAATGATTCTGTCTAGTTTTTATACGAAGATATTTCCTTTTCTACATTTGGCCTAAAAGCGCTTGAAATCTCCACCTGCAAATATCACAAAAAGAGGGTTTCACATCTGCTCTGTCTAAAGGACAGTTCACCTCTGTGAGTTGAATAGAGGCAACACAAAGAACTTACTCAGTATTCTTCTTTCTAGCGTTCTATGAAGAAATCCCGTTTCCAACGAAGGCCCCAAAGAGGTCCAAATATCTGCTTGCAGACTTTACAGACAGAGTGTTTCCAAACTACTCTATGAAAAGAAAGCTTAAACTCCTTGAGTTGAACGCACACATCACAAAGTAGTTTCTGAGAATGATTCTGTCTAGTTGTTATACGAAGATGTTTCCTTTTCTACGTTTGGTCTCAAAGCGATTGAAATCTCCAACTGGAAACTGCACAAATAGGGTGTTTCAAATCTGCTGTGTCTAAAGGAAGGTTCAACTCTGTGAGTTGAATACACACACCACAAATAAGTTACTGAGAATTCTTCTGTCGAACATTACATGAAGAAATCCCGTTTCCAACGAAGGCCTCAAAGAGGTCCAAATATCCACTTGCAGACATTACAAACAGATTGTTTCCAACCTGCTCCATCAAAAGAAAGGTTAAACTCTGTGAGCTGAACACACACATCAAAAAGAAGTTTCTGTGAATGATTCTGTCTAGATTTTATAAGAAGATGTTTTCTTTTCTACCGTAGGCCTCAAAGTGCTTGAAATCTCCAGCTGCAAATTCCACAAAAAGGGTGTTTAACATCTGCTCTTCTAAAGGAAAGTTCAACTCTATGAGTTGAATACACACAGCACAAAGAAGTTACTGAGACTTCTCCTATCAAACATTATATGAAGAAATCCCGTTTCCAACGAAGGCCTCAAAGAGGTCCAAATATCTGCTTGCCGACTTTACAGACAGACTGTTTCCAAACTGCTCCATCAAAAGAAAGGTTAACCTCCTTGAGTTGAACACACACATCACAAAGTAGTTTCTGTGAATGATTCTGTCTAGTTTTTATATGAAGATGTTTCCTTTTCTACCTTTGGTCTCAAAGCGATTGAAATCTCCACATGGAAACTCCACAAAAAGAGTGTTTCAAATCTGCTCTTTCTGAAGGAAGGTTCAACTCTGTGAGTTGAATACACACACCACAAATAAGTTACTGAGAATTCTTCTGTGTAACATTATATGAGGAAATCCCGTTTCCAACGAAGGCCTCAAAGAGGTCCAAATATCCACTTGCAGACTTTACAAAGACAGTGTCTCCAAACTCCTCCATCAAAAGAAAGGTTATACTCTGTGAATTGAACGCACACATCACAAAGTAGTTTCTGAGAATGATTCTGTCTAGTTTTTATACGAAGATATTTCCTTTTCTACATTTGGCCAAAAAGCGCTTGAAATCTCCACCTGCAAATATCACAAAAAGAGGGTTTCACATCTGCTCTGTCTAAAGGACAGTTCACCTCTGTGAGTTGAATAGAGGCAACACAAAGAAATTACTGAGTATTCTTCTTTCTAGCGTTACATGAAGAAATCCCGTTTCCAACGAAGGCCTCAAAGAGGTCCAAATATCTGCTTGCAGACTTTACAGACAGAGTGTTTCCAAACTACTCTATGAAAAGAGAGCTTAAACTCCGTGAGTTGAACGCACACATCACAAAGTAGTTTCTGACAATGATTCTGTCTAGTTTTTATACGAAGATGATTCCTTTTCTACATTTGGTCTCAAAGCGATTGAAATCTCCAACTGGAAACTGCACAAATAGGGTGTTTCAAATCTGCTCTGTCTAAAGGAAGGTTCAACTCTGTGAGTTGAATACACACACCACAAATAAGTTACTGAGAATTCTTCTGTCGAACATTACATGAAGAAATCCCGTTTCCAACGAAGGCCTCAAAGAGGTCCAAATGTCCACTTGCAGACATTACAAACAGTGTGTTTCCAAACTGCTCCATCAAAAGAAAGGTTAAACTCTGTGAGCTGAACACACACATCAAAAAGAAGTTTCTGTGAATGATTCTGTCTAGATTTTATAAGAAGATGTTTCCTTTTCTACCGTAGGCCTCAAAGCGCTTGAAATCTCCAGCTGCAAATTCCACAAAAAGGGTGTTTAACATCTGCTCTTCTAAAGGAAAGTTCAACTCTATGAGTTGAATACACACAGCACAAAGAAGTTACTGAGACTTCTCCTATCAAACATTATATGAAGAAATCCCGTTTCCAACGAAGGCCTCAAAGAGGTCCAAATATCTGCTTGCAGACATTACAGACAGAGTGTTTCCAAACTGCTCCATCAAAAGAAAGGTTAAACTCCTTGAGTTGAACACACACATCACAAAGTAGTTTCTGTGAATGATTCTGTCTCGTTTTTATACGAAGATGTTTCCTTTTCTACCTTTGGTCTCAAAGCGATTGAAATCTCCACATGGAAACTCCACAAAATGAGTGTTTCAAATCTGCTCTTTCTGAAGGAAGGTTCAACTCTGTGAGTTGAATACACACACCACAAATAAGTTACTGAGAATTCTTCTGTGTAACATTATATGAGGAAATCCCGTTTCCAACGAAGGCCTCAAAGAGGTCCAAATATCCACTTGCAGACTTTACAAAGACAGTGTCTCCAAACTCCTCCATCAAAAGAAAGCTTATACTCTGTGAATTGAACGCACACATCACAAAGTAGTTTCTGAGAATGATTCTGTCTAGTTTTTATACGAAGATATTTCCTTTTCTACATTTGGCCTAAAAGCGCTTGAAATCTCCACGTGCAAATATCACAAAAAGAGGGTTTCACATCTGCTCTGTCTAAAGGACAGTTCACCTCTGTGAGTTGAATAGAGGCAACACATAGAACTTACTCAGTATTCTTCTTTCTAGCGTTCTATGAAGAAATCCCGTTTCCAACGAAGGCCCCAAAGAGGTCCAAATATCTGCTTGCACACTTTACAGACAGAGTGTTTCCAAACTACTCTATGAAAAGAAAGCTTAAACTCCTTGAGTTGAACGCACACATCACAAAGTAGTTTCTGAGAATGATTCTGTCTAGTTTTTATACGAAGATGTTTCCTTTTCTACATTTGGTCTCAAAGCGATTGAAATCTCCAACTGGAAACTGCACAAATAGGGTGTTTCAAATCTGCTCTGTCTAAAGGAAGGTTCAACTCTGTGAGTTGAATACACACACCACAAATAAGTTACTGAGAATTCTTCTGTCTAACATTACTTGAAGAAATCCCGTTTCCAACGAAGGCCTCAAAGAGGTCCAAATAACCACTTGCAGACATTACAAACAGAGTGTTTCCAAACTGCTCCATCAAAAGAAAGGTTAAACTCTGTGAGCTGAACACACACATCAAAAAGAAGTTTCTGTGAATGATTCTGTCTAGATTTTATAAGAAGATGTTTCCTTTTCTACCGTAGGCCTCAAAGCGCTTGAAATCTCCAGCTGCAAATTCCACAAAAAGGGTGTTTAACATCTGCTCTTCTAAAGGAAAGTTCAACTCTATGAGTTGAATACACACAGCACAAAGAAGTTACTGAGACTTCTCCTATCAAACATTATATGAAAGAAATCCCGTTTCCAACGAAGGCCTCAAAGAGGTCCAAATATCTGCTTGCAGACTTTACAGACAGAGTGTTTCCAAACTGCTCCATCAAAAGAAAGGTTAAACTCCTTGAGTTGAACACACACATCACAAAGTAGTTTCTGTGAATGATTCTGTCTAGTTTTTATACGAAGATGTTTCCTTTTCTACCTTTGGTCTCAAAGCGATTGAAATCTCCACATGGAAACTCCACAAAAAGAGTGTTTCAAATCTGCTCTGTCTAAAGGAAGGTTCAACTCTGTGAGTTGAATACACACACCACAAATAAGTTACTGAGAATTCTTCTGTCGAACATTACTTGAAGAAATCCCGTTTCCAACGAAGGCCTCAAAGGAGGTCCAAATATCCACTTGCAGACATTACAAACAGAGTGTTTCCAAACTGCTCCATCAAAAGAAAGGTTAAACTCTGTGAGCTGAACACACACATCAAAAAGAAGTTTCTGTGAATGATTCTGTCTAGATTTTATAAGAAGATGTTTCCTTTTCTACCGTAGACCTCAAAGCGCTTGAAATCTCCAGCTGCAAATTCCACAAAAAGGGTGTTTAACATCTGCTCTTCTAAAGGAAAGTTCAACTCTATGAGTTGAATACACACAGCACAAAGAAGTTACTGAGAGTTCTCCTATCAAACATTATATGAAGAAATCCCGTTTCCAACGAAGGCCTCAAAGAGGTCCAAATATCTGCTTGCAGACTTTACAGACAGAGTGTTTCCAAACTGCTCCATCAAAAGAAAGGTTAAACTCTGTGAGTTGAACACACACATCACAAAGTAGTTTCTGTGAATGATTCTGTCTAGTTTTTATACGAAGATGTTTCCTTTTCTACCTTTGGTCTCAATGCGATTGAAATCTCCACATGGAAACTCCACAAAAAGAGTGTTTCAAATCTGCTCTTTCTGAAGGAAGGTTCAACTCTGTGAGTTGAATACACACACCACAAATAAGTTACTGAGAATTCTTCTGTGTAACATTATATGAGGAAATCCCGTTTCCAACGAAGGCCTCAAAGAGGTCCAAATATCCACTTGCAGACTTTACAAAGACAGTGTCTCCAAACTCCTCCATCAAAAGAAAGGTTATACTCTGTGAATTGAACGCACACATCACAAAGTAGTTTCTGAGAATGATTCTGTCTAGTTTTTATACGAAGATATTTCCTTTTCTACATTTGGCCTAAAAGCGCTTGAAATCTCCACCTGCAAATATCACAAAAAGAGGGTTTCACATCTGCTCTGTCTAAAGGACAGTTCACCTCTGTGAGTTGAATAGAGGCAACACAAAGAACTTACTCAGTATTCTTCTTTCTAGCGTTCTATGAAGAAATCCCGTTTCCAACGAAGGCCCCAAAGAGGTCCAAATATCTGCTTGCAGAGTTTACAGACAGAGTGTTTCCAAACTACTCTATGAAAAGAAAGCTTAAACTCCTTGAGTTGAACGCACACATCACAAAGTAGTTTCTGAGAATGATTCTGTCTAGTTTTTATACGAAGATGTTTCCTTTTCTACATTTGGTCTCAAAGCGATTGAAATCTCCAACTGGAAACTGCACAAATAGGGTGTGTCAAATCTGCTCTGTCTAAAGGAAGGTCGAACTCTGTGAGTTGAATACACACACCACAAATAAGTTACTGAGAATTCTTCTGTCGAACATTACATGAAGAAATCCCGTTTCCAACGAAGGCCTCAAAGAGGTCCAAATATCCACTTGCAGACATTACAAACAGAGTGTTTCCAAACTGCTCCATCAAAAGAAAGGTTAAACTCTGTGAGCTGAACACACACATCAAAAAGAAGTTTCTGTGAATGATTCTGTCTAGATTTTGTAAGAAGATGTTTCCTTTTCTACCGTAGGCCTCAAAGCGCTTGAAATCTCCAGCTGCAAATTCCACAAAAAGGGTGTTTAACATCTGCTCTTCTAAAGGAAAGTTCAACTCTATGAGTTGAATACACACAGCACAAAGAAGTTACTGAGACTTCTCCTATCAAACATTATATGAAGAAATCCCGTTTCCAACGAAGGCCTCAAAGAGGTCCAAATATCTGCTTGCAGACTTTACAGACAGAGTGTTTCCAATCTGCTCCATCAAAAGAAAGGTTAAACTCCTTGAGTTGAACACACACATCACAAAGTAGTTTTTGTGAATGATTCTGTCTAGTTTTTATACGAAGATGTTTCCTTTTCTACCTTTGGTCTCAAAGCGATTGAAATCTCCACTTGGAAACTCCACAAAAAGAGAGTTTCAAATCTGCTCTTTCTGAAGGAAGGTTCAACTCTGTGAGTTGAATACACACACCACAAATAAGTTTCTGAGAATTCTTCTGTGTAACATTATGTGAGGAAATCCCGTTTCCAACGAAGGCCTCAAAGAGGTGCAAATATCCACTTGCAGACTTTACAAAGACAGTGTCTCCAAACTCCTCCATCAAAAGAAAGGTTATACTGTGTGAATTGAACGCACACATCACAAAGTAGTTTCTGAGAATGATTCTGTCTAGTTTTTATACGAAGATATTTCCTTTTCTACATTTGGCCTAAAAGCGCTTGAAATCTCCACCTGCAAATATCACAAAAAGAGAGTTTCACATCTGCTCTTTCTAAAGGACAGTTCACCTCTGTGAGTTTAATAGAGACAGCACAAAGAAGTTACTGAGTATTCTTCTTTCTAGCGTTCTATGAAGAAATCCCGTTTCCAACGAAGGCCTCAAAGATGTCCACATATCTGCTTGCAGACTTTACAGAGTGTTTCCAAACTACTCTATGAAAAGAAAGCTTAAACTCCTTGAGTTGAACGCACACATCACAAAGTAGTTTCTGAGAATGATTTCTGTCTAGTTTTTATACGAAGATGTTTCCTTTTCTACATTTGGTCTCAAAGCGATTGAAATCTCCAACTGGAAACTGCACAAATAGGGTGTTTCAAATCTGCTCTGTCTAAAGGAAGGTTCAACTCTGTGAGTTGAATACACACACCACAAATAAGTTACTGAGAATTCTTCTGTCGACCATTACTTGAAGAAATCCCGTTTCCAACGAAGGCCTCAAAGAGGTCCAAATATCCACTTGCAGACATTACAAACAGAGTGTTTCCAAACTGCTCCATCAAAAGAAAGGTTAAACTCTGTGAGCTGAACACACACATCGAAAAGAAGTTTCTGTGAATGATTCTGTCTAGATTTTAGAAGAAGATGTTTCCTTTTCTACCGTAGGCCTCAAAGCGCTTGAAATCTCCAGCTGCAAATTCCACAAAAAGGGTGTTTAACATCTGCTCTTCTAAAGGAAAGTTCAACTCTATGAGTTGAATACACACAGCACAAAGAAGTTACTGAGACTTCTCCTATCAAACATTATATGAAGAAATCCCGTTTCCAACGAAGGCCTCAAAGAGGTCCAAATATCTGCTTGCAGACTTTACAGACAGAGTGTTTCCAAACTGCTCCATCAAAAGAAAGGTTAAACTCCTTGAGTTGAACACACACATCACAAAGTAGTTTCTGTGAATGATTCTGTCTAGTTTTTATACGAAGATGTTTCCTTTTCTACCTTTGGTCTCAAAGCGATTGAAATCTCCACATGGAAACTCCACAAAAAGAGTGTTTCAAATCTGCTCTTTGTGAAGGAAGGTTCAACTCTGTGAGTTGAATACACACACCACAAATAAGTTACTGAGAATTCTTCTGTGTAACATTATATGAGGAAATCCCGTTTCCAACGAAGGCCTCAAAGAGGTCCAAATATCCACTTGCAGACTTTACAAAGACAGTGTCTCCAAACTCCTCCATCAAAAGAAAGGTTATACTCTGTGAATTGAACGCACACATCACAAAGTAGTTTCTGAGAATGATTCTGTCTAGTTCTTATACGAAGATATTTCCTTTTCTACATTTGGCCTAAAAGCGCTTGAAATCTCCACCTGCAAATATCACAAAAAGAGGGTTTCACATCTGCTCTGTCTAAAGGACAGTTCACCTCTGTGAGTTGAATAGAGGCAACACAAAGAACTTACTCAGTATTCTTCTTTCTAGCGTTCTATGAAGAAATCCCGTTTCCAACGAAGGCCCCAAAGAGGTCCAAATATCTGCTTGCAGACTTTACAGACAGAGTGTTTCCAAACTACTCTATGAAAAGAAAGCTTAAACTCCTTGAGTTGAACGCACACATCACAAAGTAGTTTCTGAGAATGATTCTGTCTAGTTTTTCTACAAAGATGTTTCCTTTTCTACCTTTGGTCTCAAAGCGATTGAAATCTCCAACTGGAAACTGCACAAATAGGGTGTTTCAAATCTGCTCTGTCTAAAGGAAGGTTCAACTCTGTAAGTTGAATACACACAACACAAATAAGTTACTGAGAATTCTTCTGTCGAACATTACATGAAGAAATCCCGTTTCCCACGAAGGCCTCAAAGAGGTCCAAATATCCACTTGCAGACATTACAAACAGTGTGTTTCCAAATGTGCTCCATCAAAAGAAAGGTTAAACTCTGTGAGCTGAACACACACATCAAAAGAGAAGTTTCTGTGAATGATTCTGTCTAGATTTTGTAAGAAGATGTTTCCTTTTCTACCGTAGGCCTCAAAGCGCTTGAAATCTCCAGCTGCAAATTCCACAAAAAGGGTGTTTAACATGTGCTCTACTAAAGGAAAGTTCAACTCTATGAGTTGAATACACACAGCAGAAAGAAGTTACTGAGACTTCTCCTATCAAACATTATATGAAGAAATCCCGTTTCCAACGAAGGACTCAAAGAGGTCCAAATATCTGCTTGCAGACTTTACAGACAGAGTGTTTCCAAACTGCTCCATCAAAAGAAAGGTTAAACTCCTTGAGTTGAACACACACATCACAAGGTAGTTTCTGTGAATGATTCTGTCTAGTTTTTATACGAAGATGTTTCCTTTTCTACCTTTGGTCTGAATGCGATTGAAATCTCCACATGGAAACTCCACAAAAAGAGTGTTTCAAATCTGCTCTTTCTGAAGGAAGGTTCAACGCTGTGAGTTGAATACACACACCACAAATAAGTTACTGAGAATTCTTCTGTGTAACATTATATGAGGAAATCCCGTTTCCAACGAAGGCCTCAAAGAGGTCCAAATATCCACTTGCAGACTTTACAAAGACAGTGTCTCCAAACTCCTCCATCAAAAGAAAGGTTATACTCTGTGAATTGAACGCACACATCACAAAGTAGTTTCTGAGAATGATTCTGTCTAGTTTTTATACGAAGATATTTCCTTTTCTACATTTGGCCTAAAAGCGCTTGAAATCTCCACCTGCAAATATCACAAAAAGAGGGTTTCACATCTGCTCTGTCTAAAGGACAGTTCACCTCTGTGAGTTGAATAGAGGCAACACAAAGAACTTACTCAGTATTCTTCTTTCTAGCGTTCTATGAAGAAATCCCGTTTCCAACGAAGGCCCCAAAGAGGTCCAAATATCTGCTTGCAGACTTTACAGACAGAGTGTTTCCAAACTACTCTATGAAAAGAAAGCTTAAACTCCTTGAGTTGAACGCACACATCACAAAGTAGTTTCTGAGAATGATTCTGTCTAGTTTTTATACGAAGATGTTTCCTTTTCTACATTTGGTCTCAAAGCGATTGAAATCTCCAACTGGGAACTGCACAAATAGGGTGTTTCAAATCTGCTCTGTCTAAAGGAAGGTTCAACTCTGTGAGTTGAATACACACACCACAAATAAGTTACTGAGAATTCTTCTGTCGAACATTACATGAAGAAATCCCGTTTCCAACGAAGGCCTCAAAGAGGTCCAAATATCCACTTGCAGACATTACAAACAGAGTGTTTCCAAACTGCTCCATCAAAAGAAAGGTTAAACTCTGTGAGCTGAACACACACATCAAAAAGAAGTTTCTGTGAATGATTCTGTCTAGATTTTATAAGAAGATGTTTCCTTTTCTACCGTAGGCCTCAAAGCGCTTGAAATCTCCAGCTGCAAATTCCACAAAAAGGGTGTTTAACATCTGCTCTTCTAAAGGAAAGTTCAACTCTATGAGTTGAATACACACAGCACAAAGAAGTTACTGAGACTTCTCCTATCAAACATTATATGAAGAAATCCCGTTTCCAACGAAGGCCTCAAAGAGGTCCAAATATCTGCTTGCAGACTTTACAGACAGAGTGTTTCCAAACTGCTCCATCAAAAGAAAGGTTAAACTCCTTGAGTTGAACACACACATCACAAAGTAGTTTCTGTGAATGATTCTGTCTAGTTTTTATAAGAAGATGTTTCCTTTTCTACCTTTGGTCTCAAAGCGATTGAAATCTCCACATGGAAACTCCACAAAAAGAGTGTTTCAAATCTGCTCTTTCTGAAGGAAGGTTCAACTCTGTGAGTTGAATACACACACCACAAATAAGTTACTGAGAATTCTTCTGTGTAACATTATATGAGGAAATCCCGTTTCCAACGAAGGCCTCAAAGAGGTCCAAATATCCACTTGCAGACTTTACAAAGACAGTGTCTCCAAACTCCTCCATCAAAAGAAAGGTTATACTCTGTGAATTGAACGCACACATCACAAAGTAGTTTCTGAGAATGATTCTGTCTAGTTTTTATACGAAGATATTTCCTTTTCTACATTTGGCCTAAAAGCGCTTGAAATCTCCACCTGCAAATATCACAAAAAGAGGGTTTCACATCTGCTCTGTCTAAAGGACAGTTCACCTCTGTGAGTTGAATAGAGGCAACACAAAGAACTTACTCAGTATTCTTCTTTCTAGCGTTCTATGAAGAAATCCCGTTTCCAACGAAGGCCTCAAAGAGGTCAAAGATCTGCTTGCAGACTTTACAGACAGAGTGTTTCCAAACTACTCTATGAAAAGAAAGCGTAAACTCCTTGAGTTGAACGCACACATCACAAAGTAGTTTCTGAGAATGATTCTGTCTAGTTTTTATACGAAGATGTTTCCTTTTCTACATTTGGTCTCAAAGCGATTGAAATCTCCAACTGGAAACTGCACAAATAGGGTGTTTCAAATCTGCTCTGTCTAAAGGAAGGTTCAACTCTGTGAGTTGAATACACACACCACAAATAAGTTACTGAGAATTCTTCTGTCGAACATAACTTGAAGAAATCCCGTTTCCAACGAAGGCCTCAAAGAGGTCCAAATATCCACTTGCAGATATTACAAACAGAGTGTTTCCAAACTGCTCCATCAAAAGAAAGGTTAAACCCTGTGAGCTGAACACACACATCAAAAAGAAGTTTCTGTGAATGATTCTGTCTAGATTTTATAAGAAGATGTTTCCTTTTCTACCGTAGGCCTCAAAGCGCTTGAAATCTCCAGCTGCAAATTCCACAAAAAGGGTGTTTAACATCTGCTCTTCTAAAGGAAAGTTCAACTCTATGAGTTGAATACACACAGCACAAAGAAGTTACTGAGACTTCTTCTTTCTAGCATTCTATGAAGAAATCCCGTTTCCAACGAAGGCCCCAAAGAGGTCCAAATATCTGCTTGCAGAGTTTACAGACAGAGTTTTTCCAAACTGCTCCATCAAAAGAAAGGTTAAACTCCTTGAGTTGAACACACACATCACAAAGTAGTTTCTGTGAATGATTCTGTCTAGTTTTTATACGAAGATGTTTCCTTTTCTACCTTTGGTCTCAAAGCGATTGAAATCTCCACATGGAAACTCCACAAAAAGAGTGTTTCAAATCTGCTCTTTCTGAAGGAAGGTTCAACTCTGTGAGTTGAATACACACACCACAAATAAGTTACTGAGAATTCTTCTGTGTAACATTATATGAGGAAATCCCGTTTCCAACGAAGGCCTCAAAGAGGTCCAAATATCCACTTGCAGACTTTACAAAGACAGTGTCTCCAAACTCCTCCATCAAAAGAAAGGTTATACTCTGTGAATTGAACGCACACATCACAAAGTAGTTTCTGAGAATGATTCTGTCTAGTTTTTATACGAAGATATTTCCTTTTCTACATTTGGCCTCAAAGCGCTTGAAATCTCCACCTGCAAATATCACAAAAAGAGGGTTTCACATCTGCTCTGTCTAAAGGACAGTTAACCTCTGTGAGTTGAATAGAGGCAACACAAAGAACTTACTCAGTATTCTTCTTTCTAGCGTTCTATGAATAAATCCCGTTTCCAACGAAGGCCTCAAAGAGGTCAAATATCTGCTTGCAGACTTTACAGACAGAGTGTTTCCAAACTACTCTATGAAAAGAAAGCTTAAACTCCTTGAGTTGAACGCACACATCACAAAGTAGTTTCTGAGAATGATTCTGTCTAGTTTTTATACGAAGATGTTTCCTTTTCTACATTTGGTCTCAAAGCGATTGAAATCTCCAACTGGAAACTGCACAAATAGGCTGTTTCAAATCTGCTCTGTCTAAAGGAAGGTTCAGCTCTGTGAGTTGAATACACACACCACAAATAAGTTACTGAGAATTCTTCTGTCAAACATTACAGGAAGAAATCTCGTTTCCAACGAAGGCCTCAAAGAGGTCCAAATATCCACTTGCAGACATTACAAACAGTGTGTTTCCCAACTGCTCCATCAAAAGAAAGGTTAAACTCTGTGAGCTGAACACACACATCAAAAAGAAGTTTCTGTGAATGATTCTGTCTAGATTTTATAAGAAGATGTTTCCTTTTCTACCGTAGGCCTCAAAGCGCTTGAAATCTCCAGCTGCAAATTCCACAAAAAGGGTGTTTAACATCTGCTCTTCTAAAGGAAAGTTCAACTCTATGAGTTGAATACACACAGCACAAAGAAGTTACTGAGACTTCTGCTATCAAACATTATAGGAAGAAATCCCGTTTCCAACGAAGGCCTCAAAGAGGTCCAAATATCCACTTGCAGACGTGACAAACAGAGTGTTTCCAAACTGCTCCATCCAAAGAAAGGTTAAACTCTGTGAGTTGAACACACACATCACAAAGTAGTTTCTGTGAATGATTCTGTCTAGTTTTTATACGAAGATGTTTCCTTTTCTACCTTTGGTCTCAAAGCGATTGAAATCTCCACATGGAAACTCCACAAAAAGAGTGTTTCAAATCTGCTCTTTCTGAAGGAAGGTTCAACTCTGTGAGTTGAATACACACACCACAAATAAGTTACTGAGAATTCTTCTGTGTAACATTATATGAGGAAATCCCGTTTCCAACGAAGGCCTCAAAGAGGTCCAAATATCCACGTGCAGACTTTACAAAGACAGTGTCTCCAAACTCCTCCATCAAAAGAAAGGTTATACTCTGTGAATTGAACGCACACATCACAAAGTAGTTTCTGAGAATGATTTCTGTCTAGTTTTTATACGAAGATATTTCCTTTTCTACATTTGGCCTAAAAGCGCTTGAAGTCTCCACCTGCAAATATCACAAAAAGAGGGTTTCACATCTGCTCTGTCTAAAGGACAGTTCACCTTTGTGAGTTGAATAGAGGCAACACAAAGAACTTACTCAGTATTCTTCTTTCTAGCGTTCTATGAAGAAATCCCGTTTCCAACGAAGGCCCCAAAGAGGTCCAAATATCTGCTTGCAGACTTTACAGACAGAGTGTTTCCAAACTACTCTATGAAAAGAAAGCTTAAACTCCTTGAGTTGAACGCACACATCACAAAGTAGTTTCTGAGAATGATTCTGTCTAGTTTTTATACGAAGATGTTTCCTTTTCTACATTTGGTCTCAAAGCGATTGAAATCTCCAACTGGAAACTGCACAAATAGGGTGTTTCAAATCTGCTCTGTCTAAAGGAAGGTTCAACTCTGTGTGTTGAATACACACACCACAAATAAGTTACTGAGAATTCTTCTGTCGAACATTACATGAAGAAATCCCGTTTCCAACGAAGGCCTCAAAGAGGTCCAAATATCCACTTGCAGACATTACAAACAGAGTGTTTCCAAACTGCTCCATCAAAGGAAAGGTTAAACTCTGTGAGCTGAACACACACATCAAAAAGAAGTTTCTGTGAATGATTCTGTGTAGATTTTATAAGAAGATGTTTCCTTTTCTACCGTAGGCCTCAAAGCGCTTGAAATCTCCAGCTGCAAATTCCACAAAAAGGGTGTTTAACATCTGCTCTTCTAAAGGAAAGTTCAACTCTAAGAGTTGAATACACACAGCACAAAGAAGTTATTGAGACTTCTTCTTTCTAGCATTCTATGAAGAAATCCCGTTTCCAACGAAGGCCCCAAAGAGGTCCAAATATCTGCTTGCAGACTTTACAGACAGAGTTTTTCCAAACTGCTCCATCAAAAGAAAGGTTAAACTCCTTGAGTTGAACACACACATCACAAAGTAGTTTCTGTGAATGATTCTGTCTTGTTTTTATAAGAAGATGTTTCCTTTTCTACCTTTGGTCTCAAAGCGATTGAAATCTCCACATGGAAACTCCACAAAAAGAGTGTTTCAAATCTGCTCTTTCTGAAGGAAGGTTCAACTCTGTGATTTGAATACACACACCACAAATAAGTTACTGAGAATTCTTCTGTGTAACATTATATGAGGAAATCCCGTTTCCAACGAAGGCCTCAAAGAAGTCCAAATATCCACTTGCAGACTTTACAAAGACAGTGTCTCCAAACTCCTCCATCAAAAGAAAGGTTATACTCTGTGAATTGAACGCACACATCACAAAGTAGTTTCTGAGAACGATTCTGTCTAGTTTTTATACGAAGATATTTCCTTTTCTACATTTGGCCGAAAAGCGCTTGAAATCTCCACCTGCAAATATCACAAAAAGAGGGTTTCACATCTGCTCTGTCTAAAAGACAGTTCACCTCTGTGAGTTGAATAGAGGCAACACAAAGAACTTACTCAGTATTCTTCTTTCTAGCGTTCTATGAAGAAATCCCGTTTCCAACGAAGGCCTCAAAGAGGTCCAAATATCTGCTTGCAGACTTCACAGACAGAGTGTTTCCAAACTACTCTATGAAAAGAAAGCTTAAACTCCTTGAGTTGAACGCACACATCACAAAGTAGTTTCTGAGAATGATTCTGTCTAGTTTTTATACGAAGATGTTTCCTTTTCTACATTTGGTCTCAAAGCGATTGAAATCTCCAACTGGAAACTGCACAAATAGGGTGTTTCAAATCTGCTCTGTCTAAAGGAAGGTTCAACTCTGTGAATTGAATACACACACCACAAATAAGTTACTGAGAATTCTTCTGTCGAACATTACTTGAAGAAATCCCGTTTCCAACGAAGGCCTCAAAGAGGTCCAAATATCCACTTGCAGACATTACAGAGTGTTTCCAAACTGCTCCATCAAAAGAAAGGTTAAACTCTGTGAGCTGAACACACACATCAAAAAGAAGTTTCTGTGAATGATTCTGTCTAGATTTTATAAGAAGATGTTTCCTTTTCTACCGTAGGCCTCAAAGCGCTTGAAATCTCCAGCTGCAAATTCCACAAAAAGGGTGTTTAACATCTGCTCTTCTAAAGGAAAGTTCAACTCAATGAGTTGAATACACACAGCACAAAGAAGTTACTGAGACTTCTCCTATCAAACATTATATGAAGAAATCCCGTTTCCAACGAAGGCCTCAAAGAGGTCCAAATATCTGCTTGCAGACTTTACAGACAGAGTTTTTCCAAACTGCTCCATCAAAAGAAAGGTTAAACTCCTTGAGTTGAACACACACATCACAAAGTAGTTTCTGTGAATGATTCTGTCTAGTTTTTATACGAAGATGTTTCGTTTTCTACCTTTGGTCTCAATGCGATTGAAATCTCCACATGGAAACTCCACAAAAAGAGTGTTTCAAATCTGCTCTTTCTGAAGGAAGGTTCAACTCTGTGAGTTGAATACACACACCACAAATAAGTTACTGAGAATTCTTCTGTGTAACATTATATGAGGAAATCCCGTTTCCAACGAAGGCCTCAAAGAGGTCCAAATATCCACTTGCAGACTTTACAAAGACAGTGTCTCCAAACTCCTCCATCAAAAGAAAGGTTATACTCTGTGAATTGAACGCACACATCACAAACTAGTTTCTGAGAATGATTCTGTCTAGTTTTTATACGAAGATATTTCCTTTTCTACATTTGGCCTAAAAGCGCTTGAAATCTCCACCTGCAAATATCACAAAAAGAGGGTTTCACATCTGCTCTGTCTAAAGGACAGTTCACCTCTGTGAGTTGAATAGAGGCAACACAAAGAACTTACTCAGTATTCTTCTTTCTAGCGTTCTATGAAGAAATCCCGTTTCCAACGAAGACCCCAATGAGGTCCAAATATCTGCTTGCAGACTTTACAGACAGAGTGTTTCCAAACTACTCTATGAAAAGAAAGCTTAAACTCCTTGAGTTGAACGCACACATCACAAAGTAGTTTCTGAGAATGATTCTGTCTAGTTTTTATACGAAGATGTTTCCTTTTCTACATTTGGTCTCAAAGCGATTGAAATCTCCAACTGGAAACTGCACAAATAGGGTGTTTCAAATCTGCTCTGTCTAAAGGAAGGTTCAACTCTGTGAGTTGAATACACACACCACAAATAAGTTACTGAGAATTCTTCTGTCGAACATTACAGGAAGAAATCCCGTTTCCAACGAAGGCCTCAAAGAGGTCCAAATATCCACTTGCAGACATTACAAACAGAGTGTTTCCAAACTACTCCATCAAAACAAAGGTTAAACTCTGTGAGCTGAACACACACATCAAAAAGAAGTTTCTGTGAATGATTCTGTCTAGATTTTATAAGAAGATGTTTCCTTTTCTACCCGTAGGCCTCAAAGCGCTTGAAATCTCCAGCTGCAAATTCCACAAAAAGGGTGTTTAACATCTGCTCTTCTAAAGGAAAGTTCAACTCTATGAGTTGAATACACACAGCACAAAGAAGTTACTGAGACTTCTCCTATCAAACATTATATGAAGAAATCCCGTTTCCAAAGAAGGCCTCAAAGAGGTCCAAATATCCACTTGCAGACATTACAAACAGAGTGTTTCCAAACTGCTCCATCAAAAGAAAGGTTAAACTCTGTGAGCTGAACACACACATCAAAAATAAGTTTCTGTGAATGATTCTGTCTAGATTTTGTAAGAAGATGTTTCCTTTTCTACCGTAGGCCTCAAAGCGCTTGAAATCTCCACCTGCAAATTCCACAAAAAGGGTGTTTTACATCTGCTCTTCTAAAGGAAAGTTCAACTCTATGCGTTGAATACACACAGGACAAAGAAGTTACTGAGACTTCTCCTATCAAACATTATATGAAGAAATCCCGTTTCCAACGAAGGCCTCAAAGAGGTCCAAATATCTGCTTGCAGACTTTACAGACAGAGTGTTTCCAAACTGCTCCATCAAAAGAAAGGTTAAACTCCTTGAGTTGAACACACACATCACAAAGTAGTTTTTGTGAATGATTCTGTCTAGTTTTTATACGAAGATGTTTCCTTTTCTACCTTTGGTCTCAAAGCGATTGAAATCTCCACTTGGAAACTCCACAAAAAGAGTGTTTCAAATCTGCTCTTTCTGAAGGAAGGTTCAACTCTGTGAGTTGAATACACACACCACAAATAAGTTACTGAGAATTCTTCTGGGTAACATTATATGAGGAAATCCCGTTTCCAACGAAGGCCTCAAAGAGGTCCAAATATCCACTTGCAGACTTTACAAAGACAGTGTCTCCAAACTCCTCCATCAAAAGAAAGGTTATACTCTGTGAATTGAACGCACACATCACAAAGTAGTTTCTGAGAATGATTCTGTCTATTATTTATACGAAGATATTTCCTTTTCTACATTTGGCCTAAAAGCGCTTGAAATCTCCACCTGCAAATATCACAAAAAGAGGGTTTCACACATGCTCTGTCTAAAGGACAGTTCACCTCTGTGAGTTGAATAGAGGCAGCACAAAGAAGTTACTGAGTATTCTTCTTTCTAGCGTTCTATGAAGAAATCCCGTTTCCAACGAAGGCCCCAAAGAGGTCCAAATATCTGCTTGCAGACTTTACAGACAGAGTGTTTCCAAACTACTCTATGAAAAGAAAGCTTAAACTCCTTGAGTTGAACGCACACATCACAAAGTAGTTTCGGAGAATGATTCTGTCTAGTTTTTATACGAAGATGTTTCCTTTTCTACATTTGGTCTCAAAGCGATTGAAATCTCCAACTGGAAACTGCACAAATAGGGTGTTTCAAATCTGCTCTGTCTAAAGGAAGGTTCAACTCTGTGAGTTGAATACACACACCACAAATAAGTTACTGAGAATTCTTCTGTCGAACATTACAGGAAGAAATCCCGTTTCCAACGAAGGCCTCAAAGAGGTCCAAATATCCACTTGCAGACATTACAAACAGTGTGTTTCCCAACTGCTCCATCAAAAGAAAGGTTAAACTCTGTGAGCTGAACACACACATCAAAAAGAAGTTTCTGTGAATGATTCTGTCTAGATTTTATAAGAAGATGTTTCCTTTTCTACCTTAGCCCTCAAAGCGCTTGAAATCTCCAGCTGGAAATTCCACAAAAAGGGTGTTTAACATCTGCTCTTCTAAAGGAAAGTTCAACTCTATGAGTTGAATACACACAGCACAAAGAAGTTACTGAGACTTCTCCTATCAAACATTATATGAAGAAATCCCGTTTCCAACGAAGGCCTCAAAGAGGTCCAAATATCTGCTTGCAGATTTTACAGACAGAGTGTTTCCAAACAGCTCCATCAAAAGAAAGGTTAAACTCCTTGAGTTGAACACACACATCACAAACTAGTTTCTGTGAATGATTCTGTCTAGTTTTTATACGAAGATGTTTCCTTTTCTACCTTTGGTCTCAAAGCGATTGAAATCTCCACATGGAAACTCCACAAAAAGAGTGTTTCAAATCTGCTCTTTCTGAAGGAAGGTTCAACTCTGTGAGTTGAATACACACACCACAAATAAGTTACTGAGAATTCTTCTGTGTAACATTATATGAGGAAATCCCGTTTCCAACGAAGGCCTCAAAGAGGTCCAAATATCCACTTGCAGACTTTACAAAGACAGTGTCTCCAAACTCCTCCATCAAAAGAAAGGTTATGCTCTGTGAATTCAACGCACACATCACAAAGTAGTTTCTGAGAATGATTCTGTCTAGTTTTTATACGAAGATATTTCCTTTTCTACATTTGGCCTAAAAGCGCTTGAAATCTCCACCTGCAAATATCACAAAAAGAGGGTTTCACATCTGCTCTGTCTAAAGGACAGTTCACCTCTGTGAGTTGAATAGAGGCAACACAAAGAACTTACTCAGTATTCTTCTTTCTAGCGTTCTATGAAGAAATCCCGTTTCCAACGAAGGCCCCAAAGAGGTCCAAATATCTGCTTGCAGACTTTACAGACAGAGTGTTTCCAAACTACTCTATGAAAAGAAAGCTTAAACTCCTTGAGTTGAACGCACACATCACAAAGTAGTTTCGGAGAATGATTCTGTCTAGTTTTTATACGAAGATGTTTCCTTTTCTACATTTGGTCTCAAAGCGATTGAAATCTCCAACTGGAAACTGCACAAATAGGGTGTTTCAAATCTGCTCTGTCTAAAGGAAGGTTCAACTCTTTGAGTTGAATACACACACCACAAATAAGTTACTGAGAATTCTTCTGTCGAACATTACATGAAGAAATCCCGTTTCCAACGAAGGCCTCAAAGAGGTCCAAATATCCACTTGCAGACATTACAAACAGAGTGTTTCCAAACTGCTCCATCAAAAGAAAGGTTAAACTCTGTGAGCTGAACACACACATCAAAAAGAAGTTTCTGTGAATGATTCTGTCTAGATTTTATAAGAAGATGTTTCCTTTTCTACCGTAGGCCTCAAAGCGCTTGAAATCTCCAGCTGCAAATTCCACAAAAAGGGTGTTTAACATCTGCTCTTCTAAAGGAAAGTTCAACTCTATGAGTTGAATACACACAGCACAAAGAAGTTACTGAGACTTCTCCTATCAAACATTATATGAAGAAATCCCGTTTCCAACGAAGGCCTCAAAGAGGTCCAAATATCTGCTTGCAGACTTTACAGACAGAGTGTTTCCAAACTGCTCCATCAAAAGAAAGGTTAAACTCCTTGAGTTGAACACACACATCACAAAGTAGTTTACTGTGAATGATTATCTGTCTAGTTTTTATACGAAGATGTTTCCTTTTCTACCTTTGGTCTCAATGCGATTGAAATCTCCACATGGAAACTCCACAAAAAGAGTGTTTCAAATCTGCTCTTTCTGAAGGAAGGTTCAACTCTGTGAGTTGAATACACACACCACAAATAAGTTACTGAGAATTCTTCTGTGTAACATTATATGAGGAAATCCCGTTTCCAACGAAGGCCTCAAAGAGGTCCAAATATCCACTTGCAGACTTTACAAAGACAGTGTCTCCAAACTCCTCCATCAAAAGAAAGGTTATACTCTGTGAATTGAACGCACACATCACAAAGTAGTTTCTGAGAATGATTCTGTCTAGTTTTTATACGAAGATATTTCCTTTTCTACATTTGGCCTAAAAGCGCTTGAAATCTCCACCTGCAAATATCACAAAAAGAGGGTTTCACATCTGCTCTGTCTAAAGGACAGTTCACCTCTGTGAGTTGAATAGAGGCAACACAAAGAACTTACTCAGTATTCTTCTTTCTAGCGTTCTATGAAGAAATCCCCTTTCCAACGAAGACCCCAAAGACGTCCAAATATCTGCTTGCAGACTTTACAGACAGAGTTTTTCCAAACTGCTCCATCAAAAGAAAGGTTAAACTCCTTGAGTTGAACACACACGTCACAAAGTAGTATCTGTGAATGATTCTGTCTAGTTTTTCTACGAAGATGTTTCCTTTTCTACCTTCGGTCTCAAAGCGATTGAAATCTCCACATGGAAACTCCACAAAAAGAGTGTTTCAAATCTGCTCTTTCTGAAGGAAGGTTCAACTCTGTGAGTTG